>NC_000007.14:140006779-140631779 GCF_000001405.40 Homo sapiens
GCACTTGGTCGGCCACATCGTCAGCTCCCAATAAATGCTGGCGGCTGTGGTTGCCGCTGCAGTTTTATAACCAAACTTCTCTGTATTACGAAGACCCCTGAGCCCCAGGCTAGCACCGTGAAATATAAGCACAATAGAACCACTGAGCGCCAATCAGATGCAATTTGGGTCATACCGACTTTCCATTTTGTGGGGTTTCTGTTTAAATGTTTGCCAAAGTTGGAAACGAGATTGAAATTTAAGGAAAAGACAAAATGCTGTGAGATTTGGGCTAACACGAACTTCTCCCTTTGTCACGACCCCTCCATCAGATGGCCCCTGAGTTCTGCAGCCTCGAGGAAGGCCTGCCCTATCTGGACATGGTGATTGCAGAGACGCTGAGGATGTACCCGCCAGCTTTCAGGTGTGTGGTAGCCCCCTCCCCTGCCCGAGTCCCCACCTCCTACCCCTACCCCCTGCCCCAGCCTGCAGGTCAGGGCCCTCCTCCATCAGTTACCACTTGTGTTTCTGGAGGGCAACGCCTGAGTCCTGGGTTCCTTTGTATCCCCATGGCACCTCAGATATCTGGCCCGCTTTCCTACAGGTTAACAACCTTCTCAAAGCTTCACAGGCATTTTCTTAACACCGCCTTCCTCCCCAGCCCAAGCTGGCCCTTTGGTCTCCTAGCCTTTGCTGGCTTTTGCCATTTCCCCTGCCTGTTCGTTCATTCATTCATTCATTCGTTCATTCATTCATTCAGCAATTGTTTATTGAGCATCTACTCTGTGCCAAGCATTGGGAAATCAGCTGTATATAAAACAGATAAAAGTCCCTGACTGATCTTGGAGCTGGCATTCAGACAGTAGGGGACTGTCTGAGTCCTGGGAGCTCCTTCCTGCCATCCAACACCCCCAGCTGTCCCATCCTGGAGCTCCAACACGACTCACCCTCCAAAACGTCTCACTGCCCCTCAAGACGTCTGTGTTGGGCTTGCCTCACCTGGTCCTCCCTGCCCTTCCTCCTCAGCACTTTGAGCTGTAACTATACACTTCATGTTATATTCTTGGACACATATCTGCCACTCCATGACATTTCACTAATGTACACACCAACCAGCCGGTCACACCAACCTGTGGGTATCTTGAGAGCAAAACCAACTATTGTGCTTCGTTCAAACTCTCCCAAACAAGGCACTCCATAGAGAAGGGCATCTTAATTCATGTCCCCAGACCCCTACAGAGAGTGAAGTAACAGCCAGATTTCAGGCTCTAGAAACAGAAGCAGCACAAAGCATTAACCGTATGTGATAAATTCCACTCAACACTTTTATGAATTAACAGATCACATAAACCATATGGAAATACCTTTCACCATTTTTAAAGACAATATGTGGATGATTTGAGGGTATCTCAAAACGATATTTCAACACAAAAGCATTACAAAGAATGCAATTGTAGACATTGTCCAAATGTTCAAGTCCAGAAGCAAATACAGAAAATTCCGGTGGCGTGATTCGAACTGCATTGTCCTCAAGCACACAAGGTTTTGGGTCTCAGTGTGGAAGCAGGCCAGTCACTCAGGGGCTCTGTGCCCCCTCTCCCCATGCCAGCATTAAGACCTGATGTGCAGCCCTTCCCTGATCTCCTTTGGAGCCTCTTGCAAACTGTCATCCAATTCTTTCTTTTATTCTTTTTTTTTTTTTTTTTTGAGATGGAGTCTTGCTCTGTTGCCCAGGCTGGAGGGCAATGGTGTGATCTTGGCTCACTGAAACTTCTGCCTCTTGGGTTCAAGAGATCCTCCTGTCTCAGCCTCCCAAGTAACTGGGATTACAGGTGCCCGCCACTATGCCCGGCTAATTTTTTGTATTTTTAGTAGAGACGGGGTTTCACCACGTTGGCCAGGCTGGTCTCAAACTCCTGACCTCAGGTGATCTGCCTGCCTTGGCCTCCCAAAGTGCTGGGATTACAGGCGTGAGCCACCAATCCCAGCCTTATTTTTTTCATAATTGATATCCAGCTTTCTTCCAAGGGGATTGTGGGAAGCTGGTGTACATGTTAAAATGAAGTTCAAGATAAAGCATTCAGGGATCAAATAGAACAAAGGCCATTTAAAGGAAAGAAGGCCTTACAGGGCCCCAGAGCTGGCTGGTAGCTGGGGTCCAGCTGTGGCTTGGTGACCAGGGCTCCTGGCCAAGAGGGAGAGCAGCCAAGCCAAACAGGTGTGTTCTCCAGCAAGAGGACAGCACAGAAACTGATCAATGGACACAGTACTTCCTGGACCTAAACTCAGCCACGAATCCATCAGACAAGACCTTATTAGCTGTCATGTTGAATAACAAAGGGGTTAGGCTCTTCAACATGAAAATGCGGTGGCCGATTCTCCACTGACCCGTTATAAACAGCAGAGCAGAAAAGGAAGTTGGTGCAGGTGGACCAGGAAGCTGGTGATCTCACCTGAGGACCAGACAGAAACTAGAGAACCTGGGTGAAGTAGTTAGAATTCATCTAACAGGTCTAGAGGGCACGTCAGAAGACCATCTTGGCCCTGGCCTTGGCATACTGCGTGATCGTGAGCCTCATGCTGCTCCGTGCCTCTCCTTCCTACGGGTTAAATGGGGACACACACCTGCTTGGCTGGCCCTGCAGAAGCAGGCAAGAGGCAGTGGGTGGCACAGGTGGAACTGTAGTGCCCGCTCAGCTGCCTGCAGCATGATGTGTGCAGGGAGGAGCGCCGGCACTGGTCGGACAGTGGAATGGACAGCTTCCATCCAGCCTCGCTCTCCTGAGCCGCCCCTTCCCCACACATGCCCCACACCCGCCCCACACCTTCCCCACACCCACCCCACACCTGCCCCACACCCGCCCCACACCTGCCCCACACCCACCCCACACCTGCCCCACACCCGCTCCACACCTGCCCCACACCCACCCCACACCTGCCCCACACCCGCTCCACACCTGCCCCACTCCCACCCCACACCTGCTCCACACCTCCATACCTGCCCCACACCTGCCCCACACCCGCTCCACACCTGCCCCACACCTCCATGCTGGCCCCATACCTGCTCCACACCTGTCCCATGCCCGCCCCACAGCCGCCCCACACCTGCTCCACACCTCCATGCCCGCCCCACACCTGCCCCACACCTTCACACCTGCCCCACACCTGCCCCACACCTGCCCCGCACCTGCCCCACACCTGCCCCGCACCTGCCCCACACCTGCCCCACACCCGCTCCACACCCGCTTCACACCCGCTCCACACCCGCCCCACACCTCCACACCCACACCACACCCGCCCCACACCTGCTCCACACCCACACCACACCCACCCCACACCTGCCTCACAGCTGCTCCACACCTGCTCCATGGGCATTTTTCACCCTATCAGCTCTGCTGGCTTTTCTTATTGATCACCAGATATGAGAGAGACAAGGTGTCACAATTCTCACCCAGACCAGAGGACAATCTGCTTCTGCTCAAAGGATTTGGGGGTGAATGTAGGGAGAGTGAGCATTTTTATTTTATTATTTTATTTCATCTCAAAAAGCGTGTTGACTTTTCCCAAGTGCTGACACAACTTGGACTTACTCATAAAAGAAAATCAGAATCGCCCTTGTGGGAAACACAGCAGCCCTGTCTGAGCGCCACTGAGGTGACTCCCGGATGCTGTGCGGTGCAGTTCTGAAGCTTCTGTTGATCTCTTATGAGGTTCAGTTTACGGGGAAGGGAAGGCCCTATTTTCCAGCTTCCAGGGGGTCTGCCTCCAGGTCCAGGCTGTTTCCAGAAAAGAAGAACAAGCAGGGTGCCAGGGAACAGCTTCATCTGACCCCTTTGGAACTGCGGGTACAGACATCACAAACCCCAGCTGCCTGCCCTGGTTTCAGTGCTGGTGTTTGCTATCAGCTCCAAGCACATATAATTGCATTAGCAGCTTAGCATCTCAATGGGTTCTCCACGCCCTGGCCTTTTTCTGTTCCTGTCTGTTACATGAAAGGCTCATAACAGAGAGGGAGCAGCAAGAAGCCACAGGCTGCTTTTAATCTCTTACGGGCAGGAACAGGGCATAACAGTAATTACTGTAATCATTGCATTTCCTTTAGGATATTTAGGGAAGTCCAATCCTACAGCTTGAAGTAAAATCCAGCATAGAATTATTTTGAATTTTTAATTATTTATATTGCCAAAATAGCATGCTTATACAAACAAAACAAAACCAAAAAAAAAAAAACAGTCCCGGCCGGGTGTAGTGGTTCACACCTGTAATTCCAGCACTTTGGGAGGCAAGGAGGGAAGATCACTTGAGTTCAGGAGTTCAAGACCAGCCTGACCAACATGATGAAACTCTGACTCTACTAAAAATACAAAAATTAGCCGGGCATGGTGGCAGAAACCTGTAATCCCAGCTACAAGGGAGGCTAAGGCAGGAGAATTGCTTGAATCTGGGAGGCGGAGGTTGCAGTGAGCCAAGATAGTGCCACTGCACTCCACCCTGGGCGGCAGAGCGAGACTCTGTCTCAAAAAAAACAAACAAACAAACAAACAAAAAAAACAGTCCCCTAAACAATGAAGAATAAAAAAAAAAGAAAAAAAAGGCCCCCTGCCATTCTCCATCCCAATCCCATCCCCTAGAGAAGAGAAAGATAGAAATTTAAGTATTCTTCTAGAAATGTTATGTTCATATACAAGCATATATAGTCTACCCTTTAAAAGTAAAGCATAAATGAGATTGTGCCATTGCCCTTGGGTAAAATGAACAATCTGATCAAATATTTTCCTCTCTGGGAGAAGAAGCTATCGGTAGAGACATAGACAACAGGGAACAGATTTTCAAACCCAAATTTCCTTCCCTCACCAGGACTCACTCAGAGGAGCCAAATTAACAAAGAAAGTAGAAGGCTGTCTGCCAGGGACCAGGGAGAGGGGAGGGGAGGGAGTTAGTGTTTAAGGGATCCAGAATTTCAGTGGGGGAAGAGGAAAAAGTTCTGGAGATGGATGGCAGTGCTGGTTGCACAATGAATGTACTAAAACCACAGAACTGCACACTGAAAAATGGTTCAAATGGTCCATTTTATGTTCTATATATATATATATCCACAATGAAATAATAAACAGGTGAGCAGATAAATAACTAAATAAACCCAGCCTCACCAGGACCAATTCTGATGTTCCAATATTCCAGAATTATCATGGCATTTGATGGACGGTTTGAGCCTGTCCTCATTAGATGTTCTCATGTCCTGTGTTAAGGACTTAAGACTCAGAAGATTTTTCATGGATTCCAGGCACGTGGGAGTGGTACAGACAGGAGCAGGAGTGGGAGCCCGTGTACGGGATTCATTAGGGAAACAGAACTTTGCTACGTTGGGAGGGTATCTCGAGGACAAGCCTTGACAGAGGGTGTGACCAGCGTCTCCTCCCAACCCCCGTGTTACCTGGGATAGGAAATGGCCTGAAGTCTGGAAGGTAGGAGGCAGGAAGTGGGGCTTGGTTTTCTTGCTGTGAGCCAGATCTGTTGGAGTGGGATAATGCTGAAGTCAGAGAGAGACTTCTCAATCGAACCCTATAGTCACAAAAGTAGTTGGGAAGGGGGTGGGCTGAGAGGTGCAGGGAGGTGATAAAGAGAAGCTGGGGCTGTAATTCTGCCCTCGTCCTAAAAGGCTCTATCTCATCCTTTAAAATCCCAAATCACCTGTAACCAGAACTTTTTTTTTTTTTTTTTTGAGACGGAGTCTCGCTCTGTCGCTCAGGTGTACAGTGGTGCGATCTCAGCTCACTGCAACCTCCTCTTCCCGGGTTCAAGCGATTCTCGTGCCTCAGCCTCCTGAGTAGCAGGGACTACAGGCGCACGACACCATGCTTGGCTAATTTGGGTATTTTTAGTAGAGACGGGGTTTCACCATGTTGGCCAGGCTGGTCTCCAGCTCCTGACCTCAGGTGATCCACACACCTCTGCCTCCCAAAGTGCTGGGATTACAGGCATGAGCCACCACACACCCGGCCATGACCAGAACTCTTGAGAGCGTGTGCTCAACACTCGAAGTCCAAAAGTCTACCCAAGTTCAGGAAGAGAGCGGTTCTTCACCTCTCCACCTCGAATTTTGTTTCTAGAATGTTGCATGTAGGTCTGAAGAGTGACAGCACGTTTGTTTAACAGGAACTCAAAGCCAGCAGATCAGGAAAGGACACTTATAAGGTTTGGAGTTTGGGTTACAGAGGTTTAAGGTAGGTCTTTTGTGGCAAGGAATATTTGAAATTGGGCAAGATGAGTGAGCTGAGATCGCGCCACTGCACTCCAGCCTGGGCAACAGAGCGAGACTCCATCTCAAAAAAAAAAAAAAAAAGAAATTGGGGCAAGATGTATGACATAACAATTTAGGAATGAGTGAATACAGGTAGGTGAGTTGAAGGGAGTTCTGACAGGTAAGACTGTTGTCTGGCAAGTGAACTGTTTGCTCACGCAAGCAAACCATTGTCCTGATAGGAAAGTGGTTTGCTCAGACAAATTAGTTTGCATTAATTTCCTGAAGCCAACAGTGAAGCTGTTTCTTGGTTCAGAGGTTTATCTTCCTCGGCAAGAATTTTCTGGAGCAGAGAGGAAGTCACTGACACAGGTGGTCTCGATGCTCACTCCAAGAGTTGAGTTGTGTGGCTCCAGGTAGACTCATTTCCCAGGGTCACCTGCTGGGCCATAATCAACAAGGTACAAGCTTAAGAGAGCCATGCCGGGATTTCAAGTTGCAAGGAAGAGAGATTCAATGGTGCTTTCTTGAGTCACGGGTGTTGGTTGTAAGAAACTGGTGGGGTAAGGAAGCTAGAACTCTCCCAGGAACCAGGAACGGCTCTCACTGGCAGGCCTCACGGAGGAGACCCAAGCTGGGGGACTGGAAGGTGGTTCAGATTGTTCACAAGCTGCAGTGGCTCCAGCAGTCAGATTGGGGTGTGATCTCACAGCACCAGGAGCCCTGAACACCAGCCTGAGGCTCAGCCCTGAAGGCAGCTTGACCAGGCAAACCTGGAGACTGCATCAACACCAGCAGCCTCCAACACACCTGACCTGCTCATGGCCTTAATCCCAAACCCAGGTCCTAAACTACCTCTCACTGTGCATCGCAAGTCACTGCCCATCTTCCTGGCTTCTGATCTGCTGCCGTCCCCGATTCATGGCCTCACTTCACCCACTGATTGCCCTTGACTTTGAGCTACAGGTTTCACCAGCTAACTGCGACTCTAGCCTCAGCTCTGGGGCCATACAGCCTCAAGCACCTGGGTCTTGCTCCAGCTCCAGCTCCCTGTTCTAGGCAGCCCATCCTTGGGAAGAAGCAGACAAAACTGCATGTCAGAGACATGGCTCTGGTTGTCATGAGAAGACTGGATTGCAAAGAGGTCAATGAGAGACGAGAATCTAAACTAAGGAGATGGCAGTAAAACTGGAGAGATGGCACCATACGAAAGACCAGTGATGAATCTGCAGACGGGGAGAGACGAGTACAGGATGGCTTCTGGTTTCCGGCTTTCTCAAGCCTGTGTGGGAAACAGAAGGAGGAGAAGATTCTGATGACCTGCTGCTGCTCAGGCCGACTTCGAGGATTCTGTGGACCGCCCAGGGAAGAGGCCGGGTCTGTGGGTAGAAATTGGAACCTGGGGTTCAGGCTGGGGCTGAGGTAGGAGGCTTAGGAGATAATGGAAGTTGAATCTGGGAGGGCAGACGAAATCCCTGGGAAGTGCCAGGATTTAAGAGGCTGGTGGATGCAGAAGAGCCTGCCAATGAGGGAGAAATCAAGGAAAGAAATGTGTGTGTGCATGTGTGTGTGTGTCTGAGAGAGAGAGACAGACACACACACAGAGAATGGTAAAGATGATGGACACAGGCCAGGTGCAGTGGCTCATGCCTGTAATCCCAGCACTTTGGGAGGCCGAGGCAGGGGATCACTTGAGGTCAGGAGTTCGAGACCAGCCTGACCAACATGGTGAAACCACCCCCCGTCTCTACTAAAAACACAAAAATTAGCCAGGCCTGTTGACACACACCTGTAGTCTGAGCTACTCGGGAGGCTGAGGCAGGAGAATTGCTTGAACCTGGAAGGCAGAGGTTGCAGTGAGCAGAGATTGTGCCACTCCAGCCTGGGTGACAGAGCAAGACCCTGTCTCAAAAAAAAAGAAGAAGAAGAAAGAAGGAGGAGGAGGAGAAGAAGAAGAGGAGGAGGAGGATGCAGCAAAAAACAGCAGGTGAATCTGGGTAAACGATACATGGGTATCTAATGTACTATTCTTCAACTTTTCTGTAAGTTCAGAATTATTTCCTAATGAAAATTAAAACAGAAAAACAAACAAACCAAAGAAATGTGCAAGAGGAAGACAATCAATGACATAGACAGACCAAGTCAGATGAAGACTGAGGAGTATTCATCAGATGTACCCATAAATATTCTTTGGGGATCTTGGCATGGGGACCATCCACAGGAGGGAGGGGACAGATGCCAGGCAGCAGGGCTAGTCAGTGAAATGGGAGGAGAGGGAGCGAGAGGGTGAGCAAGGGCAATTTTAAGAGGCTTGGCTGTGAATGGGAAGATAGGATAGGCTGTGGCCCAGGAATGACCCTCCAGGCCCCCACTATGAAAGCAATCCTTCCAAAGCAGTTTGCACCCCGACATGGGGCACAAGAGGGGCCCTTTGTGCTTGACAAATGGATGCATGAAGGGATGGATGAGTACATTTTCATCAAGGACCAAGTGAGCCTAGCCTCGGGGCTGCAGGCTCCTGGGCAGTGAGTGGTAATGGGGTAGGGGCTTGGTCACCCTGGGAAGGGGGCTGAGCAGGGGGTCCTCTGTCCCCAGCCTCATTCCACACACCATGCTGCCTGCCCCTGATCCCCTTCACACTCAGACTCTGCCTGCCCAGCACGCCCCAAGCTCTGCTCCTCATCTCTTCTCTGTATCCACCCCCGACCTGGTGTTTCCCTCAGATTCACACGGGAGGCAGCTCAGGACTGCGAGGTGCTGGGGCAGCGCATCCCCGCAGGCGCTGTGCTAGAGATGGCCGTGGGTGCCCTGCACCATGACCCTGAGCACTGGCCAAGCCCGGAGACCTTCAACCCTGAAAGGTGAGTACTGCCCCTTTTAAAAAGCTCTGAAGGGATGTGAGTGTGTGGGATAGAAATTTACCAGTGGAGGCAGCAGCCGGGAGGCACAGACTTAGCAAAATTGTCCCCAAATAGTCAAAAGTTATGGCAATTCAGATAGATGTTTGCAAGACATAATTTCCAAAGGAAATAATTATACCATTTTTTAGCCACGCGTGGTGGCTCATGCCTGTAATCCCAGCACTTTGGGAGGCCAAGGTGGGCAGATCACGAGGTCAGGAGATCGAGACCATCCTGGCTAACACGGTGAAACCCCATCTCTACTAAAAATACAAAAACTTAGCTGGGCGTGGTGGCGGGCGCCTGTAGTCCCAGCTACTTGGGAGGCTGAGGCAGGAGAATGGCGTGAACCCAGGAGGCGGAGCTTGCAGTGAGCCGAGATGGTGCCACTACACTCCAGCCTGGGTGACAGAGCAAGACTCTGTCTAAAAAAAAATAAATAAATTAAATAAAAATAAATAAATAAATAAATAATTATACCATTTTTTCAAGGTCCAAACTGAATCCAGAGATTTAGCATTTCAGCAGCCCTGCATGCAAGGAACAAGGCAATTTCAAATGATTGTCTTCCATTCATTCAAGCCAGGACATGGGATACAGGATTGTATTTCAGGTCTGCACTGGAAAGTAACGGAACATCATTTCCTTTTTAAAAAACGGGCATCTATGCCAAAACAACAGCTTCAGCTGATGTCTCCATGAATCTAAATTCACGTGATCCACTGGTTGACCTGGGTCCCCGCCTTCCACCACCTGGCTTTGGTTCATTGTCTCCTTTCATTTCTGGGCTCTGTGATTGGAAACATCTGAGCAGGCGGCCCACACTCTGGTCCTCATCAGAACCAGTCAATATCCTGTGTGTGTGATCTGGCAAGGGAAGGGCTGGCCCGGCACCAGTTGTGTTTTCACCTTTCATGGCTCCAACTGAGTTCAGCCCAAGCCTACGACCCAGTCACTGGGAAAACGTGAGCAATGGGATCTACACAACAATATTCCACAGTCAGCAGCTCCTGAACGTGCCGCAGCCACAGGGCTTACAGCCTCACAATAAAGCCCAGGGGTAGTAAAAAGTGAGCTCGCTGTTACAGAACAGTGAGTGCCACCTAGCTTCACTGTCATGGGACACACGCTGCAGGCAAATGCACTACTTGGTAGGAGATTCAGCAGTTCTGAGGAAGGGCCTCCAGCTCTCCAGGTACTGCAGCTTCCAGTGGTTCAAGTGTCCAGTGCAGGGGCCTGCAAAGCAAACACGGGCAGGAGAGGGGCTGCCAGTGTGGCCCAAGAGACCTGCAGGGCAAGCCAGCAGGACACGCCCCCCAGGGAGGGCCCAGGAGGTGCTGAGGTGCCCGGTACCCTGCCAAGGAAGCAGGTGGCGGCTGGGTCATCCTATGGGAGGGGAGGTGGCGCCATGGGCCCAGGTGAGGGTGATCACCAAACCCTGGGGTTCAGGGATGCCGTGTTTAGACTCTGATTGTGGGTGGCGGTGAGTCTGTGGGCTTATTAGCCACACACTGAATTCCTAAGGAGAGGCAGGGAGGGAGCTGTGGACATTCCAGGTGATTCTGCGAATTCAGCTCTGCCTCTGGGGCTGTGCAGGAAGACAGGAGGCCAGGAGCAGAGAGGGACTGAGGCTCAGGAATGAGCAGCCATCAGCTCCCAGAGCCTTGGAGACATCCTTGTCTCAGATGCAGGGGTGGCTCAGCTGGAGCACAGGGCTGCAGAGGGGAGGGAGCGGGTGTTCTGGGCCAGCCCTGACCACACGGACCTGCAGGTTCACGGCTGAGGCCCGGCAGCAGCACCGGCCCTTCACGTACCTGCCCTTCGGGGCCGGCCCACGGAGCTGCCTCGGGGTGCGTCTAGGGCTGCTTGAGGTCAAGTTGACACTGCTCCACGTGCTGCACAAGTTCCGGTTCCAAGCCTGCCCTGAGACCCAGGTGAGGCCCCCCTGCTCAGAGGCAGGGGCAGGGGCAGGGGTGGGAGGGCCACCCCAGTTCTCTGCGTGAGAGCAGGCCAGCCTGGGGGCAACATCAGGCTCTGCCTCCGTGAGCTTGGGCAAGCTCCTTAACCTCTCTCGGCCTCAGTTTCTTGATTCGTAAAGTGGGGGTGATAATAATAACACCCTCTACCTCTCAACATCCTGTGAGGATCCAGTGAGTTCACACAGCGCTCAGGTAAGCCCTGGCAAGCCAACCCGAGCACGTGTTAACCATTGTTATTAGTATTGTTCTCTGCACACCAGGGCTGGACCTCACCTTGCTGTAGCTCTTCCCACTTCCACAAAGGGCACACAGACAATGGCATTTGCAGTTGTGACATGTGCCTGCCTTTGCGGGGTGGGGGGTGCATGGCTTGTCCTACAGAAGGTGGGGACACTTCCTCTGGCTCCTCCTGACAGAGCAAGGTGCTGTCTGCTTGGAGGGGAAGCTGAAGGGTTTCAGCTCCTTGAACGGTACCCCCAGCTTTGCCTTCCCCCCTTGTGCAGACACTCACGTGTCCCCATGGCCACAGCCTGGTCCCTCTCACAGGTGGTGACACAGCCTCTTCCCAACAACATATGCCTTCATTCCTGAGGTCCTAGACTGGTGCACAGACCCTGTCCTCACCCAGAGAGCTGAGCTCTCCTGAAATGGGGCCTCACCCACTTTTCCAGCCCTATCTCCCCCCCACATCACACACTCCAGAACCAGCAGACCAATTCCTCAACAGGTCAGGGAGCTTATATCCCCTGCTTTCACACTCACAGCAACCCTGCAGAGTAGGAGTGACTATTCCCATTCTTTAGATGAGGAATCAAAGCTCAGAGAGGTTAAATAACTTGCCTAAGGCCACACAGCAGGACTGCAGGCTTCGTGATGGCAGGGACCCAGTCTGTCATATTCATTGTTGGACTTTCCAGCATCTAGCTTAATGCCAGGCGCATGACAGGTGCTCACTCATTCATTCAACAAACATTAATGAGCAAATGGATAAGCAGCCAGAGATGAGAGAAACGGGGGTCCTCACCCAGATCCTGCCCACTCCCAAGCTCTCCCTCCTTCCTGACATCTGGCTACGTCTCTGCACAGCGTTAGCTATTCCCTGCCTATCCTGACCACTGCTGTCCCCTGCACCTATCCTCATGCTTGTCCTGCCACCCGGAACCCACTGTTCAGCTGCAGACCTGGACAGGCAGGCATAGGAAGGCATAAGGACACAGTTGACAGATAGCAACAATTCTAGATTGAGACAGGCAGTGCCTCTGACAGAGAACCTGGGACCAGCTGCTGGTCCTGGAGGAATAATGAGCTTGGATGGGGGACATAGAGTCTGAGATACTGAAAGTGAACGCATCCACATACTCTGGGCTGGAGACAGGGAGGGGCAGATCGGCAGAGCAGAGCCAAACCAAGTGAGGTCAAGGGGCAGACGGAGGAGCAGCCCCACTGCATCGGGGCTTCCACGTGTGCGGGGCTTGTCTCACTTCCCCACGATCTCAACATACAGTGCAGCAGCCAGACCAGTCTCCCAAAACGCTGCTTATGCCTGGCACTCCCCGGCTTAAGAACCAGCCAGGAGTCAAGGGCTCCCCGTTCTTCCTTGTCTGCTCAGACAAGTGCTGGGGCCTGCAGCTTTTTCAGATGCCTTTGAGGGCTATGGCTCCCACAGGAGACACGTACAGCCCCAAGCACTAAGACCCTGGTGACTCTTTGCTGTCACATTAGCCACTGGCTCATCATTTTACTCAGCTCCAGAGGAAACCCAACTCCTCGAGTAATTCTTTGGTTTTTCTTCAAAGTCCCCAGTCCACCACTGGCTCTGCCTTTTAAGCTGGACATAGGAAAGCTTTCTGGATGTCAGTGAGGCCAGACCACAGCACACATGAGCAGGAACAGCATGAAGCTGCTTTCCCCAGAGCCCCTGGGCCAGAGGGCATTGCTCAGTTACTGGCCAGAACTGGAGAGTGAGATGGGGAGGATCAGCAGGGACGGCTGGAGTCACTGAAAGATAGGTTTGGGGCTTTGCTCTCTGCTTTCTTCTTGTGTGACCTTGGACAACGGACTTGGCCTTCTTGAACCTCCAAGTCTTCATTTGTACAGTGAGATGCTACTATCTCTTTGACAAATATTTTAATTTTCTCTATTTTAGGTACCGCTGCAGCTAGAATCCAAATCTGCCCTAGGTCCAAAAAATGGTGTCTATATCAAGATCGTATCCCGCTGACACAGAAGGCTGCCGGGTGGGGGGAGGGCACCCCCAAATTCAAAGAAAACCCTAAGTGTGGATGTTCAGAATTTTGGAAAAATGTCACTGAAGTGATTGAAAGAGTGCCTGGCATGCAAGGATAAGAGGTTCTTTACATAACATTTCCTAAATGCTTAATAAACGTTTGTTGCACTTGGTTTTGACATTGCCAATGGGGTTTGAACCAGTGCTCTCTCTAAATGAAGAATTGCTGATAAATAAGTGAAAATGTAGTTTTGACAAAACAACTGAGAATGTGGGGTTTTAAAGGAAGTCCCAGGCTTGTGCTGAAAGGAATCCATGGTGCAGGGCACATGAGGACCCCCAGGTAAGCCTGTCCTGATGGCACTAGCTCGTGGCTCTTTCAGCTTCTCGTGCATTGTGGAGTTGTAGAGAATGACATTTATCGAAAGTTCAACCTCAGCAGTGGTTCCAAAGCTTTATTATGCTTTGATTTTCCTAGGTAGGGTAGTACCAACTTTACAGTCAAGTTTCAATCGACAGAAAAATGAGAGTCTGAAAAATGATATACTTTTTCTTTTAAAGAACACTGTATCGGCCGGGCACGGTGGCTCACACCTGTAATCCCAGCACTTTGGGAGGCTGAGGCAGGTGGATTGCCTGAGGTCAGGAGTTCAAGACCAGTCTGGCCAACATGGTGAAACCCCATATCTATTAAAAATACAAAAAAATTAGCCAGGCTGTGGTGGCGGGCACCTGCAATCCCAGGTACTTGGGAGGCTGAGGCAGGGGAATTGCTTGAACCAGCGAGGTGGAGGTTGCAGTGAGCCAAGATCGCGCCACTGCACGCCAGCCTGGGTGACAGAGTGAGACTCCATCTCAAAAAAAACAAAAACAAAACAAAAAACACTGTATATTAATTTTGATCAAAGAATCAAAATATAGAGGTGATTTTTTTTGTAAAAATAAGTATTGTGTTGCTAAGCAGTTCACATTCAACCAAGCACTTGCAAGGTCAGTCTCACGATCAGCCACCAGCAGCTGCGCATTCATGGCTGCTGGTGAAGAGCCGTATCACCTCCCTGTGCCTCAGAGACCTCTTCTGTAAAATAAGGAGGCTGGCCTCGATCAAAAGACCACTTGTCCTCTAGTTGACACCTGAGCAGCTTTAAGAGGTTGAATGTTGTATAGAGAACGATCTTGTAGAAATCTGTAAGCCCCTTATGTGACACCCAGATGCTGACGACCCACCTTTAGAAACTTCAGGCCATTTTGGGAGAGTTGGCAGAATGAGTTTCCACATATTCACTGCTGGGACTGCTGCTTCCACTGTTTGGTGGTCCCCCATCCCCTTCAGCCAGGAGCACCCACTGTATCCCTCAAAATCCCCCTTGGGGGGCCCCTTCTCTTATTCTCTGGCCCTCCAGGCAGGAAGAGGACACCCCAGCTGCCCAGCACTGGGCCAGGCCTGTGAGTGACTGCTGCCTCAAGGTGTAGGGCTGTCCTGTGGCCCTCCCCACACCCTTGTTGCCACCACCTGCCCTTCTCCATCACCTGGCCCCTCTGCAATGCCCAGCCTGGGACTCAGACTCACTGGAGAAAACCATCCACCCCTGGGAACCTGTCGGCCTCCCTGCCTGTCCCACAATCCCTGACCTCCCCACGGCTGCCGCCACCATAGAACCTCAGCCTGCAGACAGGCCCAATGGCGCACTCAGCTCCCTGCTTGGAGCACAGCCCCACAACCTGAGTCCTCCCTTGGGACCTCCGGCCCCGCCCCCCGGCCTGTCAGCTCCATCCAGCTTCCCTCGCCTTCCCAGCTCAGTTGGTCACCACCTTCAGACACAGTGGTAGAGGCTTCCTCATGTGCTGGGGTCACTGGACTCCAGTCCTTCTACTGTGTGAGGCCACCAACCCCACCTCTGCTTAAATCCCACTGTTCACATCCAACACCAGGTATCACAGGGCAGGGAACCGCACCGCCTGGTCCTCCAAAAAACCCTCTTGCTAGATTCCCAACTGAGTCCTCACAAAGATTCTGGCCAATCCCACACACATACACCCATGTCCCAGACCCTACCACCTCTTGGCACCAAACATCTTGAGAGTCACAGTCATTTCCACCCCTTCCCATCACAATGCCCACCCTTTCTGCACCGGCAGGAACGGCTCCCTCCCCGTCATCAAGCAATCTGGCCATGTGGCTCCCACCCTCCCTAGCATTGCTGGTCCAAGGAGTTGCTCTTCCTAACCTGCTTTCTTCCAGGTCACCCAGCCATGGCTGCCAGAGTCTTCACAGCTCAGTGGACTTTTCCGGAGCAACTGAGCATCTCCCACCGGATCCCTCTGGCCGCCCTCCCCATCTACACCCCCAGTGAACCAGTTCTGCTCCCCAAATCTCCCCAGCTCCCAGATGATTCAGAAGCATAGAATCAGTTCACTTACATGCAAGACCTTAGCAACAGACATGCATCTGATTTAATGGTTTTCTCTGACACCTCTTTGCCCCTGCCCAACTACACCATAGCAGGACCAATGACTTAATGAAAAAGCAATGAGTGAAATGGCAGGATCAGTCAGGCTGTGAGGAAATTTGGAGGGGGTTCTGAAAATCATACCATGGGCAACCATGTGGCTGACCCAGCTGCTGGGTGAAGCTGTGTTGTTCTTGCTGTTCCTCTGGTCATTTACCTTGGCTCTCCTCCAGCTTGACTGCACTTGCCTGTGTTAAGGTTTCAGATCACTCCAAAGATGGAAAAATGGGTTCATATTCACCTTGGACCTGAGAAATACAGGCAAGCCAACTGAAGCCCAAGCAGCAAGTCGCCAGCAGACACACGTCCTCAGGAAGGTGGAGGCTGGGCAAAAAGCATGTAGTGAGGACCGAGTAGGGAGGGCTGACAGCCTGGTGACACCAGTGGCCCCGCCAGCCCCTCTGCCAACAGGGCCAGAACCAGCCAAAGCCCAGAAGGGAGGCTCCTGTAAACTGCCACGTGTGAGGGACACACACAACACTCTCTCCACATGCACAGCACATTGCTCAGTGGTGAACCTGGGTCTTACGGGGCCTGAAACTTATCTACGAATTGGAGGAAAGAGAAAAAAAAAGTGTAACATTTGCAAATTTTATCAAAACCTATGACCATGTGACCATATTGCTAGGGTCCCTCCTAGGGCCTGGGGAGGGGCTCCAGCAAGTGAGGGGCCCTGAACCTTCAGCTTCACTGTCTTCTTAATAAATCCATACGTAGCTCACCAAGCCGTGTCATCAGCTCTGTCACAGCCCTGATAACGGTCTGAATGTTACGACCCCCAAAATTCCAATGTTGAAATCCTCACCCCTGAGGTGATAGTATTTAAAGTAGAGGTGATTAGACCACCAGGGCGGAGCCCTCATGAATGAGATTCAGTGCCTTTATAAAAGAGGCCCTTCCACCGCGTAGGGTTACAGTGAGAAGACTGAATCTATGAGGAAGCAGGAGGTTGCACTTTATAGACTCCAAACCCGGTAAATAAACGTCTGCTGTTGATGAGCCGTCCAGTCAATGGTGTTTTGTTACAGAAGTCCAAATGAACAAAGGCAATCCCTGACTCTCAGAAAAACGCCTGGCACTCAGTAGGTGCTCAATCAATAGACGCAGAAAAATGAGCTTCAGTCTTCATCCACTTCGGATAAATTTTCTTTTATTTCCATACTCTTTTGTGACATGTGTGGCACAAGTATTCAATCTCACAGGGATGTTAAAACCCACACTCGAAGGGTGTCCAGTGTGCTTAGGAAATGTGGGTTTGCGCAATCACAGGCCAAGCCTGGGGGTCCTCGGGGAAGCTACTCCTCCAGGTCACCTGCCAGGTGGATGCACTTCCTTGGGCAATGGGTGACCCTCCCAGGACAAGGGGAACCAGCAGGGACTCGATGGCACCACACAGCAGCCACCTGTTCTGACAATGTGACACAGACCAACTAATGCCAGAGCCCAGGAGAAGCCACAGCAGAGCTGCCTGGGTTGGTGTCAGAGCAACAGGCAGAAGTGACTGTGCCGCCCGTGGGCTGTCATCCACCGGTGGCTACTGTGTCATTCTGGAAAAACTATGATGCCATGAGACTCTGAGAAACCGAATCACTGCAGAGACAAACTCATAAAAATTAAAACCAATCCATAAAATTGTATCTAGAAACTCTGTCCCTGGTGCCAATAAGCAGCAAAGTCAACAAAGAGTAAAAACTAAAACTTCAACACATTATTAAAAAGCAAAACTGGACTCAACTACAATCACTTCTGGTTAATCCACTAGTGAACCCAAAAGTGACTTAAAAGTAAAAATCATTATTAGCAAGAGATTAAGAACATAACTTCATTGAGAGGTCAATGTTAAGAGAACAGTTCATTAAAAGTTTCTGTTTAAAAAGAAAAGGAAAGGCCCAAATAGCCATTTCAAGGCAGAGCAGGTGAAAGGCCTGGAACACTCCTGTGCGCTCACTGTCGGCTGCTGAACAGGGAGCCCAAGGCCAGCAGGATGGAGGGTGTGACCGAGGGCTTGGAGGAGGTGGTGTACTGGATGACATACTCTGGGTAGACCTGGTGTTTCTCAAAGATCACAAAGATGGAGGGGTCGGACACACTGTTCACGCAGCTATCATAGAAGGCGTTGCTCCAGCCCTCCTTGGCCGGCGGACGGACAAAGGAGGCATTGCCCCTGACGAACTCGCCCACCAGCACCCGGGCCAGGAACATCGTGTGGGTCTGCGTGTCGGATTTGCTGTAGTGGTGGGAATATGCAGCATCTCGGGCAAAGTAGCTCCCTGAAATGACACACGAGGGCTCAGCTGGTGGAGGGGCCTGCAGCCAGGAAGGGTCAGCACACTGCGAATAGCGTCCTGGTGATGTGCAACGCCAGGGCCTCTACTCTTCCACCCCGCATCTCCCTCCCTCCCTCTGTGCCATGTCTCCACTCTCCCTCATGAAGTCACATGCATCAGTGATACCAACACCCTTCTGAGTGGCAGCATCTGAGGAGTTACCAAACTGAGATAGCAAATTCCTTTCAAGTTCCGGATCTGCCCCACGAAACCTAAAGGCCTGTGGACACGTCACTACTTAATCCCCCAAACCTCAGATTCCTCAGGCATAAAATGGGGCTGTTCAGCCCAACCTTACAGGGTTGGCATGGAAAATGAATGAGATCCCATATACGGAAGCAGTCTGTAGACTCTGGCAGCCCAATGTATAGAATTATGAGCCTTGTCAAATGGAAATCTGAGTTAGAAGCTGTCACCTGTACATTTAAATCCACAAGTCTACCACTGGCTGCTGTCCATCTTGACCCCTTGCCATCGCTGCCTCAGACGGAAACTGACTAACAAAGAACTGATGGACCCGGAACATGGACTGCTGGGCAGAAAATGTTCTCAACTTGGTAAGCATATTGTGGTTACAGAAGATAATGTCCTGTTCTTGGGATGTGTTAAAGGGTGAAAGGAGACAATATATGCCACCTACCTGAAAATGGTGCAGAAAGAGAGAGGGAGAGAGAAAGAGAGAAGTGGCAGCATGTTAAAACCAATGAACGCAGGTAAAATTTACCCAAAGAGGTTTTTTTTAATTATTATTATTCCAATTTTCTTGAATTTCGATTTCCAAAGAAATAGTATTTTAAAATTTTCTTTGGCAAGTTTAAAAATAACAGACAAGAAAACACTCAGATAACTCACGTGATAGCTAGAATACATGTTTACATGAGTATCTCTGAGGGTTTCTGGTTTCTATTCTAAGGAAATCAATAGTAAAGGCACAGTCAGGGACTTCATCAGGGCTGGGAAGGTATCCCCTCTCCTCTCCCGTCTCTGTCACCATCTCCCAGGGCCTCTGCTCCACAGGGAAGCAACACCCCAGCCTAGGCAGGCCACCCTGCCCACACCTGGGGCCAAGCTCCTGACCATGCCCAGAGGAGCAAGAGCAAGGATGTGACTGGTAGCTGTGCCCAGGTACCACCACACATGGAGTCTGAACCTGCTCATCAGCTCAGGCTGGTCCCCTCATGCCCTCTAGCAGTCTGTTCCTATGCAGGGGCAAAGCAACATGGGTTTTGCTGGTGGAGGCCAGTCATGCCTTACCCTTGCCGTAGGAAGTGCCATGAACACCACAGACCCGCCAGTCAAAGTTCTGCTGGCAGATGGCGTCCACAAAAATGGCGCTGGTGCCGTGGAACAGCTGCCGCTCGTCCACGGCCTTCCCTCCGTTCTGCTTCTGCATCTGTCCTTTTTGCCTAGAATCACAGAAGAATGTGTGCTGGGGGCAGAGTGTGCCGGCCACCAAATACAGCCGGCCTGATGCAAAACAACACATTTTTCCAAAATTCCAAAAGTGTCCTGGGACCAAGAGACGCAGGTCACAGGCTACCCTGACTAGGCCTGTAAGCTCCAGCCACAAGCCAGGGTGTGGAAAAGAAGGGGGATCGTGGGAGCTGGGTGAAAACCCTCCCTCCACAGCTCCAGACAGCAGCGGTTCCCTGGACTCCAAAAGCAGAGCAGCCCTTGGAAAATGGGTACCATTTCCCCCAACCCCACCCCCACCTTGCTCCTGCATGGAGCTGAGCCCTGGGATGCTGTAGGAATTTTCAGGCTGCTGGTCAGTGGGTGCCCATCCTTCTCCCCTCTCCCATTCCCAGACTTCATCACTGTGCACAGAGTACACATTACACTACCCCAACCCCATCTGGGGACAGGTCAGCAAGACCCAGCCTGCCATGGTGACCTATTGTAGGATTCCTCCCCACATAGACAGGTGAGTGGGTGCTCAAGGACAAGCCAGTCCTCATGTATGAACCTGAGACCCCTGCTGTCTAGCCACAGCCTTATGTTCCTGGGGCTAATGGTGTGGTGGGCTGTACTGACCCATCCCACTGGTCTCCAGGAAGGCAGAATGGACAAGTGAGAGTGCTAGCTTTGCCACCACTCATGAACGGGACCAGGTGGTATGCTCCAGGAAGCCTCGGTGCCCTCATCTCTACAATGGGATGTGCTACCACACTGCCCTGGGGGAGCGGACGAAGGAGAGCAGACACACAGCTCCCAGCACATGGCAGCCCTAACTGCCGCTCTGCTTTTCCTGGAAACCCGGGCCACATGTGGCAACCAGCCAGTGGTGTGAAGGGACAGAGTCACCAGCCCACCAAGAGCGAGCCCCAACGCACCACTGGTAGACTTCCCAGAGGGCCAGGTTCTGTACTCGCTCAATCTTCTGAACAAAGTAGAAAGGCAGCGTGCGGTTAAAGAGGTTCCAGACCTTCTGATACTCTTCCGAGGAAGAACTAAGGGTGATCTTCTGCAAGGGGCAAATGTTTTTAATGCATTACCATCAACGTGCAGAATATAAATCAGTCCCTTCCCAAAGCTTCTTGTAAACACTAGAACCGCAGAAGCACAAAAGCCCAGAGAGCAGTGACCACATTCTCCTGTGGTTTCTCCAGGCACAGGAGACAATCGGTCCTCATGAAATGTCATTGATAGGTTCTTGGAAACTGCAATTTTAAGTAAAACAACAAACCTCTTGTTTATGTCAGTTAGCATATGGGAAATTGGTTTCGTTAGACAGTATGTTGTGCCACTTTAAGTCAGTTTCCAAGAACCTACTGATGATGTTGAGGATTTACTATGTTTGCAAATTGTAGTCACTTTGCTCCTCATCACTGTGAAACCAATCTAAAGGACAGACACGTGATGCTTAAGCCACCATCGAGGGTATCCCCTGGATGTCCCTGCCTTTTTTTTTTCTTGTCCCACACAGGTCAAAGACACAGGTTGGACTACATGGTCCAAGGACCACAGAGTCGTCTAGACAAACATGTTGAACCCCTTTAGGTCCTTAGCACTTCTTGCCTGCACTGTTGGCATCTGCATGTGCCTTATACAAGCTCAATAAGTCCTCCCAGGACAGGGACCGTCACGTTTTAAAGCTGAGTTAGACAGTGCTCGGCAGCCGGCCAGCTGGCAGACATCAGCCCAGGTGCAGACGGGCAGCCTCAGATGTTAGTCTGCGTACTCTCCTGCACTCAGCACAGCTCCCACTGGTCAGAGCCCCTCAACAAGCTGCCAAATTGACTGTCCATTCTCCTGTCTGCTAGTCGTGAATGCCTTCCCTCCTGACAGTAACCCCATTCCAAATGTCCATCGGACTCAGGTCCTCCCCAGGCTGCTTCTCCTTTTCTCGCTTAATAAAATTGGTATTTATTGGTTAAGCCCAGCCCATAAACTCATTTCTGCCCTTTCTAGCAAATTTCACGCTCATCCTCCTCCCTCCACAAGACAACCCCTCCCCTCAGAGCCACAGCCAACTCCTGGGTGGTGAAAAAACAAAACCCTCTGCAAAAAACAAAAACAAAAATAAAGCCCACATCTGTCACTGCCCTCCTGCCCCAATTAGCCCCAGCCTTACAGCTTCTTCAGTGTTGAGGAATGGCACAGTCTGTTCACACACACCCACTTCTACAGAACACCTTCCTGTCCAGCCCCAGGCGCATGCGTCCCCTACCTGAAAGCCTGGGTCTGGCAGGGCAGAGGAGTCCCAATAGTCTGGGATGCTCTTCGGGCCTGGAAACTTGGTATTGCTACAAAAATGTAAACAAAAACACGTAGACATTTTATTCTTACACAAAGCAAATATACCATAGGTGGTCTCTGCTAGCCAATATCACCAGTCTTGAGTCTCAGCACATCATATTTCAAGAGCAGGTAGAAGGCAAGGAAGAATGTTAGCACGATATTCACAACATGAGAGCACTTTTATCTTTGCCTATGTAGCCAAACTCCAAACAGTCCTGAGAGATCTATTTCTCGCCTGTGTCCCAACTACCACACAAAAGGGATAAAAGGGATGGAGTACATGGTTAAAGGAGCACACACACAGCCATAAACCTTTATCCACAATTCTGAAATTCTAAGAGCTCTAAAGACATTTTTTTAAGGCCTCGATGAGGTATAATTGACATTTTAAAACTTTTTATACAGCTCAGGAAAAGCAGGAGAAAATATGAAATAAAACATTTTTTGAAAAACATAAAAGTGACATCAAAAGTCATTTGGCAGTAGAAATTTGACTGAAGTTAGTAAGAGGCCACTGTGATCTGTATCTATCCTTCTTAAACTGACTATGCATATTGTTTACTGCAGAAATATTAATGTGCTAAAATACAGAGTGTCACGTGATACAAGCATCACATTATCTTTCTAAAAATTAAATAAAAGCAGTTCAAAAGACATATGGATCAAGGGTTCAGGAACAAGGACTGTGAAACTATAATTACAAATCATTCCTATTAAGTTTCAGAATACACTGTTCTTTCTAAATAGATCTACCTTCTGTTTCTGCTGGCATGAAACATATACCTTCATCCTAAGCCTCAAAGAACTCCCACAAATAACTTTCCTGGGAAAATGGCACAGTTCAAAAATAACTAAGCAAGGTCCTACCAGCAAGAATCAGCCAAAAACAGACCCACAAAGACTTAAGATGCTGAAATTATCAGAGAGATTACAAAACAATTATTCTTCCTATGTTTAAAGGAAAAAAAAAGACAAACTTTAAAAACATATGCAAGGAACAGGAAACTATAAAAAGACCTGGAAGATCTAAAAAAGAACCAAATAGAACTTACAGAATTAAGTACAATCTTTAATAATAAAAGTGTAGTGGACAGGCTTAATAGCAGATTAGACCAGCTGGAGGAAGAATCAGTGAGCTGAAACATATGTGAAATGAAATTGTCCAGAATGTGGCCCACAGCAACAAGGAAATGGAAAATGCAGGAAAGAAGTTGAGACATGGAGAACAGTGAGAACTTGAATATGATCAGAACCTAAGTGAAGCTCTAGGAGAGGAGAGACAAGACAGTGGAGGCGATTTTCAAAGAGAACTGATGAGATGCACCTATCCGCAGCTTAAGAAGCCCAAAGAATCTCAACCATGATAAATAAAAGCACATACTTAGATACACTTTAGTGAGGATGCCTACCTCCAAGACAAACAGAAGCTCTTAAAAGTAGCCAAAGGAAAAAAGAGTGATTACTGTCAAAGAAGCACCTGTTAGACCAACAGGCAATTTCTCAAAAGCAACAGTGGAAGCCAGAATACAGTGGAGTGATCATCACAATGATCCAAGAGAAAATCCCTACAACCCAAAATTCTATACCCAGTGAAAATTTCCTTCAAGATTGATGGCAAAATAAATACATGTTGGCCAGGCGCAGTGGCCCACGCCTGTAATCCCAGCACTTTGGGAGGCCGAGGTGGGCAGATCACTTGAGATCAGGAGTTCAAGACCAGCCTGACCAACATAATGAAACCCCATCTCCACCAAAAATACAAAAATTAGCCGGGCATGGTGGCGCACGCCAGTAGTCCAAGCTACTCAGGAGGCTGAGACAGGAGAATCGCTTGAACTCAAGAGGCGGAGGTTGCAGTGAGCCAAGATCATGCCACTGCACTCTGGCCTGGGCGACAGTGCGACTCCATCTCAAAATACATACATACATACATGCATACATACATACGTACATACATATTCAGACAAACCAAAAACAGTTTTCCAACAAATCTTCATCGAAGGCAGCCTTGTCCAACCTGCAGCCCGCAGGCTGCATGTAACCCAGGACAGCTTTGAATGTGACCCAACACAAATCTGTAAACTTTCTTAAAACATTATGAGATTTTCTTGTGGTTTTTATTCTTTTAGTTCAGCTATCGTTAGTGTTAGTGTATTTTATGTGTGGACCAATTCTTTTTCCTCTAATGTGGCCTGGGAAAGCCAAAAGATTGGACACCCCTGATCTAAGGTAATCTGAAAGGACAAAGTGGTAAAAATGTGAGTAAATTTAATGAAACTTTCAGAGTATAAAATAATGGTGCCTCTTGAGGTTTAAAAAAAGTTGAGAGGAAGGCAAATGGAAGAAAAGATAGGAGGGCAAAGATATTGATTTACTTGTACTTAAGTGAAGAACATGTAGTTTCTACCATAGCCTTTAAAATATACATATACACAAAAGAAGGTAAGAAAAGAAAAAATAAGACCCAATCACATGAATGAAACATTTTCATAGAGGATGGGCAACATGGTGAGACCCTGTCTCCACAACAAATAAAAAAATTAGCTGGGCATGGTGGCGCATGCCTGTGGTCCCAACTACTTGGGATGCTGAGGTGGGAGGATTGCTTGAGCCCGGGAGGTGGAAGGTGCAATAAGCCGTGATCAGGTCACTGCATTCCATCCTGGGTGACAGAGTGAGACCCTGTCTCATAAATAAATAAATAAATAAATACATAAATAAATTTTACATGACACTCCTGTATTATGACTTCTGAATATGGACATTACATTTTATGACCTCATTAATTGTGTAAACAGAAAAGTTGTTTCTGAAAGTGATCTACCCTCAGATTCCCAATTGGCCATGCAGGCCCAGGCAGACTTGCTTACTGGAGTTAATGACAACCAGCTGCTGGCACATGGGTCAGAGAGAAGAACTGAACACTTCATCTGTGTGAACAGTGTGTGACACTCCGCTTACAGGAGACCCCAAATCACCCATATCTTAGTCTGAATCACTTTTAGTTTGGACATTTGGCATCTTCTTGTGGCCCCCTAAAAACTAAATTAGAATAAGAGAGATCTACTCTCAGAAAGCAGAGAGACTTTTCCAAACCTTGTCTAGGGTAGGCTTTGTATAGGAAAAGAATAAAAAATGACTTCCAGAAATAGGAGGGTCATAATCAACCAAAACTCTAAATCCAGAATCAGTAAGACACTGATACATTTAACTAAAATAATAAGAGATATATATTTATGGTAAAATACTTCACAGGCAAAGTCAAAAGGCAAACAACAAACTAAGAGAAAATATTTGCCATTTATATAACAAAACGAGGGCCAACCTCCCTAATAGATAAAAGGCTCTTGATATTTAAGAAAAATACCAGAAAGTTGATAGAAAAATGGATAAAAAGACCAACAGTCCACAGAAAAAGAAGCAAAAATGGCACTTACATGTTAGAAATAATATTCAACCTCACTCCTAAGAGAGAGCAAACTGAAGTCCACTGACCCATCTTTACCCCTGAGAAATGCAAAAGCCCAAGAGCCTGACAACTCACTCTGTGGCATCTCATGCGTCCTAGTGGGTGTGCATAATGATTCAAGCCCATGGAAAGGAATTTGGTTTACTTCCTACGACTCTGACCTAACAGTCGACCTCCAAAATTTGTTTTTTTTAATTAAAAAAAAAAAGAGACAGGGTCTCGCTATGTTGCCCAGGTTGGTCTCAAACTCCTGGGCTCAAGCGATCCTTCCATCTTGGCCTCCCAAAGTGCTGGGATTATAGGTGTGCACCACCGCACCTGGCCATACCTCCAAAATTTGAAACAGCACATACATCAAATGGTTCATCACGACATTATACTTTTTAATAGCAAAAGACTGAAAACAACACAAACATCCATGAAAAGGGGACATATTAAGTAAACTATGGTACATACATATTACAGAGAACCAGGAAAGAAGAAACGGATTGAGGAAGTTAATGAATTGAAACAAAGTGATTATCATGATCTATTTTTAAGTGAAAACAAAAAAGGGTATAGAACAGTATAGATAGCATGTTCCCTTTTGTGCAAGAAGAAAATACTTTTATATGTATGTATGCAAATGCTTATTTTTGCAAAGAGAAACATAAAAAAGAGAAACCGGAAACTAATGTTACCCACAGTGGGAACAGGGTAGAGATAACAGGGAGGAAGTTACAGTCTACAGAGGATACCATTTTATATAGGTTTGACTTTTAATCACGTGAAGGTTTTACACATAGTCAAAAACAATAATAATAATAATTATTATTTTTGAGACGGGTCTCACTCTGTCACCCAGGCTGGAGTGCAGTGGTGTGATCTTGGCTCACTACGGCCTTGACCTCCCTGGGCTCAGGTGTCTCTCCCACCTCAGTCTCCTGAGTAGCTGGGACTACAGGCGCACAGGCTGGTCTCGAACTCCTGGGCTCAAGCAATCTACCCGCCTCGGCCTCTTGAACTGTTGGGATTACAGGTGTGAGTCACTGCACCCAGCGCAAAAATAAATTTTAATTTAAAAAGGAAAAAGTAAGGCACATTCCCAGGAAATTACTTTGCTAGGTCTGACTCACAAGGCAGTTTCGTGGACTGATAATACCTTTCTCCTCTATCTTGTACCAAACTCATTTAAAAACGACCTTTGCATGCTTCACAAAACAAAAGAACCAAAAGAGACATTGTTGGTTCTCCATAAAATAGACACAAGCCAGACCTCTCAGGCGAACAGAAGGTGCAGCCAGCTACCAGTAACACTGCCTAAAGTCCCAGCACTGGCTCTGGCAAGCCCAAACTGTATGGGCACTGTGGTCCCTCTCCACCATGCAGGCCACCTTCCCCCAATATGTGGCTGTGTGGTTTGGAGAACACTGACCCCTTCCTCTCAGTTCCAATCCCATCCCACCTCCCCAAGCCTAAAATAACACCAGAGGTTGAGATAGGGTCTGATCAGTACAAAGCACAAGAATTTCCCCTCATCTGCTATAGGAGGTTTCTCTCCTCCCTTCTAGGGGCTCACAGGCCACAGGCTAACCTGGTGGCTCCTGGCAGCCATCTTGGGACTGAAAGAAACTCACCCTGACGAAGCTCGCCCATTAGTGACTGCAATATCTGTTTTTAGAGTTTTGGTATTCCGTGATATTCAAATACTAAAATACATGAGTTTTTATTGGTGTAATTCCATCATTATTTCATTATTTCAACATTTAAAAAATTCAAGTCTATGACTCAATGATTCCACAGAAAAGACAAACGGATGGGTTGGCTTCAAGTCTAGACTCGCCTTCAGAGTCTGTCTTCTCCAGAGAATCATCGCAGATCACAACAGGCAGCCTTCTAATTATGCATCACGAAGCTTCTACCCACAGGGTAATTCCCACTCTGGTCCAACTAGTAGAAGACAAACGATAACAGAGTGTGGGAGCACTTCGTTGTACAAGCCAACGGTGCCCGGGTGCTGTCTGAGGCAGGTTTTCTGTCACCACTGCAGAGCACACCCCAGCTGATTACATCCTAAGTACCAAGCCCCCCACTGCAACCTACCAGGTTTGCATGGTCGTCACATCCTGGGGAGACACGTATTTGGGTCTGCGGCAAACCTTTTTAGTTGTGCCATAGACCAGGTTTTTCTGAACGAAGGCTGAAAAAAAACATAACCAGTGAAAAAATATACATATACATATACATACACACAGGATGGCAATGTTTTATAAACACAAATTAGATAGATTTGAAAGCTTATCCAAATGTGTAAAACCCAGAATCAGTCTGTTAAAAATAGGGCCATTTTACACATTTCAAATATTCATAAAGAAAATAGGTATCCTTAGGAGACTGGGTTTAATGAATAGAGGAATGATTAGTAATTGACATATCAATTACACATGAGTGCTTTTAAATTGTTCCTTCCAATCTTGTTTAAACCATTATTTTGCTTGGCAATTTTTCCCAGCTTGGATATAAAAAAGCCTCAGCCCAGCCTGAGATCAAACTACCATGTCTTGAGTTAGTGGGATTCAGAGTTAATGTAAGTTTTATGACTTTGTTTTAGTTAAACTATGGCAGTATTCATCAACCTTTCTAAACCAATAATATCTTTAATAAACAAATTTCTTGCTTCCCCACCCTCAAGAATCCCATACTCATCCTGAGGATTTGGGGTTGGGGGAACTGGCCCCTCAAGTTGAAAAATGACAAATACCTAGCAGTGTTTGTTCTGTCCTTGCCTGCCAGGAAAACCCTCTCAAGTCTTACATTTTTTTTAAGAGATGGGGTCTTTTGCTTTGTTGCTCAAGTGGACCTTGAACTCACCAGCTCAAGTAATCCTCCCACCTCAGCCTCCCAAGTAGCTGGGACTACAGGTTTGTGACACCATGCCCAACTAATTTTGTTTTCATTTACAAAACATTTTAATATTAAAAATTATAGGTGTCCAGAATTAGCCTTATTGCAGTTGAGCATAAACTGGATGGTTATCCAAGTGTGTGTCTCTTAGGTTGCAGCTGAGATGGTCACTATTCCTGGAGGTCCATCCACATTCTCATTCAGAGCCCATGATCCAGATGCAGCAACCATGACCCCTTCTGTTACCCACTACTCAGCCGCCCATCAAGACCATTCTCACTGGCATATTTAAATGGGTGTTACTGGCCTACTGGCCATCTGTGATGAATCTTAAATGGCTTTCACTGGTGAAATTAAAAGTGAGCTAAGATACGTGGACTGGCTAAATGTGTGTCAGACACATTCCCTACCCTTCTATGGACACAGTAAAGTGAGGTCTTTTCCCTAATTTACCCTTCCAGAGGATACCCTAGGCTACAGCCTGTCTTTGGGGAATTCTGCCCCGTCAGACACCACCTAACAGGATGCTAGAATTCTGCCTCTGGAATCCTGGCATTTGCCTTGAGTGAATCATTTATGACAAGAGTCCCTAAAAGGGCAGAACTGAATCATCCCTAAACCTTCAGAACAACTCATTTGGGCTCTTTTGTGTGTTTTAAATGTACTTGCTTCCTAATAAACAGCTAATAAATATGTGTGGCAGTTTGCTTTGAGACTTGCTTTATACTTAGAAGTGAAGTTGTGGGGGAAGAAGCCAATTCATCTCAAGCTTCTTTTATGGATACTGGTATCTACCAAAAGAAGGAGGAGGAAGAGGAGGAGGAGGGGGAAGAGGAAGAGGAGGAGGAAGAGGAAGAGGAGGAGGACGAGGAGGAGGACAAGGAGGAGGACAAGGAGGAGGAGGAGGAGGAGGAGGACGAGGAGGAGGAGGAGGACGAGGAGGAGGAGGAGGAGGAGGAGGAGGAGAAGGAGGAGAAGGAGGAGAAGGAGGAGAAGGAGGAGAAGGAGGAGAAGGAGGAGAAGGAGGAGAAGGAGGAGAAGGAGGAGAAGGAGAAGAATTGTGCCCACTCAAATGGGCTTCGGTCAGTCTGCAGGAATCATAAACTGCACGTGTGTGCTCTTCCCCATCCCTATTATGAGGTTCTGTTATGTCCCCAGGGTGTGGCCTAGGTTGGGAATGATCAAGGTAGTATCTGACATTTCTATCTGTTTTGATATTTTCCAGATATTTAAAAGAAATATTCCAGATTGCTGTCAGCAGCAGTCAGATGTATGCTTGCCACACAGTCCTGACCTTCAGGGCAGTCCTGATTTGATTAACGTCTATGCTCTCACTGGTCCCCTCTCATGCACTGGTGTGTGTCAGGCCGTGGAAAGCAAACCAGACCACACGTGGCTGGCGCTCTCCAGCAGAGGCAGTTCGCACTCTAGAGGAGAAAAACTTCACCGTAAAGGGCATGTCAAGGGGGTAGTGATCTACCCTAAGCAAAACCACAAGTGCCACGAAACCACAAGCAAAACCAAGGCCAGAAACAGACAGCCAAAGTGGTTTTAGGATAATTCACCAGACACTTCACTATACTCCACATAGAATAAACGTCTGCAAAAATAAAGAAAACCATAAACTGTGTTTAAAGGAAGGCCCACTTACTCCCTTATAAAATGCTGAACATTCAGAAGGACTCAGAGTTTAAAATGTGAAATACAGGCAAAACGGAACTGAATAAAGCTGGACCGATACACTCATGAGGAAATGGCTTAAGAGAAACTACACAAAATTAAAACTTAAAAAAAAAAAAATTCTCACACATCAGCCACTTGGAGGAACTGGCCAAAGGGTGGCCTATTTCTCTCTGTAAGGCAACCAGGATGAAACATTTCAGCCCCAGCCTCAGGACACCATGAGTGCACGAAAATCTGCTTCTCAGGGACTTTCAATTACTCTGTGTCCTACCATCCGTTAAACCCATCAACTCCAAAGTCGCCTACAGAAAAGATGGCAGCAGGCCAGGCGCGGTGGCTCATGCCTGAAATCCCAGCAAACTGGGAGGCCAAGGTGGGTAGAACGCTTGAGGACAGGAATTCAAGACCAGTCTGGCCAACATGATGAAACCCCGTCTCTATGAAAAATACAAAAAATTAGCCAGGTGTGACGGCTCATGACTGTAATTCCAGCTACTTGGGAGGCTGAAGCACGAGAATCACTTGAACCCGGGAGGCGGAGGTTGCAGTGAGCCAAGATCACGCCATTGCACTCCAGCCTGGGTGACAGAGCGAGACTCCGTCTCAAAAAAAAGATGACAGCAGCACTGCTGCAGCAGGGAGTGAAAGGCAGACACTGCACGACGGAGCTGCTCGGACACCTGTCAGGGACTCAGGTTAGTCCTCGGATACAGCAGGACAACCATGCTACATGCATGCTGACCCTGCTTGTCCTCCACACTTGGGGCTCCTGCCCCTCCTGGGGTCCATTCTCCTCACATCCTTGATGCAGTTCTTCCTCCACTGCACAGGGCCAGTGTCATCTGTCTCCAGGTCTACCTTGGACCTGGTACCTTGCTTTTCTTTCCTGTACCCACCCAGGCCCTCAGTATGTGCACACGGCTCCTCCAGGGTTAAGGTGTAGGGACAGAGCCAACACAGGCAGGCTCTGCTGGGCGAGGGCAGGGCACAGGATACCTTTGAAATCTAACTCGTAGTTGTGCTTTCCGGCCTGGAACTTCAAGGTGGCTGCCTGGCCGTCAGACCCCGGTGTACAGTAGGCCAGGTAGGCCTTCTCCACGTCGCTACTGCTGACAGTGGTCACAGGGTGCACCGTGCCCTGCGATGGAAAGCCAGACACTTTATGAAGGCAAGAAACTGCGTGATGAGGAAAAACGCTGGTGGCACCCACGCCACATTTCAGAGGTGCTCCTGGTGGACAGTCCTGTGGTGGGGAAGATGGAGGCCAGGGAGCATGGTATGGCAGGAGAGAGAGGCACAGAATGGAGGCAACATGACTGTCTCCTGAAGCTGCCCTAGCAAACACAATGCAGTAAATATGGGTCCTGCTGAGCAGGAAGACAGGGATGGGAGCAACGGAGAGGAGGGCACTCAAGTCACCTAGGACAGAGGACACGGCAGCCATTCAAATGCCGGCAGAACAGCAACAGCGACTTCTGGAGTGCTGCTTGACTGGGCAGCCCAAGCCAGGCTGGTCTTACCCGTCTATTCACGTTGCAACCATCCTTTAATCAGAGCTCGGTCCTCTTCCTTGCGGTTTTCTTTTTCTGGTCCCTAGGAGCATTCATCTATTTTTTAAATTATCCATTTCAATCCCTATCCTTCCACAATTACCTACAGGAAATCTCGTAGCTTCAGCTGGAGTGAGTTTGAATTCTGGCTCCCAAACCTGCTGGCTCTATAACTTTGGCAAGTTATCTTAACCTCCCTGAGCCTCCGTTATCTCAAGCTTATAATATGAATAATAGTACTTAGGCCATATTCATCCCTTTATACAACAGGACTATATTGTCCTCACAGGGCTGGAGAAATCATTTAAATAAGGCATGTGGAGCACTTAGTACAGTGCCCAGAACAAAACATACTCAATAAATGTTACTATTATCATCACCGTTCTTATTAAATTTGAGATTACACTGACAACTAAAATTAAAGTTATTCAACCTATAACCAACTAACTCCCTCTGTCCCTGTCAATTTTCCTGCTCCCCCTACTGCTACCATCCTAGTTCTCCTGGGTCACAAGCTTTAGGTGTTACTAACAGAACAAAAGTGAGACAAGACAAGAGTCACCCATGCCTCTGCGCAACTGAGTCCAGCAATGGAGAAGGGGAAAAAAAAGTACCCAGATATTTCAAAGCCTCAAGCACAAGGTCCCACACAGGTCTCACGGGTGCTCTAGACGCTGAGATGGGTAACTAAGAATGACCAAGGAAGGGTGAGACCCAGCAAAGGTTTCTTGGAAGAAAAAGATGCCTGAGCCAAGGCCCAAGCCCGAGGGATGACATGAGTTGGCCCCATGAGGACCATAAGGGGCGGGTGTAAGAGGTATAATGGTTTGTAAAGCAGCCTCCTAGTTTACGGTCTCATAGCGGCGCCTAAGTTTCTCTCTCTGAAGTCTGTCTTCCTTCAAAACCAAGCCATTAGACTAGAGTCCGGGAGGAAGAGGATGTGGCATAAAAATCCCTTTCTGACAACAAGAGGAAAGGAAAAGAAAACAATCCCTCCCCTTTGGGCCTGAGGAAATGAAGCTCTGAGTCAGGGAAACAGAGAGGAGAAGCAGCAGTCAGATGCAGGCGTCCTGCCCCGACCCAGGCCTCCAGTCAAAATCCCTGCAGATGGATGGTCACAGAGGGAGGGAAGATGCAGGTGGATGAGCAGAAAGCAAAAAGCAAAGAGTTTTTTTGCCCTCAGTGGGAGGTTTGGAAGGAGAAACCAACAATGGCAGCCATATTATGTGTTAAGCTGAGAAAGGTCTCGGTTTAGCACCTGGAGGCACCAAGTGAGATGTGGAAGGAATGACAGATTCCCACATGTCCTGTGGCAGGACCAGCAGGTGTCTGATTTTGACATGAAATGTTGGAGTACTTCTTGAGCTCAGACAGAAAAAACTTAGCTTTTCTGGGAATCAAGAGAAAACTGTTTTGAAGTGGCAATTAACAGAAAACTAAAAAAGAAACCTAAATGTGGGGTTATACCAGAAACGTGTAGGAAAGGGAGGACAAGACAAACCAGATCATCCTAGGCTGTCCAGCCTGAAGCCACCAAGCCTACATGTGTTTCTACGCCCCCACTAGCACGTGGCATATCAATAACATCCACACGCGGTTCATCCCCAGACATTCTCAAACTGCTCGCCATGAGTTTCTGCACTGCCACAGAGGAAGAGGAGCACAGGAAAGAAAGGGGCACGCTCCAGGTGTTGGCTGACTGGAGGAGACCGGCCCCAACAACCAGAGCTGTGATGAGACACCACCGGGGAACCCTACTTTTGCATGGGTTGCCCAGAGCCCTGTGTCATCTCATTCAGCAACCAGCGGTCTCCTCCGAGAAGCCGGACAGATCCCCAAACAGAATGAACGTGATGGTCACATCTGCTAAGTGTGTTGCGCCTGCCATCTGTCCCTCCATCTCCAGGAGAGCCGGGATTCCCGGAGCATGATTGGGCAGTCATCCTCTCCCCCTCCTCCATGTCACGCCAGCCTCTTCCCCTCACGCTCCTGACCAAACCCAGAGAGCTTATCTGGATGAGTCCCACAGGGCAGGTCAGAGAGAGTCCCAGGTCGCCCACGACGGGAGGGAGACAGGTGGGAAAGGCAGGCAGGGCAGAGCAGCAAGCAAGGAGAGGCTGGTGCTGGCAAGAGGGGAGCAGGGGAGGAGAGGGGAAAGGAAGTAGTGCAAGGCAGCAAGGCCATCGCTGAGAGTGACCATCTCCAGCTGACCAACAGACACTGTCAGTAACACCCTCCTCCTTCCATCAGCCAATGTCTATTTCCTGAGGACTGGCTATGCATCATTCCACACACGGGATACGATGGGGCAAAAGAAAAGACAAAAGTCCCTGCCCTCATGGAGCTTACATTAGAGCATCACCAGAGTTAAAGGGCATTCTGAGTGCAGTTAAGAATAAGAAACTAAAGCTTCAATATAGCCTCTTGAAACCCAGAAGAGTACAAAATACCTATCGATTTTCATTTTGGAGGGTGAGTTCTTTATCAATGGTGCCTTCCCTAAACTTGTACTTGAGATGGAATCTCGCTCTTTCGCCCAGGCTGGAGTACAGTGGTGTGATCTCTGCTCACTGCAACCTCTGCCTCCCGGGTTCAAGTGATTCTCATTCATACCTCAGTCTCCCGAGTAGCTGGGACCACAGGCATACGCCACCACACCTGGCCAATTTTTGTATTTTTAGTAGAGATGGGGTTTCACCATGTTGGCCAGGCTGGTCTTGAACTCCTGACCTCAACTGATCTGCCCACCTCGGCCTCCCAAAGTGCTGGGATTGTAGGCATGAGCCACCACGCCCGGCCTAAACTTGTATTTCTATAAGTGACCAGGGGACTCCCTTTAATCTGACCCATCCACAAACACCTGCGAAGAATTGACAGCAACTATTTTTTGTTATTTGGCTTGGATTCCAAACCTATACATGATATAAATCAATTTTCTTATATTTGCCTACCTTCTGTAAAGTTGCAGAAATGGCAGACAACCAGTTTGAAAAGCCTTTACCTCTATATCACAGCTACACAAACACACTTGCACACATAGGCACCAGCTGTGGGGTTAAGTTACCTGTTCAACAAGAGAAACATCTTTCTATCCCATTTAATAAAACCAATGAAGAAACTTGATCTCACTACAAATTTGTCATTCAGTTCTCATGAGCCAACAGATGGAAGCTCTTCAAAGATGAAAGCTCATACAAATAAATTCCAACTTATCTAGTTTTGCCATAATTCTCCCAAAGCAAGTGAGCCACACTGGCACCTGGGGATCCTCAGCTCTCTCAAGGATGCCCCTGGCAACAATATGGGGGCTCTTATTTGGCTCCTCTCTTACAGATCCTCAGGACAAAACATTCACCCTCTTTCCATCACACTTACCTGTCTTCCATATTCCTGCCAAGAACCAAACTCATCACTCCAGTACCAAATCCAGTCAGTGGTGAGGATGAAGTGTGGAGGTTTGGTGACAGAGGAGGCCGTGGAGAGGCGGCGAGCCTGGGTAGCACCGTAAGTCATGGCGTTAAAGTTCAGACAATGAGAGTGAAAGGTACTGGCTGACTCAGAGCACAGGATCCTACAGAAGAAAAACAGCAGCAGACTGAAAATCCCACCAGCCAAGCAGACACAGGTCCCTCAGCTTGAGAACATATAGCTGGGAGATGCGAATAGTAAATGTGGCATGCACATTTTAGAAAAAGTTCCCAGAGGTAGAGGAAACTGCTTTTTCAGATCAGTTTTGAGGTATAAAAATATCAAAATCAAGATAATGTGGGAGACTAGTTATGACGAAAATTCCTCTCAGTACAAAATGCCGAAGATGCTGGTGAAATCATTCTTTTTTAAAATTCACTGCTGAGCTGGCAAGAAAGGGAAGTCCTCAGAAGCCAAAAATAACAATAGTTAACATATACTGAGTGTTTACTGTGTGAGCCAGACCCTGCATTAAGCACTTTATATGTATTAGGCGATGACATTTTCACAACCCTATGAGGTTGAGACTATTATCTCCACTTCACAGACGGGAAAACAGAAGCTCAGGAAGGTGAAGAAACCTGTTCAAGGTCAAACAGCTAGTCAGCGGGCGAGCTGGGCTTTCAGGTGGGCAGGTGGGCTGCACAGCCTGCACCTGAGCCACCAGGACACGCTCCCTTTCTAAACGCAGTACTGCCTAAAGACCAAAGGAAGGTACGAAACTGGAGAGCGGAGAGGAGGGCGAGAGCCAGCAGCTATCCCAGGGCAGTATCGATGAGTAACGACAGAGAGCCTGGGCTTTGGCCGCAAAAGGGAAGCAGGAAACAAATGTAGGGTCTGAGTACGGCAGGAGGCTGAATCTCAAAAGAGATACCTCTGCGTAAAACCAGGACCCTAAAAGATGACCCACCTTAGTAAAGGGGGACTGGAGAGGGGACTTGCCTTGCAAAGACATCTGGCAAGGAAACCTGCCTGTATTAATGTTGGTTCTGGATAAAGGAGGAAAAAATTCCTCTGAGAACTCATAAACCACTCAAGCCTCACAGAAGTTTTAGACTGATTCACATTTTGGGAGAATTAGCTGCAAAGACCACCCAGGGTAGCAGTTCTCAGAGAAGCAAACACACATCCCCTCTGGAGAAATTCACCTTCAACTCAGGCCTCAAAAGAATTTCTTGGCCGGGCATGGTGGCTCACGCCTGTAATCCCAGCACTTTGGGAGGCCAAGGCAGGTGGATCATGAGGTCAGGAGATCGAGACCATCCTGGCTAACACAGTGAAACCCCGTCTCTACTAAAAATACAAAAACTAGCCGGGAGTGGTGGCGGGCACCTGTAGTCCCAGCTACTCAGGAGGCTGAGGCAGGAGAATGGCATGAACCCAGGAGGCGGAGCTTGCAGTGAGCTGAGACCGCACCACTGCGCTCCAACTTGGGCGACAGAGTGAGACTCCATCTCAAAAAAAAAGAATTTCCAAAGAAATTTCCATCAAATCAAACATGAGCTCAAAATCGATCACAAAATGTGGAAACAAAGACACTATGAGCAAAAGTTAACAAAAACAAAATCAGACCACCCTGAACTATAAACATTAGTATTCTCAGATGCAGATATACGTGATATGTTTTTTAAAAAGGAATTGAGCATCAAAAGTATGAGTAAGAATCAAGAGACTATAAAAACTGACTGGGTAAATTTAAGGAAAAAAACAGAACTTTTACTATTCATTATTCTTTTCTTTCTCCTCCACTCCCTCCAAAACTTTTTTTCTTTTCCTTTTTTACTACTTTTTTTTAATTTTTTATTTTTTGAGACAGAGTCTCACCCTGTCACCCAGGCTGGAGTGCAGTGGCATCATCTCAGCTCATCGTGATCTCCGCCTCCCGGATTCAAGCGATTCTCCTGTCTCACCCTCCCGAGGAGTAGCTGGGATTACAGGCATGCACCACCACGCCCAGCTAATTTTTGTATTTTTTTGTGCAGACAGAGTTTCACCATGTTGGCCAGGCTGGTCTTGAACTCCTGGCCTCAAGCCATCCGCCCTCCTCAGCCTCCCAAAGTGCTGGGATTACACGCGTGAGCCACTGCTCCCGACCTTAGAACTTTTAAACATAATTAAATTAACTGAAATTTAAAAATCATACTTCGATGGGACACACTGCATCTCAGAAGAGTCTGAACTAATGAACTGAGAGCCTGAGAGGAAGAAATGTGGCAGAGTTTAGAAAGAGAATAAAAGAGAAGTTAGAAGACATAAAAGATAAAGTGAGAAGACTTCACCATATATCTAATGAGAATTCCAGAGAAGGAATACTTAAGGAGATCATGGCTGAGGAAATCAGAAAGCACAGCAAAATATGAGTAGCATAAATTTTTTTAAATCCACACACAGATTTTAGTGAAACTGCACAGCACCAAAGAATGACAAGATATTAAAAACAGCCAGAGAGAAAAAAACAGACTATCTATTATACTGGATTGAATTGTGTCCCCAAGAAGATATGCTGAAGGTCTAATCCCTGGTACCCATGAATGCGATCTTATTTGGAAATAGGGTCTTTGCAGATATAATCAAGTTAAGATGAGGTCATATTGGATTCGGGTGGGCCCTAATCCAAAACTGATGTCCTTTTAAGACGAGGGAAATTTGAACACAGACACATGGGGAAATGCCTGTGACAATGGAGGCTGAGATTGGAGTGACGCGTCTACAAGCCAAGGCATGCCAAGGATTTCTAAGCATCAGAATCCTGGAGGAGGCAAGAAAGGATCCTCCTGTAAAGCCTTCAGACAGAGCAAGGCCCTGCTAACACCTTCAGTTTGGACTTCTAGCCTCCAGAACCGAGAAAATAAATTTCTGTTGTTTGAAGCCATCAAGTTCATGGTAATTTGTTACAGCAGCCCTAAGAAGTGAACTAATACCACCTCGATTTAGGCTGATAGCTAACTTCTAAGTAGAAGCAATGGAATCCAGACAACAATGAAATAGTCTTTGAAGAACTGAGGGAAAATACCCAGTAAAACTATCTTTCAAGAATGAGAAGGGAATAAAAACCCTTTCAGACTAACAAAATACACAATTACCTCCAGACTCTCATTAAAGCAACCTCCAACAGAGGAACTTAAAGAAAGAAAATGATAAACAAGGAGAAGTGTGAGCAAAGGAATGGTGAGTAAGAAACAAAATGGTAATTGTGTAAGCTTAAACAAATACTGACTGCCTAAAACAATACGAATTTCTAACCTCTAGGATTAAAAATATTATATCAGCAATACATACAGTGCATCTTTTTCTTTTTTTTTTTTTTAATAGAGACAAGATCTAGCTCTGTCACCCAGACTGGAGTGTAGTGACACAATCATAGCTCACTGCAGCATCAAACTCCTGGGCTCAAATGGTGCTCCCTCTGCAGCTTCCTGAGTAGCTGGGACTACAGGCACGCGCCACCATGCTCAGCTAATTTTTTTAAAAATTTTTGTAGAGACAAGGTCTCTTTATGTTGCCCAGGCTAGTTGTGTATTCCCAGCCTCTAGCAATCCTCCCACTTCAGCCTCCCAAAGCACTGGGATAACAGGTATGAGCTGCTGCGCTCGACCCACATCTTATGTGCCTGGCAGTGATCTGAGTGTTTTATGCATATTAACTCATTTAATTCTCAAAATAACCTTGTGACGTAGAAACTATTATTTTGTCTACCTAACATATAGTAAAGCTGAGGTAAAATGAGATTAAGTAATCTGGCCAAATTTATATAATTAGTAAATAAGTTTGAATGAAACTAGTCAGAATTCAAGTGTCCAAGGTTCTTTCATTGTTTGACAGAATGACAAAAGGCACTGATTGGCTTAAGCTCAGCTAAAAGTCTGTTAAGATAAAGAGTCTGTTTAGATTTCCAGAGCAGCCACTGAAAAAATAAAAATTCAGTATATAACGTCCAAACTAGTAAAGGGAAAAAACCAAGTGAGGAAAAAAATCTACAAGAAGATCAAAAAGAGAAAAGAAATATACAAAAAGTGGGTCACAGTGACAATTATAATGAGTGGCAGAAATAAATCCAGATCCACGTTATTGGCCACCTGTGCTTCCTCTGCCGGGAAGTGTCTGACCTTGTAGTTTGCCCATTTGGAGGGTGAAGAATTTGAGTGAAAGAGGCCAGACACAACAGTACATACCACACGGTTCTATTTATATGAGGTTCAAGAACAGGCAAGACAGAGATCTATGGTGACAGAGGTCAGAACGGTGGTGAACGATGGGAGTAGGCACTGACTGGAAGGAGATGGGGTGAGGAAAATGATCCGTATCTCAATCAGAATGCTGGCTACACAAGTGTATGTATTTGTCAAAACTCACTGAACTGTATGCTTAATATCTAGGCTCTTCGCTGTGTGTAAATTTTGCCTCAAAAAGAAAGATTGGGGTGGTATGTGAACCATTTAATCCTCCTAACAGGAGTAATTGGTTTCACATACTTTACCAATAGCAATTTGCACGTAATTGTACTCTAAGTGCAAATTTATTTTACACACTCAAAAAGCAGGCTCAAATTCTCTTCTTGGCAACATATTTCAGCAAGTTCAATGAAAAATATGTTAAGTATCTGAAAAGAAGGCTATCCGGGAATCCCCTATTTACTCTGAACTAACTAAGGGAAAATACTAGGACATGCTTGGGGAAAAAAAAAGTTAAAGGTTAAACCATAAACAGCAGTTCAGCGGTATGGCTGTATAGGCCAAAGGCCAAAATTTCACAAATAGAAATTATCACCTCTCGCTTTTCTGTAATAATGAGTATAGATGTACATGATCAATCCCAGCACCAAACAATTGAGAACTTAATACTTGGTCTTGGTACCATCTTCTCCTTTCCCCATTGCTCCTGTCTGAAAGGAGAGGGAGGTGGGAGAACAAAGCCACCAAACTGCCAGTATGAACGCTGACTTTCGATTCCAGCCCACCTTCTACCTCCAGACTAGGTGGCTCACAGTGTGTGTGTGTGTGTGTGTGTGTGTGTGTGTGTGTCACACACAGAAGCCCAGGCACCTCCAGACTAGGCTGCTCACAGTGTGTGTGTGTGTGTGTGTGTGTGTGTGTGTGTCACACACAGAAGCCCAGGCACAAAGCAGAGACAAGGGACATATTTCCTACCTTTCTATTTTGGGATTGCAATATGCCTCTTCAATAAGTTCCATGTTGTCCAAATCCTCCCATTTGCCTCTATCCAAGAATTGCCATCGATACGGCAAATGGAAATGAACTCTATGGCACTTATCTGAAATAAAAACATAAAGGAGTAAGATAGCTGGGCAATACACAGCATGCCCTAGCCTTGTGGTTGTCAACAGGTGTGGTGCTGCCCACTGACCTGGGAACATTCTGAAATGTGTGGTGGAGTCTGTTTTTTCAGTGCCGGCATGCCTGAGCATTTAGATACAGAAACACTTTTTGCATTTTATTATATACATTGCTATGATTTAAATGTCTGTCCCTTCTAAAACTCTTGTTACAACTTAATCGCCAATGTGATAGTATTGAGCGGTAAGGCCTTTAAGAGGTGACTGGGTCATAGATAAATGGATTAATGGGTGTATGGGTTATCATGAGAGTGGAACTGGTGGCTTTATAAGAGGAAGCGAGACCTGAGCTAGCATGGTCAGCCCCCTTGCCATGTGATGCCCTGCAGCACCTCAGGACTCTGCAGTCCCCACCAGCAAGAAGGCCCTCATCAGATGCAGGCCCTTGACAACCTGGACTTCTCAGCCTCCATATAGGTAAGACATAAATTCCTTTTCTTTATAAATTATCCAGTTTCAGGTACTCTGTTATAAGCAACAAAATGGACTAAGACATACATCTTCCTTCTTTATGTCTCACTTTTTAACAGGACCTTACTTTTTTTTTTGAGACAGGGTCTCACTGTCACCCAGGCTGGGGTATAGTGGCACAATCACGGCTCACTGCAGCCTCAACCTCCCAGGCTCAGGTGATCCTCCCATCTCAGCCTCCTCAGTAGCTGGGATTACAGGTGTGCACCACCACACAGCTAATTTTTGTATTTTTTGTAGAGACAAGGTTTCACCATGTTGGCCAGGCTAGTCTCGAACTTCTGGCCTCAAGTGATCCACCCATCTTGGCCTCCCAAAGTGCTGGGATTACAAGTGTGAGCCACCACACCTGGCAATTTTTTAGAAATATGTATGTTGATGGTTTATATCATCTATGAACTTTATTTAATGAGAGTAAGAAGCTGATTATGCGAAGGTCAAAGGTCTCATCACTGCAGGGGGCAGTCTGACTCCTCAATATCACTCTCTGTGTGGCAGGTGGACGGGCAGAGATCACAGCAAAGATGGAGCCAGATTCATCCCTACCAGAAATCCATCCCAACCCAACACGTCCAACTGAAGGCAGGTCAGCAGCATGGTTACAGGCTCCTTGCATCTCTTCTGGCTAACAACATGCTCACTCCTTCCCTGACACTCTCCCACCAACATCCACACAATGGCCCAGACCTATGGGTTCCGGTGAGCTGCTCCCCTCACCAACCCCATGTTCCTCCTGGGCAGCCAGATCCTCACTTCTCTCATCACTCCAAGCACACGCTGCCTGCCCTGTCTTTGCTGGTGCCTGCCACCACCGGGAACGCCACCCACACCCTCTCCCTACCTGTCAACAGCCTATGTGAGGTTCTGCTATATCCACACAGAGAAGTGTCATGAGAGGACAGGGAGAAAGGAGAGAAAAAGAATGAGAAGCTCTTTGCACTGTGACATGCAGCTAGCTACCTCTGAGATATTTGCTCTAAGGCAGGAAGATAGAGAACAAGGTGCAGAATGCCTCTATTTGGGTAAAAAATAGAAAAAAAAGTAAGTTTAGACATATTCTAACTAAACACACACACATGCACATATTATTTCTTGCAGAGGGAACCTGGTAACTGGAGACAAAGTTATAAGCAAAGACTTCTGTCATTTTGGCATGTTTTGAACTTTGAACCACAAGAAGATATAATATATTCCAAAAATTATACATCTAATTAAGTGAAAAAGGTAGAAAGCCATGCTAGCGTGCCTGTGTAAGGAAACTGAACAGACACATACCCTTGTACACGTATACAGTCTCGATGAAAGGATATTCAAAGAATGGATAATTATGGCTGTTTCTTGGAGGGGACTTGAGTTCTGGAGAAAACTGGTGTGAGGGCGACTTATTTCTTACTGAGTGTCCTTTGTACATTTTTAATTTGTATTTCAAAATAATAATGAAACTAGCTAATTTGATACTTGAAAAAAATTAAAATTTTCTAAAATTGTGTGCATTCTTTCAGGCACATCTCAATGCCACTTCTTTCCCAGGCTCTGCAAAAGCACCTGGTGGGGGAAGTCCCATGGAGGAGGGTGGGAGGGTGCCTGGGATTGTGTGATCAGGTATGGGGCCGAGCAGACAGGGCAGAAGAGAGTGCCAGGCTGAGAGGACTGAGGGAACAAGGTGGGGACACCCAAGCAAGGAAACTCCTCTAAGTGCAACAAGGCTGAAAACAGCCACACCAGGGACTGAAGATCTCCTAACTTGTCCAGTTTGAACATGGACAGCTCACTAGGTCAGGAACCTCTTGAACTCTCTCAAGCAGGTGTGTACACAACAGATAATTAAAGGGCTGGGCCAGGAAAGACAAATAGCTATGGTCCAAGGTCACAACCAACCAGTTCCTGTTCCCTCCCTGAAAGGCATTAGAGGAAATGATCAGGGATGAGAGCAGAAGGCCACCCCAGGGCATCCCAGTAGTCAAATGCTATACCTACAAACCCCAGGCACAGGTGTACTATGGACAGCCTGAGACAGGATCTCCCTGCAAACAGGCACATCCTGGGGAAGGTGCACTCCTTAGGGCCCTCCAGGCTGATGCTTCCTCAGGAAGGACATGGGGGCCAGGGGAATGCACTATAATCAAACAGCAGGCCTGAGGCTTCCGTTCTGAAACAAAGCTGAGCTATAGACCACACTGTTCACAGCTGGAAGGTGCCCAGGACAGGAGGCACCAGGTAAGCCACTGCAGCCACAGCAGCTGGTGAGAGCCTAGTCCCAGCACAGCGGTAGAGACATAAGGTCCTTTCCCTTGTCCTGGTCTTCCTGTCCCCTTTCTCAACTTCTTTTCCCGCCTTCTAATGTTCCCTACCTCACGTTGGCATTCCAGGGGCTTTCTAGGACGTGAGTCATAGAAATCAAATCAATTTGGCAGACAAAACACCACATCCACCCCAGCCCTTCCTCCCTATAGTCCTTGAAATAACAGGCCAGAGAGAATAATAAATCCAAAAGCACTGGAAAACAATAAAAAATACCATCAAAAGACCAGAATTATTCAAGAATTGCTAAAACTATGGAGCAATGAGAATCAAATAGATATAAAAAGAAGAGAGAAAAATGCAGACAAAATGTGCAGAACATACCACAGAAGTAGAAAAGATCTGGGGTCATCACAGATTCAGAGTCAGATGAAGCCAGGAGCAAGAACGATACCCAGGCCAATCCCAATGAGAACAATGGGAGCCCCTGGCAGAGGCACTCCCTTCCCCTAACTTGCTTGTGTGAAGGAAGCTTGCTGTGCACTTCCTAGTTAAACTAAGTGTGAATATAAGGGTTAGAGCAAGAGAAAAGCAAATGAGACGGCCACCAAAGCCCCCGTCCCAGTCCTAGGCTACATGCCAGCCTCCCACCTCACCAAGCAGGACCTTCTGCCTCTTCCCCACCATCACTAGAATGAGGGCCTGGAATCCAAATCAGCCCCATGGAAATCAACCAACAGGTATACGGGATTCTCAAGCACCAACGTGACAGACAACCAAGAGTCGCTCAACACATGAAGGAAAACAATTCAAAGAGAGGCAGCAACTCACACAGAAACAGCGATACCTAAGGACAGAATGATCAGAGTTAAGAGAACAAGTATTCACAGCTAGACTTCAACCTAAAAGCCTAGCCCCTGAAACTTCTAGGAAAACACCATAAGAGAAAACATTCTGTAGGCTTAGAATAGGCAAATATTTTTAGGATACAAAAAACACAAACCATAAAAGAAAAAAAATATTATCTGGACACCACTATTAAAATACCTGTACACTATAAAGGAAATAAACATGAAAGACTGGAAGGATATATCTTCAGTATAAATCATATACAAAACACAACTCAATAAGAGATCAAATAACCCAATAAAAATGGGTATAACTGTCACTAAAGACCAATACTGTATGATTCCATTTATATGAAATATTCAAGCAAATCTATAGAGATGGAACCTTCATCTGTAGTCATCAGGAGCTGGGGGGAGGGAAGACTGCTAATGAAGACGGGGTTACTTTGGGGGTGTTGAAAATGTTTTCATATTGCCTATGATGATGGCTGCCCAATTCTGTGTTAATATTACATATGTAAGTGGACTTCAAAAAGTTCATGGAAAACGGAATTAAAAGATAAAAAATATAAACTTTATTTCTCAATATAAGCTCCATCAAGTTCAGGACACTTTTGTAAAAGACGATACCAGCCATTTAGTCCACCCATAAAGAACCAAGGGTCCTAGGAATTTAACCATGTCAATCCAGTCTTTTTTCTACATTATTAACTGAAGAAAAATGGGTGCCCTTTAAAGATTTTTTTTCTTTTTTTTTTTTAGACAGAGTTTCACTCTGTCGCCCAGGCTGGAGTGCAGTGGCACGGTCTCGGCTCACCGCAACCTCCACCTCCCGGGTTCAAGTGACTTTCCTGCCTCATCCTCCCAAGTAGCTGTGATTACAGGTATGTGCCACCACACCCAGCTAATTTTTGTATTTTTAGTAGAGACAGGGTTTCACCATGTTGGCCAGGCGGGTCTCAAACTCCTGACCTCAAGTGATCCACCTGCCTCGGCCTCTCAAAGTGCTGAGATTACAGGCATGAGCCACCATGACCGACCTAAAGATTTTTAAGATTAGAAAACAAAAAGAAGTCAGAAAGAGCCAAATCAGGACTGTAAAGTGAATGCCTACAGATTTCCCATTGAAACTCTTGCAAAATTGCCCTTGATTGATGAGGAATGAGCAGCAGCCTTGTGGTGGTGGAGAAGGACCCTCTGGTGAAGCTTTCTGGGCATTTTTTTGCTAAAGTTTTGGCTTTCTCAAGACACTCTCATCATAAGCAGATGTTATTGCTCTTTGGCCCTCTAGAAAGCCAACAAGTAAAATGTCTTCAGCATCTCAAAAAACTGTTGCTGTGACTTCTGCTCCTGATCACTTCTGCTGTGACTGGGCCACTTCCCCCTTTTAGGAGCCATTGCTTTGTCTCCAGGATCCTACTGGTAAAGCCATGTTCCATCTCCTGTTACAACTCTTCAGAGAAATGCTTCAGGATCTTGATACCACTTGTTTAAAATTTCCATTCAAAGTTCTGCTCTTGTCTGCAGCTGATCCAGGCAGAATGGTTTTGGCACTCATAGAGTGGAAAGTTTGCTCAAATTTAATTTTTAATTTTTCTGGCAGACTGTATAAACTGAACTAATCAAGATGTCTGGTGTCAGTTACTGTTTGTGCTGTTAATCACTGGTCTTCAATTAAGGAACAAACAACATTAATTTTTTTTCTCACAAATTGATGTGCATAGCTCCATCTTTAACATTCTCTCATCCCTTCTTAAAATGACTTACTCATTTATAAACTGATTTCTTTGGGACATTGTCCTCATAAACTTTTTTGTAAAGCATCAATGATTTTGTCATTCTGCCACCCAAGAGTCACCATTAATTTGATATTTGTTCTTGCTTCAACTGCAGCAAAATTCATGTTGCTTTGATAGGGGCTCTTTCCAAATTGATGTCTTATCCTTCTTAGTGCCTCAAACTAGATCCTCTTCAGATATGTTATTACAAGTTAGTATGAATTTATTTTGGTGCAAAACTTTTGAACTCCATGCATAATTTTTTCATAATATGCATTTTCCACAAACTTTCTGAAGACCCCTTTTGTGTGTGTGTGTGTGTGTGTGTGTGTGTGTGTGTGTAAAGCTGTTATATAAAAAATAGGCAAAAGATTTGAGTAGATACTTCACAGAAAATATACAGATGCCCCAAAAGTACATGTAAATAAAAGTTAAACATCATTAATCATCAGGGAAATGCAAATTAAAACCACGAGACATCATCACTCACTGATTAGAATGGCTAAAACTTAAAAGACAATGCCAAGTGTTAGCAAGAATATACAATAACTGAAACTCTCACACGTTGCTGGTGGGAACATAAAATATTATTATCTATTTTGGAAGACAGTTTGGCAGTTTCTTACAAAGTCAATCACATGACATAACCCAGTAACTATGTCTGTCTTTTACCCAAGAGAAATGGAAACATATATCCACATGAAAACTTATACATAAATATTTATAGAAGTTGTATTTGTAAAAGCCAAAAACTGGCAACAACCCAAATGTTCATCAACATATGAATGGATAAACAAATTGCAGTCAATCATGCAATGGAATACTACTGTGCAATAAAAAGAAACAAATGATTGATATGCCAGCATGACTGAATCTCAAAAACATGCTGATGAGAGAAGCCAGGCACAAGATAATACACTGTATGATTCCATGTATGTGAAATTCTAGAAAAGGCAAATCTAATCTATAGTGACAAAAAGTAGATCAGGGGTTTCCTGGGCGTGACAAACTAGGGGGTGAGGATTAATTATAAAGGAGCATAAAACAATGTTTTTGGAGGGGGTTCCATATCTTGATGGTAGAGATGGTTACATGAGCATATATACTTATCAAAACTCAGTATACATTTAAAATGGTACACTTTAGCTTGTGTAAACTATAGCTCAGTAATATTGCTTTCAGAATACACATATATATGTGTGTGTATATATATATAGCTCATATTCCTTGACCTATCATTCCATTCCCCAGAATCTATCTATGGAAATACTCACATATATGTACTTCAATGCTCAATGGAACATCATTATAATCAACTACTACACACTTGTTTTTAAAATGAGGTGGACTTTCACATACTGACATGGAAAAAAAATCTCCAAGATACAATGTTAAGATGCAGATTGAATAATAACATTATCACATGCTCCTATCTGTTTAAAAACATATAAAACAAATATCACAACCACACGGGAAGTGTTTACCTTTGGGCAAAGACGATGGAGGACTTCATGCTTCACTCTGTATTACTGAACTGTTTTACAGAGTGAAAGTATTCATTAATTGCTTGGGTAATTTTTAAAAACTGAAAATGAAACAAGAAGTTTGGTGGTTGTCAAGGGGAGTCACCAAATTTGAGAACAAACCTTTCTTCAGTCAAAGCCCAGGACAGCATTTAAGAAGAAAACAAAGGTTTAGTGAAAATACAGACAGGCACATGCACACCAGAATTGCTGCTTCTGATAAAAAAGAGATCACTGGATTGTTCACTGGATCAATACAGAAAAAAAACCCCAATTTAAACAACTACTCATCCTCCAAGAGCTAACACAAGTGTTTCCTTCGCAGTGAGGTCCTTTCCAGTTTCTAAGGGAGCTCTCAGCCTATCATCACCCTTATCTTTGTTCCCACCAGGCTGAGCAGTTCCCTGTCCTGTGCAGGTCTGTGACCTCATGCTAAGCTGACCAAGGCTCAATACTTGACACTCATTTGGTGCATGAACCAGTTATGTTCCCAAAAATGATCCACATTTAATTTCTGAAAACTCAAAGAATTGCTACCATCTTCAACTCCCCAACAAAATACCTTCAGAATTGGTTTGGCCAAAGTGCCAAGCCCTGATCCTCTCCGGATGGGGTAGAGGTTTGGTAGGGGGTGACTTCAGAGCACAGCTCTGGGAATGACAAGCAGTTACCCCTCCCACAAGTGGAATGAAGGAGCCTCTTCCAACTTACCTTGAAAGCTACAACTTTTCCGGATATGGTACAAACAGATCTGATCACCCTCCTCCTGGCTAAGAGTGTTTGGGGACACAGAACCTGAACTGTCTTTTCTTTCTGCAAAGAAACACCACAAAGATATGTCAGCTTCTGATATGGGGTATAAAAGAGAGTTAAAGAGGATTCATTCAGTTCTCTGCACAAAAGTGGGCAACGCAAGCTCACAAAGCCCTATCGTGTTTGGGGTGAAAGTGCTCCTACACAGGTGGATCCTCTACTTTTTAGTGACAGGCTGGCAGCCTGACGCCACATGGCTGCTTGCCAGATCCAGGACTCCATGAAGGGGACTCCTTTCTCAACTCTCGCTGTCCATTCAATTCACTAGGAGACCCATTTAAAAACACAAGTGCCTGATTCTGCCCTAGACTGACTTCACTCCAGACTGACTGAATCAGAACCTCCAGGGGTGGGACTTGGGACACTTTTGTAATAAGGGGAGAACCATTGTCTTACATGTTGAGGCATCTTACAATTCCTTCTATGCCTAAGGTTGTGATGACCCCTGAGGGCAAACAGAGGGCTAATTTTATAAACTAGATTTGAAGCTATATAGCAAACATTCATTAATGAACTATCAGAATTGGGTACTAATACCAAGACAAGAGTAATAAAAAGAAAGTCCACATTTCAAAATGAAGCCCCTTTAATTAATTTTAGGTTAATTATCAGGATCTTAATATAAAAAGGGCACATAAATCCTTTCTATTTTACCTTTACTAGCACCATGCCAATGAGTCTTTACCTATGACATTTACCCTCACCCAGCTAACCCCAATGAGCACATAAAATTAATTTGCAATCCCTATTTAGTGTCACCTGTCGTTATTCATCTTCCCTTTTCTTTTTATAAGCCCCTGAGATACTTCACTCAAAATCTAGGTCTATGGGACCCCGAAGGTCATCTCCCTCTCTCCCGACGATGGTGACTGCTCTTGCAGCTGACATCACTGGCAGTGGATCCCTCCTCCCTTTCTGACAAGGCTATAATCCAACTGTATTCAAGGCTGTAAGATACTCCTAAAGATCTATTTAATACAAAACCTGTCTACTTCTAGGATTCCTACAACTGAAAGAAATCAACAAAACATAATTGAAGACAATGTAAAGAAAAAACAAATTCAAAAGACAACTTTTAAATATAAAAGTCAGGTACAATTAGAGTGGTGCTTTTGTTTGCAGGTAGTCCTGGCATGCAACTGACATTCTAGGAAGTGCTCTATTAAAATTGTAGCCACCACTACAGCTGAGAGGGTTTGATTCTGCTCTGAGGGGAGGCATGTCTCAGCTTCGCCAAGGAATAACCAGCACCCAAGACAGCGCCCAGCATGTGGCAAGCACACAAAGGTGCTGAATGAAAGAGTGGGTAACAGAATGGCCAGCCAATGGCTGATACTGTGAAATCCAATGAATGCCAGTGTATCATCATCTCCCTGACAGACCACATTATTCATCTGCCCCACAAGAGGTACTCAAGAAATGCTTATTAAATAAAAATCTCTGTTCAAAATCTGCCTGTCACTAAACCTGACAGTCTTTTTTAAAAAATAAGTATCCTAGCACACTCATTCATTCAACAAATGTCAGAGTACCTACTGTGGGCCAGGCACTGTCTAGGTGCTGGAGATGAGCAGGGAACAAAGCAAATTTACAATGGCTCAAAAACTCTACTTATTGATGTCAGGAATACAGCCAATGCCATAATTAAGGTATGCTTCTTTCACTCATTTTGTAAAATCAGAATACAACACAAGGAATGCTCCCCAGAGCTGTGCAGCACAGCATTCCTAACTTTGGGTTCCTCCCTGAAGAGCATGCTCTCGTGGGGGTGAAGATAGGGGTGACTGCACAGGGGGAGGAGCCAAGTCTCCCATTTCAGTGCAGACTAGGCCCATCCAGAATTCACTCACCATCAATACCAATTCACATTTGTCTAGGATGGCATGCTTGATCAAGTCTATGATTTCAACTTATCCTCACCCCCGCACTCCCTGCCTTGTTAGGAAAGCATCATCAACTCCATTTTACTAAAAGCAGCACCAGACTTGCCCAAAGTCACACATTCCATGTAATGGCTAGCTGGAATCCGGGAACCCCCAGCCCAGGACCTCCCGTGCTCCCCACCAGCCTTACCACTCCCCACCAGCCTTACCAGAAGTCCCCTGTGGGACAAAAAGAGGAGGCACTCTGCTGGGGGCAGAGCTCTTATTCTTGATGTCATGTGCATTTCTATAAATGGTAGGCAGCCTGCTCACCAGGTCTGAGCTCATACCCAACTTCTCCAATTTTTCCAGATTCTCAGAATTAGAGAAATCATGGGATCTCTTACAGCTAGTGCCAAACTTGCATTCCCCCTGTAAAAAATACTGGCAGATATGGAGCTTGATGCACTGCTTTTGAAAGGCACAAGAGCCGTGGGGTCCATCTCCTTTGTTGTAATGTTGGCAAATCTGTTGACAGAGAGGGAAAAAACCACCAGTTCAGGAAGGTCTCACACGACACCACCTCCCCAGTGGCCAGTCCACTGGTGAGAAAGGGGCTTCACAAGCTGTGATTCCATCATCCACACAGAACACAGCTATTACATCCCTCACTCTAGATGACGGCTGCTAACAAATGCCCTTGGCTAAAAGGGGAACGAAATGGAAAGGAGACTGCACAGAATCAGCCCCTCCACTGGGAAAATCCAAGAACTTCAAAGTGACTAGAGCTGCTCCTTTCACATGAGACAATGCAAATCAAATGGCTACATCCTAAGGACCTCTACAATCTACCTATACTCTTCCCACACTGACTCATCAACTCTCCCTTCCCCAAGCCCCAGTTTTCTCTGAGCTCTCTTTTCTACAATTCAAAGTCAAAGAGGCTCTGAGGGCTTAAAGCATCTTAGAGAAGGCCAAATACCACCCTTTCATTTCTCAATGGAGCACACTGAGAGGCTCAGAGAAGTTAAAGAATCAGCCCTAGTCGCACAGCTATCCATGGCATCTGTGTGATGTTTGTGGAACTGGGTTGTTGGCAAAGCTGGCCCTTGAACTTCACTGCTCCTTCTGCTCCACATTCCAAATTTCTGCAGGTGGAAACCAGACCAGAGATCACCAAGGGCCCACCCATTCCACTCCCAGTCATTACATTTCCCAAGACACAGGAATGTCCCCAGGGAGCTGTGGAACCCAGACTTCCCCTGGCACTCACTTCTGGCAAAAGCCAGGGGTCGTTCTGAAACAAGAGTTGGCATAGCTCATTATAGCTCAGGTGGTCAACGCCATGAGTTCTCAGCACACTCAGGTTGTGTTCGGTTGTCAAGCTGTGACTATTCCTACAGTTCTTCCTGCAAAGAAGCAGAGCTGGTGTTATATGTCGAATTGAGTCTCCTCAAAATTTCTATGTTGGAGTCCTAACTCCCACGACCTCAGGATATGGCTCTATTTGGAAAGAAGGTCTCTAAAGAGGTAATTAAGTTAAAAAGAGGTCCATAGGGTGGGCCCCAAACCCACAAGACTACTGTCCTTATAAGAAGAGATTTGGCTAAGCACGGTGGCTCATGCCCGTAATCCCAGCACTTTGGGAGGCCGAGGCAGGAGGATCACGAGGTCAGGAGATTGAGACCATCCTGGCTAACACAGTGAAACCCCGTCTCTACTAAAAATATAAAAAATTAGCGGGGCGTGGTGGTGAGCGCATGTAGTCCCAGCTACTCTGGAGGCTGAGGCAGAAGAATGGCATGAACCCGAGAGGCGGAGCTTGCAGTGAGCCACTGCACTCCAGCCTGGGCAACAGAGTGAGACTCAGTCTCAAAAAAAAAAAAAAGAAGAGATTGGGGCACAGACACACACAGAGGGAAGACCATGCGAGGACATGGTGAGAAGGTGGCCATCTACAAGCCAAGGAGAGGGGCCTCAGAAGAAATCAACCCTGCCACCTTGATCTCAGACTTCTAGCCTCCAGAACTGTGACAAAATCGATTTCTGTCGTTTAAGCCTCCTAGTCTATGGTACTTTGTTATGGCAGCGCTGGCAAACTGAAAGCTGATAAAATCAGTCTTCATGACAATTTTTCAGAAACACTTCCTGACAGTATTTACAAGCACCAGAGAAAAACCAGCATGTAGGCTGGGTATGGTGGCTCACGCCTATAATCCCAGGACTCTAGGAGGCCAGGGTGGATGGATCACTTGAGGTCGGGAGTTCGAGACTAGCCTGGCCAACATGAAGAAAACCTGTATCTACTAAAAATACAAAATTAGCCGGGCGAGGTGGTGCATGCCTGTAATCCCAGCTACTCAGGAGGCTGAGGCAGGACAATCGCTTGAACCCAGGAGGCGGAGGCCGTGGTGAGCCAAGATTGCGCCATTGCACTCCAGCCTGGGCAACAGGAGCGAGACTCTGTCTCAAAAAAAAAAAAAAGAAAGAAAAAAAGAAAAACCAGCATGTCTACATGACAACAACAAAAAATCCAATGTGTATTTACCAAGGAGGAGATGGGGCCTTGCAAGGTCTAAGGCCCAGGACAGCGCCTCTGAACAAGCATTTGATGAGAATGACAAAGAGGAGTTGCTGCACAGCAGTCAGTCGGTAAGCAGTTAGCCACAGGCTGAATCAATGAGCATGGCATCTTATCATTATAGGTTACATATGTGCATGCGTGCAGGCGTGTATACACACACACACACACACACACACAGAGCCCTGAACCTAGCTTTTTTTTTTTTGCTCTCTTCCTCCATTCTTTCCATCCACAAGCGTCTGATAAGCACCAGGGTGAGCCAGACATTGGCACCATGCCCTGAGAACCCAAAGATAAACCTTTAAATGACTGCCTGAGTCACCAGGACCCAGAAGAGTCAGGCCAACAGCATTTGTTTGACTCTGGCACTGCCATGCCTCCTATGCCACATCTCAGGAGAATGCCAAACCCTGATCCACCCCAAACCTGCACCTTTTACAGAATCCCCCAGCTCAGTAAAAGGCAACTTCCCTCTCCCACTGCACAGACCAAAAACCCTGAAGCCATCCTTGCCTGCTCTCTTTCCCTCATCTAGCGGAGGTGACAGACATAGAGGAGACTCTGATACGGAGTGGAAAGTGCAACGTCAGCTGTTGTCAGAATCTGTCAGCGCAGAGCGGAAGGGCACCTGAGCCAGTCAGGGCTGGGAGAGAACTGGGGAAGAAATCAGGGGAGCATGCTGGATGGCATAAAGCCTGAGTGGAATACTTAAAGGGTGAGGAGGAGACAGCAAGAGAAAGGAAGAACATTCCAGAAGAGGGGCAAATAATTTGGTGCTGCCAGAGCCAAATATATCTAATAAGTGTAACGATGACTGATGGTAACAATGATAATGACTACTAAAATTTATTGAGCAACTGCCAAATATCGGGGATTGCCAAAATGTTTTATGAGTTAATCATTCAGTCCTCAACCAGCCTGTGAGGGTAGTAATATCATTAACTCCACTTTGCAGATGAGGGAACTGAGACCTGGAGGTAAAGTCACTTGCCCGAAGCCATCAGCTAGCAAGGAGCAGAGCCCAGGTTGAAACAAGGTGGGCTGGATCTTGGGACTGTGCCCTAGACCACCAGGCTCAATGCCTCCTGAGTAGAGGACTAAGAGTCAGGCACCCAGGACTCCGTACCAGCTCTGCAGCAGGACTGATGAGCTATTTCTAAAAGAACTGACCCTGCGGTTCAGGAAGACAAGCAGAGTCACAGGGGAAGCAGAAAAGTGCAGCCAACCACACCCACTCTCCCTAAAGTGAGTCAGAAATGGAAGGTTCAAGAAACTCACCTGTGTAAACCACAAGGAAAAGAGAAAACTGAAGAAAGAAGAAAACTCAAGGTCATCTGAGCCAGTAAATATCACACTACAGATTTCCGAGACAAGTCAGACCTGACCCCACATTTTGGGAACTAGCTTAAGAACAGGGCTGCCATCTTTATTTTACCAAATATGAACATGAAACAGATCTACCAGTTACCCCCATGAGTGGCTCTATCCAGCCACCATTTGCTGTGTGCCTTCCTCCTCGTGGGCTGTTGTTCCCTGCTCTCCCCTGGACTGCCTCATCCCTGAAGGCTGATTTCCCCAGAGTTCCACCCTCAGCCTCTTTTCAGGCCTCAGACGCTACCTCAGATCTGATCCACTCCTGGGGCTGCAACTACAACATACACCGCCCAATATCTCCCAAACCAGCCCAGCGCATTGGGGCCCTGGCCTTCCTCCCAAGCTTCTGACCTGAACAGCTGCCTCCTGGGCATGCTTCCAAACTAAAACCCTCTCTTGCTCTCTCAGTGAACAACACCCAGGCCACCGCAGGAACAGAGACTGAAGAGTCGTCACCTCTCACATATCCTCTCATCACACCGTCACCAGCTATCCCAAATTTCTCACACACATAGCCCTTGGAAAGCTCTAATCTAGATACTTCCAGACAGCTGCTTCCTAGAGGCATTTCCCAGTCACCCTGCATCTAGACAGGGTCACGAGACAGCTTCTGGTCAATGGGATGTGGGTGAAAGGAAATCCACCACTTCTAGACCTGGCCCACAAAAACCTCCCATGCATCCCTCTTTTCGATCAGCCCCCTCGAACTTGATAACCTAGGCTGGCCTCAAGAGCCATGTGCTGAGGGGCACAGAGCGGAGGTCAGTCAGCCTGCATCCCTGAATGACTGTATGGATCAAGGCCCCCACCCCATGCTCACTACTGGGCCTGACATGAGCAAGAAATATCTACTCTATTAAGACAAACATACACACACACACACAAAACAGGGAGCAAGCAAGAAAGGAGGGAGCAGGGGAGGAAGGAATTCTCCTTGATGACTAGCTTCCCAGTGGTTCCCCCACAACATCCTCCCTTAAATTGGCACCCACACCACTACCTTAGACTTCCTAAAACGCAAACCTGATGGTTGCTCTCTCCTGCCATTTTACCCGCCCCATCACCTCCAGGGTGAGGCCCAAATTCTTTAGCATAAACCTCAGCAATCCCTTCCACACATCCCACTGGCCACATGCTATGCACAGAACATGGACGCTAAGTGCTGGGGAGACAGCTGGAGCCTCTGCCCTCAGGGAGTTTCTATTCTACTGGCAGCTGGGTGCCATGAGGAAAATAAACAGTTCCCTGTGACCAAGAGTAAGGGGAGGAAAAATCCTCAAATGGGATGTGATCTTTAGGTTGAGGCCTGAAGGATTAACAAATAGGGCCAACCAAGAGCAAGAAGGGCATTCCAGGCAGAGCAAAGACTCCCAGAAATGCCCAGGCTCCCAGAAATGCCCGGGGGGGGGGGGGTGTTCCAGTCACAGAAGGGTCCTGGGTGGGCAGGGACCAGTGCCCCAGGACCTTGTGGGCGATGGCAGGGAGTCTGCATTTTCCAGTTTGTAAGCAGATTAATAGGGTTGAACTGGGTTTAAAGATCTCTACCAGCTGCTGGGCAGAGAAAACCTTCATTGTCTGGCCTCAAAGCTGGCAAGGGGCGACCCGCGGCGTCGTGGAGTTCCCCTAAGCCGCCGCCTCCCTCCCTCCCCACCCCACACGGCCACACCCGGGTGTTCCACCCGGCACTACCATGCTCTATGTAAATCACTCTCTCCCCCCAGGCGTCTAGAGGACCCCACTCGACCCTGAGTCCCTCGCACTGTGCCAGGTACTCCGCAGGTGCTCATTAAACGCTCGCTTTAGTGAATGACGGTGCGAGGTCAGGGCAGAGCCACCGAATTGTCTGCTCAAACTTCAAGTAGGACCCCCAAGCGGGCTGGAAGTGCGTGAGGGCGCGCAGGACCTCCGCCCGCCGTCGCTCCCGGCGCGGCGCCTTACCCGGCTCTCAGGAACTTGCAGGCGCCGTAGACCATGAACCTGCAGAGGTGGAGCTGCGCGCAGAGCCCCACGCAGCCCGGCTTGGAGCCCTGGTGCGCGCGACACAGGCGCAGCGGCGAGGCGGCCAGCACCACGCGCTCCGGGGCCGCGGCTGCGCCGCCCGCCCGCACCGCCACCACGAAGCGCCCACGCTGCCGCAGCAGCCGCTCCAGCGCGTCGGCGCTCAAGCCCATCCGCAAGCGGCGCCGCAGCTCGGGCAACTCCAGGGCGCCCCCGGCCGCGCACAGCACCTGGGTGACCTCACCGACGACGCCGGCCTGGGCCATGGCCGCTGGGCCTGCTCCCGTCGGACCGCGGGTGGCGCGACGCGGACGGCGGCGGACGCTGGCTGGCGGGCGGCTCTCGCAGGGTGGAGACGCCGGCGGGAAACGAAACCGAAAGCGGCCCCGGGCCGGCGAAAAACAGAACCTGTGCGCCCTCGCCACGCCCCCGGTCCGCAGCTGAGCGGCTGCGCCTTCCGCCTCAGGGCCCCCAGCTGTGAGGCCGCCGCCCGACGGAAGCTCGGGAGCTCTTGAGCTCGGGCGTTCGGCCCGGAGCGCGGGCTGTGGCTGTGGCGGCTCGCGGGGGTCAGTACCTAGTCCCTGAAAATGGCTTCCCTGGATGTTTGAGGGACCAGGAGCCCCTAATGCCGCGATGCTCAGCGCGCCTTCAGTCAGAGGGAGCCTCGAGGGCGGCGGCAGCGCTGGCGGAGCCGGCTGGACGCCGCCGGTTAAAGCCGCTCAGCGTCGCCCAGGCCAAGCCCGGGCTTCGTAGACGGCTCACAGAAACAGGGACAACTGACGGGAGCTCTCACCCCTCGAACAAGTGACAAAAGCGATCACTCCGCATAGAAGACGCACTTAATTAAAGGTTCCTTTCGCCTCGGTGCATCAATGAGTTCCTTCATTTAAACATAAAAGGGTATGTCCTTTAAAAGAGCAAATCCGTGAGCCGAGATTGCGCGACTGCACTCCAGCCTGGGCGACAGAGCGAGACTCCGTCTCAAAAAATAAAATAAAATAAAATAAAATCCGTTACTCCCAGCCCCTGCTAAGTAACGATTGAACAAATATTTTAGAAGACCCTTCAGAGCAAAGGACCCTCTCACACGCTGAGAGCAATGCGAGTTGTTAGAGCCCTTTGAGGAGGTAATCCAGGAATAGCTATTAAAATTGAAAACGCGTGTGACCTTTGACCCAGCAATCTTTCCTCTCGGAATCTTCCAGAAGTAAAAGGAACAGTAAATAAGTTATGTGTGAAAGTGTTACTGGGGGAACCCTACCTGGGAGGTAGGGTTACGTGGGAACAGTGTGGTTGATCTTTAAAGACTATTACGAAGGCTGTTTAACAAGCATGCGTTAGAGCTCCGTGTGCGGATGTAGAGGGGCAGACAGCCATGATGTGGTGGTAAACGAGAAAAGATGGCTGTACAGAAATGTCTAAATAATCAAGTTGAATGATCAAGAATTAATTTTTTTAAATGTCTGAATAACAAAAAGAGAAGCCTGTGTGTGTGTGTGTGGCAGGATATTTTTGAATAAGCACGGAGAAAGATGAAGAAACACACAAGGGTAGTTGAGAGGAGGCAGTAGGAGGTATTAGGAAAATGGAAAAGGGAAGATGAGAGGCAGAAGGATTGTGGGGGGAGAGTACTTACGGTATACGGTATAACATTCACTAAAAATGAATATAAAAATCTTAACTATAGGCCAGGCACAGTGGCTCACGCCTGTAATCCCAGCACTTTGGGAGGTCAAGGCGGGCGGATCACTTGAGGTCAGTAGTTTGAGACCAGCCTGGCCAACGTGGTGAAACCCCGTCTCTGCTAAAAACGTAAAAATTAGCCGGGCGTGGTAACGGGCGCCAGTAATCCCAGCTACTCGGGAGACAGGCAGGAGAATCGCTTGAATCCGGGAGGCAGAGATTGCAGTGAGCGGAGATCATGACACTGCACTCCAGCCTGGGCGACAGAGTGAGACTCCATCTTTAAAAAAAAAAAAAAAATTACCTGTACTATTACTACAAAAATGTAAATAATAAGTGTATGGATAAAGACTAGATAGTAACATGGACAAATGAAAATGAATTTATTTAATTAGGAAATTGAATGAAGGGTTTTCTCTTGGATTTTAATTGTGATTTTAATGTTTTCATTGTATAAAATGTTAATTTTGTTTTTGTTATTGTTTTAGAGACAAGGTCTTGGTCTGTCACCCAGGCTGTAGTATAATGGTACAGTCATAGCTCACTACAACCTGGAACTTCTGGGCTCAAGCGAACCTTCCACCTTAGCCTCCCAAGTAGCTGGGCCTAGAGGCACGTGCCACCATGCCCAGATAATTTTTATATTTTTTTGTAGAGACACTGTCTCATTTGTTGCCCAGGCTGATCTTGAACTCCTGGCCTCAAGCAGTCCTCCCACCTCAGATTCCTAAAGTGCTGGGATTACAGTGAGCCACCACGCCTAGCCTAAAATGTTAATTTTTAATTTAAAATGTTAGGCAGAGTGCAGTGGCTCACGCATGTAATCCCAGCATTTTGGGAGGCCGAGGTGGGTGGATCACTTGAGGTCAGGAGTTCAAGACCAGCCTGGCCAACTTGGTGAAACCCCATCTCTCCTAAAAATACAAAAATTAGCCAGGTGTGATGGTGTGTGCCTGTAATCCCAGCTACCTGGGAGGCTGAGGCAGGAAAATCGTTTGAACCAGGGAGGCGGAGGTTGCAGTGAGTCAAGATCGCACCGTTGCACTCCAGCCTGGGCAACAGAGCAAGACTCCGTCTCAAAAAAAAAGTTAATTTTAGTTGTGGTTTCCATATTTTTTTGCAATAAAATAACATTTTTTAAAAAAGAAAGGAAGAGTGATGTCAGTGAAAATGGTGGATTAAGTATCCCAGCAAGTTTGCCCTTCCATAAAGGAAGCAAGGAAAGAACTGACAAAAATTGTCAGAATCAACTTTCTTAGAGCCCTAGAAATTAGTCACAGGTTTGCAGCAACCCATCTGGCATTTAGTCAGGAAAAACAGCAAACTCTCAGTAAGAACAGCAATATTTATAGTATTTTAATTTACCCTAGTCCTATCGCACCCCCATCTCTAGTTCCATGGCAGCCTTGAAAACTTACAGCCCACGTTCCTAGTACCTGTACCAGAGGGAGGAGACAGGGCTGGAGCTACTTCAAAGTCTCATTCCCAAAGAAGAGTCATTATTTAACCTATCTAGTGGGTCCCTGGAAAAAAATCCTGAAAAGGGTTGTCTTTATTCAACCTCTTTGGAACTAGCTCAGTCCTAAAGGTTTTTCCACCTGAAGAGGGAGTGATTTGTCAAATATTTTAACATTGTAACTGGCTGAGGCAATAGGTAACGGTAGGGGCAAACAATAGACTAACAAAGAAATGTAAAAGGAAACGTTGAAGGAAGAGATGTCCATAGGGGCTTTGAAAAGCTCCAGTATATTTTCAGGAATTTAGAAGGCCATGTGCATGTGTAGGGCTGTGCACATGCTCTGTTAACACCTGAGAAGATCCTAACCTCTCACTACTAGCTGACACTGAGGCTCTGTGCTAGCAGGAAATAAAAGCTATGCAGAGTTGCAAACTGCCTAATGAAAATTGAAGACATACCCCAAAGTGCATACAGAGCCCCTTGGCAAAGACTAGGAGACATATTGGTTCCAGGTGTTTAAGGAAATCTCCATCTAATCATTAGTTGACCAAGTAGAGACTTCAATAGTCACACACAATGAAGATACACACTTTAAAAAATTAGTTCAAAAAAGTTACTAAACAGCAACTATTAGGTTGGTGCAAACCGCAATTATTTTTGCACCAACCTAATACTAAAATAAGCACAATCAAACCCTGAGGAGAGAGGAGTATCTGACTTTGAGAGTTGGCACATTGTTTGAAATGTCCAATTTTCAACTAAAAATTATGTGACTTGCAAAGAAACAAGAAAGTAAGACCCATACAAAGGAAATAAGAGCAATCAATAAAAACTGTTCCTAAGAAAACCCAGATGCTGAACTTTGTAGACAAAGAGTGTAAATCAGCTATTTTTGATATGTTCACAGAGCTAAAGGAAACCATCTCTAAAAATGTAAAAGAAAGGATGAGAATGATGCCTTGCCAAACAGAATATTAATAAAGACACAGAAATTATAATAAGGAACCAATAAAGGTTCTGGAGCCAAAAAGTACAATAACTGAAATGTTAAATTCACTAGAAGGGTTCAGCAGCAGATTTGAGCATGCGAAAGAAAAAAAAAATCAGCAAACTTGAAGATAGATCAATTGATGATTATCTGGTCTGTGGAACAGAAACGAAAAAGAAAAATGAAAAGAGCCTCAGAGACCTGTGGGACACCATCAGATATACCAATAACACAAAATGGAAGTCTTAGAAGGAGAAGAGAGAGAGAGAAAGGAAAGCGAGAATATATGAAGAAATTTTGGCTAAAATTTCTCAGATTTGATGAAAAACATTAATCTACACATCCAAGAAGCTTAATGAATTCCAAGTAGGAAAAACTCAAATAGATCTACACCTAGACACATCATAATCAAACTTTTGAAAACAAAGAGAATCTTGAAAGCAGCAAGAAAGTAGCAACTCATCATGCACAAGGAATCAACAATAAAATAAAAACAGTTAACTTCTCATCAAAAACCATGCATGCAGAGGGTAGTGTGATGATGTATTCAAAATGTGAAAAGAATCAACCAAGAATTTTATATCCAGCAAAACTATCTTTCAGAAATGAAGGAGAAATTAAGATATTCCCAGATAAACTAAAGCTGAGCCCGTTAGTTGCTAGCACTGGGAGAAACACTAAAGAGAGTCGTTTGGGCTGAAAGTGAAAGACACTAAACAGCAACTGGAATTCTCATGAAGAAAGAAAAGCACCAGTAAAGGTAACTACACAGGTAAATGAAAAAGACAGTATAAACGTATTTTTTGTTTGTAACCCCCATCATCTGATTTAAGACAACTACATAATGCAGTAATTACAAATATAAGTTGATGGACAATGTTTTGAAGATGTAATTTGTGACAATAACAGCAGAAGGAAATGGGGAAGGAAAGTGAAGCCATAGAGAAGCAGTTTTTATATTCTGTGGAAATTAAATTGGTATTAATCCAAACTGGATTTTTATAAATTAAGATGTTGCTGGTAATTCCTAGTGCAACCAATAACCAATAAAATACATGAGGCCGGACACAGTGGCTCACGCCTGTAATCCCTGCATTTTGGGAGGCCGAGGCGGGTGGATCACCTGAGGTCAGGAGTTCGAGACCAGCCTGGCCAACATGGTGAAACCCCATCTCTACTAAAAATACAAAAAATTAGCCAGGTGTGGTGGCAGGCACCTGTAATCCCAGCTACTCAGGAGGCTGAGGCAGGAGAATCGCTTGAACCCAGGAGGTGGAGGTTATAGTGAGCCAAGATCGTATCACTGCACTCCAGCCTGGGCAACAGAGTGAGACTCCATCTCAATAAAAAAAAAGAAAGAAAGAAAAAAAAAGAAATGATAAGATAATTTAAGTGGCACACTGGCAAATATCTATTTAATACAAAAGAAGGCAGTACTAGAGGAGTTGAAAAACAAAAAAAAAGACAAAAGACGTAGAAAAAATAGAAAAATGGCAGACAAATCCTACCTTATTAGTAATTACATTAAATGTAAATGGATTAAGCTTTCCAATTAAAAAATAGAGATGGGCATAATGGACCAAAACAAACAACAAAAATAGAAAACATGACCTAACTGTATGCTGCATTCAAAAGATACATTTTGGATTCAAAGACAAACAGATTGAAAGTAAAAGGATGGAAAAAATATACCATACAAATGGTAACCAAAAGAGGGCCGGAGTGGTTATACTAATGTCAGACAAAATAGACATAAGATAAAAATTCTTACTAGAGATAAAGAAGGACATTTTATAATGATCAAAGAATCTACCAAAAATATATAATAAATATAAATTAAATGCACTTAACAACAGAGTCCCAAAACACATGAAGCAAAAACTGACAGAACTGAAGGAAGAAATAGACAATTCAACAATAATAGTTGGAGGCTTTAATATCTACTTTCAATAATGAATAAAAAACCAGACAAAATATCAGCAAGGATATAGAAGGGCAATACTATAATCCAAGTAGACCTGAAAGACATCTATAGAACTCTTCACCCAACAAGAGCAGAACACATATTCTTCTCAAGTGTACATGGAAAATACTCCAGGATATACCAGATGCTAGGCTATAAAACAAGTCTCAAGAATCGTAAAATAAATTATATGAAGTATGTTCTCTTGCCATAATGGAATAAAAGTAGAAGTCAATAACAGAAATTTGAAAAATTCACAAATATGTAAAATTAGAAAATATACTTCTAAATAATAAGTCAAATAAGAAATCACAAGAGAAATTAGAAAATATTTTTGAGATAGATGAAAATGAAAACAAATTTATGAGATGTAGTGAAAGCATTGTTTCAAGGAAAATATGTCTCTGTGAATGCCTACATGAAAAAGGATCTCAAATCAATATCCTAACATTCCATCTTAGAAACTAGAAAAATAAGAGCAAACTAAGCCCAAAAGGAAGGAAATAATAAAGATTAGAGTAGAAACACAATAGAGAATTTAAAAAGAATACAAAGAATAAAACCAAAAGTTGGTTCTTTGATAAGATAGAAAATTTATAATTCTTTGCCTACAGTGACCAAAAAAAGAAAAAAGAAGAAGACTAAAATTACTAACATCAGGAATAAAAGAGGAGTCATTACTACTGACTTTACAGAAATAGAAAGGATTATCAAGTGTAATAATCACATTTTCTAGTTTCTATATTTGATGCTTTGACATCTTGGGGCCTTCTCGACACTAGAAGGACTACGTGTCCCAGGGCTAGCTAATTCCTAGATACAGCTAACAAGTCACCTCTGAGCTTTCCTTTCATAGGCAAACCAACCAACCCAGAGTCCATACTTCCAATCACCTCCTTCATCAGGGTTCTCCTGGGGCTGTCATACTGTAGGCCAGTATTCTCTTTTCCTAATTGCCCCAGGTCCATGTACCAGACAACTGGGGACAGCCCCTATAACCCCAGAGTCTACTGAACTAATTAAAACTAGCCTATGCTAAGCTTGCTTACCCTGCCTCAACCCAGGAACCACAACAAAGGCTCTTGGCTATGTTTTCTCCTCACTGTCTCTGTCTCCTGACATGTACTGGTGCCTCTCCGTGTGGCCCTCTGTGGCATGCTCTGCTTTCCTGTTTCTAGAGATCTGTGAGTATAAAAACTTATTTCATCATAGTCATTTCTGTGTCTGTGTGTCTTGGTATACCTGATTAAAACAAATCCTAGGGTTGGGTGCGGTGGCTCACGCCTGTAATCCCAACACTTTGGGAGTCCGAGGCAGATGGATCACTTGAGGCCAGGAGGTCGAGACCAGCTTGGCCAACATGGCGAAACCCCATCTTTACTAAAAAATTAGCTGGGCAGGGTGGCATGTGCCTGTAATCCCAGCTGCTCAGGAGACTGACACATGGGAATCATTTGAACCCGGGAGGCAGAGGTTGCAGTGAGTTGAGATGGTGCCACTGCACTCCAGCCTGGGTGACAGAGCTAGACTGTCTCAAAACAACAACAAAAAAAATGCTGGGTACCCTTTTAAAACATAGGTTATAAAGGATTTTAAGGCAGAAAGATAGTTAGAAGATACCTATAAAAACATACAAGTGGAAAAATACCCAGAAGACATTGGATCTGTGAGTCTGACATTTATAGAAGACGTCAGTACTAGAGTTACGAACATACAGATGGTATTTAAACCTACGGGACTGGATGAGACCACCCTAGAAGAGAGTGTAAATGAGAACTCCAAGGACCTGCCCCTCTGAAAGAGAAGGAGGAGACTGATAGAGCTAAGGTTTAAAGGAGAAGGCAGTGGGGTAGGAGGAAAACCAGAAGAATATGGAGTCATAAACTTAAGTTTTTCAATAGGAAGGGATGATCAGCTACATTGAGTGCACTATCAAGAGATCAAATAAAGATAGAGAAATGTTTTGTCTGTGCCACATAATAACCACCCTAAAACTTAGTGACTAAAAATAATAATGATTTATTTTTCATGATTCTGTGTGTTAACTGGGCTCAGCTGGGCAGTTCTTCTGCCTCATATGGTATAGCAAAAGTCACTCCAGTGGCTACATTCAGCTGGCAACTCAGCTGCAGTTAGAACCTTCAAGATGGTCTCTCATCCTGCAATCTCTCTGTGTGTGGCTCTCATTATTTAGTATTCTATCCTGAGCTGCTTTATAGGGTGTTAGGTAGCTCCCAAGAGAACAAGCCCCACTATGCAAGCATTTATCAAGATTCTCCCATTTTTCATGCCAGCTCTTAGAGTCATCCTTTTCCTACAAGAAATGGCTCATATTGGCGGTTGAGTAGATTTCTCAGCCTGCTTCCTGCCCATAGAAAATTGGGAGCAAATTTTTCTTTATTTTGGAACTGTCTGTATCCCTTCTTTTCCAAGTTGGTACAACTTGGAATGCCATTAAGATTCCTAGAAAGGAAAGTCCTTCAGCTGAAAAGTCTATAAAATACCACCTTAAATCTTTCTGATGTCTTCAAGGGTGTGATAGCTGCACCCTTCATTTGATCTTGAATGTCAGGCCACATTTTACTGGCAGGCCCTGAACTTGATCTTTTCCAAGGTCACTTCTTACTTTTTTTGCCAGCCAGAGGGGTAGGAATAAAAATAGTTTTATTTTCTAACCTAGCAAGTGCTGGAAATATTTTTTCTAAATTCTGCTTAAAAACCAAACAGTTATTTCCGTAACATCTCTTTCTTGCAATTGTTTTATTCTGCTTTAAGCCCAATTTCTAGGCAATTGTCTTATTCTGCTTTAAGCCTAAAAATCTTTTTAGCCAGATCCACAAGTTTCTCTGCAACATTTTCCATCTTCCAGGTTAACAAAGGTGACAGTCTCTGTAACAAAGGCCCCCTTTCTCAGCTTGCAATAAAAGGTTCGTGACTGCTATTCCACCCTCCACCGGCAGTTCCCTGGCCACCCTTCAGGTTTCTGCCTACAGCCCAGTCCTAAAACCAGTGTCACATATTGTAGGTTTTTGTTACATCAGCTCGCCTCTTCCAGTTGCCAACTTCTGCTTCAGTTAGTAGTAAGTTTTTCTGCAAAGGGAAGCAGGGTAAGGTGGTGGGAATAACTGATGAGAGGGGTATGTGAAGTCAAGGATTTGTTTATCTTTATTTATTGATTTATTGATTTATTTATTTTGAGATGGAGTCTCACTCTGTCACTCAGACTAGAGTGCAGTTTTGCGATCTCGGCTCATTGCAACCTCCACCTCCCAGGTTCAAGCGATTTTCCTGCCTCAGCCTCCCGAGTAGCTGGGATTACAGGTGCCCACGACCACACCCCACTAATTTTTGCATTTTTAGTAGAGATGGAGTTTTGCCATGTTGGCCAGGCTGGTTTCGAACTCCTGACCTCAGGTGATCCATCTGCCTCGACCTCCCAAAGTGCTGAGATTACAAGTGTGAGCCACTGCACCCAGCCTATCTTTTATCTTAAGATGAGAGATGCTAATGCATAGTTTCATTCTGCTGGAAATGATCTAGTGGGGACATTGTTGATGTTAGGTGAGGGGGTAACTGCAGCAACAAAGAGGGAACATACTGCCCATAAACTGGGGGATTCATGTTGGTAGAGACAAGGACCTGCCCTCCTGTTGGTAGGGACCTGTGTTTTTCATAACGCAGGTAAGACAGAAAGGAAGGGTGTAGCATTTGTGAGTAGGTTTGTATCTAGCCTTGCGGTAAGATGAGGGAAGGCCTTTACATTTGGTTAAATAGTGTTCCCCCCAAAATTCCTCCACCCAAAATTCATGTCCATCCAGAACCTATGAATGTGACCTTATTTGTAAGCAGAGTCTTTGCAGGTATAATCAAGTTAAGGTGAGGTCATCCTGTATTAGGGTGAACCCTAATCCAATGATAGGTGCCTTAGAAGAAGAAAGAAATTTGGGCACAGAGATAGGCACACAGGACGAAGGACAGGTGACAACAGAGGCAGAGATTGGAACGATGCATATAAATCAAGGAACATGACTGATCAATGGCAGTCACCAGAAGCTGGCATAGGTGAGGAAGGATTCTCCCCTGGAGACTTCAGAGGAAGACTGGCCCTACTGACACCTTGATTTTGGACTTCTAGCCCCCAGAACTTCCTTAGTATATATATATATAGTGTATTAATATATTTTATATATATATACTTAGTATATATATACACATATGTTAATACTTAATAAAAGTATATATAAAAGTTAATACTTTTATACATATATGTATATATACATATATAAATACTTAATAAAAGTATAATATATGAATGTTAATACTTTATATTATATATATAAAAGTCACAAGGTCCCACAGTAGGCTGTCTGCAAGCTTGAGGAGCAAGGAGAGCCAGTTTGAGTCCCAAAACTGAAGAACCTGGAGTCCGATGCTTGAGGGCAGGAAGCATCCAGCACGGGAGAAAGATGTAGGCTGAGAGGCTAGGCCAGTCTCGCCTTTTCACGTTTTTCTGCCTGCTTTATGTTCACTGGCAGCTGATTAGATGGTGCCCACCAGATTAAGGGTGGGTCTGCCTTTCCCATGCCACTGACTCAAATGTTAATCTCCTTTGGCAACACCCTCACAGACACAACCAGGATTAATACTTTGCATCCTTCAATCCAGTCAAGTTGACACTCAGTATTAACCATCATAGCAGCCTTAGGTAACTAATTCAGCTTTCTGTTTTCTCGGTGAGATGTGAAGGAAGATCACCAGCCGAAGGTGGGGCTACAGTAAGGGGTAGGAAAGGGGAAGAAGATATGATCCAGTTGTCTCCTATGAAAAGACCAATTCTGCCAGCAAAACGTAGGATTACCAGACAATGGTAAGTCCCATTTAAGTTTGAAGATCATACATTAAAGTTAAAGCAGTCAGCCAATTATGTGATTCGTGGTTTTTCCCAACAGAGGTCAATTGCCTCTGAGTTGCAAAGAAATTAGGTTCAACATGGATTGGGGTTCTGGCTTTTGCATTCAGTGGAGGGAGACCAAGGCATGTTTTGAGGGCCTTTGCAAAGGGGCAATTGTTTTAGTAGATTATGGAACCAATCTGGGCATGGAAAGGAAAGAGAAGGCAAAGAAAGTATAAGAGACAGTGTGAAAGGTCAGGGATTGGAAATCTGAAATAAATCAAAATGTAGTTGCAGTGGTACAGAAAAGCTAAGGAAGACACAATACATAATAAATTAATACAAAACAAATACATTGTTTATTAAGAAAATTATACTAATAACAATGAGGACATATAAAGTAAAAGAGTTTGGAGGATAGAAGATGGTGAGCAGAGAGGTTATTTGAAATGTGGTAAGGGTTTGCTTATGAGGAAATTAAATCATATTTAAGGAGTGAATCTGTTGTTTCAAAAATGTCCCTGTGCTGTTTATGGAAAGACAGCAGTCACTTTGGGGCACACCTTATTTGTTCTGGGGGGAATCACTGTGGAACCTCTCTTTACTATGTATTATGTGCCTTGTGTATTAGTACATATGCTGCTTTTCCAATCTCAGAGACAAGTGGATCATATCTTCTCCTGAGCGCTGAATTCGTCTCCTAGGGCTGCCATAACAAATGTGGGAGTCTATTGTCTGAACGATCACAAAACAAGACCTTGTCATTTTGTAGCTTGACCACGACTGCCCTCCTAGTATCTCACATTGTACAGGGCTGGTCTCTGAGGAAGAGGGGGGATCAGTTTTAACAGGGGATAAGGAGCAAAGAGAGAAGCATGCTTCCTTTCTGTTTCAGGTCCAGTTTCTAAAGCTGACTTTGAGATGTTGATTCTTGTGCAAGTTCTTTATTAAGGAAGTGCTCCCAGGAGAAGCTGGTGTAAGAGTGGGAGAAGCCAGGGAGGGAACAGGGAGAAGACAAGCAACGTCCCTGCCTCAACCTGAACACAAAGGGGACCTCTGGAATGTATAGTGGACTCCTGTTCTTTGGCAGCCGTTGTGTTCTGTAAAGTTGCTGTGGACACTTAGTGAAACTGATCCATCGCTCCTAGGGGAAATACAGGGCTAGGTTCCTATGAGTGTCTGATCACATACTTGTCAACTGATCAATACACAACCTTGTTTTATGTGTTTTTCTATTTAAAGACACTTTATTTAATAGATAGTGTTAATTCATTAGCATTGACCTCACGGATGATGGCACTATAACTCATGCCTGAAGAAAGCTTACCAAACACGTGTGTTTTCTCTGTGAGGCACATCACAGCCTTCTCAAACTCAGGAACACCACACAGTACTTCAGCACTACTCTTGGGAGCCACTGTAAACAGCAAAATCATCCACAAAAATCACAACAATGCAAAAAATGCAGCACTAAATAGATCTCAAAAAGGACACTCGTTATGAGAACTGAAACAAGAAGACAAGAAGGTTGCCTTGCTCAACCTCAGCTGTCGTTGTGCGCTCAATTTTTTTCACTGCTCTGAATATGTCCAAAAACGACAGTGAAAACACCATACGTATTGATTTGGGGGTTACAGATAAATTTTAGTGCTTAGGTAAATTTGCATATACAGAATCTGCAAATAATGGGGATCGACTGTAAATCTCACCGAGTTTGTCCCTCCTCTAGGCTGTCATATCACTGCACTGGTCATCCATCCAGCATTGGCAAAGGCTGGCAGGGGAGTGTGCATGGGGGCAGAAGTAAAGTCCTAGGTCCTTCTGGCTCTCTGCACCTGCATTTGCACCTGGACAAAGTGGATCCAGTAGCCCAAGGGCAGGCCGCTGAGGAGGTTTTTTGTTTTTTTTTGAGACAGAGTCTCGCTTTGTCGCCCAGGCTGGAGTGCAGTGGCGCGATCTCGGCTCACCGCAAGCTCCGCCTCCCGGGTTCACGCCATTCTCCTGCCTCAGCCTCCCGAGTAGCTGCGACTACAGGCTGGGGCCACTACGCCCGGCTAATTTTTTGTATTTTTAGTAGAGACGAGGTTTCACCATGTTAGCCAGGATGGTCTCAATCTCCTGACCTTGTGATCCACCCACCTCGGCCTCCCAAAGTGCTGGCATTACAGGCATGAGCCACCGCACCCGGCCTGAAGAGTTTTGATGTAGGCCTTAGAAGCAAAGCTTGCAGACGGGCATACCCGCAGGGCAAAAGGAAGCCAAAGGCATCTAGGCAGAGCAGATGATGTCCAGTGTGCTCTGTGGGTCGAGTCACAGGAACATCACTCATGGGGGGAGATAATCCCCACAGAGGGAAGGGTAAGTCTGCACTGCTGCCCGAGGCTTGATGCCAGGACTGGGACAGTGTGTGACCCCTGGGACCAGACTTCAGAGCTGTTGCAATCATGACTCTAGCACATTACTTGTTTCCTTGGCTGTAACCTCCACTCTGACAGAAGGGACCCTGGCTTTTTCCCATGGACCCCCACCCCCGGCCTACCTAGTTCAGTACCTGATATTCAGTAAATATTTGAGGAAAGAAAAAATAACAAACATCACCCATCATCCCACCACCCAGGTGGAGCCCATATTAATCCCTGAGGACTTGCACTGGACTTGAGTGGGGCTAGAAGCCCTGCTTGCAGATTGCATCTAGCCTAAGGTAAAGCAATTATTTGGAGGTTGTAGGCAGGCTGATGGCTCTGTAAGGAACCCCATCTCTCACGCACTGGCCATCACTCCCGTGGTCGGGGGATCTCCACAGATGTGGTAGAAAGAAAGACGGCTTCTGTTTTTATTATGGCTTTATCAACTGTCCTGAGAGTTGTCAGTCTCGGGAATATATATGCATGTACTTGAGCCAGTCGCGAGTCACGTTAGAGATGGAATTGTGTTCCCTGCTCCCAAAATTCCTATGTTGAAGTCCTAATCCCTAGTACCTCGGAATGTAACTTTATTGAAGGTGGGGTCTGTAAAGATATAATTAAATTGAAAAGAAGTAATTAGAGTGGGCCCTAATTCAATGACAGGTGTCCTTGTAAGAAGAGGAAATTTAGGCCAGGCTCAGTGGCTCATGCCTGTAATCCCAGCACTTTGGGAGGCAGAGACAGGTGGATCACTTGAGGTCAGGAGTTCGAGACCAGCCTGGCCGACAGAGCAAAACCCTATCTCTACTAAAAATACAAAAATTAGTCAGGCATGATGGCACACGCCTGTAATCCCAGCTACTTGGGAGGTTGAGGGAGAAGAATTGCTTGAACCGGGAGGTGGAGGTTGCAGTGAGCTGAGATCAGAAGAAGAGAACAGGCAGATCTTCACCTCCCACTGGCAAGAAGAGCTGAGAAGGAACCAGTCTTTGGAGTGCCAAGGTCCCTCCCCTACCCCACAGAGTGGCCAAGATTCACCTTCCTGCCCTCCACCCTCCAACATTATTATTCTTGACTGAGTAGCAGACTTCGGGGAATCACTGGGTGATTGCAGCCGATGATTGAAGGCTGTGTTGTAGAGTGAAATCAGTCCTTCCCAGAAGGGGTTGGTTTTCCTAAGAGGTGGGTGTGGAGATTTTGAGGAGTGGAGGATTTGTGCTGCGTAGTTTCCATCTGCCCCTCTAGGTCCACTTTCCACTGTCCTATAACCTGCTCTGTGCTCCCAGAGGCTGACCTCGATGGATGGGGTCAGAAGCCTCCCCAGCTATCTTCCATGGAGACTCACCCATGCCGGGAGCTGGCAGGTGATCAGAGAGGAGAGTGCGGATGCGCACGCAGATCCCGGGCTTTTCCTTGAGTGGCTGGTCATATCCTTGTGCCAGAGGCCACAGCTCCTGTCTGGAGGCAGCTCCACACAGCTCTTCCTCAGCATTCTGGTAACTTCTCCCTTCCCCAGACTTTCAGTGGGGTAAGGGCTCCTCTTTGCTGCTAACCCCAGGATGCTGCCCCATCTCTTTTTGCTTTCTCCCCTGCTCACTCCATTGTAAATAATCTTTTTTATTATTACTTTTTTTTTTTAATTTTTTTTTAGACGGAGTCGCACTCTGTTGCCCAGGCTGGAGTGCAATGATGCAATCTCGGCTCACTGCAACCTCTGCCTCCTGGGTTCAAGCGATTCTCCTGCCTCAGCCTCCTGAGTAGCTGGGATTACCGGTGCATGCCACTGCGCCTGGCTAATTTTTGTGTTTTTAGTAGAGATGGGGTTTCACCATGTTGGTCAGGCTGGTCTCAAACTCCTGACCTCATGATCCGCCTGCCTAGGCCTACCAAAGTGCTGGGATTACCAGCATGAGCTACCGCACCAGGCCCATTATAAATAATCTTTTTTTTTTTTTGAGACAGAGTCTCGCTCTGTCACCCAGGCTGGAGTGCAGTGGCACGATCTCGGCTCACTGCAAGCTCCACCTCCCGGGTTCACACCATTCTGCTGCCTCAGCCTCCCATGTAGCTGGGACTACAGGCACCCGCCACCACAACCGGCTAATTTTTTGTATTTTTTTTTTTAATGGAGACAGGGTTTCACCTGTTAGCCAGGATGGTCTTGATCTCCTGACCTCGTGATCTGCCTGCCTCGGCCTCCCAAAGTGCTGGGATTACAGGCGTGAGCCACCACGCCCGGCCTGTAAATAATCTTAAACTCCCCAGTCAGGCAGCTGGAGGTGCCATCTGCATCTTCCAGGGTACGCTGGCAGAAAACAGACCGAAAGCAGAGAGAAGGTCCTGAAATGGAAGCAAGGCCAGGGCCTGGGCTGTTCTTAAGCAGGTTCATTTTCCCTTAGACTGGGAGGAATCATCTGATTGAGTGGACAAATTAAACATTTTCTCACAATTCCTTTCAATGCTCAGACCCTTTGGAGAGGCCTGGCGCCCTCACTCTGTGAGAGCACTGTGGGAGCTCTGGGAGGAGCAGGCAGAGAGGTGTGGCCTTTTCCCACCTCTCACCTGCTCTCACCTGAGGCCAGCGAGGCGGCGGAACCACAGACAGACAGCAGTGTCGCAGAACCGTAGGAAGAGACCTGATGTAAAGTGTGTGGTGACCCAGAGAGCAACAGGAAGCAGCTGCCAAGGGGCGACCCTGCAGCAGACATGGGGGAGCGTCTCCACTGCAGACAAACCCCGCAGAGGACAGGGGACGTTGTCTCCACCCCAGATAAACCGCCGCATCATGGCGACAAATATCAAATATTAAACACTTGAACCCAGGAAACGGAGGTTGCAGTGAGCCGAGATGGTGCCACTGTACTCCAGCCTGGGCGACAGAGTGAGACTCTCTCAAAAAAAAAAAAAAAAAAAAATCACTACTACATTTATTACACATGTGCCAGGCACAATGCTAAACTCTGTGGATTATCTCATCTGCTTTTCATGACCACCATTTTTAGTATAAATTACTATTTTATACCTACATCAGAGCTGAAGAAATAAAGACTCACTTAGGAGGGATTAAATAACTTGTCAAGGCCAGCCAGGCATTAGGTTGCTCGAATCTTGTGGCCTCCAAAGTCCAGGCTTTTCAGTCTCTCAAGAATAGAGAAACTAGACAATAAAGTGATTACAGGGTCACCCTTCCTCCCCCTGGAGGCTGCAGGCTGCACGCAGCCATCTGGGATGGGGAGGTGAAGCCTTGTGCCAAGGACGGCAGGCCAGCAGAGGGCAGATCCTGGCCCTGACCCCCTCGGGAAGTGGTCTCAGTCCTGGAACACCTATCTCCTGCCTTCTATCTTGTTTAAGCCATTTGTGTCCTGGGTTTTCTCTCCCTCACAGCTGAATCTACATCTGACTCATTCACCACATTAAGGATTTTGGTCTTGATCCCAAGAGCTCCAGTGAGAGCTGAAGCGAGGCCAGGAGCAGGTGGACTGAGGCACGTGAGGATGAGCCGGCAGGCCTTTGAGAGTCACTGGTTGTGGTGGGAAGAGGGAAGATTTGAGATCACCCAGACTCCTGGCCTGGGCAACTGAAGATTGTCGAGGCCCATTCACAGGGAAGCAAGTTTTGTACTGAAGGGGAGTTGGAACCAGATACCGAGGCGCAAGCTGCGTCCATTCAGGTGGACTGCAGGAACCAAGGCAGGAGTTTGCCTTCTGCTCACCCTGCTTTCTGCCAGGCTTCTCTCCCTAACCAGCCCAGACTCACATCTTTGTCCACTCTGGGGCTGCCTGTGGTCTTACAAGGCAAGCCCTCCTGCACCACTGAGCAACTGCTTTCCTAAGCATCACACCGCTCAGAAGTTAAAGCAGAGCCCAGCAACCATGGAGGGCTTCCTGAGCTCTGAAAATACTGTTCTGTGTCATCTGCAGGTGGCCAAAGTCCTTTCATAACTTGATACCACCTTATTGATCTGTTTTATAGTTTTACACATTAACCATGACTATATTTGATATTTTCAAAGTGAAGCACACCTATATAAAGTTTACAAAGCAAGTACAATAAAATTAAGTTTTAGGTTCTAAGTGAGGTGTATATATTTTTAATCCAGCTCATTCACACAATTGATCTCATTAAAGGAAAATCTACTCCTCCTCCTTTTTCTCATAAAGAAACCTGAAATACTCATTCTTTTTAACACCATATTGGTGAATTTCTACAGTTCTTAATAGTTGGCAGAATCCTCAAATTGTAAAGGGTTCTTTCCCCATTGTTCTCCATTTCTCTTTACTCTCTCTCTTCCACTCCCCCCATCCCATATGGCTGCCAGAGGCAGAGCGAAGAGTGCGCAGGGGTGGGGAAAGGGAGAGAGAGCATGAGGAATACCCATGTTCATGGGTTTACTCAATGTTATTTTGAGATTTGTACTAAAATGTGTGGGAGGTGCTGATGATAAGAGAATACCAATCCTAGCCTTAAACTCAGGCTGGTAGGAAAGACAGACGAAACATGGAAAAGTAACCAAAAAAGTGAAAAGGGTAGGAATAGAAGCCAGACTCGGTAGAGAGCAGCGGAGGAGGGAGCGCTTCGCAGCCAAGCTCCCTGGGATTTACCGTGCCCCATTCACCAGCCCTGACCCACCCCATCCCACTGGGCTGTCAGTGCAACACACCAGGAGCAGGCAGGCTGATTTCTTGCGGGCTGTGCACAGGTATGATGGTGTGATTAGTGTGTCTTGGGCGCAGTTAACACATACCTCACAGTAGAACACATTTGTCTCTCTTAATTCCACAAAAACATAAAAGTAAAATGTGTGAAAATGCCCAGCATCAATTATCTCTCCCTTTTGATTCCCATCCTCCCAGAGGTAACCAGCCACTGTTAACCACCTGGTAGCCTTATTCCAGAAACTGAAAGATACCTCAGGCTCCCTAGCCCATGTCCCAGGATTTCTGCACTTTCCCAGGCTTATGTCTGGACTCTGGCTTCCTTCTCCAGTAGGATTCTGTCCCCTTAGGCAGCCGTGCCCTTTGCTCTCTTGTGGATGCCCTGCCTTTAGTCTAATCGTGTTCACACTCGTCGCAGTAGCTTGAGTAAGTGCATTGGTTGGCAGCTGGTGGAACTCAGATGGCATTCGATACAGCAGCACAGAGAGGAGCTTGATCTGATGGCTAGTAGTTAGCGTCTCCTTGTGCCAGGCACTGTCCTTGAGTGTGCCATATGTTTTCATTTATTTAATCACTCAGTAGCCTAGTGAGGTAGATAAGTATGTCGCAGAAAACTGAGGCACAGCAAGGTTATATAATTTGCCCAGGACCAGTTAGTAAAGGTAGAGCCAGAATTTAACCCACTTGACTCTGACTGCAGTCTGTGTTCCTAGCCCTCGGATTCCATGGAGTCTAACAGGTTAGAATGAAGACTCACAAGATCAAAGGTGATAGGCAGACCCATCCTTAATCTAGTGGGTACCATCTAATCAGCTGCCAGCACAGTTAGAATATAAAGCAGGCAGAAAAACGTTGAATACACTGGCCTGGTCTCCCAGCCTACATCTTTCTCCCATGCTGGATGCTTCCTGCCCTCGAACATCGGACTCCAAGTTCTTCAGTCTTAGAACTCAGACTGGCTCTCCTTGTTCCCCAGCTTGCAGATGGCCTATTGTGGGACCTTGTGATACTGAGTTAATAAATTCCTATCTATCTATCTATCTATCTATCTATCTATCTATCTATCTATCTAATCTATCTCCTATTAGTTCTGTCCCTCTAGAGAACCCTAATACAGGTCCCAAAGGGTAAGAGACAAAAATTTGGGCTGCATGCAGTGGCTCACACCTGTAATTTTAGCACTTTGGAAGGCCAAGGCAGGAGGATTGCTTAGGCCCAGGAGTTCGAGACCAGCCTGGGCAACATTTTTCTTTACAAAAAATTTAAAAATTAGCTGGCTGTGGTGGTGCACGCCTGTGGTCCCAGCATCTTGGGAGACTGAGGTGAGAGGATGGCTTGAGCCCAGGAGGTCGAGGCTGGAGTAAGCCGTGACTGCACCACTGCACTGCTGCCTGGGCAACAGAGTAAGATCCTGTCTCAGGAAAAAAAAAACAAAAATTTGCAAAGATTAGAGGTTGGATGGGAAAACTGCAATTGGAGGTTGTGGTAAGTGGGAGGTGAGAGGATGGTGGTAGGATTGATATATGATGTACGAGACTCCTCCAGGGCACCCAGAAACGGAAGGACAGCTTCTAGAATAAGAGCATAGGAAGCTGGGGGTGGTGACTCACACCTGTAACCCCAGCACTTTGGGAGGCCAAGGCGGGTGGATTGCTTGAGGCAAGGAGCCAGACCAGCCTGGCCAACATGGTGAAACGCCATCTCTACTTAAAAAAAAAAAAACAAAAAAAAAAACAAGAAAAAAAACAGATTAGCCGGGCATGGTGATGCACGCCTGCAGTCCCAGCTACTCGGGAGGCTGAGGCAGGAGAATCACTCGAATCTGGGATGTGGAGGCTGCAGTGAGCCAAGATCGTACCAGCCTGGGCAACAGAGTAAGACTGTGTCTCAAATAAATAAATAAATATGCATAGGAGAGGGTCAAATACTATTTCTTACTGTTATTGCAAGTCTTTTGTCCCAGGTCATATTTGCCTTAAAAAAAAAAAAGTAGGGAATTTACACATATTACTTTCCACTTGTAGATCCTTCTTTTTTTTTTTTTTCCTCAACTCTGGCATAGGATTTATGTAAACTTTTGATTTTATAAAATTTCAGAACTAGCACTTTACAAAGTGTAAAGGCATTTTGGAGACACAGGCTGGGAAGAGTCTGGACAAGGCAAGGAGAGACTTGAGCCCAGGAGTGGATCAAGAGGAAGATGTGGATGGTGCTTCTGCAAGGCACGGGTAGGCAGCACCCCAGGATCAGCGATGGTGGGCAGAGCAGGACCTTTTCCTCTCCTCCTTATCTGGGTTGACCACCTACAGAGCTGGGGCAGAAGATAGGGCAGGATGTGGCTTCGGTGTCCAGGGCAGGAGAGGAGGGAGCAGCCCGGGTGGGCAAGGCTGTGAAGGAGGCTGCTGCGCTGCCCCACGGGGCCATGGTTAGGTCCAGCAGAAAGGGCGGAAGGGGTGCACTGGGCATGGCCTCTACTCATATGCCAGCTCTGAGCCTCTGGAAATCCACATTTGGTTCCTGTATCCTAACAGCACTTCTCACATGTCATTTATTTACAGCCTATGTTATTCACTAGAAGGTGAGCTCAATTCTAGAAGATGTTTCTTCAGTGTGCCCAGCTCCTGGAAAAGTGGACTCAAGAGAGGTTCTGGTGACAAAAAACCTCCACAAGAAACTACAGTTTCAATCCACAGTGGGTTGCGCCTGCAAAGAAATTTTTACAACACCAACCATTCCTAAGGACCATCTATTCCTTCCTTAATTAAAAGTATATAGTTAAAAATACTTAGAGAAACAGCTTAGAATAGTCTTTAGAGTCAGACAGACTGAAAATGTCTGTATTCATGTGAACCTGGAAGTGTCATTGGCCCTCTCTGAGCCTTGGATGCATCTGTAGGATGAGGAATGTAGTACCTACCTCGCTGGGTTATTTTGAGAAAGAAATAAAAATATCCTTGCACACAGTAAGTACTCAAATGGAATGAAATAAAAGATAGTAAGGGCTCCTGTTTCAAATCCTGTCTGTAACATAGCATTTGATCCTTCCTACTGTAAAATAATTGGCATTTATCATCAACATCCCACAGTGATGTGTCTCATGCTGTCTCACTGTTGTGAAACCACAAAAATCAGCTGAAAAGTCTAAGAAGAGTAGGTCCTGATCATTGTTTCATTAACGTATGAGCTTTGGGAAGGGCAGACAACCCACAAATTTACAAATAGTATATGGATTTTCACAAAACAAGCAGATTTGTTCAGATTTAGATTTCAACCAATTTCATGAAAGCAGACACAGGAGATGCAAACTGCTTTTGTGGATTCCGTTCTAGGGGCGGAAGCAGCTCTCAAGGTGTGTTTAAGTGTGCATGCTTTGGCGTCCCTGTTCTTTTGCAGATATTAGGGGGAGGGAGGGTATGGTCTTTGGTCCTTCTGGTCACTTGGTTTCTGGGACTCTGAGCTCAGTTTCTCCTCGGGAACAGACTTCCTGCCCACTTGTCTCCTTCCTAGGCTTCTCTTCTGCCCTGGAAGTGATGCCTGCAGGGCTCCTTCCTTCCTGGTCCAGAGTTCCTCTCTCATCTCCTCTAAGGACAGATCTTTTTCCTGGTCCGTATCATCCCTGTCTCTCAGACCCTGAGTCCAAAACTGAGCTCATCTTCCTCACGGAGTGTGCACTTAACACTCTCACCTTCACCAGCCAGCCAGGCCACCACACCCCTGGCTCTCACTTGCCTTTTGTGTCTCACACAAGCTCCTTGAGGCCTGGGACTTGGTTTTGCTCACTCCTGCAGCACTAGTGCTAAAACAGTGCCTACTGTACTGCAGGTGTTAGGAAATATTTGTGGGATGCCTGGGCAGGGGCTGTGAGTGTGCTGAAATGTTCATTAGCCAAGTACCCACATCCGTTTCTACGTTTCAGCCTCATGTTGCCAATTACACTTTTGTATTCTTCCCTCTCTTTGAGCAATCACTCATCCCCAGCAATACTGCTAATAAAATAAGACAATTACTTTTCACATTGAAGTCTTCAGAAGTAGTAAGGAGCAGACGCTGAACCCAGTTTTTCATACTTTTAAATAATTTCCCATGATTCAATCAGCAGAAAAAGGGAACAAAGTCAGAATTGGATATAGAATTCAGATTCTTTTTCTTTCAAGGACGCATTTTATACAATTTTCAACATTTATACTTTCAAACAAAATGAGCAAAAAATACACTAAGTGCTAAAAAAATCAAAACAGAAGTAATACAATTTTAATTTCAATATTTTAAAATACAGAAATTGGAAAGAATACTAAATACAACTTTAAACAAGTCACTTGTCCTCCCCTATAATAATCAATGTAAGCTACTTAAAGACTTACAAATTTAAAGTAAAACAGAAACAAAATAAATACTGTACACTTTCCCTGCCTGCAGGCAAAAGATGGGAAATACTGTTATGAATCAGCAAAGAAATGCTCTTCAAGCTTCAGCACCCCACCTCCCAGCCACACCCCACGCCATTGTCACACAGTGGGCTTCCGGACTGAAAGGACACACATGTCACACACATTGACTGCCTATACAAACAAGACGAGACGCTATTCCGCAGACACCCCCAACAAGAAGAACAGTCCCCTCGGACCGTGGGCATAAAAACCAGTAAGAAAAGTCAGTCAGGCTAGCAAAACGTTACTACAAAACTAGTAAATACCAGAGCCAACAACTGTCCCCTCTCCAAAGTTCACAGATTTGAAACCTCTAAAACCAATACTACCCCTCCCCATCACCCCCCAAAAAAACTTGCTGAAGCACTGGCAAAGTTAGACATTTCACAGTAAATGTGAAAGTTCATATTATATAATCTCTTAAAATGAACCTTTTCACCCTCTTTCCACAGCATGAAACTGTTATGGCTTAATTTATATTAAAAGTAGAAAAGTCTTTTCTGAAGGAAATACCATCTGCGAAGATGCATTTCCTGATCAGTGCTATTTCATACCTAACAACTGTATGACTTGCTTTTGCAGTCAGAAGCTGTTTTTGGAAAAATTGAGGTTATAGCTTTTGATTCAGTCTAACCATAAACTGTAAGGCCCTTAGTTTGGTTTAGGTTTCTTTTGCAAGATAAAATAACCTTGGGGTTCACTTAGTAAGTTACACCTCAGGTCCCTGACTGTAATGTGGAAGTTATACGTAGCTCTGTAAAAATAAAAGGTTACTTATGAATCTTAAAAGGAAGAAATAGTTCTAGGTAAGGAATTAACTCCTCATTATATTTTACATTTAATGCTGGTAAGTTTTACCAACCAAAATACACCAAAGAAATATGAGAGTATGTCTGGGTTATTTTATGCCTGCAAAGTATTATATATTCCAGCACTTATGATCATTGTTTTGGTGAAAAATCTTGGAGGAAAACAGCTGACATTTTGAAAAAGAAATGGCCAAAATGAAACTGGTTGGAGACAAGTTTTACCTTTATAATTAAGCTCCATTTATGACTACTTTCTGAAAGAAAGAGAAGTGAATTCAGAGTGTCACAGGTCTTGCATAGGTAAACTACTTGGAGATCAAGGGCTACGTGGTAGCCAGGGTTTATTAGTGAAATAGTGCAGAGCAGATAAACTTGGAAGAATCACTGAATACAGTTTCGAAAGGTTTTAACAACAAAATGTAATGTTATACTTGTTAAGACAAAGTCTTAAGACACTAGAAGGGGCACCAGGGGGAAGGGGAGAACCTAAGGATATTGCAAAAGAGTATTATTTTCTCCTCTCAGTTAAAATGAGGAAAAAAATACTATAGAAGAATAAAATCACAGTCACAACAAGCTCATTGCTTTGGAAATAGACATTTGCTTCCTAATGACCTTAATTTTTAAAATTTATGTTAAGGATATCAAATATTTGACTTTACAGCATGAAAAAGAGGGAAGGGCTTCTAGGAAGGCTACAGTATTAAGATTACATTACGTTCAACAGCAACAGAATGAGAAAATTAATTCTTCCCCTTTCTTTCCACCTGGTTTCAAGGAAGCACATGAACATCATCTCATAGGGCAAGCCGAAAACTGGGGGCTGTTTTAGGAAGCAAAGTATCAGAGGCCCCAGATCCACTGTGTCTCCCCACGCAAATCACTGTCCACTCTGGGTTACCTGTGTCTCCTTTATTTACCAGCGACACTCTGTCTAGGCTAAAGATCTGATGATCCAGCTTCCCAAGACTGCTTTAGAGGAAGGTCTAGGACACCACCAAGACTGGTGAGCTCTAGCTTCTCTTTATGTGGCGAGCAATTAACAATATTTAATGAGAAAAATGAATTTTTGATAATTATGCCTAGCAGTAGCATACTGGGTCACATGATATTCCAATCAACTCTATCTATAGTCTTACTGCTGCAGAGAGCATCTTTTGAAAAAGGCAGAAAGAATCTTGTCTGTTGAAGATGTCTGGTGGCGTCTCCTTTCCTACACTGGTTTCTTTCTACCAAGCAAACTGTTGGTACCCAACCCAGAGCTGTCTTTGTGCATTCTCACCTTTCTAACCACCTCATTCTCCCCACAAGTTCCCTGGGGAGTTGCTAAGTCATTTTAATTCCATGACTTCCTTCACCTTTATCTAGTACCTGAAGAGTATGCTGAATCTGTGGGGATGGTACTTTCCTAATTCTTCAAGAAAAACCTAAAGCCATCTTTCAGTTAAATCATCTTAACGTACTTGAGGATACACATTCTCACTCTCTTATCCATAAACAACTTCATTTTTCTTCCACTTCAAGCACGAAATCTGATTTTAATCCAGCACCTTGTTGGAGATTCCTCGGATTTTTAAAGTAGCATGCCCTGGGCATATATTTGATATAAAATAAACATCATGAATAGTATTAGTTTTCATTTAAAAATATATATAAAGGTGCATTAATTGCCAGTTTTAACTTAATGATAAGTTCTCTGTATGTATGAAGTGTTAAGAGATTTTCTTAATTGATTATCATAATAAACACTTTAATCCAAATTTACAAATGAGAAAACTAAGAGAAAGAGTTAAGTGACTTATTCAAGGTTACACAGCTGATACCTAAATGGCAGAACTTCGACAAAAGCCCAGGTCTTCTGCTTCCTTGCATGCTACACCAAGTCCCTGTATGACCATATTAATTACCAAGTTGAAGCATTTCTTTAATTGTGAAATTACTTTCACTTCTACAGTGGCATATCTCAGTTGAAACTAAAAAAGTCAGCATGTTTTTTAATGAACAGGTCCTCTTTTGCTCATGTTTGCTTAGAAGTGAAAATAATACTGCTAATTTCCTGGAGAAGATACCTTCAAGGGCAGAGACCACAACTGCAAATTGATGTTCCCCAACAGTACTAGGTAGTGCTGGGCACACAGTAGATGTTTGATAAATACCTGTTGATCCCATATAAATAAATACAGTAGACTATAATTGAAAAGGCAATAATTAGGATTATTTAAAAATAGAAAAGTATTCAAGCTAAGTAATTAGTGATAAAGATGGGCTTGTTTCCTCTGAGTTTATGATTTCAGTCAGAATCTTCAATTCTGTATGCTTAAAAATGAACTGATACTTATGAAGTTCAATGTATTTCTAGGATACTGAACTACTACAAACTGCCAACTTTATATTGTTTACATCACTCATCAATATTGAAAAGCATAATATTATGTGACATTGTAAATTATAATCCAATGGATCCCAGCTGAACAGTCACTTATTTGAAACAATACAGGAAAATTATCATCTATTCCTATTACTAAAGTTGCATATGTTAATCATAATTCTCAATTTTACATATTTGTATTTGGTTACAACTAGCTAAATGCTATCAGTGCTGTCTTCCTAAGTTGCTGTGTCTGTATGGTATAAATGAGGTTCTCTATTACTGTTAAGCCCAGGTACTCGCAGCAGCTACCACAAAGTTCAGCCATTTCCATGAGATAAAGGGATGCATTATGGCCAGTAATGTTATAAGACGTTTGACCAGGAGTCACTGGATCAGTGGCCGAATTTTCACCAATTCAGAAAAAGACACATGGATTCTATTCAAGTGGTTCTATTACCTCGCTGAAAGTTTTCTAACTTAGCCACTTATTAAGGGGCTAAAACTACTAAAAATGAATCCACAGTACCTTCACTTTAGAATTCCACACACGGGCTACTCCAAATTAGTACTTCTCAGCCTAAGGACACAGTGGATACTGGCCACAATTTTAATTCATAAAAATAAATTAAATTTCATTTTAATTCATAAAAATAAAGTTTAATTTTAATTTTTGTGACTAAAGAAAAAAATAGAAAATACTCAAGAGCTGTGAAAAACGTAAAGGAAAAAAGAAAACCCAGATCATGATATAACACGAAAAGGAAATTATAGCTCTTACACCTCGTATTTCTTAACCCAAAATAAAAACATGACTATTGTAACACCGACTCAGGATCTACAGAAAAGCAAAAATCACAAGAATATACTGTGTGGGAAGGTAGGGGAATCAGTCAAACCCAGATTTTTGACATCCTGAGATAAGATGACTCTACCCATCTTTCCACTGGTTTTGGCATAGTGTAGACAGGGTTTACACGGGTTGTTTATAGACACTAAGGATTTCCATAAAAATTCTTTTTCCTGATACCCAGATAAGATTCAGACTTTGGTCCAGTCACTCTGAACCAGAAAGGCTACTTCATAAACTATTTCATATTTATCCCATGACATTTTGGAATGGGGACACAAGAAGTATTTCTCTTTGAAAATATACATTTGAATGCAACCATGAAAGATGATGGTACAGACTTTTTTCTTCTTAGCAATTCAAGTGATACTTAATAGAGAAGGGTAAGTCCTGCTATCTTGCTGAGTAAAAAAAAGACAAATCCATAATATGGCCATATTTCTTCTCCATAAAAATAAATTTTATCTATTTGCCTATATTTTCTTTGTAGGAATTTGTAAAATGCTCTATTGTCAGACTTGGGAACATTTCTGCCCCACCCCCAGAAATCACTTATTTTTATGCCATGGATGGAAAAAAGGGAAAATAGAAGCTACTATAAGCAAATGAAAACTGGCATTTAGTAAAAATCATACATAAAGGAGATAAATGAATACCTTAAAGTTTAACCAGATACTTAACCTCAATATGTACTGGTCAGGTTAGGATAGATGGAAGAAACTGCCAAAAGCACCCATTTTACTCCAAATCCATATCTTAAGTAATTCTTTAGAAAATTAAGAAATAAAAAAAGTAAATACACACAAAAGATCTATTCCAACATGCTTGCTTCTATACAACTTAATGTAGTATTAATCCTATTATATTACGGCTTATGATGCAGATTTGAATATCCTAAATAACATTTCCCAACAAATCAGGTATGGAGCATAAAAGTATCATAAGGTATAACCTCTGCAGCAGGTGCCAGTCCTGTTGTCCAACAGCAGCAGTACGAAGAAGGCCTGCTGTAGTTACAAATGTACTTGGAAAAACTATAAACATGACAATTTAACCAAACTTATAATACTTTTCCCACAAGTAGGAAAAATATATTAAAGCTGCTCTCTTTGGGACCCAGATATCATCAGCAGAAATGAAAATGCAAAAGCCTATTTTTTTTAATGTTGAGAAGAAAATCACAATGTCAAACGAAATGAGAAATGAGGGATCTTTCATGGAGTTCTTACACATTGGCTACGAAAGTGTTTCCCTGCAAAGAGAAGAGTCTTACTGGGTCATCACAAAATGATGGGGAGTGCAGAGGGAAGGTGGGATATAAGGTAATCAACCTGGATAACAGTATGCACCTTGGATGTTAGCAAAAGCGAAGCTAATAGCTTATAAAAAACACATGAAATATATAAAATAAAATGATTTTCATATACATCTTAATTTAAAATAATTAATGCATCAAATCCCTGTTTAAGACTTTAACCTGAATATCAAATTTAAGAGTCCAGACTAGTTACTGTTACTGTGGCCCTTCCCCACATGTAACACACACACTATCAAAAATAATTTAAAAACCTTCACATTCTTACATCTAAATTAGTGAGATATTTCTCCAGAAATCTTCCAAATAAATAGCTTTAAAAAAAGAATTTAAAAGCTGTTAACTTTAAAAAAAAATCTGTTAAATAAATTATTGATAATTCTTTACCCTACCACTGAAAATACATCAAGACACTACCAACAACAAAATAAAATTCAAGCCCTGACAAGAGACCCTTTCCAGTTCAAGGTCTCTTTTTAAGGTTCTACCCTCCTTCTTCCTCTCCCCCACCAGGTCCAAAATGGTTATTGCTGAGTGGGTGTGGCACAGTGAAAATGCAGCATCAGGTTCATTCTGTTCTTCGGGCAGTGTTCTTACTATACACACAAACTGCTCCAGGCAGGGGGACAGCGGAAGCTCCAGGCTCCTGCACCCCTAGACTGGTCTCCAAAGGGAAGAATGGCTGCAACAGCAGCTCTGTCACACAAAGAAACGTGCATGGCCATTTCTGTTCAACTTAAGGATCTTCCCAAGACGTTGTTTGGCTGTTGCCATTCCTTTTTTTGGACGTTTACCTATAAAACACCAAAAGGGAGTGTAAGTAATGATGAAAAGTACACTTAAGAGAGCACCTGGAAGACTACGGGGAGAGCTTTCTTTATGGGAAGTAAGCCCTTAGGTGTTCTGCATGGACAGAGTCATACTTCTGAACTTCCGCTGTTTAAAACCCTTCCACCTCATCACACTAGGCCCTCACAAGACTCACAAGGCTTCCCACAGTCTGGTCTGCCTGCTCTTCAGCCTGGGCTCTTCCCTATCCTGCATTACACTATGCTTAGGCAACAAAACTGACTACCATTTCACAAATACCCCATATCCTGCTTCTCCCCTTTGTGCCCTGCCTCAGGCTCAATCCTCTGCCTTCAAAGCTGTCTATTCTGTCACTTTCCCCAATTCAGCCTGGCTAACCCCTGAACATCTGATTTTAGGATCTGTCTCTCGCTCCTCAGAGCTGACTTGGGTATCCTTTTTCTTTGTTCCTGTAGTAGCCTGTGTATACTGCCATCACTATGCTGTCTACTATGCATGAGATGTTGAACAACTTGAGTGCAGAGACTACACCTCAACTGCCATGATGACCATCACATACAGTCAGAAATATACTTTCTCTATACATGTGTGAAAGTTACCTTTTGTTGCCTGGTTGCTGATAGGTGGTGGATTTGATGCCGGTCTCTTGGTGGGGTGAAGGGGCACCGAGAAGGAAGTTTCACCAACTGGCCTTTCTGGGCTTAGACTGCCATTACTTATCTGGCACGCCCCCGAAGTCAGGTTTGAATTCTGCATATACTTTCCATTCTGAAGGCTTGAGCCGCTGCTGTCCACATAATTCCTACTTTGTACCCTCTGACTAATTTCTGATGAACCTTCCTTTCTGATGCATTTCTGGCTTCTACTTAGATCCTGAAGGAGGAGGAAGGACATGAGGCTGAATTTTTAGGGTTTAAATGAGGTATTTAAGCTCTCTATGCATTGGCAAAGTCAAGTGAGAGAAGAAACAAACTACTGAATTCTGATTTTCTTAACATCTATTAGCCACGGATGACCACTCCTGCATGATGTCGTCTCAGTAGCTCTGAAGGACTCGGGTCTTTAAGTTGCATCGTTAAGTTAAGAAGGCGAAAGAGAGAGTGAGAGAAAACAACGTAAACAGGCACCACGCCCTACTTGCTACTCAGCTCAGTGAGCACATGCCAACGCAGGGACCCTGAGCTGGGGGAATGGATCGATCTCCCACTTCCCTGGCAAGTCACAGCTCCCTTGGACCTCTCATGTGTCATGTTCTTTTCTAGAGTCTATCTTCTATCAGGTTCATCTCCACTGTATTTTTTTGCTAGGAAATCCTTAGATCCAGAGTGCCAAGCTTGGTGTTTTCCTTTCACTACAACTACTCTTTCAGTCTCTTAAGACTATCGAGTAAACTTTCAGGGGGCAAAAAAAACGCTACTGATTGATGAGTCTTGAAATTAACTGAGAGGGTTATAACCAGCACTAAAAAGAGAAAGGAACAGACTAGATGTGAACAGAGTACACTATAGTGTGAATGTTTCATGAAACCAGTTTTCATTATGCTAATCATCCATCCTCTATGTCTTCATTTATTTTCAAAAACAATTATAAAAAGAACAGCCAGATTTAAATAATAGCTCAAATTACATAATGAATCCTATAGTGCTAGTAAGTGATAAACTTTATGACCAGCTACAGTGAGGCACTATAAAATCATACACCGAAAAGTAAATTATAATGAGATTTCTTATGACCTTTGACTCTGGAATGTATCCTTCTAGTCAAAGAACGTATACTCACAAAGCCTTCCTTTAAAAAAAAAACTTGCTTCTTTTTCTTATGCAAGTAATTGCTTAAATATTTAGAAAATATAGACAAGCCAAATTTAAAAAATTAATAAAAACCACCCATAATTCTACTACTCAGAGATTAATGATGTTCCATATTTAGGGGTAGAGTCTTTTCTGTCTATATACACGGGTGTCTCCTCCTCCAGGGATTTTAATCCATTCCTCCAGTCACCTCAGGGCTCTGGAAGATGGCAAAACCCAGGAGGCCTTTTTCACTTCTGCTGAGGTCTTTCGGTGCCATGTGAAAGCTTTATTCATAAGAGATTTTTCCCTTCACTTCTTAAACAGTCGACTCATGTTCCCCTCTGTCTCCTCTTCCCTCCTTCCCTTCTCCCCCACAAATGTTTCTTCACTCAGAGGAGAACTAGAGGCAATATTTCTGCCTTTGCTGATTTACTTTCTTTCTTATGTGTGCTTGGGGTAGAGAGGTTTGGGGCCCCACAGTGCCACATGAGAACTTTGATTCTTTCTTTGGCTGCCATTTTCCAAGGTTTGCAAAAAAAGGTTGTATCACTTCTCTTGTTTGGTGCTGCTGATAAAGTTTTAGTTTTTTCAAAACTGCTATTTTGGGTTCATTTGATAATGTAAGCAAAAGTTGTGTTTATCATGAATGTATTTTCTAGAAAGACAATCTGTAACTTTCATCAAATGCTCAAAGAAATTCAGTATCCAAAACCGTTCAAGAAACAGCATCAGAGATTAAAAAGATATGATATTCATCTTTTCCTTGAATATTTCATTCTAACCAGATATAACCTACATGGGTTGGCAGCCAGTGGTTTAACTGCTTCCTTGAATAAATTATTCTTTTCCAGATCACATTCTATCCATGAGCCTTATGTTAGTTATCATTTCGGCATCTCTCAAAATGGACAGTTGTTCAAATGTGCATTTAACTGTAATTTTCTGGCTGCCTAGATCTAGCAGTTGATAACTGGTTGTTACAGTTTTAAAAAAGAAAGCAAAAACAACGTTAATGATCATTTTAAATCTCCTTTTAACGTTTCAAACTTTGAATATACCTGAGGATGAAATCTGGAAGTATCAAACTGTTTAATCCAGGAGGAAGTCCTCAAGTCTGGATCTTCAGTCTTGACATGGTATCCTAAAGAGAAGTTTTAGTTTAATTAACTTTGCACAAACTTGATTTGAAATGACAAAATTAGCCTAATGCTTAAAAATGAAAGCAGGTTGGGCGTGATGGCTCACGCCTGTAATCCCAACACTTTGGGAGGCCAAGGCAGGTCAATCACTTGAAGTCAGGAGTTCGAGACCAGCCTGGCCAACATGGTGAAACCCCGTCTCTATTAAAAATACAAAAATTAGTTGGGTATGGTGGCGGACGCCTGTAATCTCAGCTACTTGGGAGGCCGAGGCACGAGAATCACTTGAACCCGAGAGGTGGAGGTTGCAGTGAGTTGAGATCATGCCACTGCATTCCAGCCTAGGCAACAGAGTGAGACTCCATCTTGGGGGAAAAAAAAAAAAGCAAGCAAATTTATGTTGACATTGTATTTAAAAACACATTAACTCTTTAGATACTCATTTGCATACCTTTACCTTCACTATATGCCTTTCCCTCAAAAACAAAAAGTCACCAATTCATAACCTATTATGCTAATTCTTTTGATTCTCTCAAAGACTGTCTTCATTTATTCATTCATTCTCTAGTCAAGTGAAGCAGTGAGATGGAGAAGAAACAAAGAAATCTGTAATTGTTTGTGATCAAATAGTTATAAACACCATACTCAGACCAGCCTCAAAGACTGTCTTTATATGATGGGTTTTGGGCTAGATGCTGGAAGATCTACAATCAAATTCTTTTTCTTTTGAGATGGAATTTCCCTCTTGTTGCCCAGGCTGGAGTGCAATGTCGCAATCTCAGCTCACCGCAACCTCCGCCTCCCAGGTTCAAGCGATTCTCCTGCCTCAGCCTCCCAAGTAGCTAGGATTACAGGCATGCGCCACCACGCCCGGCTAATTTTTGTATTTTTACTAGAGATGGGGTTTCTCCATGTTGGTCAGGCTGGTCTTGAACTTCCAACCTCAGGTGATCCGCCCACCTCGGCCTCCCAAAGTGCTGGGATTACTGGCGTGAACCACTGCGCCCAGTGATCTAGAATCAAATTCCATGGCCGCCTATTGTATATGTAAAACCAATGCAATAATTCTCTATAAAAATGGTATATTTTTCCACATAGAATAAAGGCAGGTATTTGCCTGAATTTTGCAGTATTTCCATAGAAGTGTTCTCTTTCAAGGGACTAAAGGAAGACAAAATGGTGCAGTACAAAAAGAGACAAACCCAGATTTGAATTTGAGTTCTTCCATTACCAACGCAACTTTAGGCAACTTATTTATCCTCTCCAAACTTCAATTTCCTCTTATACAATAAGCAAAGACTTTGAGATCAGATGGTCCTGGCTTCAAATTCCAATACCACTGAATAATAGTTACATGAAGTACAGACAAGTTAAATTAGTTTTACTAAGTCTTATTTCCTTTACCTGTAAAATGGGAGTGATTTTACCTACAAGTATTGTTTTAAGAATTAAGTGAAATAACCAGGCATGGTGGCTCACACCTGTAATCTCAGCACTTTGGGAAGCAGAGGCAGGAGGATCACTTGAGCTCAGGAGTTGGAGACCAGTCTGGGCAACATAGGTGAGACCTCGTCTCTACAAAAAATAAAAAAATTAGCCAGGTGTGGTGACATGCATCTATAGTTCCAGCTACTTGGGAGGCTGAGACAGGAAGATTGCTTGAGGCCTGGAGGTTGAGGTTACAGTGAGCCATATTTGTGCCACTACATTCCAGCCTGGGCAGCAGAGTGAGACAGTCTCAAAATAAATAAATAAATAAATAATAAAAAAAATTATTTCAGTGAAATGGATGTCAAGCTCCTGGTATACAATTGATAATTATGTAGGATCAAACATATTTATTATATAGGCATTCAATTTTAATATAGTACTATCTTCTCCCCGGTCCTCCTCAGGCTTTTTGGGATACAAACATTTTCTCTAAAGGCACAAGGAAGAAAACACTATGTGGCATGCCTAACACTGCCACTGAGTCTACCCTCTTTTCCTAATACTTTCTTTTCAAGTAGGAGAAGGAATAGCCTCAATCAGAAAGAAACAGTTTAAAACTTATTTTTCCTCTCATAAAAGGAAAAAGGGCTGATTGTTCAAGCTTAGTTGGCCATTTAAGGCACCAAAACACTCCTTCCACTCTGATCAACCTGTCTGTAAAAGGGAAATAATACTAACTGGCTTGCAATAACAATGGTAGAATGATGCTAGTGAACACAATTGTCAATCCCAGGTAATTTACATTTTGAGTTCTTCTGCTTCCATCTTACGTGATATGTCAGCATTGTGCTTTTTTTGGTCAACCTTCTTAACACATTTCCAATTAAAGATGCTTATTCATAATCTCTAACCTAAATGAGGATTATTGAGCCATTAAGTTGGGCAACATATGTTACTTTTTAGAGACTGATAATTTATGTTTCTTACCACATTCCACTGGTTTATCATAGCGATACAACTGCCTAACCTCATGGTTACTGCCATGGCAGCTGCTGGGATCCTGGAGAGAGTTTCTTTCACCACTGCAGTCTGTGCTTTGTATTTGCCTTTGTAAACACGTGGAATAGTGCAACCCTGCCATAGACAGCATGCCCTGAATAGCTTCTTCCTCTGTGCTCGTCGAGGTAGGACATTCCCTAAAGAAGAGATGATCCAAAAACACAAGAGTCTATTTTTTCTGATGACATTTTTGGTAAAATTTAAAACTAAAAAAAGTGTTCATAGTATTTACCTTACAATATAATAAGACTTACTACTATCAGCAAGCCTACCTTTTAATTGGAATTTCACTTCTAGATGGCTTCTGGCTCTTTTGAAGGAAGTTCCTCATCACATTAGATTCCTCCTTAAAGTTGGATGTTATTTCTTGTTTCTTTTCATCACCTGAACTTTCAGACTCTTCAGTGGTAAAGATACTTTTCTGAGATGATAATTACATGGAAACAAAGCTACATAAGAAATTGACCAAGTCTGTACAAATGAATCCGAAAAGATTTTATACATCTAGAGAAAGTCAGAATCTTAATTATCAGGGAATTATTTCTGTAATTCACATGAAAAAAATGATAATCTCTATTAACTACATGAACATACTACCTTGATTAAAAAAATACACAGTATAGGCTTTCTTTAAGGTAAAATAAAATATAATCCATGAGAAATATGAAACAAGAATAGTATAAGCAAAGGAGTCTCTCCCTCTACCCTTTCCAAAATCAGACAAAAGCTCTATGTCTCAAATGTGAATGGTCACATGATGGCATGTGTGTACACTGACCACCACAGAAGACCCTGTGCTAATGTAAGTCAGACAGACAAGCTTTGAGAAAAGCTGTCATTTGCCTTGCTTCCAGGAGAAGTTACGTGGTGCTCATCTTTCCATCAAATAACGTACAAGCCATGGGGTCTCAGGCGTACCAGTGCAGTGCACTCGGGTCCGGAGTCTTCTGACTCAGAAATATCAGAATATCCTGATGATCTACTCCTGAGTTCTGATTTCACACGTGTAAAAAACCCTGAAAAAGAATGAAAGGATGAGAAAAAGAGAAAGTCATTTGACTACGATGAACAAGGTGACAAGATGGTATCTAAAGTCCACCCAGCTTGTGATGTCTCTCAATCTCTCTTGCTCTACCCTCCTTTTTCACTTTTATTTTCTTCATTTCTTTCTCCCCTTAAGGTCTTTCTCCCTAATTGGCCAAGACACAGACTGAAGTATATTCTCAAATATTAAGTGTGGTATTTCCATAATTATATATTCCTTACTTGGATGGATTGACTGTTTTGTATTTCTTTCCAGAAGAAAAATGCTGAAACTAAAATTAGCTATCAGATGCTTTTCACACTTCTCCTTTTGCATTAGTTGTATCATTAGAAAACAAAAAGATAACCTTCCCAAACGTAAAACGCATTCACGTAGATAGTGAATTCAACACGCTTATAAACTGGGTTCTTTCATGAGTCACTAACATATAGCAATGGTTTGATGGATTCCTGTTGATTAGCACCTGGTGTGTGCAAAGACAGAGTCACCAACTACAGCAGTGCCAATTTCACTCAGATTAGCAGGAACTGGGGTGTTCAACATGGATTAAATAATGTTAGTTATCTGAAACATTTATTTGTCAAGTACCAAAGTATATATTTGAACTACTTTTTAAAATAGAAAGGAATACAGAGATCCTGAAATATATTGAGAAACTAAGGCTTAATTCAAAGAAGAAAGACCTTAAGGAGAAGGAGGTGTTACTATTTTGCCATACTGATGATAACCAATTAATAACCCAGTAGAGGCCTTCTTGTCAACAGGTAATCAATTAAAACCACAATGCATGGATTACTAACAGCTTCAGATTAGCTAATCATATATACTTCCTAATTCTGAAAACCATACACATGGTAGCTGAACTTACATATAAAATTAAACGAAACTTGAAACTTTTATTTTGGGGAGTAGAGGCCTATAACATGCATGAGCTTTCAAGTGACTCTTTAAAAACTGACTAGATGAGTGCAGCTCTAACCCACAAACATCCCCTCACTGAGAACACCGCCCCTGGCCACTGGGCGTATACCTCACTGGGCATTCACGTTCAGCACTTCTCTCATACTTCAGATTTTTCAAGACAGTTTTAGGGACACAAAAGTTTTCTGCTATTTTAAACTTAAGAACTTCAAAATTAGCAAGTTACTTTACATATTATCACATTAGTAATCAAAAGATCTTTAAAATAACCATTAAAAAAACATACCATTCAGTGGTTTTTGAGATTCTTCATGTTCCACTCCCTCTACTCCTGAACTCTCTTCTATCTTCATTTTTGCCTTTTTTGTCCTTCTTTTATCCTCTTCATTTTCACTATCTGCTGTATAAAGACTTTGATCTGCAAAGGGCTGCCTTTCATCTCTGTATTAAGAAGGAAAAGTAATCAGAATATAGTGCAAGACTCTGTAGCCAAACAGTATTTATTCCCCTCTCCCTTAATTTACAAAGAGTAGAGAATTGAGACACTGTCCCCATATTTCATTCAACTGTGCAATAGTATGCGCTAGGGATCTGAGGTTCGTTTTTTGTTTTTGTTTTTTGAGACAGGGTCTTGCTCTGTTGCCCTGGCTGGAGTGCAGTGGCACAATCATAGCTCACTGTAAGTTTGAACTCCTGGGCTCAAGCGATCCTCTCACCTCAGTTTCTCAAGTAGCCAGGACTACAGGCATGGCCACCACACCCAGCTAATTTATTTTTATTTTTTTGTAGAGATGGAGTCTTGCTAAGTTGCCCAAGCTAGTTTTAAACTCCTGGTCTCAAGAGATCCTCCCACCTCAGACTCCCAAATCAACTTGGGATTACAGGTGTGAGCCACTGAGCTCATTACAGATTAAACGGGGGTCCCCAACCCCTGGGCCATAGACTGGTACCAGTCCGTGGCCTGTTAGGAACCAGGCCACACAGCAGGAGGTAAGTAGTGGGTGAGTGAGCATTACCACCTGAGCTCTGTCTCCTGTCAGATCAGTGGCAGCATTAGATTGTCATAGGAGCGTGAACCATATTGTGAACTACACATGTCCAAGAGTTACACACTCCTTATGAGAATCTAATGCCTGATGATATGAGGTGCAACAGTTTAATCCCAAAACCATTCCCTGGCTGAGAAAAAACTGTCTTCCACAAAACCGGTCCCTGGTGCCAGAAAGGTTGAGGACCACTGGGTTAAATGAACAAAGGGAACCCAATGAAAATTAATCTATTTGATACTCTGATTTACTTTACATACTTAATTATTCTTCCATTTGTCAGCAGTAATCGTAGATCATTATCTTTCGCTCTCCATTCAGGTACTGTGGAGGATGGTTGGAGATGTTTGTTGAATTTTCCATTCAGTTTAGAGCTCAAGATGTCCTGAAGGTATAAATGCAGAACTTACTTACCATCCACCCTCAGGTAGCCCTGTTCGACTGATGGAATACAGTATACCACCACCTCCCCCATGGTCCTGCATCTCAAAGATACAGGCAGCCACCTGGGCTTGGGGATATGCAGCAGTATGGCACTCCAGAGTTCCTAAAGCCAAAGTAAGAGTATGGCTCATCTTTCTGGAGGGCCATTAACCATGAAATGCATTCTAGAAAGTAAAACATAAAATATGCATAAAGTGAATTCAAAGAAATTTCATTCTTGCAGAAAGCTGAAAAACTGGAGAAGCACTGCCTCAGAGTATTTTAGCTCTCTTCCCCTTGCTTCTTCCTGCTAAAGTGCTAGCTACTGGGCCTTTCCATTCACCCATCCTTCATCTAATACCTAGTCAGCAACTTATAGCTCACCACACTGCTACCACTAGGAACAAGGGTCACCATGCGACATAAAGGCAGTAGCTGGGTTTTAATGAATCAAAAAGACTTCCTTTTCATAGTGATTTTCCCCTTAATAATAAATAGAACCTTTCATAATAAGCTTAATCTTCTCTGATGATTACAGTTTAGAACAGCATAATCTTAAAACATTATAATTACATACAATTTAAAATATTTTAAAAAGTTATATATATATATATATATACATATATACATATATATATATATATATACACATATATATATATATATATATATATATATATACATATATATTTTTTTGTTTGTTTGTTTGTTTGTTTGGAGACGGAGTCTCGCTCTGTCGCCCAGGCTGGAGTGCAATGGCATGATCTCGGCTCACTGCAAGCTCCGCCTCCCGGGTTCACACCAGTCTCCTGCCTCAGCCTCCTGAGTAGCTGGAACTACAGGCACCCGCCACTGCGCCTGGCTAATTTTTTGTATTTTTAGTAGAGACGGGGTTTCACCGTGGTCTCGATCTCCTGACCTCGTGATCCACCCGCCTCGGCCTCCCAATTTTTTTTTTTTTTAAGCCAGGATCTAGTTATGTTGGCCTTAAACTCCTGGGCTTAAATGATCCTCCTGACTTAGTCTCCTAAGTAGCTGGGACTACAGGCCCACACCACAGCACCTGGTTCTTCGATCTTATTCATTTAAAATGGCTGCTTATCCTCTTCTTGGGATGTAAAAGTATGGATGATGCAGAGCTCACTACAAAGTCACTACCATGTTCTGCAAAGGCGCTACACTGATCTCATTACTACCTCCCACTCTCCCCTTTGTCCAGTAGGCCAGCACTTCACGAAGTTTAAGAGTTTCTTCTGACAGTCTCCCAGTCTAACAGTCCTCCAGGCTGACTGCTGGCTCAAGTAGAGGCTTTCTGCATTTGCTCTTCCCTCTGCCTGTAATGCCATTCCTCCAATCACCACGTAACCATTTGACTTCTTCCTATTTGTTACTCAGCTGTCGGTTCAAACCTGAGAGGCTCTCTGACCACCTTAGCTAAAGCAGCCAGCTTTACCCCATCCCCCTTTATTCTGTTGTTCTATTGTTTTGGGTTTTTTTTAAATAACGCTTATCATCTGAAATTGTATTATTTTAGTATATGTCTCTGTCTCCCCATCCTTCCAGCTTGAACTAGGATGGAAGCTTCATGAGGGGCAGGGACTTAAGTTTTGCTCACAATCTTCTCCAGAGCCTAGAAGAGGAAATGGTACTTGCTAAAGACTCAATAAACATATCAGCAATCGAATGAGGTCTATTCATTCAAATTCTACACTAAAACTTAGAAAGATTAAGCACCACTCCCTGTCACAGGCATAACTACTGGTTGATCCCTACAATGCTGCAGCCAAGATTAGATATCAACAATAGTCAAGACTATTCTCTTATTATCCCTATAAAGACTTTAAGGAACAGCCAAGTTTCTTTTTGTTGTCATGAAACATAATACTTGCCTCTTCCCATGGACACATCTCTAATCTTTTGAGGACCTCCCTTGTGTGGAGCTCTAGGATGTCTAGGTTAGAAGGAGTTCGGACATTATGATCTCGAAGTTTCCTCATCTTTCTTCGGGAATGGTATGGGGAAGTTGCTTCATTTGAGGATCGTGAAACTGGACACACAATAGGAATTCCCTGAGATTTAACTGGTTTGCCGTTTTCCTCCTTTAAGAATTAAAATCAGAGTATTTTTATAAGAAGGCTGTTACACACATACGTGACTAAATAATCATCCATAAAAATATTTCAGAAAACAAAAACCATTCAGTTTAACCATATAAACACAAAAAAGACTAAATCCTAAGCTTCAAACAGCTTTGCTGAGAACTTTATATCCCTTCTCTCTCCAACATAATATACTGTGAACATACTTCCTTGATTTTTTTTTTTTTTTTGACACAGGGTCTCGCTCTTGTCACCCAGGCTGCAGTGTGTGGAGTGCAGTGGTGCAATCTTGCCTCACCGCAATCTCCACCTCCTGAGCTCAAGCGATCCTCCTACCTTAGCCTCCCAAGTAGCTGGGACTACAGGCGCACGCCACTGCACCCAGCTAATGTTTTAGAGACAAGTATTTGCCATGTTGCCCAGGCTGGTCTTGAACTCCTGAGCTCAGGGGATCCACCTGCTTCGGCCTCCCAAAGTGCTGGGATTACCGGTGTTAAATTAGCCACTGCACTGGGCCTTGATTTTCAATATCTTATTAAAGGCTGTGTTGCATTCCACTGTTAATTTTCTGACCTAATACTTACTGGTAGCCATTTAGGCTGCTGTTCTTTCCGACAATGAACATTCTTTTCACGTACATATTTGAATAAATTAAGAATTACTTTTTAAACTAAAATTATACATCTATGTAGTTTTAAAAATTAAATATTCTATAAGCATATCATGAAAAATAGCAGCCTCCTCTTCCCCATCCCTCTCATTCTCCAGAGGCAACCACTTGCAACATTTTTTTACTGTGGTAACATAAACATAAAATCTGCCATTTTAACAATTTTTAAGTGTACAGTTTAGTGGCATTAAGTAGAGTCACAGTGTTGCACAACCATCACTGCCATCCATCTCGAGAAGCTTCTCATCTGCACAAACTGAAACCTGAAACTGTACCCACTACACAATAATTTCCCATTCTCCCTTCCCGCCAACCCCTAGCAACTACCATTCTACTTGCATTCTCTATGAATTTGACACTTCTAGGAACCTCATATAAGTGGAATTTTATAAAATTTGTCCTTTGGTGACTGGCTTATTTCACTTAGCAAAATATCTTCAAGGTTCATCCACGCTATACCATGTGTCAGCATTTCCTTTTTTTTTTTATTTTAATTATTATACTTTAAGTTCTAGGGTACATGTGCACAACGTGCAGATTTGTTACATATGTATACATGTGCCATGTTGGTGTGCTGCACCCATTAACTTGTCATTTACATTAGGATTTCTCCTAATGTTATCCCTCCCCCCCCCTCCAACCCACGACAGGTCCCAGTGTGTGATGTTCCCCACCCTGTGTCCATGTGTTCTCATTGTTCAATTCCCATCTATGAGTGAGAACATGCGGTGTTTGGTTTTTTGTCCTTGTGATAGTTTGCTGAGAATGATGGCTTCCAGTTTCATCCATGTCCCTACAAAGGACATGAACTCATCCTTTTTTTGGCTGCATAGTATTCTACAGTGTATATGTGCCACAATTTCTTAATCCAGTCTATCATTGATGGACATTTGGGTTGGTTCCAAGTCTTTGCTATTGTGAATAGTGCCACAATAAACATACGTGTGCATGTGTCTTTATAGCAGCATGACTTATAATCCTTTGGGTATATACCCAGTAATGGGATGGCTGGGTCAAATGGTATTTCTAGTTCTAGATCCCTGAGGAATCGCCACATTGACTTCCACAATGGTTGAACTAGTTTACAGTCACAACAACAGTGTAAAAGTGTTCCTATTTCTCCACATCCTCTCCAGCACCTGTTGTTTCCTGACTTTTTAATGACTGCCATTCTAACTGGTGTGAGATGGTATCTCATTGTGGTTTTGATTTGCGTTTCTCTGATGGCCAGTGATGATGAGCATTTTTTCATGTGTCTGTTGGTTGCATAAATGTCTTCTTTTGAGAAGTGTCTGTTCCTATCCTTCGCCCACTTGTTGATGGGGTTGTTTGATTTTTTCTCGTAAATCTGTTTGAGTTCTTTGTAGATGCTGGATATTAGCCCATTGTCAGATGGGTAGATTGCAAAAATTTTCTCCCATTGTGTAGGTTGCCTGTTCACTTTGATGGTAGTTTCTTTTGCTGTGCAGAAGCTCTTTAATTAGATCCCATTTGTCAATTTTGGCTTTTCTTACCATTGCTTTTGGTGTTTTAGTCATGAAGTCATAGCCCATGCCTATGTCCTGAATGGTACTGCCTAGGTTTTCTTCTAGGGTTTTTATGGTTTTAGGTCTACTATTTAAGTCTTTAATCCATCTTGAACTAATTTTTGCATAAGGTGTAAGGAAGGGATCCAGTTTCAGCTTTCTACATATGGCTAGCCATTCCCAGCACCATTTATTAAATAGGGAATCGTTTCCCCATTGCAGATTTGTCAAAGATCAGATGGTTGTAGATGTGTGGTATTATTTCTGAGGGCTCTGTTCTGTTCCATTGGTCTGTATCTCTGTTTTGGTGCCAGTACCATGCTGTTTTGGTTACTGTAGCCTTGTAGTATAGTTTGAAGTCAGGTAGCATGATGCCTCCAGCTTTGTTCTTTTTGCTTAGGATTGTCTTGGCAATGTAGGCTCTTTTTTGGTTCCATATGAACTTTAAAGTAGTTTTTTCCAATTCTGTGAAGAAAGTCATTGGTAGCTTGATGGGGATGGCATTGAATCTATTAATTACTTTGGGCAGTATGGCCATTTTCATATTGATTCTTCCTATCCATGAGCATGGAATGTTCTTCCATTTGTTTGTGTCTTCTTTTATTTTGTTGAGCAGTGGTTTGTAGTTCTCCTTGAAGAGGTCCTTCACATCGCTTGTAAATCGGATTCCTAGGTATTTTACTCTCTTTGAAGCAATTGTGAATGGGAGTTCACTCATGATTTGGCTCTGTTTGTCTGTTATTGGTGTATAGGAATGCTTGTGATTTTTGCACATTGATTTTGTATCCTGAGACTTTGCTGAAGTTGCTTGTCAGCTTAAGGAGATTTTGGGCTGAGATGAGGGGGTTTTCTAAATATACAATCATGTCATCTGCAAACAGGGACAATTTGACTTCCTCTCTTCCTAACGGAATACCCTTTATTTCTTTCTCCTGCCTGATTGCCCTGGCCAGAACTTCCAACACTATGTTGAATAGGAGTGGTGAGAGAGGGCATTCCTGTCTTGTGCCAGTTTTCAAAGGGAATGCTTCCAGTTTTGCCCATTCATTATGATATTGGCTGTGAGTTTGTCATAAATAGCTCTTATTATTTTGAGATGCACTCCATCAATACCTACTTTATTAAGAGTTTTTAGCATGAAGGGCTGCTGAATTTCATCAAAGGCCTTTTCTGCATCTATTGAGATAATCATGTGGTTTTTGTCTTCGGTTCTGTTTATATGATGGATTACGTTTATTGATTTGCGTATGTTGAACCAGTCTTGCATCCCAGGGATGAAGCTGACTTGATCGTGGTGGATAAGCTTTTTGATGTGCTGCTGGATTTGGTTTGCCAGTATTTTACTGAGGATTTCTTGCATCGATGTTCATCATGGATATTGGTCTAAAATTCTCTTTTTTTGTTGCGCCTCTGCCAGGCTTTGCTATCAGGATGATGCTGGTCTTGTAAAATGAGTTAGGGAGGATTCCCTCTTTTTCTATTGATTGGAATAGTTTCAAAAGGAATGGTACCAGCTCTTCTTTGTACCTCTGGTAGAATTTGGCTGTGAATCCGTCTGGTCCTGGACTTTTTTTGGGTGGTAGGCTCTTAATTATTGCCTCAATTTCAGAGCCTGTTACTGGTATATTCAGGGATTCAACTTCTTCCTGGTTTAGTCTTGGAAGGGTGTATGTGTTGAGGAATTTATCTATTTCTTCTAGATTTTCTAGTTTATTTGCACAGAGGTGTTTATAGTATTCTCTGATGGTAGTTTGTATTTCTGTGGGATCGGTGGTGATATCCCCTTTATCATTTTTTATTGCATCTATTTGATTCTTCTCTCTTTTCTTATTAGTCTTGCTAGCAGTCTATCAATTTTGTTAATCTTTTCGAAAAACCAGCTCCTAGATTCATTGATTTTTTTGAAGGGTTTTTTGTGTCTCTATCTCCTTCAGTTCTGCTCTGATCTTAGTTATTTCTTGCCTTCTGCTAGCTTTTGAATGTGTTTGCTCTTGCTTCTCTAGTTCTTTTAATTGTGATGTTAGGGTGTCAATTTTACATCTTTCCTGCTTTCTCTTGTGGGCATTTAGTGCTATAAATTTCCCTCTACACACTGCTTTAAATGTGTCCCAGAGATTCTGGTATGCTGTGTCTTTGTTCTCATTGGTTTCAAAGAACATCCTTATTTCTGCCTTCATTTCATTATGTACCCAGTAGTCATTCAGGAGCAGGTTGTTCAGCCTCCATGTAGTTGTGCAGTTTTGAGTGAGTTTCTTAATCCTGAGTTCTAGTTTGATTGCACTGTGGTCTGAGAGACAGTTTGTTATAGTTTCTGTTCTTTTACATTCGCTGAGGAGTGCTTTACTTCCAACTATGTGGTCAACTTTGGAATAAGTGCGACGTAGTGCTGAGAAGAATGTACATTCTCTTGATTTGGGGTGGAGAGTTCTGTAGATGTCTATCAGGTCCACTTGGTGCAAGCTGAGTTCAATTCCTGGATATTCTTGTTAACTTTCTGTCTCGTTGATCTGTCTAATGTTGACAGTGGGGTGTTGAAGTCTCCCATTATTATTGTGTGGGAGTCTAAGTCTTTTTGTAGGTCTCTAAGGACTTGCTTTATGAATCTGGGTGCATATATATTTAGGATAGTTAGCTCTTCTTGTTGAATTGATCCCTTTAGCATTATGTAATGGCCTTCTTTGTCTCTTTTGATCTTTGTTGGTTTAAAGTCTGTTTTATCAGAGACTAGGATTGCAACCCCTGCTCTTTTTTTGTTTTCCACTTGCTTGGTAGATCTTCCTCCATCCCTTTATTTTGAGCCTATGTGTGTCTCTGCACGTCAGATGGGTCTCTGAATACAGCACACTGATGGGTCTTGACTCTTTATCCTATTTGCCGGTATGTGTCTTTTAATTGGAGCATTTAGCCCATCTACATTTAAGGTTAATATTGTTATGTGTGAATTTGATCCACTCATTATGATGTTAGCTGCTTATTTTGCTTGTTAGTTGGTGCAGTTTCTTCCTAGCCTTGATGGTCTTTACAATTTGGCATGTTTTTGCAGTGGCTGGTCTCAGTTGTTCCTTTCCATGTTTAGTGCTTCCTTCAGGAGCTCTTGTAAGGCAGGCCTGGTGGTGACAAAATCTCTCAGCATTTGCTTCTCTGTAAAGGATTTTATTTCTCCTTCACTTATGAAGCTTAGTTTGGCTGGATATGAAATTCTGGGTTGAAAATTGTTTTCTTCAAGAATGTTGAATATTGGCCCCCACTCTCTTCTGGCTTGTAGAGTTTCTGCCGAGAGATCCGCTGTCAGTCTGATGGGCTTCCCTTTGTGGGTAACCCGACCTTTCTCTCTGGCTGCCCTTAACATTTTTTCCTTCATTTCAACTTTGGTGAATCTGACAATTACGTGTCTTGGAGTTGCTCTTCTCAAGAAGTATCTTTGTGGCGTTCTCTGTATTTCCTGAATTTGAATGTTGGCCCGCCTTGCTAGGTTGGGGAAGTTCTCCTGGATAATATCCTGAAGAGTGTTTTCCAACTTGGTTCCATTCTCCCCGTCACTTTCAGGTACACCTATCAGACGTACATTTGGTCTTTTCATATAGTCCCATATTTCTTGGAGGCTTTGTTTGTTTCTTTTTACTCTTTTTTCTCTAAACTTCTCTTCTTGCTTCATTTCATTCATTTGATCTTCAATCACTGATACCCTTTCTTCCACTTGATCAAATCGGCTACCGAAGCTTGTGCATGCGTCACATAGTTCTTTTGCCATGGTTTTCAGCTCCATCAGGTCATTTAAGGTTTTCTCTGTGCTGCTTATTCTAGTTAGCCATTTGTCATATCTTTTTTTTCAAGGTTTTTAGCTTCTTTGCGATGGGTTTGAACATCCTCCTTTAGCTCAGAGAAGTTTGTTATTACTGATCTTCTGAGGCCTACTTCTGTCAACTTGTCAAAGTCATTCTCCGTCCAGCTTCGTTCCGTTGCTGACGAGAAGCTGCGTTCCTCTGGAGGGGAAGAGGCACTCTGATTTTTGGAATTTTCAGCTTTTCTGCTCTGTTTTTTTCCCCATCTTTGTGGTTTTATCTACCTTTGGTCTTTGATGATGGTGACCTAGAGATGGGGTTTTGGTGTGGATGTCCTTTCTGTTTGTTTTCCTTCTAACAGTCAAGACCCCTCAGCTGCAGGTCTGTTGGAATTTGCTGGAGGTCCACTCCAGACCGTTTGCCTGGGTATCACCAGCGGAGGCTGCAAATATTGCAGAACAGCAAAGGTTGCTGCCTGATCCTTCCTCTGGAAGCTTCGTCTCAGAGGGGCACCCAGCTGTATGAGGTGTCAGTCGGCCCTTACTGGGAGGTGTCTCCCATTTAGGCTACCCAGGGGTCAGGGACCCACTTGAGGAGGCAGTCTGTCCGTTCTCAGATCTCAAGCTGTGTGCTGGGAGAACCACTACTCTCTTCAAAGCTGTCAGACAGGGACGTTTAAGTCTGCAGAAGTTTCTGCTGCCTTTTGTTCAGCTATGCCCTGCCCCCAGAGGTGGAGTCTACAGAGGCAGGCAGGCCTCCTTGAGCTGTGGTGGGCTCCACCCAGTTTGAGCTTCCTGGCTGCTTCATTTACCTACTCAAGCCTCAGCAATGGTGGATGCCCCTCCCCTAACCTCGCTGCCACCTTGCAGTTTGATCTCAGACTGCTGTGCTAGCAGTGACCAAGGCTCCGTGGGTGTGGGACCCTCGGAGCCAGCGCAGGATATAACGTCCTGATGTGCTGTTTGCTAAGACCATTGGAAAAGTGCAGTATTAAGGTGGGAGTGTCCTGATTTTCCAGGTACCGTCTGTCACGGCTTCCCTTAGCTAGGAAAGGGAACTCCCCGACCCCTTGCACTTCCTGGGACAGGCGATGCACCGCCCTGCTTTGGCTCACGCTCCGTGGGCTGCACCCACTGTCCAACAAGCCCCAGTGAGATGAACCCAGTACCTCAGTTGGAAATGCAGAAATGACCCATCTTCTGTGTCGCTCACGCTGGGAGCTGTAGACTGGAGCTGTTCTTATTTGGCCATCTTGGAATCCTCCCAGTCAGCATTTCCTTCTTTTATAAGGCTGAGTAGTATTCCACTGTGAGTATGTCCCACACTTTATCTATTCACCTGCTGATGGACACCTGGGTTGCTTGGTCTATCTTTTGGCTATTGTGGATAATGCTGCTATAAACGTAGGTGTACAAATACCTGTTTGAGTCCCTGCTATCAATTCTTTTAGGTATATAGCCAGGACTTCCAACTCTTCTAAATGGTTTTCCCTGTAGTTATTTGCCTCCAAATTACAAAATGATATGTTTATACTGTTTTCAGCTTCAGATATTACTGAATTCCTATCATGCAAGATGAAGTCTTAATCCTTACACACCTCTCTTAAACATGCACATACCTCCCTTTCCTTCAATATTCAGTAAATTGGACTTGGTAAAAATTATTGATAACCCAGCGCCACATAACATATTGTCATTACATTCCCTTATTCAATCACTAACTGATTCCCAAATTATCCACTAGAAGAATACAAACATTCAAACACATTTGGTAATCTAATAATTTTATATTTTTCTCTGGAGACATCCTTCCTGGATAGGATTGCCAGATAAAATAACAGACACCCACTTAAACTTGAATTTCAGGTCATAACAAATATGGATCCTTTCATTCTTCTGATCCATCCTGAACTGGCTGCTCTCTAGACCAGTTTAATTACTCTTCCAAGTGTATTTTACCACTTTAAATTTGTAATACTAATTTAGAGCTGACTGACACTCCCATTTAACTACTGTTTTACTTCCTAAAAGTAAAGATTTATAGTTTTTCTTCATATAGAATCATACCTTTCACAGTAAGTTTATTCTTCATGTTGGTTATCATGCATGAGATTTATATATGTATAAACTTACATATATATTTAAGATTAGATATATGACTTTTGATACTAAATCAATTTAAATGTGATTACTGTAACACTTTAAAAACAGAACGTATTTTTCTCCTCTATCTGAACACATTGAGAATTACACATTCTATCCATTGATATTAAAGCAAGCATTTTAGTATTTTGTAAATGTATACCTCTTTCCATTCTCCAAACACAGCCCTAATGTAAGCTGTTAAATCATCAGCTGGCCTCCATTCCTCCACCTAATTTCCTCTCAATTTAAGCTAGACACTAACAGAACAACCTTCTTGAAGAATTACTTTAAAACACCCTTTCTTAAACACCGAGAATAGCTCTCAATTAATAAATTAAAACATCTCATCAGATTTTATGAGCTTTTATTAAAGGGCATTTACCTAAGCATCTCCTTGCCCCACTCTACTGCTTATCATCCCTCTCTCCATCTCAGCTTCCCTAGCTTGACTCATTCACCTTACATTTCTTCTCTTGTTCTAATTACATAAACATGTATTCCTCTCTGGGTAGCTGAAATTAACTGTATCTGAAAGTTCTACTGTTTATACTCTGTATTTTTGATTTTTTTTAAGTATCCTAAACTAGTAACTGTTTCCTTATTACTTCATTAGAATTCATTAGAATACAATATTTAAATTTCTCTTAAGGACTTCAGAGGCCTGAAAACCTGAGAAACCTCCAAAGACTCAGCTCATTATATTTCTTCTAAGTGTGTAAGAGTTTTTAAATATTTGTAGAGAGTGGAATAGATCCATTTGCTTCTCAAAGCAGATAATAATCAAGCATTTACATGACAGTTTCCACTCTTACCTCTATTGCTCGAATTACTTTAGAAAGTTCTTTAATAAGGTGTCCAGGTCTAACATTGTCTGGAATTTCAAAGGCATGTTCAGATACAAGCTGTATTTGGATTAACAAAAATAAGAAAACCAAAGTTATTTACACTTTAATATGTAAAAACAAATTTACTAAACCAATTTTTGGATTCTCTAAACTGTTACAGACATCGCCAAATACTAGTAAGCCAGGTTTCAGAGTTCGTGTAGCTAGTATAATGCCTTCTAAGGAGATTCTCATTAACATACAAAATCCTCTTAGACTGTGTTAAAAACAGACTAGTCTCACAGTGAATTTTGCTTTACATTGAGTAGTAACCTTGTACTCTACTCCTCAAAGCCTACTGTAATTCTAACTACTACTACTAATTCGTAAAGTGACAAATTAAGCTTAACATTTAATTCATAATGCATAAGGATTTTTAAGGAGAACACAGACACTAACGTAATCCTAATTTCTCTTGGGAAATCTAATTTGAATAAATTTTTGTACTTTTTTTTCTTTTAATAGTCAAAAGCAAAATAGAAAAAAGATCCCATCAATAGGAAAGGGGAAGGCCGGGCGCAGTGACTCACGCCTGTAATCCCAACACTTTGGGAGGCCAAGGCTGGCAGATCACCTGAGGTCAGAAGTTTGAGCCCAGCCTGGCCAACATGGCAAAACCCCGTCTCTACTAAAAATACAAAACTAAGCCAGGCGTGGAATCCCAGCTACTCAGGAGGGTGAGGTAGGAGAATCACTTGAACCCAGGAAGTGGAGGTTGCAGTGAGCCGAGATTGTGCCACTACACTCTAGTCTGCACAACAGAGTGAGACTCTGTCTCAAAAAAAAAAAAAAAGCTCTAAAGGGAATTCTGATAAAGTCACAAATTTGAGAATCACACATCTAAAGCCTTCAGTAGGAAACAAATTATACAGTTTTGGCAACATATGCTTTGTTTTGTTTTTATCTTGTTAAACAGTTTTAAATTTGCTTATGGCTTTCCTTGTCACCTAGACAATAAGGTCTTTCACAGTGGAGGACATGATTTTTATTTTCCTGAATGCTTCCACACTGTTGTGCTCTAGCAGATATGTAGCAATGATAATACAGTAAAAAGGGAGTATAAAATCATTGAGGCAGTAACCTATTAATTACTGTCTCCCAGTATTTCTTAAGAGCAAGATTTTTATTTCAAGGGGACATTCAAGAAATTAATATGGACACAGCCAGGCACAGTGGCTCATGACTGTAATTCCAGGACTTTGGAAGGCCAAGACGGGTGGATCACCTGAGGTCAGGAGCTCAAGACCAGCCTGGCCAACATGGCGAAACCTCATTTCTACTAAAACATACAAAAATTAACTAGGCGTGGTGGTGCGTGCCTGTAGTCCCAACTACTCGGGAGGCTGAGGCAGGAGAATCACTTGAACCCAGGAGGCGTAGGTTGCAGCGAGCCGAGATCGCACCACTGCAATCCAGCCTGGGCAACAGATTAAGACTCTGTCTAAAAAAAAAAAAAGAAATTAATATGGACATGTATTTTCATCAGCTCACATATGTATGTATCACCTATTAAAGTATTATGTGCAAAGTTCCATGGAGTTATAATAAAGATGAGAAAGACAGTCCCTGTTCAAGAGCTCACAGACCCAGTTGAAGGAAACACAAATATATTACTTTATAAACATTTGTTTTAAGCCCATAGGCACAAGAAATATAGCATGGATGCATAAGGGAAGGAAACACTAATTCCAAATGGAGATCTGGAGGTGGTGGGATTCAAATGCAAACAACTAGCTCATATTTTCATGAAAATGGAAAGCTCATGCTTGAAATTTGGTCTCTCCTTTCCTTCACTTTTACATAAATCTAGCAGAGTGGTAACGAGCATAGGCTTTGCAGTCCCAGAGATCTAAGTTTTAAGTCCTAACTTCACCAGTTCTCTTGGGCAAGTTACTTAACTCTTTGAACCTTGGCTTTCCCATATGTAGAATGGTGGTACCAACAGCACCTAGACCTCACACAGTTGGCATTGAGGATTAAATGAGATTATGTGTATAAAGATTAAGCACAGTGCTCTCAGCACACTATAGCACAACTGTAAGAGCTCAATGTTACCTATATGTTCATTTCTTAGTCAATTTCCTAAATATACTTGAATTACTTTCTTTTCCAGATTGAAGATTAAAGAAATAAATACTTTATTCTCATAAAAGAAGCCAGTACATTTGTATATACTGAATAATAAAATGCAGGTTGTATATAAAGGCATGATTTCTATTCCCTCTACTACTGGCATTCACACGTGCTGCCAAAATAGCACAAGGACTCTGTTTTCCTAATCTTGTGGCATAAAACACAGTGATTTCACTGTTGAAACAACTTACTTCTTTTTTCATCCATAATTTTAAAGCAGTATGCAGTGCTTTCACTCCCTGTACTAGGTAAGTTTGAGGCTGGAAACCATCTTCTCTCAGTTCTGTAGGAATGGAAATGGGGTGAGAAAAAAAAATAGTTAAAATGTTCTAAAGTTAAAGGGATTAACTTCAGATTTTGAGTAGCCACCAAATATAAAACTATATAACTTCCAAATTAATAAAAATATAAAAAGTGAAATATGAAACAATTCAAAAAGACAATAAAGAAACAGAATTACATTCAATGTAATTTACTAAATACTCCAGTTAAAAGAAAGGCCATTTCATTGGATTTAATTTTTTTGTGTAGAGATGGGGTCTCAGTATGTTGCCCAGGCTGGTCTCAAACTCCTGGCTTCAAGCAGTCCTCCAGCCCTGGCCTTCCAAAGTGCTGGGATTATAGGCATGAGCCACTGTATCTGGCCAGATTTTAAAATAAGTTAAATATGCACACATACCATATTAAAAAATATAGAAAGGTTTCAAATAAAAGGATGGGAAAAAGATACCAAGCTTCCAAAAGAAAGGGGGTGTAACTGTCACTAATAAAGGGTTATTTCATAATGACCAAGGATTCAATTCACCAGAAAGACGTATGTAACCACTTAGAATTTGTACTCAATAACATAGTATTGAAAATATAGAAAACGCCCCTCCCCCTTCCCCTCCCCTTTCCACGGTCTCCCTCTGATGCCAAGCGGAAGCTGGACTGTACTGCCGCCATCTCGGCTCACTGCAACCTCCCTGCTTGATTCTCCTGCCTCAGCCTGCCGAGTGCCTGGGATTGCAGGCGCGCGCCACCACGCCTGATTGGTTTTCGTATTTTTTTGGTGGAGACGGGGTTTCGCTGTGTTGGCCGGGCTGGTCTCCAGCTCCTAACCGCGAGTGATCTGCCAGCCTTGGCCTCCCGAGGTGCCGGGATTGCAGACGGAGTCTCGTTCACTCAGTGCTCAATGTTGCCCAGGCTGGAGTGCAGTGGCGTGATCTCGGCTCGCTACAACCTCCACCTCCCAGCCGCCTGCCTTGGCCTCCCAAAGTGCCGAGATTGCAGCCTCTGCCCAGCCGCCACCCCGTCTGGGAAGTGAGGAGCGTCTCTGACTGGCCGCCCATCATCTGGGATGTGAGGAGCCCCTCTGCCCGGCTGCCCAGTCTGGGGAGTGAGAAGCGCCTCTTCCCGGCTGCCATCCCGTCTAGGAAGTGAGGAGCGTCTCTGCCCGGCCGCCCATCGTCTGAGATGTGGGGAGCGCCTCTGCCCGGCCGCCCCGTCTGGGATGTGAGGAGCACCTCTGCCCGGCCGCGACCCCGTCTGGGAGGTGAGGAGCCCCTCCGCCCGGCAGCCGCCCCGTCTGAGAAGTGAGGAGCCCCTCCGCCCGGAAGCCGCCCCGTCTGAGAAGTGAGGAGCCCCTCCGCCCGGAAGCCGCCCCTTCTGATAACTGAGGAGCCCCTCCGCCCGGCAGCCGCCCCATCCGGGAAGTGAGGAGCGTCTCTGCCCGGCAGCCGCCCCGTCCAGGAGGTTGGGGGCAGCCCCTGCTCGGCCAGCCGCCCCATCCGGGAGGGAGGTGGGGGGCAGCCCCCGCCCGGCCAGCCACCCCGTCTGGGAGGCAGGTTGGGGCCAGCCCCCGGCCAGCCAGCTGCCCCATCAGGGAGGGAGGTGGGGGGCAGCCCCCACCCAGCCAGCCGCCCCGTCCGGGAGGTAGGGGGCGCCTCTGCCCGGCCGCCCCTTCTGGGAAGTGAGGAGCCCCTCTGCCCAGCCGCCACCCCGTCTGGGAGGTGTAACCCAACAGCTCATTGAGATCGGGCCATGATGACAATGGCAGTTTTGTCCAATAGAAAAGGGGAAAATGTGGGGAAAAGAGAGAGAAATCAGATTGTTGCTGTGTCTGTGTAGAAAGAAGTAGACATGGGAGACTCCATTTTGTTCTGTACTAAGAAAAATTCTTCTGCCTTGGGATGCTGTTAATCTATGACCTTACCCCCAACCCCGTGCTCTCTGAAACAGGTGCTGTGTCCACTCAGGGTTAAATGGATTAAGGGCGGTGCAAGATGTGCTTTGTTAAACAGATGCTTGAAGGTAGCATGCTCGTTAAGAGTCATCACCACTCCCTAATCTCAAGTAATCAGGGACACAAACACTGCAGAAGGCCGCAGGGTCCTCTGCCTAGGAAAACCAGAGACCTTTGTTCACTTGTTTATCTGCTGACCTTCCCTCCACTATTGTCCCATGACCCTGCCAAATCCCCCTCTGTGAGAAACACCCAAGAATTATCAATAAAAAAATAAATTTAAAAAAAATAAATAAATAAAAAAAAATAAAACATTAATAGTACAAGAAAAGTAAAAAAAAAAAATAAATGTCATACAATATTTTTATCATAAAAAAAAAAGGCTTATACACATATGAAAAAAACTACCCGATTCTATCAATAATCAGGGAAATGCACATTAAAAGCACAAAGAATACTACTTTATATCCATGAGATTTGCAAAAATTATAACCTAACAATACCAAGTGTTGGCCAGAGCATAGAGCTTTGGGAACTCTCTTGCCCTGCCATGGAAATGGGAATTGGAAACAATTTGGCAGCAACTGCTAAATTCTACCTATGACCTAGCAATTAGGCCTGTTTTCTGGAGTAATTCTTGTACTAGGTGACAAAGACAAGAACTTCTTAGCAGCATTTTCCGTAATTGTCAAAAACCAAAAATAACTCCAAAATGTCAAACTTGCAGAATCAGTGTGTGTGTGTGTGTGTATATCATAGTATATTCATACAACAGAATACTCTAGCAATGAAAAAGAACTACAGCCACACACAAAAACATGGATGAATCTCACAAACAATGCTGAGTAAAAGGTTACAAGAGAATACCAGTATGAATTTATTTGTAGGAAGTTTACAAATGGAGAAAATTAAATTATTTTAGTTTATAACACAGGTGATAAAACTGAAGAAAAGTATTAACACAAAGGTCAGGATAATGGTTATCTCTAGAAGGGAAGCGGAAAGGTGTAATGAGAAAGGTAACAGAGCATTTCTAAGGTATTGGCAAGGCTGTTTTTGCTTAATTTGGGTGGTGGTTACCTGAGTAAGAACAGCCTTATTCTTTACACGGTATGAATGTGTGTGTGTGTATGCAGTGCGTGTGTGATCTATATAATCAACTATTTTAATAACATAATAAAGTAAATATAAACACACATCAACAAAAATGTCTTGAGTTTTTTAATCAAATTGTGATAATCTAAAACAAACAAAATATATTAGATGTGGTCCAAAATTCAGCTAAGTTGAAACAAAGGATTTCGCTTCTGCACAGTGGCTAATTTCCTTACACAAATCCAAACTGGTTCACTGTTTTACTATCACTGACATGAAACACAGTAAAGAGTTTCAGGTGATTCAACCTCATTTAACCCACCATATAAGCCTTAGAACAGTCTGAGAGCTGGCAAACAATAGGCCACAATGTAAAGTAAAAAGGTTACGGATAAAAGAACGACATAATTTGGGGTCACAAGACCACTATTCCTGTTTCCAGGATGAATGCTTAAAATGATGGCAATTGCTATAATGATCAATTGGCTTTTGCCTTGATGAGACTGGATTGAATCACTATGATTGCCAGGTATTCTACACTGATCTGGCTAATAAAATGAAACATCTTAAAACAACCCACAAATACCCTTTTCTAATAATCCTTTTTAAAAAAGTCTTTAACGTATGGTCATACTTTCAATCAGACCTCCATGTTTCTGAACTTTTGATGGCCTAACACAAAGACTAAATAGTTCTAAGACTAAGCAAATTGCTCCTGTGGCTTCACGAGCAATGGCAAGATTTTGTCTTTCAGGTAAAGCTCTTAATTTGTTTTAAGAAGTTAAAGAATGAGCTTCTCTTAGACATTAGTAGAAAAAAAAAAACCACTGTGCATCACCCCAAGGGTAGAGGCGTGTGTGTGTGTGTGTTCGTGGATAGTTTCTCCTAGCTAACCATAAGACAGGAACTTGGAGTCTTGGGACAGAGAGAAAAGAGGGGAGAAAGTATCCTGAACCAAGTATAGAGTTGTCAATCTCTTAACCAGAAGGTTCAATAGTTGGGATTTATTTCCACAAAACAAGGAAATTTGTGTTTTTATAAGTATATAAGTGTTCCTGTCTGTCTAGGCTTGTACTTAAATGGGAGACTATAAACTCTATTGTCCAGTATTTTACTGAAAATTATGTATGACACTCTACAGTCCATTGTGACATTCCCACAGCCAAGAAAAATAACTGAAAACACTGAATGTGTCAGGGATTCACGATAAGGATTCATTTCTGGAGCAAAGACTGGTCTTGTAAAGAAAGGACCTGTCTCCTTCTCATGCATGGGATTCTACCCCTATCCCATACACCAGAAGCACTGCCAGGACATCTCTGCACTATGCTGTGAGGTGGGGGGTTTAGGGTACCATTGTTATATGAGTTTTATCATTTTAGTTCTGTACATCCTATCTTGGGAAGTAAATTTTTGGTTATTTCTTTTCATTTTACCTTTTCTTCTTGTTTAACTTTAAAATGGAAAAAGAAGCAAATGTTCACAATAAACTTTACTGTTTAATCTGTTTATGTCTATTCTGAGAGTTGTCAATTATAATAGTAGCACTATTTACAAACTGACTAGAAAAGTTAGACAACACAAAAAGCAGACAAACTATTCTCACTAGCACAAGAGGATGAAAAGCAGAAAACAGAAGCAAGTGACATCAGTCTCCAACTTGAGTGCTCAAAGATAATTAAACCAAAAGATTAAAACATCAAAGTCTGAAATTCCACCTTTTATAAAGTAGCTTTTGGGTTCAACTATAAAGACAAGTTCAAAAAAGGTTTTTTTTCTTCAACTACAGAATCATAACCTGACTTTTTTTTTTTGGAGATGGAGTTTTGCTCTGTCGCCATTGCATGATCTCGGCTCAATGCAACCTCTGCCTCCCGCCGGGTTCAAGCGATTCTTCCTGCCTCAGCCTCCCAAGTAGCTGGGATTACAGGCATGCACCACGATGCCCGGCTAATTTTTGTATTTTTTTTTTTTTTTTAGTAGAGACAGGATTTCACCATGTTGGCCAGGTTGGTCTTGAACTCCTGACCTCAGGTGATCTGCCTGCCTCGGCCTCCCAAAGTGCTAGGATTAGGGCGTGAACCACTGTGCCCAGCCTAGTTTGCTTTTTTAAAAGCAAATTTTGGGAACATATAATAGGTAACAGTCTCTTGACATAAACTGCATTTTTGAGAGTCAGGCACTGTTACGTGCTTGATGATGTATGCAGGCTTCTAGAGGACTAGATGGAATGAACATTTCTAATATTACCTACGTTGTTCTGATCCAGGTCTTTCATAACAAATTTTTAAGAACATGGATTGTCAGGTTATGGACTAAAGACTCTAACTTGCTAAAAAGGTTGCTGGATGGGGGAAAACCACTTATTTAAAAAACAAAATAGGAGTGACATCCATACACTACTAGAAAAGGGACTCTTTCTGTCAGGTGGCTATGAGTGAATTTACAAACAATATGCATCATATCATATACAAACATGCAAATTATTAATTACCTTTCAGGGTTTCCAGCAAGTTTTTGGCTACAAACCAACATATGGCTTCAAAGAAAGGGAATTTGAAAAGATCTGGTGTTTTTAGCCTTTTCTCCATCTCATAACACCTAAATGAGTTTGAAGAAATTTTTAATATTAATATTAGAATTTCAAAGTTAGATGAAAGTAACCAACTGGAAAATAAAATAACCAGGTCATGATATGTAAGACCAATAAAGTATTTTACATTTCTTAGCAACATCACATTTGGACAAGACTGAATTGTGATCTTATCCAGGTTCTGACTTTAAGGAATTTGATGGTATACTTAAGAATTGTATTGGACTTCACAGAAGATCAGGATCACACTTTGGGATTTGTATCCTGGTTTTAACAAAAGACATTTTTACGAGGGTTCTACTACAATAAATAAAACTGTGTGTTTCAGAAAACACCTCTATGTGTTAGACAACAGTGCAATACCCACCCAAAAAAGTTTTATTTAGGCTCCACTAGGCATTCCAGCTCAAGACCACACTTGGCAAGAATTAAACAGGAGCCATCCCTCCCTCAGGGACAGCTCAGGTACAAAAAGACAAGATCCACACTTGGTAGGTGTGGGAGCTGTTTAAGGCTGCTTAAAGCCTTATGCCCTGTAAAAGCCACTATCTCCCCTAATAACGCCACACACAGATGCATAGCTTCTAGGGATCTCTATGAGTGTGCCAAGTTACAAGAGTTACCACATTCAGGCAAGTCCAGAGATATGGCTTCTTACTAGGTATTTCTAGTTCTCCCAGTCCTGATGCAGTTTATCAATCAGGAATCATTTTTACCATAAGCAATGTTACCTAGTAAAAGTCAACACTCATTAGACTACTAGGAGAAGAGAGTTACGCAAAGGTCAAATTCTCATATAGAGGAGAAACAGCTATTAATCCTTTACCTGCAGCAAAATTAAAGCAGGTGTTTTGATAGCAGTCCTGACTTACGGTTGCTTTTTTCTAGCACCATATGTCACATCTGAGTCTGACTAGATTTTGTTCATCTCCCTCACTGCAAAAATAGCCAAAGAAGAACACATACATTTTCACAAAATTTTGAAATTTGGAATATTATCTGAATAAGTTCCCTTTTGTTGTTGTTGTTTTAGATTTGAAATGCAAATTATCCTCCTGGCAAAATTTTAAAATACTACTTTTGTTAAAAGCTTCTATCCCTAATAATATCTCAGGGACTATTTCCATGGAATCTCAAATAAAATAAGCTATTGATTTTTTTTAAGTTAAAAAAAAAAGTATCCTATTTTTAAAAAGGACAAAAGGTCATTTAAATACTGATGACACAAACCTGAGCTGCATGCCAATGTTAAGGTTGTGCAGGAAGTTCCCCCCAAAAGCCATACAGTCCTGAGAAGTGAGCACAGCATGGATCCACCCTAAAATGGTTGAAAATATATAAACCAGTCATTTTTCAATATGTAAACTAAACCAATAGGATATCTACCTGTGAAGTAACTCAAAATATCAATATCAGTTTACTTCATATTTCAGTGCTAGAGAAGTTAATGTTTATTACAATCTATAGATTTAATTATTTATTAAATGCCTATTATATGGTAGGCTCTATGCTGAGTTTGAGAAATAAGGTGACGGTTTTTGTAGTTGTTACTGTATTTGTTTTTTTCTTTTTAAAAATAGAGATGGGGTCTCACTTTGTTGCCCAGGCTGATCTCAAACTCCTGGCCTCAAAGTCATCCTCTCACATTGGCCTCCCAAAGTGCTGAAATTAAGGCGTGAGCCACTGTGCCCAGCCTGTTTTTGTTTTTTAGCTTAAAAACACAACCCAACTTTATATTAAAGATTTTACTCTTTGAGACCAGCCAAATCTGGTTTGAATTAGAAAAGCACATTTTCCATTAGAGAACACACTGGGATTGATGGGACACTCCATCGCCCTGGTGTCATCCTGAAATCAGTGCCCCGAAAGGACTAAGCAGAGGAGGATCAGAGGAGTCAACCTGAGACCTGACTCTGTAGAAGGAAAAGGTAGATTACTCACATTTAATTATGAAGGGTTATGGTCCTACAAATATAGGTGTTGCCAAAAAATGATATTTTGTATTCCCATACAAATGCTTACAAAGTGAAAACCATTTCTAAGACATGACGTCTAACTTTTGAAAAAAATGTTGGCAGACTTCAAGACTTCACCAGAAATAAATACAAACACATATTTGTATGCAAATTAGCTTTTAAAATACACAAATCCCGTTTTCTTTGTATTTTTCATCTTTTGACCCCTCACTGAACTGTAACACAAAACAAAAAACCCTCAAAGGACTCACTTTCAAGTGTGCCCATTGCTGTGCTCAAAGGCACAAAGCCTTGAGCTTGACCTTGAAACCACAAATTAGCAGTCTGTGCCAACTCCAAATCCTACACATCAGTGGTTCTCAATAGCGGCAGTACTGCCTGTTCAGGATGTTTTGGAACGTTTAGGGGCTTTTCTGATTGTCACAATGATCTGGGAGCACTACTGGCATTTTGTGAGTGGGAGCCAGGAGTACAATATGTGAGACAGTTCCATACAAAATGAAATTGTCCTGCATCACTCGGGACTGCCAAATTTTCCTGCGCATTCATATAGGTACAAAGCCTGTCCTATTAACTATCTGAGCCTAGAAATTAGAACTCCATTATTATATATTATTATATATATCTGTATATACAGACACCCACACACAGTATATTTTCATGGTTTTGGCACAATTTCCTGAAACACAAAAACTGTACTGTAGTTTGGAAGCTTATCAGTCACTAACAACCTTGGGAAAAGAATTACATTGCCTACAGCAGTGGTTCTCCAAATATGGTCCCCATACCAGCAGCACCTGAATCAGCCAATAACTTGTTAGAAATGCACATTCTCAGGCCCACTCCAGATCCACAGAATCCGAACCTTGGCCATGACGTCCAGCAATCTGTGTTGTAACCAGCCCTCCATGTGATTCTGATATTCCAGGAAGTATCAGTACCTACACCAGTGCTACTGATAGAATTTGTGTTGCCACTGACACACACCTAGATTGATTTCCTTCCTTATGCAATTACTATTTCATTCTGTTCTCTAATGCTGCTGTGCCTAGACAGGCACATACTGAAATAGCATTTCATTATAAATTACCTTTTTATTTCTTCTTTATATTCTAGTTAGGACATTAAATCAATTTAAAAAATTATTCTATGAATGTCAATTTATGATTTGAAGAATCATAAATGTCAATTTATGATTATATTAGAAATACCTAACATAAAAGCAAGAAGTAGGAAGATTTAAGGGAGGGGCATTCACAATGTGAATGAGCCCATTCACAATGAAAATACTGTTACTAATCTAGGCAAATATTCTGGTAGTTCTAAGGCATGTCTTCATTTATTCAACATACATTTGTTATTATATACACCAGAGGCAAGGCTTTCAGCAGGACCTGCAGGGACAGATCCCTGTGAACTTTACAGTCATTAGGGTCACCAAAACCAGCACACAGTTCTCGAAACCACTGGTCTGGACAGTCTATACTCTACATTCATTTACATCTCAAAATGAGAGGCCTGATACCTATACTTGAGGCTACAGCTAAGGCTGATACTCAGTCCTTTCTTTGAGGGTCTCTCAAGACACACCCTATGCTGTCCTAACTGTCCTGGGACAGCAGCCCAGATTCTTACAGGCTTGGTTTTTAACAGCAATGGAGAGCTGACCATAGTTAAGACTATCAAAATTAAAAACTTTTGTGCATCAAAGGATATTATCAAGAAAGTGAGCAGATAACCCACAAAATGGGAGCAAATTATTTGCAAATCATACATACTGATATGGGTCTAGTACAGAGAATAAAGAATGCTTACAAACTCAACAATTAAAAAGGACAACCCAATGTTAAAATGAGCAAAGGGTTTGAATAGACATTTCTCCAAAGAAAATATGCAAATGCCCAACAAGAAAAATGCTCAGCATCATTACTCATTAAGGAAATGCAAATCCAAATCATGACACATCACACCCACTAGAATAGAATAGAAGGCAATTACAGCACTGGTGAGGGTGTGGAGAAACTGGAACCCAAATACACTGCTGGTGGTAACGTAAAATGGTGCAGCCATTTGGAGAACGGGTCAGCAATTCCTCAAGAAGTTAAACGTAGTTAAACCATGTAATGCAGCAATTCTACTACAAGCTATATTTACCCAAAAGCAATGAAAACATACCTCCACATAAAAAACTGTATACAAATGTTCGAAGCAGCACCATTCAAATAGTCAAAATGTGGAAACAACCCAATGTCCACCAACTGGTGAATGGATAAACAAAATACGGTAAAGCTGAGTACCCCTTATCCAAAATGCTTGGAACCAGAAGTACTCAGATTTCACATTTTTTTTGGATCTTGGAATATTTGCATTACATACTTACCAGCTGAGCATCCCTAATCTGAAAATCCAAAATCCAAAATGCCTCAGTAAGCATTTCCTTTTGAGGGTCATGCAGATGCTCAAAAGCTTTCAATTTTGGAGCATTTCAGATTTTGGACTTTTGCATTAGGGATGCTCAACCTGTATATCCCACAATGGAACATTACTGGGCCATGAAAAGATGAAGTAATGATACATGCTACAACATGGATAAGCCTAGAAAATAGTATGCCGGCCGGGCGTGGAGGCTCACGCCTGTAATCCCAGTACTTTGGTGGGCGGATCACGAGGTCAGGAGATTGAGACCATCCTGGCTAACACGTGACACCCGGTCTCTACTAAAAATACAAAAAATTAGCCAGGCATGGTGGCGGGCGCCTGTAGTCCCAGCTACTTGGAAGGCTGAGGCAGGAGAATGGCACGAACCCGGGATGGGGAGCTTGCAGTGAGCCGACATCAGGCCACTGCACTCCAGCCTGAGCGACAGAGCAAGACTCTGTCTCAAAAAAAAAAAAAAAAGTAAGAAAATAATATGCTAAGTGAAAGAAGCTAGACGCAAAAGCCCACATATTGTATGATTCCATCAACATAAAGTATCCAAAGAGGCAAATCCACAGAGACAGAAAGTACATTCGTGGTTGCCAGGGGCTCAGTGGAGGCGGGAATGGGAAGTGACTGCTAAAGAGTATGAGGTTTCTTTTTGAGACAATGAAAATGTTCTGGAATTAGATAGTGGTGATATTTGCCCAACTTTATTAATCTACTAAAAACCACTGAGCTGTACACTTTAAAAGGGTGAATATTGTGGTATGTGAATTTTTTCTCAATAAAAATAAAAATGAAGGCAAATGATATAAATACAATGCCAAAAGAAGTCCTAACTAGAAGAGAAACCCTCTAAGGAACAAAACATAAAAGTCCAAGATCAGAATTATTTCTTAACAAATGTCATAAAAACTACTTTCCAAACATGTTAAAGCCAGAGGTTCTAGTTAAAAGCCAACTCCATGTGACTATCAATCATGTTGAGTAGGGGATGGGATGAAAACCTTACCTGTAGGAACAAATAAGGTATGTCCCTGCTTTACCACACATTTGTAGCATTTATCCACCTTATCTCCAAAGAACACCTCACTCTGGGTCACAGATGAACTCCAAGATTCATAACGTGCCAAATTTTCATCTGTTGGCTTTATTAAATAAAAAATCTTCTCACCCTAAAAGGAAGTATCATACTATTTTTGAAAAAGCAAAAGCCATACTTAGGATAGCCTACATTGATGCAATTTCTCAATACAATGATACAAATTAAATTGGATAATTATCAGATTCTTTTAGGTTCAAAAGACATATTTCACACACCTGATCAGTAGCTATTGCCCTTAGTAAACATTTTCATGTTTAAAGCTCCCCCTCCTCAACTGACAAGGAGTCAATAAAGTAGTGTTGAAGAAATAGCTGCAAGACAGGAGGGCAGAGAAGCACAAACATCCCACTGACCTCCTCTCATTGTCAAATAGAGAAGTAAATATGTGTTGACAGGCCCACAGTCATCTCTGCAAGCTTTGCCCTTTCTACTAAGATCCACAGCATAATTATTTTTAAAAACCTATAAATAAGCTTCCTTTAATAAACTAATTCTTTGCTACTTCATGAAGGAAAAAAACAGGAACCCAAGGACCCAGCAACAAATATAGCCCAGAACATTGCTGAGGCACAAGCATTTGATATAGATGAAGACTGACTTTCTACATCAGTACTCTCCAATACAACTTTCTGTGCTGATGGAAATTTTTTGTATCTGTGCTAACCAACACAGTAGCCATTAGCCACATGTGGCTACTGAGCACTTGAAATGTGCCTAGTATAAACGAGGAACTGAATTTTTAATTACATTCCATTTTAATTATTTAAATTTAGTCACACATGGCTAGTGGCAACTGTTTTGAACAATGCAGCTCTAGATAAAGCAAGGTGAATATAAATTGCAAATAACTGGTCTTTTGTTTTGTTTTTTTGAGATAGGGTCTCGCTCTGTTGCCCAGGCTGGAGTGCAATGGTGCAATCACAGCACACTGCGCCCTCAACTTCCTGGGCTCAAGTGATCCTCCTGCCTCAGCCTCTTGAGTAGCTGCGACTACAGGCATGAGCCACCACACCTGGCTAATTTTTTAATTTTTACTTTTAGAGACAGGTTCTTGCTCTGTTGCCCAGGCTGGAGTGCAGTGGAGTGATCACGGCACACTGCAGCCTCAACTTCCTGGGCTCAAGTGATCTTCCTGCCTCAGCCTCTTGAGTAGCTGTGACTACAAGCATGAGCCACCATGCCTGGCTACTTTTTTTATTTTTATTTTTAGAGACAGGATCTCGCTCTGTTGCCCAGGCTGGAATGCAGTGGTGCAATCACAGCACACTGTAGCCTCAACTTCCTGGGCTCAAGTGATCCTCCTGCCTGAGCCTCTTGAGTAGCTGTGACTACAGGAATGAGCCACCATGCCTGGCTAATGTTTTTATTTTTATTTTTAGAGACAGGGTCTCACTATGTTGCTCAGGCTGGTCTTGAACTCCTGGGCTCAAATAATTTTCCCAGCTTGGCCTCCTCTCAAAGCGCTGGGATTATAGGTGTAAGCCACTACACCCAGCCAAGAACTGGTATTTTTATAGGCATTCCTGACTTATCCAACAAGCTATCCTAGCCCAACATTAAGGCCAGAAGCAATTATTACTGTAATTTTGCTCCTTCACAGATATTTAATTCAGGGATTAAAGGATAATTAACTAGGGGAAAAAAAATCAAGAAGAGACAAAAGCCTAAAAGAAACCAACTTAAAAGATGAGGGCAGAAAGTAAATCTAATATAAATTTAAAAGTCATGGCTCTTCCATTATTTGAGATTAAAAAAAAAAATCGTAACGTTTAAAGGCAAAGTGACAGTTCCTGGTTAAAAAGTAAAAAAAAAAAAAAAAACTTCCCCCTTTACAAGTAACATTTACAAGAAATGAATATACCACTGAAAAACTAGGGCTATATGTTTTTGTCAGTGAGAGAACAAAAAATACCCCAATCTTACCCAGAGGACATGGTACCAGACTGAAGTTCCACCGAAGTCAATGTGGAAATCTGTATAGCTGTCTTGAACTCCCATTAAGCAATATTTCTGAACAAATGGCTTGGGAAAGACTGAATCATCTGGCCAATAATTTTCCACCCAGGAAAGTTTTTTGGCTATATCAGGGACCTCCACCAATTCAGACATCCTTTCAAAAAACAAACATACACACACACCCACATCATGCAAATTAAAAATTCTTAAGAATTGTTTTTCTCATCTATTCCCAAACCAAATAATTAAATGGAACTTAAGGTTAACAACAACACTTAAAAGTTTAAAACACATGTTTGTTTGTTTTTGAGACAGAGTCTTGCTCTGTCGCCTAGGCTAGAGTGCAGTGGCGCGATCCTGGCTCACTGCAAACTCCATCCTGCCGGGTTCGAGAGATCTCGTGCCTCAGCCTCTCTGAGTAGCTGGGATTACAGGCATGTGCCACCATGCCCAGCTGATTTTTGTATTTTTAGTAGAGAGGGGGTTACGCCATGTTGGCCAGGCTGGTTTTGAACTCCTGGCCTCAAGCGATCCACTCGCCTTGGCCTCCCAAAATGCTGGGATTAAGGCATAAGCCACTGTGCCCAGCCAAAAGTTTAAAATACATCTTATTTCTAAGTATCTCTGAGTGTCCCAATGCAAAATTTATAACATTGCTACCACTGGACAACTTTAGAAGTCACAACTATGTTTCTTCCTAAAATAAATACATCATTACACTACATTTAGCTAACACTCAGAATGCTAAACCAAAATACCCAGAACTACTCACTTTGTATCTGAAAATTCAAGGCTGATCACATTTAACACTTTTGGTCTGTTAGGATTCATGAAGTATTTAACATAATTGTGAAGTGTCATTTTGCTGTCTGCCTGCCTCGCCACATCAATGACATCTATCACTTTGTCACCACCTGCAGAGAAAAATTACAGTCTTATTATTGGACTTAAGAGTTACATCAGCAGATGCTCTAATCAAAAAATATTTTAACTTGGTATGATAATTAAACCAACTATAAAACTATGTAGTCTAGACAAATATTTTCCCTATACTCTTAATTTCTCAAGTTCAACTGGACCTTTCAGGAAAAAAGGGACATTTTTCAGAGGAAAAGGAAAGCAGTAAGACAGAGCTGCACAATTTACACTGAATATAAAAGTGTATATGGCTTACAAAGCTTTCTGTATACTAATGATATCTTGGTGTACAGCTCATAATGACAAAAAAATACATTATATTGGCATGTAGAAATTGTGCAACACTGTCTGGATTTCAGTTTTCTCAGGCATAAAATGAGGAGACTGACTTTTCCCTTTCACTTTTGTAACACCTAAAATATTCTAAGGCTATCATTTCAAAAAAAAACACATCACTCATTGGGGAATTAGCATGCAAGTTGACCAGGATAATTTCTGCCCTCCTGATACTGTCTTCTAATATTCTCCTTTAAGAAAAAATTAGTGATTGGGAAGCAAAAATCAGTTCACATTAGTACCAGTGTCCGAAGGCCTGAGTTCCAAATTGTGATTAATTTACAGTTTTCGTATAAACCCATGAAGTGGTGTTTACAGACCACTGCACTGCTACACTAGGAAGCATAATTAGTTTGACAATGGACTATGGGATAAGGTAGAATTCAAAATATGGCAATACTTAACCAATCTGAAATAGAAAACAAATAAATGCCATTTTCTTACTTTAATGCAACTTCATATAGGTTAAGAAAGTCTTGCCTTATAGACTTCTTTATCATCAGGAGGCAACACGGTTCTGCTCATAGTATTTAACTGAAGTGCTCTGCAGTACCAAAAAGTTAGCTATCAAGCAGTTTGAGCATTTTTTTCCTGCACATGTATTACACTAGCTATTTGTTTTGCAGATGCTATCTACGCAAATAGGTTCAGGTTAATCCTTAGCCCCATCCTCTCACTTGTCAAATATTCAAATTTAGCTGAATGTGAAGTTACAATACTTAGTTAGATTTCCTCAGTGAAACAATAATCAATGAGAATTGTCAACCAATGGCTCGATAAAGGGACAAGTTCTCAGATATTCCATGCTGAGGAGATAATATAGTAAATATACAATTTTGAGTCAAAATAGATTTGGAATCTAATCTCAAATATTCTCTATCTACTGCTGACAAGAAATGACATCTACATATAGTCAGCTTTATCTGTAAATATCACGAGAATTAATGAAATGACTGAAAATGTCAACAACATGGCAAGGGGTATAGGGGATCCCCCTTATTTCTCATGTCTTTCTGTTTCTTTGGGGAATTTTCAAAATCAAAAATTAAGTCCAGACATCATTAAATGGCAATATTCACCAAGTCATTATTATAAAAACAGATTTGAAAATGATCTGCTCTTTTTACCACCTTTCCTCTAAGCAGCAGCAGGTCACAAAGCAGACTCCAGAGGACTAACTGTGCAGCTGGTGTACTGGGATCTGGGAATTTTGCACCTGTATTCTACAGATGCCTACAACCAATCCAACTTTCCAATATCTTCTTCCTGGTATCTATATCTATCCCTCAGTAATGATTTTCCCTAAGCAAGTATCAGAGAACTTAATGGCACAAAAGAAAGCAGCAGGATGAAGCTGAGTAAATAAAATCAAGTAAATTGTCATTCTGTTTTTCTGACAGTTGTAGGTCTGCTGAGAAAAACTAGTTTTCAATATAGATGATACTGAGCCTCACTTTTCTGAGCAGAAAACTAAATTGACATTTCTTCATTTAACCATTAATATTACCAGGACTATCATTTTTACTTTTACCATGTTTTCCCAGGTACTTAAAGAAATAAAGTTCGTACCTACATAACGTTCCACATCCATCACAGAAAATGTAGGTGAAGGGAGCCTGAGTCCTAGATCATCTAATTTTGGGACCATAATAGGGACATCAAATCCATGTTTCTCCAGATATCTTTGTGTCAGCTGGCTGCCATGCATCTTTATAATTATTTCATCGGCACTAAGGAAAAACATAAGAATAAAAATGTCATTTTTATTGGTAAGGTCAGTTTAAAAAAAATACGGTAGTGATGGGTTAATTCATATACTGGATTATCTATATCAGTGGTTCTTAACCTATCACTTCTCATTCTTTTAATGACAAATGTTTTGTAAATCTCCTTTTGCTATCCTAAACTAAAATTTATAGATAATGTAATATACACAATTCAATACATATAATTAGAAATATATATAAACTGGTCTAAATGCAAAAAGAAAAAACCAACCAGTTTATAGTAAAATATGTACAAGTTGAGTATCCCTAATCCAAAAATACAAACTCTAAAATGCTCCAAAATCCAAAATGTTTTGAGAATTGAAGAGCTCACTGGAGCATTTCAGATTTTCCGATTAGGGATGCTCAGCTGCTAAGTATAATGCAAATATTCCAAAAGAAAAAAAAAATCTGAAATCATTTCTGAAACACTTCTGTTCCTTAGCATTTTGGATAAGGGATACTCAACCTGTATTTTAGTATGTAAACTACACTAGAAGACATCATAAAATAATAGGATGCTTACAACTAGTTGTAATGAACGGTTAGATTTAAGTTAAGTAGAAACACCAGAAGCCACTTGATACAGGATGCGTAGAAATTTGGGAGAGCAAAAGGTAGAGTGTGCATTAGAATAAAAACTAGTCAGGCCAGGCACGGTGGCTCATGTCTGTAATTTCCAGCACTTTGGGAGGCTGAGGTGAGTGGATCACCTGAGGTCAGGAGTTTGAGACCAGCCTGACCAACATGGTGAAACCTCGTCTCTACTAAAAATACAAAAATTAGCTGGGTGTGGTGGTGGGCATCTGTAATCCTAGCTACTTGGGAGGCTGAGGCAGGAGAATCGCTTGAACCTGGGAGACGGAGGTTGCAGTGAGCCGAGATCTCACCATTGCACTCCAGCCTGAGTGACAAGAGCAAAACTCCACCTCAAAAATAAATAAATAAAAAATAAAAAACAAAAACGAGTCAGATTTTATCTGACTATAAAATTCTACACAACTATCTAAAGTCTAATGGAACATAGAACAATTAATTCTTGTTCTGCATATTGAAAGATGACTAGCATCCCTGGTCCCCACCCACTGAGACAAGTGTCCAAAATGCTCCCATTGACAACTACTGATTTAAATGACCCGTTACAACCAGTATTTAATAAGTCTTTTTTTTTTTTTTTTTTTTGAGACAGAGTCTTGCTCTGTCGCCCAGGCTGGAGTGCAGTGGCGTGATCTCAGCTCACTGCAAGCTCCGCCTCCTGGGTTCAGGCCATTCTCCTGCCTCAGCCTCCCAAGTAGCTGGGACTACAGGCGCCCGCCACCACGCCTGGCTAATTTTTTTGTTTTTGTTTTTGTTTTTTTTAGTAGAGACAGGGTTTCACCGTGTTAGCCAGGATGGTCTTGATCTCCCGAGCTCATGATCCACCCACCTCGGCCTCCCAAAGTGCTGGGATTACAGGCGTGAGCCACCGCGCCAGGCCTAGTAAGTCTTAATACTAGGTAGTAACTTTAAGCCAAGAATGGTTGGATCTCCAGTTGCCCTCTCTGATGATCAACACGTTACAGGCATTACATTAACATAAGTGGAGTTTGTCCCTTTGCCCACCAGATCTCTTCCAATGGGGCATTCCAGTTTTTAATCTCCCAATTGCTCTACAGCTGCTACACATTCAAAATTAAGTGTGACACTTGCCTTAAAGGTTAAAACACAATAGTCTCCACTTATACAATCAGATCTTAACTATCTGATGTCATCTGCTGCCTAGGTAGCAAGAAGACAGGAGATGCTGGTTCTCTGAATTACTGGGCTCTGATCTTCCCATCCTCTCGTAAGGCAAGGGCAAGCCTAAGGCCTAAGAAAACTGAGAGTCCTTTCCTAGATAATCTTGTTCTTCTTCATTTGACTCATCTACTGAACTGGAGCTCTGTATTACCTCTTAGTTTCCCCAATAAGCATCCACAATTGTCCCTCCTTCCCCCAACCTCTGAGGATTAAATAATTCCTTCAACTTCAGTCTAAGGGAGAATTTTAAATCACTTGTATTCCCTGATCTCACATGTTTGGTGTTTTATTTCCCCTTTTGATCAAACATACATAATGACAAGTGTTTAAAATATAGGTACATTTTTTGCAAGAGGAAAATCTGGAGACAAACTAAACATATATGGGGACGGTTAAGCAAATTATGGTACCTATAGATTACTACATACCTCACAACATTTAGGGAGTGAGGCAAATCTATGCATACATATGGAAGGATATCTATGAAACATAATAGAGTAAAAAAGGCAAATTGTACAACACTATGCATAACATAACCCCATTTTAAGAATATTATGTATATCCATACATCCATATACATAAATGTTTTAATGTTTTTATGTAGAAAAGGGTCTCAAAAAACTTACACTAAGTCTTAAAATAGGGGAGGGGAAAGATAATTCATTCACTTTATTTTACACACCTCTGTGTTAATCATATCAAGCATGTGTAATTTAATAATTACTGCTATTCTACTATGGTTTGAAATGATGTAAAGCTTTGTGGCATTAAAACCCAAAGACCCTGAACTAATGGTAATTACATTTTGGACATTTGTGATCATCTCTATAACCCGTTCTCATTTGTGGTCACTGGCAGGCAGTAAAGTCACATAAATTATTAGGCCAGTGTTTTTAACACTACATTTTTGTGTCAGAAACCTATTTAGAAAAAAAAAGAAAGCTATAGCTCCTCTCCCTGAGAAATGGACACTCCCAACTGACTCTAAATTATACATACCATTTTAGGGAGCTCACAAACCTCTCTTAGACCCACCACCAGAAGCAGACTGAAAACTTTGGGCCTAGGTGCCAAACCAATCAAGCATGAGCCAATAAAAAAGAAAACACGCAAACATTTATCCTACAACTTGGAAACTGATAAAAAAGAATATTTGCGAATAGGGTATTTAACACCACAAAAATCACGTGGAAACACTACATTTTAAATATGTGTTCTTTCTGTCTCTCAACAGACCTGAGGGAGCCAACAGTAGATACTTACCATTATATGTTTCTGCATAAGGATTAAGGGGCAGGGGGCTAGAGAGGAATTCTAAAGACTGAGGAGAAATAGCAGGGGTTTTATCGTTTCAGGATCTGAAATAATTCCATAATAAGCTGCATGTGATACTGTGATTTAAATTTAAATTGTGCTTCCCCTCTTTAACAAGCCTGACTATGATCTTGTGTAAAAGCCTATTAAGCATTATCACTTGAAATAGATGTCAGGCAGTGAGTAGGAAATGATCTAAATTAGCATGATTAAATGCTTTATAATGCTTTCCACTCTCTTTGAGCCAGACAACTCAAATATATTCCATTATTTTTTAAAAAATCAAAAAGCCCACCCCTGCAGTGGTTGTGTGTGCTTCTGGTGGATGTAGGGCAGAGATGCATATAAAAGCAATGGAGAAAAAGCAGAGTTGGGAAAACAAGAGAAGGTGAGGCAAAAGAAACAAAACAGGTAGCAGCTGCATATCATAAGGAACCAAGTACTGGGAACAACTCCCTCAGATTAGTGTATTTCAAACTTTTTGGACTGTGGCCCACACTTAAATGTTTTTACAGGGTGACCCAGTGTGCACATAGATGTAACAAAAGTTCCATGAAAATATGCTTACTTACTGCTATTTCTTGGAATGTACTGATACTTTTCTATTTCGTTAAGGAAGAAAAAAGGTGAAAAGCTGGCTGAGGACAATAATGGGTTGCAGCCTAAGTTTGAAAACATTGCCTTTATATAATGTCACTCTATGAGACGACATTCTTACATTCTTACATTTTCTTTTATCAGAGTAAGTTTCCATACCTTGGGAAGACTCGAGAGCGTAATTCCTTAATGAAAGTTCTAGTTCCAGCTTGCACTGGTTTGGAACCATCATCAATTTCTGTGTAGTCATGTCTGTGCCAGTTCCTCCTTTTTTTCACTGGATTTTTAAAAGATTAAAAAAAAATGATTTTGGTAACTGGTGATACTATGTGATTTCTAATCATTATATCCGACATAATCAGAAATAACAATTGTAAGTACATTAAAAACACTCAAGTTTTTAATGCATTTCCAGGCCTGAGAATTTTGCTTAATGTAATGCTGCAATTACAGACAATTAACTGTGGATTTTTAAAACCTACTCTTTTTATTTCAAAACATATAAAATTAAAGCAACAAATTCAAATCAGCAGATGGAGCCTTTTATAATGTCCACACTTATAGATACTATACAATTTCCAAATTATATACAATTATGATTTTCATCAGAACATTAGGTCCTAATATGATTATCCAGATAATCCAAATCGTCTTCTCAGGACAGGGCCTTTTATCTCACATTAGAAATCTATTCTAATAGCATCATTCCTTCCTCTTTCATGTGAAGACTTACTCCCTAAATAAGCACAGTTACACTGACATAAAGAAGAGCAGGTGACTGAGTCATAATTAAAGAAAGACGGGTAGCATGACAAAATACATAACTTCATCATTTATTCCAATGCTAAGACCCTGTAATTCTACAGCTCTGGAAGGCTATGACCTTGAGTAGTCACAGCAATCGAAATCAGAAGATTTGGATTTGATTCCTAGTTCAGCCAATAGCTTTCTCTGCAATCTTGGGCAGGTCACTTAACACCTATGGATCCAGATTCCTCAATGTAGGAATGAAGGGGTGGATTAAACTGCTAATTTTCAAACTGTGTGGAAGAACCCTTCACAAAGGGGAGATGGGGAAAAAGCCAAGGAATGATCTCTGGACCTCATTCCTCTTTCCAGCAGAGTGGCACTACCTACAGCTCTTGTGTGTTGTATCAATGTACAATTTCTGTTTTAAATCTTTTTTTTTTTTAAGCTTGAAAATTACTCTTAAGCCTAAAACCTCTATGATTCTGGAAAATGTACTGATATCTGCAATTTATTTAGAAACGCATCAAAAAAATAAGATGGGTAGACAGCAGAATAGTTACATGGATAGATATGTGTTAGAGCATGTAATGAAAATGTTAATAGTAGAATCTAGATGATAAGGCTTATAGGTGCTTGCTGTAAAATTCTTCCAATTTTTCCTATATGTTTGAACATTTTCACAATATGTTTTGGGGAAAACAACTTTATGATTCCAAGTTATTTTAAACCTTTTCCACCTTACAAAGATCACAGTAATACAACAACATTGGGTCCTCATGTCGATAAGAAGTCACAATAATTAACAGAGGTGGAAATCAGGCTTATTCAACTATCTAAGAGTCTAAAACAAGATTCCCAAGTAACTTATGGCAGCCAAATCTTCAATATGGAAGAGCGTAAGTCCCATTAAAAAAAAAAAAAAACAAACTCACAAAAATTTAGAATCACAAAGCAAACTTCCTAGGAAATTCCATTAAAACATCCTTTGCATGTTATTTTTTCTCATTTAAAATCACTCCTAAATTTGAGTGTATTTCATTCCAGATTTTTTCTACTATATATAGATACATAACTCCTTTTTTTTTTTTTTTTTGAGACAGAGTCTTGCCCTGTTGCCAGGCTGGAGTGCAGTGGCATGATCTCGGCTCATTGCAACCTCCGCCTCCCAGGTTCCAGCAATTCCCCTGCCTCAGCCTCCTGAGTAGCTGGACTACAGGGGTGTGCCACCACATTCGGCTAATTTTTTGTATTTTAGTAGAGATGGGGTTTCACCATGTTGGCCAGGATGGTCTCGATCTCCTGACCTTGTGATCCGCCCACCTTGGCCTCCCAAAGTGCTAGGATTACACGTGTGAGCCACTGCGCCCAGCCCATAACTCCATTTTATCTTCAATTGGGATCACAATGTTTATCCTGCTTATCTTTCTTATTATATAATGAGCATTTTCTTTTTATTAAATATTTAAAACAGACTACAATTTTAAGATGTAGATATACCATATTATAATCATTTTTTGATTCTTAAGCACTTAGTTCATTCTGAATCTTTCTTCAAAGTTGAAATTCATGTTTGTATATATTAATGTTTCCCTGATTAATTCCTCAGAATAAATTCTAAGAAATGCTAGAAAAAAGACCAACATTTTTAAGATAATTGCTACATATTACAAAACTGTCTCCAAAAAAGTGGTACTAGTAACTTACTTTCCTTACTAGTATTATATAAGAAGCGTATTTCATACCCCTGGGTTAACAATGGGCATCAGTACTTAAAAGAAAAAAAAAAAAAAGGCAGCCCATTTGATAGGTAAAGTATGATATTGCATTTTTAAGTTTTATTTCTTTTTTAAGACATGGTCTCCCTCTGTCACCCAGGCTGGAGTACAGTGGCGCAATCACAGTTCACTGCAGCCTCAAGCTCCTGGGCTCAAGCAATCCTCCTATCTCAGCAACCCCAGTAGTTAATTTTCATTTTTGCAGAAGAGATTAATCAGTGAAGTGCATCAGCTTTGGAATTAGACTGCTAGGGGTTCAAACTCCAGCTCTGCCAAATAGCTACATAAAAGGGCTAGCTAGATCATTTTTCTCATTTCTCACATGGAGTTGTTATAAATGTCAAAGAAGATAACATAGGTTAAGTACTTACTTACCTACTATAGTGCCTACCATGTAATAAGCTGCCAATCACTATCATTTCCTTTTAAATGTGCTGACTTGGAGGAGGTTAACAGAAGGATACAATTGTCCTGTTGGGCCAACATGCTAACCATAAAATCAGCCACTATGTAACAGCTGATTGAATTTCTTAAAGGAAGGAGGTCAGTGAAGGAATATTTTAGTAATGGTTAAAGGGAAAGGAGAAAATTTTGTGTTTGGATTGCATGTGCCTAAAGAAGACAGAGAATACATATTTAAGTTATTTGTGGGCTGTTTTTTGATACCTGCCCTCAAATAGAGTTCTTAATTCCCAGTAAGAGGGTAAAGTCTAAATTCACCATATGAAGTAGTTATTATACTGGCTAAATGGTATCAATAATAAGGACTCCTAGGGAATCTCTGAAACCAACAGGAAACCCAGGTAGCAAGTAAGACAGGCCTAAGAGGCCAGGCGCAGTGGCTCACGCCTGTAATCTCAGCACTTTGAGAGGCCGAGGCGAGACCAGCCTGGCCAACATGGTGAAACTCTGTCTCTACTGAAAATACAAAAATTAGCCAGGTGTGGTGGCACACAACCGTAATCCCAGCTACTCAGGAGGCTGAGGCAGGAGAATTGCTTGAACCTGTGAGGCGGAGGTTGCAGTGAGCCAAGACTGTGCCACTGCACTCCAGCCTGGGCGACAGCACAAGACTCCGTCTCAAAAAATAAAAAATAAATTAAAAAAAAAAAAAGAGAGAAGCTTAATAGCAGAGGGAAAGGGATCAAAAGGGATTAACCAAGTTGGGGATAGAAGGTGAGGAGTAGGGAAGGTGAGCCTTAAATCCAGATAGAACAGATGACTGGATCTTGGGTGTTTTCCCTGTAAGTACACAGAGTTGGACGTCTGACCAGAAGATAGTCAATGCCTGGTCTTATGTTCTTCAGGGATGAGAAGCATAGGCAAGCTTCTCTCCAAAGCATAATTACTCAAAGTTAAGTCGTGATCCATTATGGATTGTGTAATCAATTTAGTGAGTATAACATGTTTTTTAAAAAATTAAATCATATAGAAAAAAATGAAGTGTATCACATTATTCTGCCTCATAGTAACTTACTTAGTATTTCATAGAAGTTAAATTCAAATTATTTCATTTTGGGACTGTATACTTAAATTCTAAACTAAAACTGCTATAAATTTTAGTTAAGTCTCCCTTGAGATAACATCATATTATTTATTTACTTTCTCCAAGAGTTACTCCCAGTCAACAATTATTTCAAGTTATATATCATATACTCAGTGCTAGCCAGAGAAAAATCATTTAAAAACATTTATGACAATAAACTAGTCAATTACACATGTAACAGTTCCCCCAATTTGCTAACCTCAATTTTTATGCTGTATACTTAACAAAAGGAATAGCCTCTATTTTAAAAGGAAATATTTTAATGTATGCAGGTAGCTTAAATTTTTAAGTATCTTACAAAGATATTAGAAAAATTACTAATATTTCTAACAAAACAAATGAGCAGTCAGTTGCCAGTAAGTCTCTTTTGAAAAAATAGAACAAAATGTCTACTCTATTGGAAAAAAGTACTAGGAAAAAAGCTGCATGTAAAATAAAGAGGTCATATAAGTTACCTAAAACCAACCCAAGTGTGTATCAAGGTACATTCAGGCAAAGGTTTTAAAATGACAAAGCCTATAATTTTCCCTTTAATTTTGTGAATATAAAAATGCTAGTCTGCAGCCTAAAATGTCAAAACAAATAGTTATTACAGGCCAGGTGTGGTGGTTCATGCCTGAAATCACAGCACTTTTGGGAGTCTGAGGCAGAGTTCGAGACCAGCCTGGGCAACAAAGTGAGACCTTGTCTTTACAAAATATCAAAAAATTAACTGGGTGTAGTGAAGCATGCCTGTGGTCCCAGCTACTCCAGAGGTTGAGGCAGGAGGATCACTTAAGCCCAGGAAGTCAAGGCTGCAGTGAGCTATGATAGCACCACTACACTCCAGCACGGGTGACAGAGCAAGACCCTGTCTCAAATAAAAAAAAAAAAATTTATAACATAATCCAAGCCTTTTTCTCTCACATTTGCACAATAACAACATTTCAATGTATTCTTCTGAAGCACCTGTAAAAGATTCTGAAGCATCTGTAAAAAGCTGAAAATAGATATCATATTAGGTGTGATGTTGGTCCACTCCAAAAGATGCCTGAGGCTTCCCTGGCTTTGCTCTCCCTTCTTAGGAAGAAGAGTGTGGTCAGAAACCTGGTCTGGTGTGTCCTTGTATCTCTACTTCCTCAGATCTCAGGAAGGGGTTTCAGGCAGAGAGGATGGCTGGGCAGGACTCCAGGCCATACTCAATACAGCAACCAAATTCAGAAAATATAAGTAATATTTTAGCTTATCAATGCTCTCATTTTCTCCTTAAAATATAAGGCATATGAGTGCATTAAAGTCTTATTCTGTATACTCTCCCAAAATACTACTAAAGATCTTCTATTTGTGAAGAGAGCAAAACAAGTGAAATCAGTTTCCAGAAACAGAAAAATTTTACTTTACCACACTTCTCAAATTGAAAGATATCAAACTATGTAGTTGAGTTTGGGGACTCTGCACTGGCAATTAAGACTGACAGTACATTTCCCCCCTTAATCTTCTGACTTAATGAAACAAAAACTACATCCTAAATACCTTGAGCAAAATCTTTCCCTACAGTTCTTGAAGGGTGTAATATAACTCCTCAGAGTATCATTAAAGTATTACCATGTACATGTAAGTTTGAAATGTCAGTTTTTCTGAAATGTCCATTTTTATTTAAGCATCTAGTACTTACTCAAGGAGGAACCATGTAAAACTGCACAGTTGGGACAGTGATACAGGTCAATGTCAACAGCATGATGTTCTTCTACTCCAACACAGCTAAGACAAAGGAAACCAAAATCAGTATGTAAGTAAGTTGAAAATCTTCGCTTAACTATAATACAGTGGTTGGAATTTAGCTGAGAAATGTACAACCACCTCACCAACACATTTTTGTAGAGCACAGAAACACATATAAAGATAAATTTTATTCTGTTCTCTACAAACTTGCTAAGTGAGTGTGAGGGAGAATATACTATACTCAAAGTAATCCTCTCTTAGCAGCAGTAGAGACATCAGAAATACTGCAATTATAAGCCATAAAATCCTCAACCATTATGTAAATGTCACTGTTATTAAATGTCAATAAAATGAATCAAAAGATAAATCATATTAAAATGTGAACAATGATAATACAATATGACAAAATTTGTGGGATGAAGCACTTGTAAACAGAAACATATAGCTTTAAATGCATCTGCTAGAAAAAAAGAGGCTGAAATTAATGAGCTATGTATCTACCTCAAGAAGTTACAAAAAGAATAGACAAAAAAACCTTAAAAACAGATAGAAGGAAAAATAAACAGCAGAAATCAATGACATAAAAAACACGTAATACAGCATTGAAGACAAAAATTGATTCTTTGAAAAGATTAACAAAGCTGGTAAACCTCTAGCAAGGCCAAGATAAAAGAGAAAAGGCATAGCCCATTTTAGGAATGATCCTAAAGACATTAGATATAAATGAGGATATTATGAACAATTTCATGCTAAGAGATTTAAAATATTAGATATGGGCAAACCTGAGTCATGAGGAAATAGAGTGCCTGAATAGTCCTGAACGATCACTTAGTAATTTTAAAAATTGACCCACAAACAAGACTCCAGGCCCAGATGACCTCACATGCAAGTTCTATCAAATATTCAAGAAATAAATAAATCTAATATTATATCAAATTTACTCCAGAGAGTAGGAAAAAAGGATTTGCTCCCTAACTCATTTAATGACAGCATAACCTTGGTACCAAAACTTGGAAAGAATTATAAGTCACCCTCATTTATGAGTAAAGATGCAAATATCAAGTTGGGTCTATCCCAGGAATACAAGGTGGTTTTTAACACTAAAAATCTTAAATCAGTGAAACTTACCACATTATTAGATTAAAAGAAAAATATCATATGACCATTTAAAAAGATTCAGGACAAGTATTTGATAAAATTCAACATTTATGTTTGATTAAAAAGTAAATAACAAAACCTCTTAGCAAGCTTAGAGGATACTTCCATAATCTGGAAAAGGATACTTCTAAAACATCCTATGCAAATAACATGAAACCAGTCACTCTGAGATTAAGAACACAGCAGCTGGGTGTGCTGGTTCACACCCGTAATCCCAGCACTTTGGGAGGCCGAGGCGGGTGGATCACGAGATCAGGAGTTCAAGATCAGTCTGGCCAACATGGGGAAACCCCGTCTCTACTAAAAATACAAAAATTAGCTGGGCACGATGGCCGGTGCCTGTAATCCCAGCCACTTGGGAGGCTGAGGCAGGAGAATTGCTTGAACCCAGGCGGCAGAGGTTGCAGTAGGCAACAGAGTGAGACTTCATCTCAAAAAAAAAAAAAAAAAATAGCAAGAATACCTGCTATTACTACTGAATACTATTCAGTGTTCTAGTGAACACTGTGCTGGAGGATCGAACTGGTACAGTAAAATAAGGAAAAGAATTAAAAGGCATAGGAATTAGGAAAAAAAGCTGTCATCTGCAAGTGCTATGGTTACACATCCAGAAAATGCAAAAGAATCTATAGAGAAATCATAAGAATCAAGAAAAAGATTGCTAAATATTAGTATATTAAAAATTCTAGTTCCATAAACCAACAATATAAAGCTAAAAAGTGAAATACCATGTACAACTGCATAAAAATGTCAAGTACACTGGAATAAATTTAACAAAAACTATGCAAAGCTTCTTTAGGGAAAAGTATAAAATATTATTGAGAGACTTTAAAGAAAACCTAAATAAAGGGAGATATACACCACGACCATGGGTTTGAGGTTCAATAATGTAAAGATATTAATTAATTCTCCTCAAAGTGATTTATAGATTCAATTTAATTCCAATCAAGATCGGTGGAACCTGACAAGCTGGTTCTAAAATTAATATGGAAATGTACAGGGCCAAGAATACTCAAAGCATTCACAGAAAACAAAAACAAAAACAAAACAAACCCCCCCCACCCTAAAACTCTACCAAGTATCAAGACTTATTTTAAAGCTCTAGGAATCAAGGCAATATGAAACAGATGCCAGTGCCCAAAACCAGATCCATGTATATGTGTGCACTCATATGTAACAGGAGGCACGGAAGAGCACACGGCAAGAATAAACTTTTCAATACAAGGTCCTGGACACTTTTTATATAGCCTCTATATCAATATCTTATATATATGTATCTTTTTATTTTAAAAAAGATATATTGGCCTAGTGGGGTGGCTTACATCTGTAATCCCAGCACTCTGGGAGGCCGAGGTGGGCGGATCACTTGAGGTCAGGAGTTTGAGACCAGTCTGGCAAACATGGCAAAACCCCACCTCTACTAAAAATACAAAAATTAGCCAGGCATGTTGGCGCATATCTGTAATCCCAGCTACTTGGGAGGCTGAGCCAGGAGAATCGCTTGAACCCAGGACGTGGAGGTTGCAGTGAACCGAAATCACACCATTGCACTCCAGCCTGGGTGATACAGTGAGACTCTGTCTCAAAAAAAAAGAAAGATATATATCTTTGTTAAGATAAAAAGAAACACATACATATTTATGTAAAATATATTTATATAAAATAGGCTTGATATTTTATATATCCATAAATGATATTTATATATAATATATATTTATATATTAAAAAGATATTTATATATCATATATATATAAAAGATATTTATATATCTTTTTAAAGGAAGCAAAATAAAATTATTTTGCTATCTCATAAAAATGTATTCCAAAGTAGATGATAAACCTAAACACACATAAAACACAAAGTACAAAGGTTGTATAACATAATATAGAAAATATCTTTATGACTTTATGACAGGAAGGACTGTCTTAATCAAAACACAAAAAGCACTGTCCATAAGGGGGAAAACTGATAACTTCAGCCATATTAAAATAAACTCCTATTCATTAAACTATAAAGAGTGAAATGATAAGCCAGAGTAGCAGAAGACATTACAATACAGGTGGCCACCAAAGGAATTATACCCAGAATATACTGAACTCCTATAAATCAATACAAAAAAAAAAACCAATAGAAAAATGAACAAAATACTCGGATAGGCACATCATAAAAGGAACTCTAAGTGGTTGAATCACACATAAAAACGTGTACAACCTCATAAGTAACTGGGGGAAATATAAGTTAAAAGCACAATAAATACCACAACATACCCAACAGACCAGCTAAAACTAAAAAGCCTGATGATACCATGTGTTGAAGATGATGTAGAGCAATAGGAACTTTAAACTGATAGTCTGATACAGCCATTGTGGAAAACAATTCTGCACTAAAACTGAAGAATCAAATATTCTATGATTACTCAATGACCAAGCAAATCCTCTTTTAGGTAAACACACCTTAAAGAAACTCAGGCACATGTGCACCAGGATACCTACCTATACAAAACCGCTTATAGAATCATTATTTGTGAAGTCTATAAATAGTAAAATGGATACAGTATATTCTCATAACAGAAATCTATATGGTAATGCAAATTAAAAAAAAAATCATACAATAAATGAATGAAATCTACAAGTTAATCAAGGCGGGCGGATCACGAGGTCAGGAGATCGAGACCACCCTGGCTAACACGGTGAAACCCCATCTCTACTAAAAATACAAAAAATTAGCCGGGCGTGGTGGTGGGCGCCTGTAGTCCCCACTACTCGGAGGCTGAGGCAGGAGAACGGCATGAACTCGGGAGGCGGAGCTTGCAGTGAGCCGAGATGGTGCCACTGCACTCCAGCCCGGGTGACAGAGCAAGACCCCGTCTCAAAAAAAAAAAAAAAAAAGACATAAAAGAGTACATATGATATATTCTATGTATGCAGAAAATTCAAAACTAGGGAAAGCCGAAGTATACTGTTTAGGGATAATAAAACTATCTTAAAAAAACAAGGAAGAGATGGATCTTGAAAGGACAATGGTTTCCTCTGAGGACTGTCATCTGAAAAGGATGGCAGGTGGTGTCCTGGGGTTCTAGACAATTATTACATGGGTGTATATTTTATAATTATTGATTAAACTGTAGATTTATGTTTTAGACACATTTCCTCTATTATTCCACAATTAAAATACTAAATAAAAATACACAACACAATACACAATTAAAATACTAAATTTCACAATTAAAATTCTACCCACAACCATGTAAAAAATTAGGTAAACAAAAATCTTGAAATGTATTAATCTAATAACTACAACAAAATATCAAAAGCAATAAATCAGAGACCTCCGGATATGCAAAAACAAGCCTACTCTCACCTGAGAGAACTCTAGTACACTTGCTACTGTAAAGTCTTTGAGAGCTTGAGTAGAGCTTGCTGCAATCCCAAAAGGTCAAAACCAAAAGATGTCAACAAATAACATGACATTGCTGCTTGAATACTGAATCCACATAACTAAATCAAGCTATTACACTTTGCTTTTGAGTAGAACATAAGTTTACTTTATTTGTCCAATTTGGATTTACATCACTTTTCCCATAGAAAGCAAAAGGTGAATATGCTAATTGTTTAAAAACTTATTTTTTAACTGAAAGACTATAAATTTCCAATTCAATAAATAAATGTTATACAAAATTGTATATATCTTTACATACAATTCCCTTGGTCCATAGTTTCTTATAAGAAACTCAAAAAGGTTCCTGTAACCCAAAGAAAAGGTTAAGAATCACTGGATGGAGGATTCACACTTCCCGACTTCAAACTTACTTAACAAAGCTATGGTAATCAAGACTGTGGTACTGGCATAAGGATAGACACACCGAATAGAACTGAGAGTCCAGAAATAAACTCTTACATTTGTGGCCAATCGATTTTTGGCAAGAGTGCCAAGATCATTCAAAGGGGAAAGAAGAGTCTGTTCTACAAATAGTATGAGACAACATACATATGCAAAAGAATGTGTTTGGACCTCTACCACACACCATATACAAAAATTAACTCAGATGGATGATATACCTAAAGGTAAGAGCTAACACTATAAACTCTTGAAATAAAGCATGAGTAAGTCTTCAAGGGTTCGGATCAGAATATGGGTTTTGAGATCTGACACCAAAAGCACACGGGACAAAAGAAAAAGTAGATAAACTGGTCTTCATACTACAGTCTAAGGGCTTCTACTTTTCTCAGCTAAGTTTAGTGTGAGACACTCAGCTGAGTATGGAAAAAGGTAGAGAGGTATGAGGAAAGGAAATATAAAAGGGGTGATCTGTAGAACGAAAGACTAAGAAACACAATAAGATTGCTAGCTAGTGTTCAGAGTCCAAATCCACCTGAGGTTCCAGATGTCTGTCCCCACCATACACACACACACACACACACACACACACCCTCATGCTGAAACGTAATCCACAATGTTGGAGGTGGAGCCCGGTGTGAATTGTTTGGGTCATAGGGGCAGATCCCTCAGGAATGTCTTGTGCTGTCCTAGGGATGGTCAGTGAGTTCTCATGAGATCTGGTTTAAAAATGTATAGCACCTCCCTCCCACTCCCTTGTACCTCTTCTCACCATGAGAGCACCTACTCCCCCTTCGCCTTCTGCCATGATTGAAAGCTTCCTGAGGCCTCACCAGGAGCAGATGCTGGCACCACGCTTCCTGTACAGCCATAGAACCATGAGTCAATTAAACCTCTTCTCTATAAGTGACTCAGCCTCAGGTATTTCTTTATAATGATGCAAAAACAGCCTACTACAAAACCATTTAAACAGCCTAATACAAAACCATTCCTATGTATTTATGTGATTTTTTTTCAACAATGTTCACCCATGTGGTGCAGACCCAGAGCAGGAAATTGGATTCATCCAGAGTTGGGGTTTTTGTAGGTAAAGACCAGAAAAGGAGTTCCTGATATTTACAAGGGAATTAAAGGATGACCCGTGAAATGTAAGTGGTCAAAAAAGATGTGAAGACGGAAGGTAGTGAGAAAATGGTGAGATGATCTGAGGGGTCTTAATGGCTCCCAGCACTGAGTCCGTGGAAGGCCTTGAGCAACTGACCTATAAGGAGGCGAGATTATGCCCAAAGAGTAGAATGTTCAGAATCTGACATTTCCGAGGTAGCATCATCTATAACAGTGATAAGATCCAAGTGTGGAAACAGTGTGTGGCTAAAGGGCAACAAAAAGATCACTGCAGATAAGTGAAAAGATGCATGAGAGCTATCTCTGCATTCAATAAAACAAGTTCAAAACCAAACTTCCCTGATTTTAAATGCAAGGTTCATTAAGTGTCAAAAGAAATAGGTACTATACTCCCACCAAAACAGAAACTCAATGTTAACAGATGCCAAGTTGGCACTTTTTCTATAGAAACCCCTAGTTTGTCTTGTCTCACCTTGACCATGGCCACATTCCTCACTCCTAAGAAGTGACTGTGACACCAAAAGAATTAGAGAAAAAAAATGTTTAGATGTGTCCTGAAAAACCTAAACCAGCATATCATAAACTCTCCATGACATCTAAGATACATAAATCAGAATGACTCCCATGAGGGTTAGGGAAAAAAGGGGAGAAAGGGACATTTCAATTAGTTAAGAACACCTTGGGCTGAACATGACTATTAATCTTCAATGATGTATGAGTTCCTCTCTCTAGTGTCTACTTGTCATCCCACCTCACCCCATATAATCTGTTTTATGAAATGTCAGTGAAGGCTTCAGGTTTGGGCCAGTTCTAATCAACTGGTAAAACATTCATAGCTCCATTTATTTTGAAATTCAACACAACACAACAGTAAATTTGATATATCAATAAAAACATGAAATCTGGTAAACTAGTACATCTGAAAAACAGTCCATTTAAATTAACCATACAAAATACAATTTTAAAAAATAAAATTAAACACAAAAAGTTAACATTCCTAAACCAAGAATTATCTCAGGTCTTTGAAAGGAACCAAAAGGAACTACTGCCTACACTTCCGTTTCTCTCTCAGAGGGAGGCATAACTTCTCCCTACTCTCTTTATCACCCACTCCATCCTTCACTCACTGCCTCCCTACTAAAAAATTGCTAGAATCATGATAGCTATAACAGATATGTTAAGAGGAAATGCAGTAGGACACACAAAGAGCACAACTCTGAAAGCAAATTTTCTAAGGATCACTTTCAAACCTGGCACATAACCTTCTTTAGTCTCTTCCACTCACTTCTCTTGTAAAACTTTCCTTCATATATAGACTGTGACACTTTTTCCTAAAAGCAAAATGTTTAGCTTATTAGACCACTTTGTGTGTGAGGGCACAAGGGAGGTGTTTTCCTACAGGGTGACAATCTGACCTTTGCTGAATAGCTTCCATCTATAGAACAGCCTCACTGCCATTTGGTGAGTGGGGCAGTGACAACTTTAGCACTTTCCATTGTCTTAATCTTCTGAAATTGTTGCTTAGCTGGCATTTTTTTCTGACACTTGATGAGAACTGAATTGAATTAATGACTAACCGAAATTCCCTAGGATCAGCCAAACGTTCTCTTTTTTCCTCTCGGATAACACTCTCATTTATATTCTCTACTCTTGGTGTTAGAAGAGTGGGTGGCCAAATTCTTTCAGATCTTACTGTCCGTGGACTTCATTAGATATTCCTCTTGCTTCAGATACTCTCCCCATTCTTCACTGAATGATCTTACACTACCTAGTCTTCAAAGCCCCAAATTCCTCCTCCTTGATGATACTTTACTTGATCACACCACAGAAAGTCCTTCAACATTTTACTGATACACATTTCCTACCAAAAGGGTAGGAAAAAAAAAAACACATTTCCACTGACTTATGGCCTAACATTGTTTAATACTGAGCAATTTTTATATCCTATTCCCTGAACTGAGCTCTTTAAGATTTCTCTCTCAATACCAAGTACAAGATGATCACAGTAAATTTTTGTTGACTATTAACTGTGCTGCAAACTTACTTGAAAACTAATATATTGTGGCAAAATTTTTTAAAATTCTATTCGGTTTGAATTTTTTAAAGAATTTTCTTAAAATTCTTAACAGCTGGTAAAAACGGAAAGCTCTTTCAACATGTAAAGTACAACTTTCATCTTTCCTTAGACAGTAGAAGGCTGTGGTAATGAGATTTATATATCGGAAATTTTGCTTCAAGTTTTCACCTGTGTATCAGAAATTCACCTTCTCATCCAAAGCACCCAACTACTCATTTTCTTCACTGTGACATGTGACATAATCAGAGGACTGAGTCATTGTGTACCCCTAAAGTCCCACACTAACAAAGGAGGATGGGGAGTGGCCTTTGAGGTAAATTAACTCCGGGAATACAGAGGATAGCTGACAGCTTGCTCTGCATGTTTCCTTTCCTATCTTGATTCTGGGGTCAGTTTAGGTCTAGAGACAGCTATAGGAGAGGCAAGGTATCCTCAGTCTACTACCTCCATGACACCGGATAAACACATATCAACTGGCTTCAATGGGATGCATAGATTGTAGAATTAGAAAGACTTGATTTGATTTCCAGCTCTACTTGTTTTGACTTGGAGCAGGTTTCTCAATCTGCCTGAGGAGCAGGCGTTCCCCTGAGATTAAGCAGGACAATGTATGTCAGTATGTAAAGCATGGGACTAAGCCTATAGTAAGCAATGGCACAGTAAACATACTAAGTCATAAACAGCAGCTATTAATATTATTATCATGTCTCTACCAGGTTCCAGTCAGCCAACACTGCCCTAATCAACAGCGTATTAGCTACGAGGTTTGAGCCCAAATAGGAACTAGGCTTTTATGATTGGGCTTAGTATTTTTTTCTTCAATAAGGTCTCTTCAGAGCACACACCAGGCACTCAAATGGCTATGCTTCAAGAAAAAAAAAAAAAAGAGAGAATTTGTTTTCTATTTTTAATTAATTTTAGATGGTGGAGTTGAGAAAAATCTCTCTCTCTCGAGTCAGTCTGCCTGTGTTAGAATCCCAGCTACCCCGCTTAGTAAGCTGTATGACTTCGGGTAACTTACTTTACCTGTTTTTTGTTTTGTTTTGTTTTGTTTTTTGTTTTTTGGTCTCATCTGTAAAGATGGGAAATAGTAACAGTAACCCCCTCAAAGGATTTTTAAGAAAATTAATATACATAAAATGCTTAGAATGAAACTGTAGAACAATGGTTTTGTTGTCCAAAAATCTTACGTTGCTAGCCAGTAAAAATAAGGCTTATTAATTGGCTTAATAAGTTGACATTCTTACTAAAAATACTAGGATGCCAATAGGCATTTTCACTTTTAAATTGTTAATCGTTTTATACAATGTTTTAACCCTGAGACAGATCACTTTATTACCAGATATCAGCTAAGGTAAAAATTTATAATTTGTATGAATTATTTCCAGTGAAAAATCAAACTGGTAATGTATGATTAAATTTGTGGCTCAGAAAAACCCAACTTCTATTATTTTCTTGCTGACATAAAACTGTTTTCACAAAATTAAATGGTTTCTTCATAAATTGAATATGGTATGTTTCCACTTTTGTGAAGATTATATAATTGACACATTAAAGCTGTTTAGTGGCATACTATATGCTTAAGGGGTCTGAAGTAAATGCATACTCTGAACCAAATTCCTTTGGTTCACAATCATCTCTTAAGGTTCACTTATGGTTCACTTTTCCTACCTCCAACAGCAGGGCTCATGCTTCCAACTGTCCCAGGGCTTCCAGAGTTATTTCCAACCAGCTGATTAAAAGAATCTATGATAATAAGGGTGAAGGGAGAAAGACAGTATAAAAAGGAACTGATCAAACAACATGAGAGGAAAATTAGGTTGAAGAGCCAAGATGTGCACTCAGTGGTACAAAACATACTCCCCAAAAAGCTAAAAATCCTGTTGACAAGCTTCTAATTAAATCTGTCCCACAATGAATATGTGAAATATGCACATCAATATGATTTGTATGGTGATACATTATTTGCTTCAAGTACATAAATGCTTGTTATTTTGCTCTTTACTGCCTGACATCTTGGACACAGAGTAACTGGCAATGCAAATGGTGAATGCATCCTTACAAATAAGCACAAATCATTATTTCATGAAGGTAATAATTTTTATTAGAATGTTCTAAAGAAGGAGGAGGTGCTTTACATTTCTGAAATATTCAAGAAGCTAACTATATTTACTTTTCACTGTCCTGTGGTGAAAAGGACAGTGAAATTCTCAAGTTAATACTCTCTTATTCCTCAGCCTACTTTCTGCCTACCTGGCTGGGTATGAGGAATGTCTACACAGACTAAAGAAATTAGGATACAAACAGTGCCCAGTATATCTGCTATTTTTGTGGAGATAAAGACTATTCTTTTATTTATAAACTGTGATACAGCAAATAAATATCATCCCAAAATGAATATGATGTGAGAATTTGGTAAGAACTTTGTAAATCATCTTAGGGAAGAAAAAACTTGCCATGATGATAAATAGTATCAATTTCATAAAGGTTTGCTTGGCAATGTTTTTAAGTTAACAAAGGCAAGAAGTATGCTATCTGTAATATATATCTGAAGTGTGTATATACATAACAGTATGTATGTGAAGTTCTACAACACATGTGAATATTTATATGCCTCTCTTAAATATAGGTATTAGAGTGAAAGTCGCGTAGAGAAAAATGATTCCTTTGGCAGAGCAAGTTTTATGGTGTAATTTACTACCTGCTTTCTGTCTTCTTCTCTATCCATTCCCACCTCCCTTAACACTAAGGAAAGGTGAAACAGCACTAAGCACCTTGAGCCCAGAGATGGAAAATGGGAAAACCTTCCTGTTTCTAGCAGCTTTGACCACCACACAGGGTCTCATCAATAAAGAAATATATACACCCTACTACTGTCACTATTTTTGACTGATGAATTCTACAAGAAGAAACATTATACAAAAACTTGTTAGTACCTAGAAGTACAATGAAATGTTTACTGAGTCCAGTTCCTCATGAAATGCAAGACATAAGGAATTAACACACTAAAAACTTTCTAAATCCCTTTAACACTCAGTCTATCTGTGGCTCCCAAACCTGGCTATGCATTAGAATCCCCTACAAGCTTCTATAAGCTTCTACACGGCAGCCTTTCAAAAGAATGATGCAGCTCTGTAAGTAGGAATATGGAAAGATCTCCAAGATACGCTTGCTGTAAAGCAACAAAAGCCAGGTGCGTAACAGTTTGTATGCGATCCCCTCATCCCTATGTTTGTAAATGCAAGGTATATGTCTGGAAGGGCATGTAAGAAATTGGTAACAGCAGTTGCCTCTGGGAAAAGAAAACTGAATGGATATAGAATGGAGAAGAGGAGAATTGCTTTTCACCATAGAACCTTCTCTATACCTTCTGAAATCAGCAGTGTACATTGTTTATTTTTAAAAAGAAAAACACATTCCTGAGCCCCACCTTTGCTCTACAGGGAAAGTTAATGAGTGTGGCCCAATAATCTCTGTTCTTTTTTTTTTTTTTTTTTTGAGACGAGTTCCACTCTTGTTGCCCAGGCTGGAGTGCAATGGCACAATCTCAGCTCAATGCAACCTCCGCCTCCCAGGTTCAAGCAATTCTCCTGCCTCAGCCTCCTGAGTAGCTAAGGATTACAGGCATGAGCCACCACACCCAGCTAATTTTTTGTATTTTTAGTACAGATGGGGTTTCACCATGTTGGCCAGGCTGGTTTCGAACTCTTGACCTCAGGTGATACACCCACCTCGGCCTCCCAAAGTGCTGGGATTACAGGCGTGAGCCACCGTGCCCGGCCACAATAACCTCTGTTCTTAACAAGTTCCCCAGGTGATTCTTTTGCAGCAATCTCAGCAGAGAAATGGCACTGAGGAACTATTGATCTAAAACTCTAGCATCATGGCTAGTGCGACACCAAATTTTCATAGGAAGTGACTTTCTATGAAAGCTTCGTTGGACTTTAAGCTCCTTAAAGACATGGGTAATATTTAATTCAGAATTTCCCATTGCCCACAGATCTACCTAAAGCTGATTACATAGTGGATTCTCACACAATATTTACTGATTGACACAAAGCAGGAATGCCAAGAACATCAGGGAGACATTCGCTTGGGCTACCATCTTGGAGCCCGTTTAAATATAAATTTTGCAAATATAAAGGGATAGAAAATGAATGTGAGGGGGAAAGTACAGAACTGATTATTTTTTTCTTTCAAGAATTTATTCTGAAATGTCCATACCTTTTTCAATGAAAAAGGACACAGTATTCCTGATTATTTAGGTTCAGGCAACTATAATCCTCTTGTACAGGAAAAAAGGTCTTCATTCATCACAAATGTATATATTATGCCCATTTACTTTTCCTTTCATGTAGTTCCTAAATGTCCCTATCTTAATCTGACATTTGGAATGTCAGTAAAAGAAGAAGACAAATGGATTATAAATGAAATAAATAGGATCTTTAAAAGATGAATGAATAAGCATCTGAAACTCTCCAATCCAGCAGACAGTTTTATTTCCCATTGCAAGTACAGAAGGGAAAGCTATATTTTCTAGGGCCTAATGAAACCTACAGAAGATTGAATATATACAGGAATAAAAGATCATACCTTGGGATAAAAGATAATAGCAAAAACATATATCTAGGACACTTAGTGATGAATCAACTACAATGGACAAGAGTCAACTAAGGCAAATCAAGTAGATCTAGTTTTCCTACTAACCTTTCTCATCTCATAAATAGTCTTCAGTGCCTGCATCTAAGGGGAATAAACACATTCCAAACCAAGCCAAGCCAAGAGAAAGCATTCATATTAAAGGCCTCTCTGCTGGAACAGAAACTAAGGCAACATTCTAAGGAGAACTTAATATCCTTAGTATGCTTTTTCATTCTTGATGAAAGACGAGTTACAGTAGGGGTCTGAACCACAAAAATCTTGACATAACTGGTAACAACATCCTACGTGGAAATTTATATATGACCCAGAGACCTCAAAGAATTTTAATACATGGCCAGAAGTGGTGGCCCACACCTGGAATCCTAGCACTCTGGGAGGCCAAGGAGGATGGATTGCTTGAGGCCAGCAGTTCAAGACCAGCCTGGGCGACAAGGCAAAACCCAACTCTACTAAAAATACAAAAGTTAGCTGGCCGTGGTGGGACACACTTTTAATTCCAGCTACTTGGGAGGCTGAGGCGTGAGAATCACTTGATCCCGGGAGGCGGAGGTTACAGTGTGAGCTGAGATCATCCCACTGCACTCCAGCCTGGGCGAGAGTGAGACTCCGTTTCAAAAAAAAAAAAAAGAAATCCAACACAATTACAAATCAGAAGTATCCATCAATAGCAAAATAGGTGACGCTGAGTTGCCAGGAAAGGTCAACAGCAAGCACTGGACCATTCTATTTCGAAACATACAAGTCAGGGCAATATGTAAAGTACATAAAGTGTAAGAAGGATTTTTAACCTATTCACATGTTGGATCCCTTCAAAAGATAATTTGTCATTATAGGTTCCTCAAAGTCCATTTTGTAATTCCTTTTTTTTGAGACGGGGTCTCGCTCTGTCACCAGGCTGGAGTGCAATGGCACCATCTCAGCTCACTGCAACCTCTGCCTCCTGGGTTCAAGCGATTCTTGTGCCTCAGCCTCCCGAGTAGCTGGGAATACAGGCACGCGCCACCACACCCAGCTAATTTTTGTATTTTTAGTAGAGACAGGGTTTCATCATGTTGGCCAGGAAGGTCTCGATCTCCTGACCTCGTGATCCGCCCACCTCGGCCTCCCAAAGTGCTGGCCATTTTGTAATTCTTAATTTCCACTAAAGGTCACGTGATCGATGACAGGCAAATGTAAGGAAAATATAGGCGGTCCTTACTTTGCATGGTAGTGCAGGACCATAAAAGTAACCATGCGTGAGGCCGAGGCGGGCGGATCACGAGGTCAGGAGATTGAGACCATCCTGGCTAACACAGTGAAACCCGTCTCTACTGAAAATACAAAAAACTAGCTGGGCGTGGTGGCAGGCACCTGTAGTCCCAGCTACTCAGGAGGCTGAGGCAGGAGAATGGCGTGAACCCAGGAGACGGAGCTTGCAGTGAGCCGAGATCACGCCAGTGCACTCCAGCCTGGGCGACAGAGCGAGACTCCGTCTCAAAAAGAAAAAAAAAAAAAAGTAATCACACAAGCTGAAATCATGCCAAGTGATTTTAATAATCAATGGGGGAAATCACAATTGTTCTGGTGAACTTTAAAAATGTTTGTCAAAGCATTAAGAACTCTCTTACTGTTGGTTATAATGTACAGAGAAATGAAAAAACAGTAAAACTAATACTTCTTTAGTACACTATAATTTAAAACATTATGCCATTTAGCATGCCTTCACTAAGTGCCTCTGGCTGCCTGTCTAGAGTTCCGCAAATGGCGGCAGTGGCAGCGTTCCCACTGTCAGTTACTTATTTTATTACTCCATTTATGCTCAATTGGATTTTACTTCCAGAGTTATCATTTTTTGTTTCTTTGTTGCTCTTTCATTTTTACTGGCCACTTCCCACTTTCGATTATCTATTTTGCTAATAGGTCATGTAAGTTTATTACTGAGAGGCAAGGAGGCAGCAAAACATGCTCTCCTGTCTGCGTGTAAACTGAAGAACAGACGCGTGCCTGTTATTTTTGCAGTGATTTCTGATCTGCATACTGAAGAGTCTGTACTTATGCATTCATAGGTAACACACCATGGTGACTGAAATTTGAATCCTGGGTGACTAGTGTTGTTATCTAATGGTAACTGAAATCAGTGCACACCAGAACCCTGCAAAGCAAGGACTGGCTCTACAGCATTCCCTTAAAAAACATTTTTTTTAAAAGTGTCCTGGACAGGCACAGTAGCTCATGTCTAAAAACCCAGCACTTTGGGAGGCTAAGGCGGGAGGACTTCTTGAAGCCAGAAGTTCAAGACCAGCCTGGGCATAATGAGACCCCCGTCACTACAAAAAAAAAAAAAGTTTTTAAAAATTAGCCAGGTATGGTGGCATGTACCTGTAGCCCCAGCTACTCAGGACGCTAAGGTGGGAAGACTGCTTGAGCCCGGGAGTTTGAGGCTGTAGTGAGCTGACTGCACCGCTGCACTCCAGCCTGGGAGACAAAGTAAGACTCTGTCTCTTAAAATTAAAAAAAAAAAAAAAAAAAAAGACAAAAAACAGTGTCCTGCAGGAGTCAAAGTTATTCACAAAAAGATTCCACAGTTCGTAAGAGAAACATAAGGGAGACACTGGGCTGAGATCGAATCACCTTCATTTACCAGCAATACTTCTCAGTGAATTTAACAAGTTAACAAGCACTTTCAATTTCCATGATGGGGATCAAGCATAAGTGATAAATACTGTACCCAACCTCGGGTCTTTCTCTCTCTCTCTCCCTTTTTTTTTCCCCACAAAACACTTCATGGGTTATTATTTTCCACCTTGGAAAATTGCCTTAGAAGCTAATTTTCAGACTCATCAGCTATGAAGAGTTTATTATAAATTTGTTTTTATAATTATAAGTGTTACAACTTTATGATTTAAATTTACAAAATTAAAACATTTTTAATGTTTTGCAATTTTACAATTGGTACAAAGTACCAATAAACCAAGTGTATAGTAAAACCACCCCTTTATCAACACAGGAGACTAAAATGGTGACAGCATTACCAAGCATTTACTGACTACTAACAAAGCACGTTAATGAATACATATGAACCAAAGAAGTCAATAACTGATCATACACTAAAACTTTCTAAAACTATCTTTTTAACCTCAAAAGAAACAAACAAATTGTTTGTCTCCAATTACCCTTATTACAACATAATTAACAAGTATTTGTAAGGCACTTTCTAGGCTGAAGTCTAATGACTGAGTCAAATCTTCTTATGTAGATCAAAATACAAGACCTACATAAGAAGCAAGATATAACATATCTCTAAGCCAGCCATATGATTTTCTTCTAGATAAGATTACCTGGAAGCCAGGGCTACCTTTACCCACCAGGCATAGCTTCTATCCTAGGGTAAGAATTCAAAGGTATAATCTAGCACCACAAGCACTCTGATTTCAAAAATTCCAACCCTGACTGCCAGGTTTATTTAAGTGATATTTGCCAAATCCCTTTTGCACAGCTTGACTCCATTCCTGGCTAGGGTCATCCTTTTGTCACCAGTGTATCAGAATACGGAGTGGGCAATTTAAGAAGACCTGTTGCCTAATCCCATGTGGACATCTTGTTTTGCTCTAGTTAAGAAAACAAAATTAGGAGACAGTGGGAACTGGTCAAAGCAGACTAACAGGCAACAGGAAAAAAGAATCGCAAGGAAGGAGATAAAACACCATCGATAAATGGCCACTGGTGTGGGGCAATCTGGTGCACAAACAGTCCAGCAGCCCACATGGCACAGAAGATAACTAAGGTCCGTGATACTTAGTCAACAAAATTATATGCCAACTATTTTTAGAAGGATTTTGACAGACATGCTCTTCTTGAAAGAATACTACACTATTTAAAGCAGTTTAATCTCCTGAGTAACTTTTCTGAGGACAGTTACATTTCACAAGTAGAACTATCAGTTATAGGAAAATCTTATGTATGTAGACCATATCATTCCCCAACGATGGTAAAGTGGTTGCTAGTTTTCTTATATGCCAATTAATCTGTGAAATGTTAACACTTCGTTGCAACAGTTTTCATGCTAAAGGTTACTTACCATAATGGGAGGTTTCTAGTGTTTTGAAAAAGAAGGGATTCTAAAGGAAGGGAGAAATAAGACAGCAACAAACAGCTTCAAATTAAAATCATATCACAAATAACCTTCAAGGCAGTGTATTTTTTTTGAAGGTAGCAGGACCAGAGAACTATTCAATAAAGTAAGAAAGCAGCTTTCATATTCTACTTTGACAGCCATGTTCACAATACATTTTGCACACAGACATAGGTAAATGAAATCACATAATTACACAGGCGTTAATACACAAACACGATTATCATGTGAAAAATCTGTTATCAATGAAATCCAAACTCTATTTTCAAATCCCCTATCTCTTGCTTATTATCCTTCTTTTCATTAACAATTTACCTACTGGTTTAAGGTTGGAGTCCCCCATAAGCAGAACCTGAGACAGGACTGCAGGCATTCAGATGGGAAGTGATCCATGGAAGCACTGGTAAGTGAATGGAAAAGTGAGACACAGAAAGGGAGGGAGCCCTGGGGACATTTGGAAGACTAAGTATAAGGGGCTTCAGAAAGGTCCCACCCAAAGGGAGAGAGGAAGCTAGGTATTTATCTACTATCTCCCATTAGATAATGGCTGAGGGCTATCCCAGAGGCATAATGCCCCAGCATTTCAGACCTGCTTCAAGTACAAGCTGCTGAGCTCCTGCAGCTAGAGAATGCCCTCAGACCAAGTATCAGGTGCTTTCAGCAAGAAGTATTTCACAGAGACAGAGACAGAGATGGAAATAGAGAAAGCCAGGGGATCCGGGTGGGGCTCCCACAGAGCCTGCTGCATATGTACAAGCCTAGTCTCGCAAACCTCTAATGCACACACCCTTAACTTGCACATTTCCTGTACAGATATGCTCATCTTCATACTCACCCTCTGCTCCATTCTCTTATCTCAGCATCCTCCTAGGGATAAACACTGAATAGGAATATACACAAAATGGCATAATAAATAGTTACAGGTAAATAGGTACAGGTTCAGTAAATAATACTTGGGTAATATTTAATAATTACTGAACAAAGATCAAGGACAAAATTGTTCAACTTGATGAGGAAATCCACAATTGAGCTGTATAGGAGGAAAAGAACCATCTTCGGATCTTAGGAATTCTCCAAAGGGAAAAATAATTATTTTTAGCAACTCACTATGTGACAGTTCTAAAGACATGAATAAAATCGATGGATTTTTTTGTCCCACCACTGAGGGTAGCCTCAGCTTTACGCTGAACTATGGTAGGCTCAGCTACCATGAATCTCTTATGAGACTACACCATTATGTGAAAACACTGAGGCCAGGCACAGTGGCCCATGCCTGTAACCCTGGCCTTGGGAGGCCGAGGTGGGAGGGTCGCCTGAGCCCAGGAGTTCAAGACCAGCCTGGGCAACATAGTGAGACTCTGACTCTACAAAAATATTTAAAAATTAGCTGGGTGTGTTGGTGCATGCCTGTAGTCCCAGCTACTTGGGAGGCTGAAGTGTGAGGATCGCTTGAGCCTGGGAGGTCAAGGCTGCAGTGAGCTGTGATCATGCAACAGCACTCCAGCCTGGTCGACAGATTAAGACTCTAATTAATCAATTAACAAACAAAGAAATAATTGATACAGGGCATGGTGGCTCATGCCTGTAATCCCAGCACTTTGGGAGGCTGAGGTGGGTGGATCACTTGAGGTCAGGAGTTCCAGACCAGCCTGGCCAACACGGCGAAACTGTCTCTACTAAAAATACAAAAAAAAAAAATTAGTCAGGTGTGGTGGCACACGCCTGTAATCCCAGCTACTCGAGAGGCCAAGACAGAAGAATTGCTTGAACCCAGGAGGCAGAGGTTGCAGTGAGCCGAGATCACACCACTGCACTCCAGCCTGGGCCACAGAGCAAGACTCCGTCTCAAAAAATAAATAAATAAATAAATAAATAATAATAATAATAATAATAATAATTGAAATGTTGAAGCAGGTGGGAAAAGGGCAATAGTCTTTCCTGCAAAAGGGATTAAAATATCTTAGCAATCTTAAGAGATGTTCCCCAGAGAAAGAAGTACTTCAGGAACTATTTAAAAAGAAAGGAAGAAATTGTGGCAATGAGCAGGGAATTTTCAGAGAAGTTTTCCTTAAGAGGACAAATGTTCCACTAAAGTTCATTTAAGTATTGACTTACAACTTACATGTTAAAAGCACCACTCTGGCTTCTGGAGGGCAGACAGAGGGGGACCAGTTAGGAGGCTACTTCAATAAGCCCATCTTACACAAGGATAGTGATGAAGGCAACCAGTAGTAGTGAGATTCTGAAGGTAAGCGAACAGGATTTGGCCAAATAATTTAGTGCAGATTATGAGAGAAGCATCAAGGATGACTCTAAAGATTCTGCCCTGAACAACACGAAGGACTGCCATTAAATGAAATGAAGAGGACTACAGGAGGAGCAGTTCTGATCAAGAAGGGAGGGAGTCGTGGGGTTTCATTCTGCATACACTCAAGGTTGGCCTACCTACTATTCATCCAAGTGGAGATATAAAGTTGGCAATTTATATTCAAGACTTGAGCTCAGGGGAGAGAGCTACGAAAGAAAACAGGTGAGCGCTGGAAAAACTACTGAGTTACCATGGGGTACCCAGCCATAAAAGATCAGGGAGACGAGAAGCAATTGCAGTTAAGAACTGAGAAGGAGGGGTAGCAAAGCAGAAGGAAAATCAGCACAGGGGTTCCCCAGATGCCAAGTTAAGTGATGCTCACTGATAACTTTGAAAAGAACTGTTTCAATAGTGTGTTAACAATGAAAGCCTGATTGGATTGAGTACAAGAGAAAATGGGACCTCTCATTTCCTAGGAAAGGAAAAAAACCAAAAAACTGGAAACAGCAAGTAGGAACAACCTGGTGAATTTTGCTACAAAGGTAGCAAAGAAACAGGGCTGCAGCTGAAAAGGGATGTCAGTCAAGAAAAGGGTTTTTTGTTTGTTTGTTTGTTTCTTTTAATAAAGGATACAGGCCGGGCTTGGTGACTCATACCTGTAATCCCACACTTGGGGAGGCCAAGGTGGACAGATCACTTGAGGTCGGGAGTTTAAGACCAGCCTGGCCAACATGGTGAAACCCTGTCTCTACTAAAAATACAAAAAAATTAGCCAGGCGTGGTGGCACACACCTGTAATCCCAACTACTCAGGAGGCTGAGGCAGGAGAATCACTTGAACCCGGGAGGTGGAGATTGCAGTGAGCCGAGTTCATGCCGCTGCACTCCAGCCTGGGCAACAGAGCAAAACTCCATATTGGAGAAAAAAATAAAAATTAAAAATTAAAATAAAGGATATATGCGTACAATTGGCATGCTAACAAAAAAAAATGGTGAGGTAGGGATACAACTGTTGAAGCCAGGTCCTTGAATGGATGAGTGGATGGGATCTAATACACCTAAAGATAATTTCCAACTACAGCAAAGACCACAATCTATATGACTTAGCAGTTGCCTTTTCGCGTTATGCATATGTGGAGGAACAGACTTCAAGCAGGCTTGAGGCCTCCTAGGAAGATGAGATTCCTGAGAAGTTGATCATCAATTCACCCAATCTTGCCATTCATACTGAGGACCGTCCTGAGGCTGTGGGCAGTTTCTCACATCCCTGGAACAGGCAATGTCACCAGTAAAATAGGGAGGAATCAAGAGGACCTCAGGACCCATATAACCACAAGAATGGCTAGACCTGATGGGATCCAGATGCAATCAGCATATCACTGGCAACAGGGCAGCTTTATGGGAAATTGAAGGCCAGGGAAGTTTGTCCTGCCAGTGGGACAAATTCTACTAAGCCTCCTGCTTTGTATAGCCATTCTCATTTGCTTATTTAAGTTCTTCAATCCTTGACTTCCATTAAAAAAAAAAAAAAAAAAAACCTGTACCCTTTCTCTGTGTCTACTAGCCTATCAATCATCATTACCCTTCTGACAATCTTATAGGTACACATTTTAGATAATATTTTTTATTTCAATAAATACATATTTTCTTACACCTATTAAAATGTAGCGTGAGCATCACTAACACGATTTAGCAGACACCTCTGTTTAAGGCAAGTAAATTTTTAAAAATAAAATCCATTTAAAGCAGTTTTAAAGAAAAATATTAAATAAGCAACAAAAGTGTTACACTGATATGGCAGAAACTGTGATAGAGGCCAATGAAAGCCTGAAATGTGATGGTGGTAAATGAAACTAAAAAATCACTGATGCAGTGGAGAGGAAAGGAAGGAAAGGGAAGAAAAGTCACTCATATCCTAACGTTACTTGAAGTCCTAAGAAGCTTGTATCAGGGTCTTTCTTTGTTCTGTCCTCTTAGAATGTCTGAGGTGGTGACTGAATCAGCAGCTGCCCTGGGGTAAGGGGTAGGGCTGCAAAACAAAACACTCTGCAGACCTGCAAGAGATAAGCACAGGACAGACAGTCTCCGATTTACAATGGTTCCATTTAGGATTTTTCAACTTTATGATGGGCTTATCAGGATGTAATACCAAGGTAAATCAAGTAGCAGTTCCCCTAGGGCTGAGGTGGTAACACTCCTGAAGAGATGGGTGGCCCCAACAAGTGATCCTGAGGGAGAGTGGTGTAAGACTTTGGAGCTTTAAGAGAATAATCAATTGCTTACGGGGTAAAGAATGAGAAAACTGAAAAATCAAGTTCAGACTGGGGATAAGACCTCTTCTACTACAGGCTGGATGCCCACAAAGGCAAAGATAAGAAGAGAAAAATTCAGGGAGTAGACTCCAGCGCTGACTACTTGGCATTTGGATGGTTGGAAAAGCAGGTAAGAGGAAAGATGTCCCTGAACCAAACAGAAGGGACTGCGTTCACCCAGTCACCATGGGCTCCAAAGAAAACTTTGATCCTTTGATATAAAGAAAATAAGGACAGGCTAGCACAAAAAAGAAACTGACTCAAAACAACAGGCACACAAAGTTAGCCTTCAAAAAAGTACCGAAATAGGAAGAATGTAAGAGAGGAATATGAATCAGACCTGTGACAAGTTAAATTACGTAAAAAGACTATAAAATTCCTATAATCTGCATATAGTTTACAACCCATGATTCCTTCAAAAAGTAATAAAGTAAAAAAGACTAACCACATGTCTACATTGTAGCATATGTGACAAGTGAGGCACTCTGGCAGTTCACACAGAAGAGGAAAAACCCATGAACCCACAAACCCAGTCCTTGGAGAGGAACACTCCCATGTGGTCCCCACAGAAAGTTTCCAAAACCATTGATGGAAACTGGCCAGAAAGCCCCTGTTTCAAGGATACCAGTGGTCCCATACATCACTGACCAGCTCAGTTAAAATGCTACCAAAACTGTTTCATGTTCTGACCTTTGTTCTTTTTTTAAAACTATTCTGTAGGGTTCCAGACAATGGAAATATATCCAGGTCACATCTCCATGACCATTTTATTTTCTTTTTTAGTTTTGTTTTTTCGTTTTTTTGTTTTTTTTTTCTACGGTGGGGGGGACGGAGTCTCGCTCTGTCACCCAGGCTGGAGTGCTGTGGCGTGATCTCGGCTCACTGCAACCTCTGCCTCCCAGGTTCAAGCAATTCTGCCTCAGCCTCCCGAGCAGCTGGGGCTACAGGCGTGTGCCACCACGCCCAGCTAATTTTTTGTATTTTTAGTAGAGACGGGGTTTCACCGTGTTGGCCAGGATGGTCTCGATCTCCTGACCTCGTGATCCGCCCGCCTCGGCCTCCCAAAGTGCTAGGATTACAGGCGTGAGCCATTTGATATTTATTAATATTAAAGTATTCAAGGGATACTGTATATATCAAAAGGTCTACACTGGACCACATTCCAGTTTCTTTGTGAAACAGTGAATACTCACCTGACAACAGTTTTTGCACATTAAAAATACCAAATTATCTACAATGGTATAAGTTCCCCCAGCTTTCACAACTTCATGATTTTACTGCACACATCAAACTGTTATAATTACTAACTGATAGGCCAGGCATGGTGGCTCACACCTGTAATCCCGGCACTTTGGGAGGCCGAGGCAGACGGATCACCTGAGGTTGGGAGTTTGCGACCAGCCTGACCAACGTGGAGAAATCCCATCTCTACTAAAAATACAAATTTCGCCGGGCATAGTGGCACATGCCTGTAATTCCAGCTACTCGGGAGGCTAAGGCAGGAGAATCGCTTAAACCCAGGAGGCGGAAGTTGTGGTGAGCCAAGATTGCGCCATTGCACTCCAGCCTGGGCAAAAAGAGTGAAACTCAGTCTCCCAAAAAAAAAAAAAAAATTACTAACTGATAAACAGGAGTCCATATTAGATGTTTGAAATTCCTATGTTTTGTGCTCAAGGAAAAATGGCATTTCTAAATTATAAAGGAAGAATATGTTAACAAAACATTGAGACTGTTTTATCCCTCTTCCCCATAATAAAATATAAACTGGACATAAGATCACTGTATTTTCTCTGACATTGATTTTTGTGTTAAGATGAATGCAACTTATAGCCCCAGTAAATAAGAATCTTAAATTTGTATATTTAAGCTCAAACTTCTATTTCATTATCAGTGTTCTTTACACTTGTCTTTGATCAACAGAACATGAATTTTAAACTATGACTACAGATAAAAACAATTTCAAAATGGATAATGCTAGAAACTTACCATAAGGATACCCAAATGCTCGCCAAGAATAAAGATAAACATACACACAAAAATATATATCCTGCAGCACTGTTAAGTAGTAAGAACAAAAGAGAAACCAACTCAAGAATCCATCAAGAGAGGACCAGTTAAATTGTGGTAAATCCACAGAATAGAATTCTATGCAGCTACTAAAAAGAATGAGATATCTGTACATGCTGATATGAGAAGCTCTCTGAGATATCCAGGATATTTTAATAAATAAAAAGTAAGATTTTTGCTTTTCTTTCCTTTTTTTTTTTTTTTTGAGACAATGTCCCGCTCTGTCACCCAGGCTGGAGTGCAGTGGCACTATCTCGGCTCACTGCAAGCTCCTCCTCCCGGGTTCACGCCATTCTCCTGCCCCAGCCTCCCAAGTAGCTGGGACTACAGGTGCCCGCCATCATGCCCGACTAATTTTTTGTATTTTTAGTAGAGACGGGGTTTCACCGTGTTAGCCAGAATGATCTCAATCTCCTGACCTCATGATCCACCTGCCTGAGCCTCCCAAAGTGCTGGGATTACAGGTGTGAGCCACCATGCCTGGCACCAGGTCTTTTTAACAGACAGTCTTGCTCTATCACCCAGGCTGGAGTACAGTGGCAAGATCACACAATCTTAGCGCACTGAAGCCTCAAATTCCTGCACTCAAGCCTCAGCTTCCCGAGTAGCTAGGACTACAGGCACATGCCACCACACCCAGCTAATTTATTTTTTGTAGAGATGGAGGTCTTGCTACACTTCCCAGGCTAGTCTCAAACTCCTGTCCTCAGGTGATCCTCCTGCCTCGGTCTCCCAAAGCACTGGGATTACAGGTGTGAGCCACAGTGCCTGGCCCTCTTACCAGATTGTTTTTGTTTTGTTCTATTTTTCTGTTTGTTTTTTTAATGACAGTTTATATGGTCAAAGGAAACATGGACCTTTCTATATATTTGTCTTTCAACTTCTCTATATTGCTCAATATTACATATTAAATTATATTCCTTTAAATATTTCTCATCCTTTAATAATGAGGATGCTAATTAATCAATTAACTGAAAAAATCAGTGATAATGGAAAAGAATCAAGCATTTAATTTTGCCTCTCCTACACTGTACAACTAGGTAACCAAAGACTAGATAAAAGAAAATTTTCTCTTTATAGTAGTACAAGTAACAAATCAAAAAGAAATTTTCTAATTATCAGTTATAACATTTTATAATTATAATGATAAAGGTATCATTCTGCAACTGCCATGAATGGATATTGGCATTGATCAATGGCAGCCAGCATGACAAAAAGAGAAACAACCAGACATTTTATGCCTTCTGCTTAGGTTCCTGATAGAAATCTACACCACTCTCCTGTGAAATTTTCGGGGATTTAGGGGGACCTGAATCTGATCAAGCTTCTCTAAAGCCAACTACCAATTTATAGGAAAGTGAGAAGCAAAAAGATTCTGCAGGGATGTAATCGGCAAAATCCAGAAAGTGGGAATTTTTAGGATAAACAACCACTTTGTGCAACAAAGAGTTTGCAAGGACGGGGGGAGGGTTAAAGACCTGAAAGAAAAACCTATAGATCAGGGTTTCTCAACAACAACACTATGGAGATTTTAGACTAGATCATTCTTTCTTGTGGGGGCTAACCAGTGCAGAATGTTTAGTAGCATCCCTGCCCTCTACCTACTAGCTGCTAGTAGCAACCACTCTGCCACTCCCAAATCAAAAATGTCTCTAGACATTGACTGGTGTTCCCTGGGAGACAAAAATCTCATCTAGTTGAGAACCACTGCTATGTATTAAGAAACTTACAAGATGTAGCAACTAATCACATGTGTGAACCTTATTTAGATCTTGATTCAAACAAATAGTGAAAAAAATTATGACATTTTTGAGACAACTAGAAATTTGGACAGTAGATATTAATGTTATTAAGAAACTGTTAACTATTTTTAATTATAATAAAGGTATTACAGGTTTTTAAAATTGAGGCCTTATCTTTTAGATTTACATGCTGAAATACTCACAGATATAATGATATGGTATCAGGAATTTGCTTCAAAGTAGCCAGGTAAGGGTGTAGTAATGAAACTGGCAGTGAATTGATACTCACTGAAGCAGGCTTATTGAACCTGGAAGCACAGGATACTATTCGGTCTACTTCTGCATATGTCTGGTATCTTCTCTTTAAGAAAAATTAAAAGTCAAGAAGACCATGGTGCCTGGCAACATTCGGTTGAATGATAATCAGGTGACTGATTTCCACCAACAATGCCATGTATGCTTGCTCATATACCCTCAGAAGTCCTCAAACTAATCGATTTTGAAAGGAAAATACTCACCATCTTTTTAAAAGACAAATTAAAATAAGTGAACCTCAGGATACTTTATATCCCTGGGGTTCACAAAACACAGGTTAGAAAATGCTGCTTTGGGGAAATGCCTGGATCATTAATGCTCTAGAGACTCCTATTATATACATTTACCTGCTCAGTGTTTGTTATTCTATGTCACTCATATTTGCTGATTTTCTTTTATTCTAAAAACTACCAGAGCCAGTGGTGTTTTTTAAAAATTTAGAAACAATATTTTAAAATTTAGCTACAAAGCATCCTTAAGATACAACTTAATTATCCAATAGTAAACCAAGTAGTTAGGGCTATTTTCCCACCAGGTTGTTCTTCACAGTAGCTAATGATAAGCTACACTTAAAAGTATGTTACAGTAGTCCCCTCCTTATTTGTGGTTTCACTTTCTAAGGTTTCAGGTACCAGTGGTCAGCCAAGGTCCAAAAATATTAAATGAAATATTCCAGAAACAGACAATTCTTAAGTTTTAAACTGCCTGCCGTCCTGAGCATCATGATGAAATCTTGCACCATCCCATCTAGGATGTGAATCATCCCTCTGTTAGTGTATCCAGACTGTTTTACTACCTGCCCACAAGTCTCTGAGTTATGAGATCAACTGTCGGGGTATCAATGCTTGTGTTCAGCTAACCGTTATTTTACTTAATAATGCCCCCAAAGCACAAGAGCAGTGAGGCTGGTGTGATGCTGGCAATGCAGATATGCCAAAGAGAAACCATAAAGTGCTTCCTTTAAGTGAAAAGTAAGGAAAGAAAAAAAAACAGTATGTTGAGTTCCTAAGCTCTATGGTAAGAACAATTCTATCTATAAAATTGTGAAGGAGGCAAAAGAAATTCATGCTAGTTTTGCTGCTGCACCTTAAACTGCAAAAGTTACAGCCACACTGTATACCTTTTACTACGGTACACTGTTGTAATGTTCTATTTTATTCAGTTACTGTTGTTAATCTCTTACTGTGTGCCTCATTAATAAGTTAAACTTTGTCATGGGTATGTATATATAGGCAAAAACATGGTATACTCAGAGTTCAGTACTATCCGTAGTTGCCGGCATCCACTGGGGGTCTTGGAACACATATCTCCCTCAGATAAGCGGGGACACACTACTGTATATGCATATTAATAGATCTAAGGAAGAAAACTATACGATTCTCTCCACAGATGCTGAAGGAGCCTTTGATAAAACTCAACATCCATTCATGATAAAACTACGTACATAAAATTGAGGAATACTTTTTTTTCCTTTTTTTTTTTTTTTTTTTTTTGAGGCAGGGTCTCACTGTGTCACCCAGGCTGGAGTGCACTGGTGGGATCATGGCTCACTGCAGCTTCAACCTCCCAAGCTCAAGCAATCCTCCCGCCTCAGCCTTCCAAGTAGCTGGGAATACAGGCACTCCCCACAATGCCCAGCTAATTTTTGTATTTTTTGTAGACGGAGGCTCGTCATGTTGCCCAGGCTAGTCTCAAACTCCTGGACTCACGCCATCCACCCACCTTGGCCTCCCAAAGTGCTGGGATTATAGGCATAAGCCACTGCACCTGGAGGAATACTGTCTTAATACGACAAATTAGTACTAAAGCTAGTATCTTCCTTAATGAGGAAATATTAGAGGCATTTCTACTAAAATCAGGAACAAAGCAAGCATACCCACGATCTACCACTATTCAACTCTATACGAGAGGTATAAGCCTGTGCAATTATATAAGTGAAATCAAATAGAGGCATAAGAATGGGCAAAGAAGTACTAAAACTCTCTATTTGTATATTACATATCAGTTCCCTAAGTGATAATACAACTCAAATAATTTTTTTCAGCAAAGTAGTAGAATATAAAAGTAACATTTAAAAAACAAACAATAACCAACAGCAAACAATAACCAACAGCAAACAAATGGTAAAGAAAATCTCATTTATAATACTAACAAAGAAAATTACTTAGGAATAATCTTAAAAATGTGTAAAATCTATACAAAGAAAAATTAAAAACACACCTGAAAGACACAAAAGTAGATATAAATAAAATAAATAAAAGAGGTAATACTATTCTCAGAGAGAAGGACTCAATATTATTAACATATCAGCTCTCATAAGTTTAATGTAACCCTAATAAAAATCCCAACAATGCTTTTGAATAAAATTAGACAGGTTGATACTAAAGTTCATATTAAAAAATAAATCTGCAAGAATAACCAGAAACACACTGAAAACAAATACAACAAACTAAGAGGATGGGACAGGCCTTACCAGACTTACACCATACTACAAAAGCCTCTGTAATTAAAACACTGTGGTGCTGAAACATCAAGGGACAAATCAACCAGTGGAATAAAACAGAAAGTGCTGAAACAGACCCAAGTATATACAGAATCTTTGACATATGACTATTATATATAAATATGTTTTGGCATCTGAAGTCACTGGGACAAATGGACATTTCAATAAATAGTACTGGGACAACTGGACAATTTCTTTTTATTTAGAAAAAATTCTATTTATATTTCATATTATATACAAAAATAAAATCCAAATGGATTAGTGATCCATTTAGAAGCTTAAAAAATAAAACCACACAAGTATTAGAAAAAAACACAGGAAAAAATTCTCTTTACCTTGAGGTAGAGAAAGGATTGTTAATTATGACTCAAAATCCAGAACCAATAAAAGACTAATAAATATGACTACATATTTCTTAAAAAAAATTTTGCATGGCAAAAAAATTACCATAAACAAAACCAAAAGACAACTGAAAGCTGGAAGAGAATACTTAGAACATTTACCACAAACAGCTAGTACCCCTAATATGTAAAAAGTCCTTAAATATTGAGGGACAAAGGACTAAAAGCTTGATAGAATCAGAAAAAAAAATGTAACCAGATGATTCTTGAAAGAATATGGTCCTAAAACTAAGAAAAAACAAATGTTCAAACTCATTTATAATTAGACAAATGCAGATTAAAACATAGATACCATTTTCCATCTACTGGATTGACAAAGATTAAAAACATGACAACACATCCTGATGACAAGGATCTAGAGAAAAAGGCACTCTCACACTGTTGGTGGGAATGCAAACTGGTCCAACCATTCTAGAGAGAAATCTAGCAATCCTAATAAAACAACATATACATTTATCTTTTAACTAAGCAATCCCACTTTTAGCAATCTAACCTGAAGCTGTATCTCAATACAAGGTCGGGCGTGGTGGCTCATACCTGTAATCCCAGCACTTTGGAAGGCCAAGGTGGGCAGATCACCTGAGGTCAGGAGTTCAAGACCAGCCTGACCAACATGGTGAAACTCTGTTTCTACAAAAAAAATACAAAAATTAGCCGGGCACAGTGGCACATGCCTATAATCCCAGCTACTCAGGAGGCTGAGATGGAAGGATCACCTGAGCCTGAGAGGTCGAGGCTGCAGTGAGCCAAGATCGCACCACTGCACTCCAGCCTGGGCAACAGAGCAAGACTCTATCTCAAAAAAAAAAAAAAACTGGATGTAGGAGGCATCAAAATGTAATACAAGCAGTAACAAATGAACCTGTCAGTAAATGACATACATTAAAGTCAGGTGAAAAGAATTGACCTAAGTAACTTTGGAAAACAATATTCTGATTAGATACTCTAAGGCCAAAGGCAAAAAAGAAGTACTATATACACAAATACTGTAATCTAGCTAGCAAATTTGTTTCTCACAAAAATATAGGTTAGCAAATTCTTGGACTACTTTACAGGATTGAACAAATATGTTGTAGATAATGACAGCTAGGTTTCTCACTGTTGTACAAAAAAAGTTACAAGTAAGGAAAGGGGAAAGCTAAAATGAATCCTGTGGTGTTATATTAGAATCAAAGATATCATTATGAAACTTACAGTTCGTAATATATACAGACAGAAACAAAGACAAATGTGTGTGCATGTGTGCAATTAGTGTATTTCCTAGCTCTGTCCTCTGAGAAGGCCTAGAAACAATGAGCCCACTAATACCAGACCTTGGTTTCTAACACTATTCTCCAATAAAAAGGAAACAGGGCTCACACATATAGACACGAAAATCATACAAGTTACCATTAACTCAACCTACAGTTAATGGGAAAAATAACCTTTTCATTAATGGAAAAAATAAATAATCACTACAGTAATAAAATGTAATTTTCAAAAAAGACCAGAAACTTGGTGGTAGTTGTTAAGATTAGCACTGGCTGTTCAAAGGCTGCACAAATTATCTCAAAATTTAAATTGCTCAAATCAACCAATGCTCACTTTTATAACCAAATTCTTCTATACCTGTTCTATTCTTACTCATAAGCCTCCACTTCAAATCTTCAAAAATAAAAGCATTCCTCCCCTTGGATGATCAGAAAACTCGATTTCATACCGAAAAATACAGAACAGGAGAGCATTCCAAGCAGAAATATACCCCAAACTAATGGGGTTTTTTTGTTTTGTTTTTTAAGACAAAGTCTCGCTCTGTCGCCCACCGTGGAGTGCAGTGGCGTGATCTCGGCTCACTGCAACCTCCGCCTCCCGGTTTCAAGCCATTCTCCTGCCTCAGCCTCCCGGATAGCTGGGATTACAGGTGCACACCACTATGCCCAGCTAATTTTTGTATTTTTAGTAGAGATAGGGTTTCACCATGTTGGTCAGGCTGGTGTCGAACTTCTGACCTTGTGATCCGCCCGCCTCAGCCTCCCAAAGTGCTGGGATTAGCGTGAGCCACTGTGTCCAACCTAACTAATGGTTTTTAAAAAGCTTATGAGAGAACTATGTCCCATGCCTCCAAGTAGCCTGAGATAAGCCTCCCATAATCACAACATATTTTGTTCAAACAGCAAAATTGTGTATAAATTATAAAACTCTTATAAGTGAAACACACAAATACTCATTATTCTATAATAAACGGTCATATCAAAACAATGAAATTGAGAAGTTCAATAAATGAGCTTTTTGTTTTCTTATAGGAAGATACTTATTCACCTAATAAGTTTATGACACCAATCATGAAGGTGAAATGTATATTAAACAAATTTGTAAAATATTTCCTATCCCTAACCAATTTTAAGAAGTCAAAATACACTCTAATAAAAAAAATCCATTTATATAACAAGGATGAAAGCGGAGTTAAATTATAAAACTTTTCAAATAAATATTTTATACATAATGTGTCCCCAAGGCAGTTATAATATTTTACATATTTACATTAAAGAAAATAATTTTGATTTAAAAAAAGGAAGATGTTTACAGGCATGTCTCTTCAGAACCCTGCCTCAACTGTCTCACCTATGCACCCCTGAGATAGAGACAGACAAGTCACATCTAATCCTCCTCCTGAAGCTGGCTGCAGCCAAGGAGGAAGAGGAGACTCAGTACCATCTACCCCCTTGACAGCATGAGCACCGGAGTCAGCCTGCCTGAGCTCAGATGCTAGCTCTCTCACCTTCCAGCCTTTCCATCTTGGGAAAGTTACTGAACTCCCTAACTCTCAGATTCCTCATGTGTAAAATGGGGATGATAATAATAGCAATTACTCAACAAGGTGACTGTGAGACTTCAATGAGTTAACCAAACATCTAATTAATTAGAACAGTGCCTAGCACTTTGTAAAACATTCGATAAGTGAGATTCGATATTTATCTCTCTTTCCCTTCGAGAATGTAAGTCACAAGACAGCAAGGACTTTGTTTTGTTCATTGCTGTATTTCTAGCACAAATACACTATATTCCTAGCACCTGGTACACTACAAACTCTTGGCCAAAGTCAACATCATACTCAATGACAAAACACAAGAGGCAATCTCATTCAAGACAGAAACAACAAATTTTAAAATACTGTGTCAGTTAACAAATTGGCAAATTTTTAGGGTGCATGGCACATCTGTAATCCCAGCTACTTGAGAGGCTGAAACAGGAGGATTGCTTGCACTCAGGAGTTCAAGATCAGCCTGGGTTGGTAATGTACTGAGACCCCCATCCCCCAACAACAACAACAACAACAACAACAACAAAAGACTTCAGTGCACATGCAGCTCAGTAAATCTTTACATCTGTACACATTCATACAACCACCACCCAAGATCAAGATAAAGAATATGGCCGGGCGTGGTGGCTCATACCTATTACAGGCACTTTGGGAGGCCAAGGTGGGTGGGTCACGAGGTCAGGAGATCGAGACCATCCTGGCTAACACGGTGAAACCCCATCTCTACTAAAAATACAAAAAAAAAAAAAAATTAGCTGGGCATGGTGGCAAGTGCCTGTAATCCCAGCTACTCAGGAGGCTGAGGCAGGAGAATCATTTGAACCTGGGAGACAGAGGTTGCAGTGAGCCGAGATTGCGCCACTGCACTCTAGCCTGGAGACAGAGCAAGATTCGGTCTCAAAAATATATATTTATATTTATATTTATATACATATTTTATATATATTTATAAATATATATTTATTTATATATTTATAAATATATATTTATTTTTATATATTTATATATATATATTTTTATATAGTTGTATTTATATATTTATATTTTTACATATTTATAAATATATATTTATTTTATATATATTTATATTTATATGTCCTGAATCTCAGAAACTCCCTCTCAGTCAATTCCCACCCAAAAGGTAAACCCTATTCTGACTCCTAGCCCCACTTATGCCTGTACTTGAACTTCACATAAACAGAGCCAAACAGTATGCTCTTTTGTACTGGGCTTCTGTGTTCAACTTTATTATGTGTGAGATCCATTCATGTTGTGTGCATCCATAGTGTATTCTTTTTTACAGCTTGGTATTCCATTTTATGACTATACTATAATATATCCAATCTACTGTTGATGACATTTAGGTTGTTACAGTTTGGGGACAACATGAAAAATGCTGCCATGAACAGGCTTGGGTATGTCTTTTGGTGGTAATACTGACTTATCTACAGATTAACAGTTTTTGTTTGTTTTGGTAGGGGCTGGTTAATAATACCTTAGATTGGGAGGATGCAGGGAACTAAAAGTGGACACTGTAGGTGAAAGTAGAAATCGGCATAACCTTTCTGGAGGACAGTTTGGCAATAGGCACAAGAAGCCTACAAGCATCTATACCCTTTGACCAATAACACTAGTTCAAGGAAATTTCTTATTGAGAAATTGTACATGCCAGGTCTTCTTCTAAGTGTTTTATATGTATTAACTCATTTTATTTATTCTAAGGAAATAATTAAATAACCACAATAATTTGTTTAGTATGTCAATCATACCATCATTAGTAAACATAAGAAAAAGTAGTAAACAGGTCAGGCGCGGTGGCTCACACCTGTAATCCCAGCACTTTGGGAGGCTGAGGAGGGTGGATCACGAGGTCAGGAGATCGAGACCATCCTGGCTAACACAGTGAAACCCCATCTCTACTAAAAATACAAAAAATTAGCTGGGCGCGGTGGCGGGTGCCTGTAGTCCCAGCTACTCTGGAGGCTGAGGCAGGAGAATGGCGAGAACCCAGGAGGCGGAGCTTGCAGGGAGCTGAGATTGCGCCACTGCACTCCAGCCTGGGCGACAGAGCGAAACTCCGTCTCAAAAAAAAAAAAGTAGTAAACAAAGTAAATAACAATAGGGTAATTATTTTCAAATATATTGTACTTCTGTGAAATTAAACACAATGTAGCCACTAAAAATGTTTTCAAAGAACATTAAAGATACAGGAAAAAGTATACATCAATGACAAAAGGTAACATGGAATGCATAGAAAGAATTCCAATTTTTTTAAAAAAGAATATACATATACACATACCACATTATTAATAAAATAGTGGTAATCACTGGAAGACATGCGTACTTTCATATTCTTTATACTTTTCTGTACTTTCCGATTTTTCCTTAATATATTGCTTTTATCAACTAAAAAATGCGATTAAAGACTAATAAACGGTGTTTACATTCTAACAGGAAGAAAACAGAAACTCTAATACAATTCAATTAGGGCAGTGAGGCAATTTTGCATATGACGATATAAAAGTATTACAGAAAGACATCTAGCCTGGAGATAAGGGAGCGGGGCCTTATCAGGAAAGACGTTTATAGTGGTACGTCCACCAAGAACTCAGGGAGAAAGAACTGTATCTCCAGGTTAGACAGAACATTCCCGGCAAAATCCTGTTAATTCCTCAACCCATTGCCCCTAGAGTTCAATTATACACTGTACCCTGCCTGGCAAGTGTTCTTTTCTCACTTGCAAAAAGGCTTAGGGAGATGGACAGATGGGAATTGGTATGCAGCTAAAGTTTGACAGCATCAGACCTGGAAGACGCTGGTTCCATCCACCCTGCAGCCTGACAGAAAAGCATCAAGGACAGGTCTTCCTTCCCTGTCACAAGAAATTAGGGCAACAACTTTTCAGATTTCCTTATGTCAGAAACGCCAGGCAGAATAAACTAAAATTTATATATATCAAAATGCACTGATTCCTCAGTTTAAAAAGTCCTTCTACTTAAAGAAATAAAGTTAACAAGAAATTACCCAGGCAATGGCAATTCTCTGTATCCAACCTCCTACTCCTCCTTGCTCCTCTACAGATGGACCACCTCTGGTCCAATGAAATCTAAGCATGGTAAAGATACATCTTAGTCCTTTAGGGGTCAATTCTCATGGAAGCAAATGATATTTGTTTAATAGTTAATATAAAGGAACATTTTGCTGTGTTCCGAAAAACGATCACTCATTTTATGGTACAGTAAACATCAGAGTAAATACCACGGGAAAAACATACAGAGTCCAAATTACCAATACTTAAGAATTAAACTTACTAGGCCGGGCAGGGTGGCTCACACCTGTAATCCCAGCACTTTGGGAGGCCGAGGTGGGCGGATAACCTGAGGTCAAGAGTTCGAAACCAGTGTAGCCAACATGGTGAAATCCCGTTCCTACTAAAAATACAAAAATTAGCCAGGCGTGGTGACGGGCACCTGTAATCCCAGCTACTCGGGAGGCTGAGGCAGAAGAATCACTTGAACCCGGGAGGCGGAGTTTGCAGTGAGCAGAGATGGCGCCACTGCACTCCAGCCTGGGTGACAGAGCGAGACTCCGTCTCCAAAAAAAAAAAAAAGAAAAAGAAAAAGAATTAAACTTAATAAAAAGATACTGCTTTTGTAGGGCAGGACAATATAGCTAAATTTTCTAACTTTTGACATCTGAACCACATAAGTTTCAAGGATTGATGGTCAAAAAGACCCTGGGCTCAAAAAAACCTATTTTAGACTCACTTCCACAGATATAAAGTTACACAAATTTATGTGTCAAAGCAGAGAGGGCATATTTGTTTTGGCCTTGCTCTCCCTCCTTCCCGTAAGCCCTCTGTATTTCCTATTTCCCTATTTACAAGTGTATACTTACATGTATTACAAAATTCTCCATCAAATACCTGGGGCTTTTCATGGTTATAGTGTTAAGTGACCTAAATTAAGATAAATACAATTCTAGTCTAAAATTTGGTAGCCTATCAAATCCGCATTGCATAATGAGACAAGTTTCTTTTTTCTTTTTTTTTGAGACGGAGTCTCACTCTGTCGCCAGGCTGGAGTGCAGTGGCGCGATCTCGGCTCACTGCAACCTCCGCTTCCCGGGTTCAAAAGATTCTCCTGCCTCAGCCTCCCAAGTAGCTAGGGTTACAGACATGCACCACCACGCCCAGCTAATTTTTGTATTTTTAGTAGAGACGGGGTTTCACCATGTTGGGGTTTCACCATGTTAGCCAGGATGGTCTCGATCTCTTTACCTCGTGATCCACCCGCCTCAGCCTCCCAAAGTGCTGGGATTACAGGCGTGAGCCACCAAGCCTGGCGAGACAAATTTTTATGCAGTTTAAACCGCCTCAAATTTCAAAAAATAGTTCTTTGAAAAAAAATAAGCATTTACATAATCACCAGGGATTCTGATTTTATTCTATATAGAACCTAAATGTTCGGATAATCTTTATTCTAGTTGCGTAGAATATGTTATGGAAACAGGATGTGGAAATAGAATTGGATATACAAGACTGCTAAAGATTATACGAAACGAGGACGCTGCCTTTCTTTTAAAGTGATAATTTACTGTGTCTTGTTTTCTGTTGTGAGAATCGGCTAGCCTGAAAACTGATTAAGTAAAACTGTACTTGAAAATTAAGTAAAACTTAACTACACCTAGCACTAAACACTGCAAAGAACATTGTGATTTACATGGTTTTCTCTCCCTGGACCAGTAGAGGGAGACTAAGACATCTGGCCTGGTCTTGTAGTGTTTCTGTAAAATTGGGGAGGGGGGGAGCGGAGGCTGTATTTAAATGTCCTGCTGTCAATCAAAAGACACTTCCTACAATCACAGTCACCATATCTGCTATTACTCGTGAGCGTGCTCTCGCCAAGAGACAACACCAAACGGGGCCCGGGAAACCGGCTTCAACTAAAGGTGACCGCAGGCTTTGCCACAACACCCAAATAAGGACTTTGGGAGCCCAACCCCAACTAGTTTCTTTGTTTAAATGCCTGTGAATCCCTCCCACGCCGGAGTCAAGAGGCTGTGGCGCCGCCCTTTATTAGCCTCACACTTTGATTACAAAACACACGAGTCGGCGGCCTGGCTGCGGAGGCGGCCCGAGCTCTCAAACGTCAAACCCGGAGCGCGGCGGCGGCTGAATCAGAGGGCAGCGTCCGCCGCCGCCGCCAGCCGGCCCCGCAGCGTCCGCCCGGCCGACTCAAGTTCGCCGGCACCGGCGCCCGGGCACAGCCGCAGGCGGTCCCGGTGTCGCCAGCTTCGAGCGATGGCAACTGCACTCTTTGTAAAGTTTAAGCCGCGGCGCGAGGGCAACGCAGGGGGTCCGGAGAAGCGTTCCCTTCGGGCCGCCGCAACCCACTCCATCTGCCCCAGTCCCGGCGACCCGGGTGTGTGCGGGGGCCCAGGACCGCGACCCGGGTCAACCTGCCGCCCGCCGGGGGCCCGGCCCCAACTTCCCCGGCACCTTTCAAGTCCCCGAGAGCGAGTGCCTCATCTGTTGCTCTGTTTACTCCGCGGAGCCCCGCCGAGCTGGCTGGCGCGGTCGCCTCTCCGGCCCGCCGCTGCCCCCGTCCCACTGGCCCAGGAAGTTTGATAAAGACGGGGAAGGGGGCGCGACAGGGACCCGCGGCGCGGAGGAGACGCGGGGCCGGGGCGACCCCATCGCCGCCCGGAAGGAAGGCAGGCGCGTCGGCCGGCCGGGCAGAGCGGCGGGGCGGCCGGCGACTCCGGCCGGAGCCCCGGGCGCGGCGGGGCGGGGCGGGGCGGCGGCGGCCCGGGCTGGCGAGGGGCTGCGGACCCGGCCGGCGCTCCGCCCGACGCCCCCGCCGCGCCCGCCCGGCCGCGTCCCCTCGCCCCAGGCTCCCCCTGCCAACTTATCCGCCGGCCCTCTTTGTTCGTGTTTGTTGTGGCGACTCTTCGCCCGGGCCAGGCGAGCCCACCGGCTCCCCTCTGGAGCCCGCCCGGCGAACCCGGGGCACCGCGCGCCCCACTGCCCGGCCGGGGGGCTAGGCACCGGGGCCCCCTGAAAGCTGGGCGCGGCGCGGCGGCCCGGCCCGAGGGAGGCGCGGGCGGCCGGCGGCGGCGGCGGTTGGTCGGTGGCCGGCGGTGGCGGCTGCGGGGCTGGAGGGGGTTTATTTACCTGCCGTGGAACCAGTCCTTGCAGATATCGCACTCGATCATGAAGCGGTTCACGTCGTACGGCTGCCGGCACACACAGTACACGGGCGGGGGCGGCGGAGGCGCCGAGGCCCGGCCGGGAGCCGCCACCGACACGGCTGCCGCGGCGGCTCCAGCTGCTGCTCCCGCGGCCACCGCCGCCGCCGCTCCGGCCATCTTTAAAAAACACACACACGCTCGCTCGCTACTCCGCTCGCCGACTGGAGCGAGCGCAGCCGCCAGCCAGCGCCGCCTCCTGCAGCAGCCGCGGCGGCGGCGGCGCCTCAGTGCGCGCGCGCGAGGCCGCGGCGGCTGGCGGAGGGGGAGGAGGCGCGCGCGACGCGCGAGGCCCAGACTCGGCTGCTTCCGGCGCTCGGCGCGGGGCCGTGCGTCTCGCGCACGTCTCTGGCGCCGGCGCGCGCTCCCCGCTCCTCTCCGCGACGGCCGGGCGGAGGGAGCTGTTGAAGGGCACGCAGGCGGCTGCGGGGGCGGAGGGAGCTGAGGCCCCGTGAGGACACGCGCGGTGGTGGCGGTGGCGGCGGGCGCGCGGCCGCAGCCGGAGGAGGACGGCGGGAGCGTGCGAGGAGCTGGCTCGGTTATTTCGGAGCGAGAGCCGAGGCCGGGGGAAGTTCCTGCGGAGTGCTCAAGGGCAGAAGAGGTGCCGCGTCCCGAAGAGGGGAAGCGGAGAAGTTTGCTGCTGCCCGGGTCGCCTCGCGACGCTGAGAGAATCGCCCAGCCCTCCGCAGCCGCCCAGCGAGAACCGGAGCTGCGGCCCCGCACCGGCGTGAGTCCAGCTGAGCTGACACGCCGAGCCGGTTGTGCCTTTCCGAGGGAGGAATGTGCCGTGGAATCCAAACTTTGGAAAACGTCCCACCCGAATTCCCAGCGAGCAGCAAGGAGACCAGAGCGTCGATGGAGCCACCGTTAGTTGCGGGAGGGCTGTCCCCAAGAGGAATTCATCACTGTCGTCCGCTGGGAGGGACCAACCTTGAAATGGGGTTGGTGGAGAGAGGGATAGAGAAGAGCCGGCGTGCTTATAAATAACAAAACTTAGCTATGAACCCTTCCGATTCCCAAGTGGGGAAGATGGGGTAAAATTCTAAGTGACTTCTCGCTCCGAAGAGGGATACCACAAAAAGCGGAGCGCAGGGTACTTGGCGTATAATAAGCCATCAATAATTTATGGGTGAAATTGAGAGCCAAATATAAGATGATAAACTGAAGAATAAAAACAGCTGACAAATACTGTATAGAAAAGATTGCGTTGGAATCATAACTGTGGATTGGAAGTGATGTTAAGGATTATTGGATTGAGTATTTGTAGCTGAATTTCTGCTGGCATTTCTATCAGTGGGGAAAGCCCTCACAGCTCCATAGGTAATTTTTGTTAGGGGAGGAAGAAGTGTTGTTCTGTCACCCACCCCCAGGCAAAGAGTCGCTGATCTAATTCTCCATTTCTTTCTTTCTTTCCTTTCTTTCCTTCCTTCCTTCCTTCCTTCCTTCCTTCCTTCCTTCCTTCCTTCCCTCCCTCCCTTTCCTTTCCTTTCCTTTCCTTTCTTTCCTTTCTTTCTTTGAAACGGAGTTTCGTTCTTGTTGCCCGCGCTGGAGTGCAGTGCAGTGCTGTGATCTCGGCTCATTGCAACTTCCACCTCCCGGGTTCGAGGGATCCTCCTGCCTCAGCCTCCCAAGTAGCTGGGATTACAGGCGCACGCCACCGCACCCGGGTAATTTTGTATTTTTAATAGAGACGGGGTTTCACCATGTTGGCCAGGCTGTTTGAACTCCTGACCTCAAGTGATCCGCCCGCCTCGGCCTCTCAAAGTGCTGGGATTACAGGCGTGAGCCACCAAGTCCTGCCTAATCTCCTTTTTATAGTTGAGGAAAGCTAGTAACTTGACTGAAGTCTCATATATTAGAGCTGTAACTGAAGTTTTTAAGTGTCTCAATTCTGCAACTATTCGTTTTTCTATCACATCACTGTTTGGCATATATATAGCGGGAAAAGGAAAGGCTGGAAATTAGTTGACCACACACTGATTAAGCTTGAAACATATTTCTACTGGAGAAAAAAAGGTACTGTAATTTTGGCATAGGCATCACATATTGCTGGAGTGGAAAGACCCATGCACTCAGGTCCTGCTTTCTATAATCTGTGACCTCGGGCCAGTCACTCCATTTCTCCTGAACTAGATCACTGATGATCTGTTGAAAGAAAAAATATGGCTAGTAATGCCTTAATTATCTCACAGAGGTTTTACATGGAGCAAAAAGACAATGTATTTTTAAATGTACTTTGTTGAAGGTGTGTGTTGTCGAGACAATACAGCAGTGAAGAGAAGGCATGCAAAGCTGTCTTGTTGGAGTCTGGCTAAAGAGCACCAAAGCAGCCTGTTGTGGGATGTCCTCTGGGGGCCACCTGGACTTGCTATGTTAACATGGAGGGACTAGGCAGGGGTATGAAGAAGGAAGCCCAGCAGAGCAGGAGGCAGCAGCAACAATGAGAGATTGGTTATCCATATGACTTGGATCTGTGTCCCCACCCAAATCTCATGTTGAATTGTAATCCCCAATGTTGGAGGTGGGGACTGGTGGGAGGTGACTGGATCATGGGGGTGGATTTCTTATGAATGGTTTAGTACCATCCACTTTGTATTGTCCCCGTGGTAATGAGTGAGTTCTTAAGAAATCTGGTCATTGAAAAATATGTGGCACCTCCTCCCTCTCTCTTTTGCTCCTGCCCCGGCTATATGATGCAATTTGTCTTCAGCCATGATTGTAAGTTTCCCGAGGCCTCCCCAGAAGCTGAGCAGATGCCAGCATCATGCTTCCTGTACAGCCTGCCTTCCATGAGCCAATTAAACTTCTTTCCTTTACAAATTACACAGTCTCAGATATTTTTCTCTTTTTTTTTTTTGAGATGAAGTCTGGGTCTGTCGCTCAGGCTGGAGTGCAGTGGTGCGATCTCAGCTCACTGCAACCTCCACCTCCCGGGTTCAAGCAATTCTTAGGCCTCAGCCTCCTGAGTAGCTGGGGTTACAGGTACCTGCCACCATGCCCGGCTAATTTTTGTAATTGTAGTACAGAAGGGTTTCACCATGTTACTCAGGCTGGTCTTGAACTCCTGACCTCAGGTGATCCACCTGCCTCAGCCTCCCAAAGTGCTGGGATTACAGTTGTATGCCTCAGATATTTATTTATTTATTTATTTATTTATTTATTTTTATTTATTTTTCTTTTTTTTTTTTTTTTTTTTTTGAGACACAGTCTCACTTTGTTGCCCAGGCTGGAGTATAGTGGCATGATCTTGGCTCACTGCAACCTCCGCCCTCTGGGTTCAAGGAATTCTTTTGCCTCAGCCTCCCAAGTATCTGGGATTACAGACGTGCACCACCACAGCCAGCAAATTTTTGCATTTTTAGTAGTGGCCAGGCTGGTCTCGATTTCCTGACCTCAGGTGATCCACCTGCCTCAGCCTCCCAAAGTGTTGAGATTACAGGTGTGAGCCACCGCACCCAGCCCAGATATTTCTTTATAGCAACGAAAGAACAAACTGATACAGTTGTGTACAAGAGAACTGATCAAACGCAGTCGTGTTGGCCAGACGTGGTGGCTCATGCCTGTAATCCCAGCACTTTGGGAGGCCCAGGCGGGTGGATCATGAAGTCAGGAGATTGAGACCATCCTGGCTAACATGGTGAAACCCTGTCCCTTCTAAAAATACAAAAAATTAGCTGGTTGTGGTGGCACGCACCTGTATTCCCAGCTACTCGGGAGGCTGAAGCAGGAGAATCGCTCAAACCCGGGAGGCAGAGATTGCAGTGAGCCAAGATCGCGCCACTGCACTCCAGCCTGGGCTACAGAGCAAGACTCCATCTCAAAAAAAAAAAAAAAAAAAAAATACAGTCGTGTTGCTTAACAACAGAGGTAAGTCTGAGAAATGCATCGTTAGGCAATTTCATCGTTGTGTGAACACCATAGAGTGTACTTACAACCGTGTTTGGTATAGCTAACTACACACCTAGGCTAGATGATGTAGCCCATCACTCCTAGGCTATACACCTGTATAGCATGTTACTGTGCTGAATTCCATAGGGATTTAGAACACAATGGTAAGAAATTGTGTTTCTAAATATAGAAAAGGGAGAGTAAAAATATCACATCATAATATTATGGGGCACCATCATAATATGCAGTCCATCATTGACGGAAATGTCATTATGCGACACGTGACTGGCAATGAGTTAAGGAAAATGGGAGCCAGGTTTCTCAATGTTCAGGAAGAGAATTACAAATAAGAGGAAACTTTGGTGGTGGGCTAGTAATGGAGGTATCAATCTATCACTATTTGTAGAAATAGATATAGGTGTATATGTACATACCCTGTCCATTGAGAGGATCTGGGAGTAGTGACACCACAAAACAATGAGAACAGCTAGCCCAGGTCTTGGCTTCTAAATACCATTCTCCACTTCATTTTTCTTCTTGGCAAAATAGTTGATTCCAGGACTGGAGAAGAGGGTACGGGATGAGCCTGGAACTTCTTGTAGTACCAGAATATAAGGACGTGCTCAAAGAATAATGAGGCATGTCTAAAGGACACCAGCCAAATCAGGGACAAATTGTACTTCAACATTTAAAAAAAATCATGTATTATAACCCACTGAATAATATAGGAAGCTATACCAGTGTAAAGAAATACATAAATTGAAAGTTTGATAAGCAGTGGAATAGTTTCATAGTTTCAAAGTATCTCCCAACAAAATTCTTACTAATTACAAAGGGAACTAGAGTAACTTTTCAGTGTTAAGGAGCTTGGCAGACACCATCTTAATCAAATGATCAAGTGCCATCAATAATGGGACAAATCAAGATCACGTGCCATCTGATAGGATTTGGTGAGAATACTAGCATCACTTCTGTGCATTTCTGCTCAGTCTATTTAATTAATCTCCAGTTTGGAAATGCAGCTATTTTTAAAAGTACATGAAGAGATCAGTAAAGAATAAAGACACTGTAAGGCATACAAATCTGTAAGGAAAGGTTAGAGAAATTGTAAACACAAAGATTTGATCTTGGGAAGAAAGGGATTAAGGCTAGAACTCTGGATGATGCCAACGTTTTAGTGGCAAGCCCCATACATCATAATTAAGCTCATGGTTTTGGATTCACAACCTACTACCTCTGTGACAACTTATTAACACTTGGATTTTAGTTTTCTCATTTTAATGGGAATGGTAAGCATATCTGCTTCCCAGGGCTGGGTACACTAAAATAACATACTTTGCACAATTCTTAGCATATGATAAGCCATATAGCTACTAACTGCAATTATGAATAATTATTTTGCTACTTGTTCATTAATAATAATAGAGAGGACAGCTCTATTATGAAGAGCAGCTGAAGAGTTAGGACAGAAGACTAGGAGAATATTGTCTCAAAAACAAGCGGGGGATAGAATTTCAAAAGGAAAAATATCTTGAAGAAAGACACCCAGCTCCATGCCAGCATCAGTTGACAATGACCGTGGGACTCCCTCTCCCTTTCTCCTTTGTGGTTTCTCCAATACTCGCAGATCTCTCTTAATTTTCACATCAAATCTAGGGTGTTGTGTTTGTTTTTAACACTTCACTTGTTCATTTAACCTCATTTCTCTGACAAGGAATGTTTGCTCCAAACTAACAATTCTCCTTCCTACTACTAATGATACTGCTCTATCTCCACAACCACGTCTGCTATTCTCTTCCTTAGAAAACAAACGTACTGGCCAGGCACAGTGGCTCACGCCTTAATCCCAGCATTTTGGGAGGCCAAGGTGAACGGATCACCTGAGGTCAGGAGTTCCAGACCAGCCTGGCCAACATGGTGAAACCTCATCTCTAAAAAAATACAAAAATTAGCCGGGCACGATGGCAGGTGCCTGCAATCCCAGTTACTCAGGAGTCTGAGGCAGAAGAATCACCTGAACCTGGGAAGCAGTGGTTGCAGTGAGCCGAGATCGTGCCATTGCACTCCAGCCTGGGCGACAGAGCGAGAATCCGTCTCAAAAAAAAAAAAAAAAAGAAAGAAAGAAAGAAAGAAAGAAAACAAACATATTTTGGGAATATATCTTGGGAATGCTACGTTAAACCATTGACATGCATTAAATGAGAGTGATTTGTTCTTACATAGCACTTGATCCTCCCTGTAACCTGTTCATCAGATTAACGAAACAGGGATTAACTACACAAATTAACTAGCCTGGCTAAAGTTGTGGTAGGAGGACAGAGAAATTTTAATTTTACTGAGCTGGAGGGAAAAGGATAATGTCTGAGTGGAAAAGATTGCCTATGGAGAGTAGGTCTTGAAAGAGTATATCATGGTGCTGGGAGGAAGAAGAGTGGAGTCTAGTCGGGGAAGCAGGACCCAACACACAGAGCTCAGCAGCTTTGTTCACAGCCTGATTATCTTTGCTTCTACCCCAGGAGCTGGGAAAATTCTAAACTGACAGCCCGAGGTTAAGATGTTATTAAAGGAGGACTGTCATGTTGAACACATTCAAAGCGCAAATGTTAATAAAAGTGGTGAAAAAGTATAAAGGAAAGCAAAGCAGATAAATGACATTAGTAAGGACAGTGAATCACAATGTAGCCAGGCATTACAAAGGATACAGTATAAAGTACATAGTATCACTTAGGAAGTATCCTTGCCAAAAATGTTTAACCTGAATATAATTAAACCTTAAGACTTAATTTCCAGCTGACAGGAAATTCAGGAGATAGAGCAGCAACAAGTTGTATGATACCACAAGGAAATAAGACTAATCCAAAATATGAAACATTTCACAAAACCACTAGCTTAGTTTATTTTAAAAGTTGCCATTTTTAAAACAAAGAGTGTAACCTGGGCAACATGGCGAAACCCCATCTCTACAAAAAATAAAAATTAGCCAGGCGTGGTGGCACGCACCTGTCGTCCCAGCTACTCAGGAGGCAGAGGCAGGCGGATCAAGCCTGGGAAGTCAAAGCTGGAATGAGATGGCCAGCGTGGTGGCTCACGCCTGTAATCCCAGCACTTTGGGAGGCCAAGGCAGGTGGATCACAAGGTCAGGAGATGGAGACCAGCCTGGCTAACATGTTGAAACCCAGTCTCTACTAAAAATACAAAAATTAGCCAGGTGTGGTGGTGCATGCCTGTAGTCCCAGCAACTCGGGAGGCTGAGGCAGGAGAGTCACTTGAACCCAGGAGGAGGAGGTTGCAGTGAGCCAAGATCACGTGCCACTGCACTCCAGCCTGGGCAACAGAGCAAGACCCTGTCTCAGAAAAACAAAACAAAACAAAACAAAACAAAACAAAAACAAGGAAGAAAGAGAGAGGGCAAGAGGGAGGAACATTTTTCTAGATCAAAGTCTTAAGAAACATAACTAAATAATACAATTCATGAAGCTTGATGGATCCTGATTCTAAAATATCAGCTATAAAAGACAGTTTGAGGGATAATTTTGAAATTTTAATATAATCTGGATGTTAGGTGAAATTAGGGAAACACTAATTTTCTTTGGCATGATACATTATCATGGTTTATAGAAGAATGTCATTTTTAGAAGACTCGTGCTGAAGCTTTTAAATGATGTCACACTTGCTTTAAAAGATGCAGCAAAAAAAAAGAAGAGGGTGAGGAGAAAGATGAATGAAGCAAACACAATAATATTCACAATTGTTAAATCTAGATAATTATATGTCTGTGGATGTTTATTGTACTATTTGATATTTTTCATAATAAAAAGTTTAAGAATATAGACTTTTTCTTGAGTCTGGCTGGAAGTTTAATAAATCATATTTTCATAATTGATTATTTCCTATTTTGAATACCTCAATAGTTTATTTTCTTGTTATAACATCTTCTAAAGTTGCACATCTTCCAGAGATCAAAATGTTATGGGGCCACTATTTTGTTGAGTTTTATAACCCAAATGGATCATGAAATAAGAATGTAATTTTTTTTTTTTTTTGAAACAGATTCTCTGTCGCCCAGGCTGTAGTGCAGTGGCGCAATCTCGGCTCACTGCAACCTCCACCTCCCAGATTCAAGCGATTCTCCTGCCTCAGCCTCCCTAGTAGCTGGGATTACAGGCACCCGCCACCACGCCCGGCTAATTTTTGTATTTTTAGTAGAGATGCGGTTTCACCATGTTGGCCAGGCTGGTCTTGAACTCCTAACTTCAAGTGATCCACCTGCCTCAGCCGCCCAAAGTGCTGGGATTACAAGTGTGAGCCACTGCGTCTAGCTGGTTCTTCTAAATGGAGATGGAGAGGGTACTTTTTTAGACTAATATATACATACACAGAGTCTCCTAAATCCTCTGAGGGCTGTGCTCTCATCCCTCTCTCCCTAATCTAATGAGACATGTTACTCATGGGAGTACGCTACACTTGTGATCAGTGTGGAAGGAGAAAAAATTTGAGAACCACTGTCTTCCTATAAAAAGTTGCACATTTACCTCTGTCTATCCACGAAAAAAACTCTGGACAAATTTCCATAGAGGGACATTTCTACAAAATATCCAATCAGTATTCCTCAAACTATCAAGGTCATGAAAAACAAGACAAATCTGAGAAATTGTCACAGCCAAGAAGAACCTAAGGAGCCATGACAAGTGTGATGTGGTGTCCTAGTTGGGATCCTGGAAAAAGAATGGACATTAGGTTACAACTAAGAGAATCTGAATAAATTATGAGCGTTAGTTATGAACATGTATCAATATCAGTTTATTAATTATAACAAACATTAATATATCGGACTAATGTAAGATACCAGTAATAGGGGCAACTGGGTACGTGCATTGCAGTCTCTGTGCTATGTTCTTTTCTGTAAATGTAAAACTGTTCTAAAAATAAAACCTATGCAAATTTTTTTTGAGTTTTACCTATCAGGGATCTAGCGCTTAAAGCTGTCCCATGGTCATAAATGCTTTGAATTTATATATTGCCTTGGTCTATCAAAACCCTGTTCCATACATTATCTACAAAGTCCCTGGGTTTCAAATGCCAACCCAGTTACTCAAAAATAGTTATGTGGGCCCTAGTCGTGGTTTCCCATTTTGAATTCTGTGATGCTTTAGTGTAGTTTGGGAAGATATTCCTGGTGGGAGGCCGGGCGTGGTGGCTCACATCTGTAATCCCAACACTTTGGGAGGCCAAGGTGAGCAGATCACGAGGTCAGGAGTTCAAGACCAGCCTGACCAACATGGTGAAACCCCATCTCTACTAAAAATACAAGAATTAGCTGGGTGTGGTGGCACGCACCTGTAATCCCAGCTACTCAGGAGGCTGAGGCAGGAGAATCACTGAACCTGAGAGACGGAGGTTGCAGTGAGCCGAGATCCCGCCACTGCACTCCAGCCTGGGTGACAGATCAAGACTCCATCTCAAAAAAACAAAAAAATACTCCTGGTGGGGTAAATAACATATTGTTTAATAATGATTAAATCTAGAAAATTATGTCTCTCTCTCTCTCTCTCTCTCTCTCTCTGTGTGTGTGTGTGTGTGTGTGTATCTGTTATTAGCCTGAGGGGTTGGCTAAATTTAAAAGTAAAATGCATTCATCCATCCATTCATTTGTCATTATTGTCCACTATAAACATATGATAGTTGCTAAGCACACGGGGATCAAAGACACATTCTCTGTCCTCCAAGGGCTCCCATTCTGTAAAAGAGATAGACAATTAAATATGAAATTGCAACCTAATATACTCAGTACCGTGGTGGAGAAAAACACAAAGAGCTGCAGCTGCATGGAGGAGGGACACCTAACCCAGACTGGGGCTAATCAGAGTGTGTTTCGTCCTAAAGGACGTCCTAAAGGATGAAACATTGAAAGAAATTCTGTGTCCTTCATCATCCCCATTTATGAAATATGAAAAATTTTACCTTTCAAGAAACATAAGAAAATGTTACTCCCAACTCAAGTAGATTTTTCTATGGATTTATTTAATGTTAGGTGTTTGGTTTTTCACATTATAAGAGGCGAACAAAATCACCAAGGTAGTACTTATCAATAAATAAGGTTGAGATCTGTGTCTTCAAAGGAGATTGAATGAGAGACAGTGGAAAAAACCCTACTATATCAACAACCACAGACATTTATTAAGCACTGAAGGCAGTCTGTTTAGCAATATTATAAGTATAAAGAAAAAGTTGATAAACACTGTAATGGAAAATTCTGGGCATGTTCTTATAAATTTTTTTCCATTCTTATTTTGGGGGTAATTCATCCCTGTTTCTGATTGATGGTAATCAATAGTCACTCCTTATGATCAATAAACAATTTTTTTTTTTGAGACAGAGTCTTACAGTAACACCCAGGCTAGAGTGTAGTGACACAATCTCGGCTCACTGCAACCTCCACCTTCTGGGTTCAAGTGATTCTCCTGCCTCAGCCTCCCAAGTAGCTGGGATTACAGGCATGTAGCACCACAACTGGCAAATTTTTGTATTTCTAGTAGAGACGGGGTTTTGCTATGTTGGCCAGGCAGGTCTCGAACTCTTGACCTCAGGTGATCCACCTGCCTCAGCCTCCCAAAGTGCTAGGATTACAGGCATCAGCCACTGCTCCCGGCCAATATTTTTAAAATTCAAAGAATCTCTTTCAAATGGAATCCAAATGATGAATAATTCTTTTTTTCTTTTCTTTTTTTTTTTTTTATTTTAGAGACAAGGTCTTGCTCTGTTGCTCAGGCTGGAGTGCAGTGGTGCAATCCCCCCACCTCAGCCTCCAGAGTAGCTGGAACTACAGGCTCGCACCACCATGCTCAGCTATTTTTTTTTTATTTTATATTTTTTTGTAGAGACGAGGGTCTCCCTGTGTTGCCCAGGCTGGTCTTAAACTACCAGCCTCAAGCGATCCTCCTGCCTCAGCCTCAAAAATTGCTGGGATTACACCCATAAGCCACTGTGCCCAGCCAAGTAATTCTTTTGTGACTTGAAAATTGCAACACTAAATATATATGTAATAACTTCAGATATTGCGCATTGTCTTTAAAATCCTCATATGTGTCTTACAAAGCTTTTTACCCATGGATAACTAATTTATGGCCTAATAAATCTATAGATTTAATTAAATTGTGAGTCCTATCTCTTCATTTTATTGCCTCACAGATTTATTCCTTTATAGGTTCTAATTAAGAAATTAAACCAAAAGGAATTCAAAGTTTTAACTTTATTTTCTAATTTGCACAAAAGCTGCAAAATACCACTAAATATTAATATATTTCTTCATAATGTAGGAGATAGAGTTCAGAATTCCCAACTATCTTTTGCTTAAGTACTTAAAAATCATCATTAATATATAGTCAGCCCTATTATTCAGGAGTAGTTATGAGAAAGAAGTTTATATTGCCATATGTTTGAGGAAGAATAGGTTTAAAGATATTTTAACGCGTGTATTGAAAAGGACAACTTTATCATGTAGTAACAAAGATAAGCTGGATTCATAGGATTTTATGGAAGTCTGTTTCAGGTAAGACACTGATGTCTCCAAGACAGGATGTCATGGAGAAAATGAAAGGCATGGCAGATCACTTGAATTCAGGAATCCAAGACCAGCCTGGCCAACACGGTGAAACCTCATCTCTACTAAAAATACAAAAATTAACCGGGCGGGGTGGGGGAGGTGGAGGTTGCAGTGAGCCGAGTTTGCACCACTGCACTCCAGCCTGGGCGACAGAGTGAGACTCTGTCTCAAACACACACACACACACACACACACACACACACACACACACACACGAAAGAAAAGGAGAAAGGAAAGAAAGGGAAGGGAAGGGAAGGGAGGGGAGGGGAGGGGAAGGGAAGGGAAGAAAGAAGCAAGAAAGCGAAAGAAAGAAAGAAAAAGCGAGGAAGCGAAAGAAAGAAAGAAAAGAGCAAGAAAGCAAAAGAGAAAGAAAGATAAAAAGGAAGGAAGGAAAGAAAGAAAGGGGAAGGGACAGAGGGAGGGGAGGGGAAGGAAGGAAGGAAGAAAGGAAAAAGAAAACAAAAGGCAAAAATCATTCTTGCTTTTTTTTTTTTTTTGAGATGGAGATTACAGGCGTGAGCCACCGCACGCAGCACTTTTGGGAGGCCGAGGAGGGCGGATCACGAGGTCGGGAGATGGAGACCATCCTGGCTAACACGGTGAAACCCCGTCTCTACTAAAAATACAAAAAAAAAAAAAAAGTTAGCCAGACTCGGTGGCGGACACCTGTAGTCTCAGCTACTCGGGAGACTGAGGCAGGAGAATGGCGTGAACCCGGGAGGCGCAGCTTGCAGTGAGCCAAGATCGCACGGCTGCAGTCCAGCCTGGGCGGCAGAGCAAGACTGCGTCTCAAAAAAAAAAAAAAAAAAAAAAAAAAGAAAGTGATTAGTAAAACAGCAAAGGGTTAAGCATGAGGTACACAGGGAGCTCTGAAGAGCCAAGAGTTTCAGAGGACTTAGAGAAAGGGACATTCTATCAAGAACAAATGCAGAATGGCAGCACAGACTTGTAGAAAAGGTGTCAGGAAGATGAAAGCCTAGGATGAGCTGGGCCTTGCCAAAATAAGTTAAGGACAACTAAAAGGACTCTTTAATCTATATTTAGAAAGAGAAGAAAGAACAAGAGAGGTGTAGGCATGATGCTTGGGGCAGATGGTGTGATACTGACAGATGACAAAGCAAAATTGCTCCATTTCTATTTTGTTTTCATCTCTCTTATCATTGGACGTCTTTGAGCTAGAAAATACTCTGTACCAAAAAAGATGGACATGTGACTGAGTATTGATTTGACCCATTTATTTGTAGCAGGATTAGGCAGACTAGAAAAGTTCTCTATTTGAAATTAGACAAGGCCGGGCACAGTGACTCACACCTGTAATCCCAGCACTTTGGGAGGGCAAGGCAGGTGGATCACCTGAGGTCAGGAGTTCAAGACCAGTTTGGCCAACATGGTGAAACCCCGTCTCTACTAAAAATACAAAAATTAGCCAAGTGTGGTGGTAAACGCCTGTAATCCCAGCTACTAGGGAGGCTGAGGCAGGAGAATCACTTCAACTTGGGACATGGAAGTTGCAGTGAGCCGAGGTCACGCCACTGCACTCCAGCCTGGGTGACAGAGCAAGACTCTGTCTCAAAAAGAAAAAAATTAGACCAATTTGCTGAATGAGGCCAAAGGGAAGTATCAAAGTATGGGAGAAGTGGAGGCAGGTGGGGCTGGAGAGTCAGACCCAGGGGCAGATGCATGGAGAAGGGTAAGTCTGTCACAAAAAGGGGGAAAAAACAAACAAACAACAAAAAAAAAACCATTGTCCAAAGGAAATGGTAAAACCAGATGACAATGCAGAAAAAGCTGTGTTGGCAATGGGACCAGGGACAATATAATAGAGAATGGAAAATAGAGCTAGTATTCTGTGCCAGGAACTCTCCAAGCTGCTTAGTATATATTGCCTCATTTAATCCTTACAACAATCTTCATGCAAGTGGTATTATGATCCCTGGTTTCTCTAATGTGGAAAACAAGACTTCATTTGCCTAAGGTTATTCAGCTAGAAAGCGGAGCGGGTGAGATTTGACCTCAGGTCTGGGTGACTTCACAGTCTATTTTTCCTCTATATGCTGAAGAGGGCACAGTGATGTGGAATCCAAGGGACAATAAATTCAAGAAGAATCTGAGGTGCCCACTGGGATCAAGGAAGTCTGTGAGCAGGAATGAGAGTCCCCATCATGGGGCTAGAAGTTAGGGTAGGATGACCTTTCCTGGGCAAGAAGACACAAGGACAAATGGACACAAGGAAAGTTTTGGAGGTGATAGATATGTCTATTACCCTGATTGTGGTGATGGTTTCATGGGAATATGCATATGTCCAAACTCATTACCTTGTCCAACTCATTCCATGCAGTTTATTGTGTATCAATTATACCTCAGTACAGCTGTTTTTTTAATTAAAGAAAAGAACAAAGTTAGGTACTAGGTATAAATTGTCTTGTACATATGAAAACAATGACCTACTCACAGAGATTAGGACAGAAGGTCAGGAATTAGTAGTACAATTCTAGGAAGGGTGATTTTATGCTGAGCTGCTTAAATACTTCCTGCAAAGATCCATGAAACATGGGAGTATGGTAAAAAGAAACCCCAGGATGAGAGCTGAGCAGAGACCTAGAGAATAATCTCTCAGATTGGAGAGGACAGAAGGCTCCAAAAGGAGGGTCTCCAGGGATTAAAAAAATAATGAAACAGGCAGAGTGTGGTGGCTCATGTCTGTAATCCCAGTGTTTTAGAAGCCGAGGCGGAAGGACTGCTTGAGCCCAGGAGTTCAAGGCTACAGTGAGCCATGATCACGCCACTGTACTCCAACCTGAGCGACAGAGCAAAACTCCATCTCAAAATAATGATGATGATGATACTGATAAATTGTTTGAAATAGTCTTTTTAACATTAGAAAAAATAACTAATAACAGTATGACAGATATATAGGAGCATTTGGGGGAATATTAATGAAGAAGCCCTTAGAAAAAAATAAGCAAATTTTAAAAAGCTAATTTTAACTTTAGGAAAAATTAAAGTTGTAAGAGAAAGGAAACAATCACAGCACACTCTGGGTTCTGTTAGTGAATCCCATTTAAAATCTGGCTATTAATTTAAACCACAAAAAAAAATGTAATATAACTATACCGAGAAGGATGGAAAAAGAGGGCATGAAAGAGTGAAATCTTCAATAACAATCACTGGAAGTCAGTAGGTAATGTCCAAGACTGAGACATTGAGAAAGAGCCACATAAATAGTTCATCAAGAAATACGGAGTTAAATAACAAGAAAGTGGCTAAAGGAGTTCAAAGTAGGTGCCACTGGGGAGTCAGTCTGGGTGGCAGCGGGGTGGGGAGGCTAGGCAAGGGTGCAGTGTGCAAGCAGAGACTGCTTTTTTCATTATAAGTCATTTCGTACTATTGAATTTATTAATTATATCCTTCTATTATTATGGCTAAATTGCTATTTTTTAAAAAGCAGATGGAATTTAAGTGATTAAAAAAAAAGAAAGAGAAACTACACCAAAAGTAATTGTGAGTCTTCTCAAGAAAGCCTCAGAGGGCTGGGCTCAGTGGCTCACACCTGTAATCCCAGCACTTTGGGAGGCTGAGGTGGGAGGATCACTTGAGCCCAGGAGTTCAAGACAAGCCAGGGGAACATAGCGAGATGCCTGTCTCTACAAAAAATTAAAAAATTAGCTGGACGTGGCGAAGTGTGCCTGTGGTCCCAGCTACCTGGGAGGCTGAGGCAGGAGGATCGCTTTAGCCTGGGAGGTCGAGGCTGCAGCGAGCCGTGTTCATGCCACTGCACTCCAGCCTGGGCAACAGAATGAGGCCCTGTCTCAAAAAAAGAAAAGAAAAGAAAAGAAAGCCTCAGAGAAACATCAAGCTCCGGCCAATGCACTTAAAGGCAAATGGTGAGCCACAGGGCAAGCACCAGGGTAGCTCACTAAATAGCTCTTCTAGAACCACCCACAACAAATGTGCTTCCCCTCTGTGCCTTGGAAACAGAGCTTCTATAGCTGCAGTGGGCTCTGTCCAGGGCCAGTTCTCAAGCCACTGATCTTGTTCCTGGGCTTATTCAAACCCAGATTGTTAAGCCCCACCCCAAGAGTTCCAGGAGGGGCCGGAGAGGCAGAGAATTCACATTGCCAAGTTCCCAGGTTGTGCTGATGCCACTGGTCTGGGATCACACTGAAAACACTGGTCTAGGCGGAGGCTAGAACTGCTCTCTACAGAAAGTGGGTAACGTGTCTGAGGGGGGCTCCTAAGGGTGCTGAGAGCTGGAGGAGAAATACAGCAGGGCTTAAGGTAACTCCAGGGCTCCATGACAGATACCAAGTAGATGAAGAAGGAAGAGAAGAAAGGAGGAGTAAAAGACAAGGATAGAAATAGACTAAGGTTCTATTCTCCCAGAATAAATCCCTTTTTACTTTGATAATTGAGGAGTTCCCCAACCTGCTGGCCAGCTGCCCAGGCAGTACACTAGAAAAATGCCTGTAAATGCTCTTCACCCACTTTCCTAAATCCCACAGTCAGAGCTCCCATTCAGGGAAGAATCATGTTGACAAACTGCAGCAAAAGCCCAACCCAGCTACATACTAATAAGCAGAAACTTACATCATAAACACAAAAGTACAAAAAAAGACATGTGAGGAAAATCAGCAGTATAAAAAAGGACCAGCCTGAAAAACAGACACAATAAGAAGTAGCTCACCCTGGAAGAAACATGATCCAGGAAAGTAAGAGAAGTAATTGTTTTGTTTTGTTTTGTTTTGTTTTGTTTTGTTTTTTGTTAATTCTAATGAACAGCCTCAGAGAAACTTAAGCATAGATTTCAAACAACAAGAACCAGCTGTTATGAAAAAGAAGACTTGATCATTCCCCATAAAGTCTGAGGAACCTAAACAATATGACTGCCAAATTTATTTTTTAAAAAGCGAATGAGCTGAATAATGAATAAACAAAGCTAAAGACCAAATTGGTGATTTGGAAAATAAAACCAAGGACATCTTCCAGAATATAATTCAAAAAGGCAAGGAAATGGAAGATATGAGAGAAAAATTGAGACAATAAAAGATGAAGGAAGTCCAACATTTATCTTTTAATTCTACAAGGAAAGAAAACAGAGAAGGGGACTAAAACATCAAAGAAAGATTAGGGGGAAAATATACCTAAGCTTAAGAATGAAATGAATAGTTTCAGAGTAAAAGGGCTCACTGAATGCTAAGAACAGTGTAATAAGCCCCATAGCTAGGGACATCATAGTGAAAATTCAGAATCCTAATGATAAAAATATCTACATGTATGCATATCAAAAGTTTCCAGGAGAAAGCATATTACCTATTTCAGACCTTTACATAGCTAGATGCTTGAATATCTTTCAAATAGGGCTACTTTAGGCCGTGTTTGAAACAGGTGGCTCACGCCTATAATCCCAGCACTTTGGGAGGCCGAGGCAGGTGGATCACCTGAGGTCAGGAGTTTGAGACCAGCCGGGCCAACATGGCAAAACCCCATCTCTACTAAAAAAAAAAAAAAAAAAAAAAAAAAAATTAGCCAGGCATGGTGGTGCCTGCCTGTAATCCTAGCTACTAGGGGTGCTGAAGCAGGGAGGATCACTTGAACCTGGGAGGCACAGTTTGCAGTAAACCGAGATTGTGCCACCGCACTCCAGCCTGGGCAACAGAGCGAGACTCTGTCTCAAAAAAATAATAATAATATTTTTTAAAATAATAATAATAATAAACAGGGCTACTTTATAAGTTGTAGGGCTCCATGAAAATGAACATGTGGGGCCCCTTGTTCAAAAATTATTAAGTAGTTCAAAATGATAACAACAGCGCATTAAACCAAACATGGGGCCCTTCTAAGAATGGGGCCACTTATTTTCTTTTACCCCTTTATTTTTAGGTGATTCTCAGCCACCAATGCCTGTTGTATTTCATGCCACATTCTTTCCTGGAGTGCATAGCTCTCATGCCAATGAAGGCAGCCCTGCTTCCAAGTTCTGAGAAGCAAAGACTTTGAAGCTAGAATTCTATACTCAGACAAACTATCCATCAAGGCAAGGGGGTAAAGAGAGAAATTTTTGGACTTGTAAGGATTTAGAAAATTTACCTGAAAAATTATTTCGGCAGTTTCCAGAAAAATGAATAAGGACTCCAAGAAAGAATGTGGCATGAAATACCAGAAGCAGTGGTACCTGAAAATGACCTAGAAATAAAGAAAGATAAGAGGAAAATGGGAGCTATTTAGGTATTAATGTTTAAGTGATTTTTCTTTACACTTCTAAGTTTTAATGACATTGGATTACATTTTTCTCTGTAGAACCAGTCATTATTGGTTTAATGGTGAATAATATTTAAATAATTATAATATTGTAATAGCTTTTAAGATTATTTTTATTCTTAGAATCAATCTATAGTCAAATCACAGAAAAGTATAATTATGGTTACAGAACAGAATGTAAATATTATAAACCTTGATAATGTAAAAAAAAAAAAGTCTAATAAAGAAATGGGAGGTGAAAGGGAAAAGAAAGAAAAGTATGCAAACTGCTTCATCTACCGTAGGAGAGAGTTAATAGGAACTGCCAGAATTTGATAAACTGAGAAATAAAGATCTTAGTATTTTATTTGAAGTTGTAAAATATACCATAGAAACTAAAGAAGAACCAAAATAATATATCTAATAAAAACTGATTAGGGAAAATGGGTGATTATAGATGCATTAAATTTCCTTCCTTCCTTCCTTCCTTCCTTCCTTCCTTCCTTCCTTCCTTCCTTCCTTCCTTCCTTCCTTCCCTCTCTCTTTCTCTCTTTCTTTCTTTTGACAGGGTCTCACTCTGTTGTCCAGACTGGAGTGCGGTAGCATGATCTCAGCTCACTGCAACCTCTGCCTCCCTGGCTCAAGCAATCCTCCCACCTCAGCCTCCCAAGTAACTAGGACCACAGGCATGCACCAACATGCCAGACTAATTTTTTTTTTCTTTTTTTAGATGGAGTCTTGCTCTGTTGCCCAGGCTGGAGTGCAGTGGTGCAATCTCGGCTCACTGTAGCCTCTGCCCCCCAGGTTCCAGTGATTCTCCTGCCTCAGCCTCCTGGGTAGCTGAGATTACAGGTGCACACCACCACGCCTGACTGATTTTCGTATTTTTAGTAGAGATGGGGTTTCACCATGTTGGCCAGGATGGTCTCCAACTCCTGACCTCAGGTGATCCGCCTGCCTTGGCCTCCCAAAGTGTTGGGATTACAGGTGTGAGCCACTGTGCCTGGCCACCAGACTAATTTTTCTTTTTCTTTTTCTCTTTTTCTTTCTTTCTTTTTTTTTTTAGAGTTGAAGTTTTGCCATATTACCCAGGCTGATCTTCAACTCCTGAGCTCAAGTGATCCTCCTCCTTGGCCTCTCAGTGTGGGGATTACAGGCGTGAGCCACCACACCTGGCCTAAATTCTTCATTTTCATAGCAGGGAATTAATAGACACATTCTGCATTGATAAATCAAGAAAGAAAGGTATACGCAAATTTCAGGTTCTGTAATAACCACCAAAAAAATTAAAACAGGAAATCTCGAAAACAGAAACTTCTGGGAAGTGAGACTCAGGGAAGAATTTGGGGAGGGGAGTGTGAGGTTTCTTTTGCGTGTTATACCTTTCTGCATCATTTTAATTTTCCTGTGTGCACACATTCTTTCTAAAACTAAAACTAAGTTGAGCAAGAAAGGAAGTAAGAGAGAGAGGGATTAGTAGAACACAGTATGATGGGATGAACTTGACTTTCTTTCATGATCTCCTGGTTGCTAAGTTGGCAAATCAAAGGAATTAATCACTACCACATCCTAGGCCCTCTTCTAGGAGCTGGGGGTGTAGCCATAAAGTTTAACAAACAAAACAAAACAAAACAAAAAACAGTTCTCATGGAACTCTCATCCTAGCTCAGAAAGTTGACATCCTAGGTGGTTAAGTCCTAAAGATATTTCAGTTGGGGAAAGGGTCAAAGGAGTGCCCAGGGTGGGGGAATGACATGTTCTAGTTAAAAACTGGGTGACCAGGGAAGGCATCATCAAGAAAGTGACTAAATGATTAAAGGTAAGAAAGTGATGAAGGAGTGGCCACATGGATATCTGGAGGGAGTATTGCAGACAGAATAGCAAGTGCAAGGGTCCTGGGGCAGGAGTGTGCCTGGTGAGTTCCAGGAACAGCAAAGAGGCCAGAGTGGCTGGAATGGAGAAACCCAAGGGAAGTATTACAAGGGATGACGTCAGACAGGGAAGGGGATGGGGCAGGTCATGCAGGCTTTTTGGCCTTTTTAAGGACTGTGGTTTTATTCTGAACAAGTTGGCAAGAGTTTAGGTTACAAAAAGACTGTGGCTTCCATCTTGCTTTTTCTCTCTTCCTCTTTTGCTTTCTTACTTTGATAGAAGCTGGCAGCCACACTGTGAGATGTCCTGTGGAGAGGCCCACATGGCAAGGAAACGAAGGACTCCTGCCAACAGCCAGTGAGGAACCGAGGCCCTCAGTCCAACAACCCGTGAGGAACTGAATCCTGCCAACAACCACGAGTGAGCTTGGATAAGAACCCCACTCCCCACGTCAAGCCAATGACAGTCCCAGCAAACATGTGACTGCAGCCTTGCAAGAGCCCCTGAGCTGGAAGACTCAGCTAAGCCATGCCCAGACTCCTGACCCAAGGAAACTGTGAGATAATAAATATTTGTGGTTTCAAACCACTAAACTTTGGAGTAATTTGTAATGCAGCAATAGATAACTGTCTTAGTCCATTTGTGTTGCTACAGAGGAATAACTAAGGCTGGGTAATTTAGAAAGAAAAGAGGTTTCTTTGGCTCACGGTTCTACAGGCTGTGCAAGAAGCATGCCTCGTGCTGCTTCCACTCATGGCAGAAGGTGAAGGTGAGCCGTCGTGTGCAGAGATCACATACTGAGAGAGGAAGCCGGAAAGAGTGGGTGGGGAGGTGCCAGGCTCTTTTTAAACAACCAGCTCTTGTAGGTACTAATAGAGCAAGAACTCACTCACTCCCCCATCCAGAGAGGGCGTTAATCTATTCCTGAGGGATCCGCCCCAGTAACCTAAACCCCTCCAAACAGGCTCCACCTCCAACACTGGCAGTCAAATTTCAACATGACGTTTGGAGGGGACGATCATCCAAACCATAGTGATAACTAAGACACCACTGACAAAATTTAAAAAATAATCTGCGCTGGAATTAGAAAAATGGTTTAATGTATAGGGCATTTGTAATTCTATACATCAGAATTAATTATCAAGCAAAATCTTGATGGGCAAGAACTTCCATTTGATTAGGCACCGACGAGAATCAAACCCTCTGTGTACACATGTCCATACCTGATGCTTGAAAGGACTTCCCACAGGTGAGCTTCTGGCTCTGTACATTTAAAAACTTGCTCCTGCTTCATTGTTCACATACTTCATTTCTAATGACTCATTACTAGCTCTAATTACAAACTCTTGCCCTCCACTTTCATGTCATGGGTGAATCCCACAGTGGGCAGGAGGGGTCCTGGCTTACAGAGGTGTGCCAGAGTTGGCTCGTTCTAGCTCATGAGGGCCCATTGTTAGCTTTTCAGAAATTTTGGGAGGCAGTTGTTAAACATAGCCATTATTAATTAAATTTTGTAAACTTAAAATTAAATAATACTAAAAATGAAGATAACAAATACTCAAAACTCATCTCTTCCCAGTTATTTCACTACATTTTACTGTCACTGTGCTTTTGGGGTTATTTACATTCTATGGGATTCATGTTGTGAAATACTATATACCCTGGTGTGCTGCTCTTCCCAACTTCATATTCAGTGGCCACGGACAGCTTGGAATAGGCCACAGTGGAAGTACTTACACCATGGAAATTAGCAAACACTATAGATCTGGTTGTGAAACATTTACTAGTGTACCACTGCCTCATAGTCATTCCTGCTCCAGGACAGCTAGCCATAACATAACTATACACAGATTTAACAACAATCTATATAAATACATTCCACAAAACCCAAACAAAATGAAACCCAACTCGAATTTCCTTAGCTGGATGCCCACAGTGCCTATGGTCACTTGTTCAGTGCTAAGAGGAGGATAAATGTGATGGAGAGTGAGTCAGACTGGAAGGAGAGGGCCATCTTAGCCAATGGCGGTTAAGCTGCCTTTTAAATGAGATTATGTAACCTCGTTGCTGGGACCCCTCCTAGAACACTGGAAGAAGCCCCAGCAAGTGAGAGGCCCTGAAACCTAAGCTTCATTAGCTTGGTGGTACCTCTGCCTCTGCTCTAGAACTCTCTGGCTGTTTCCACTGCCCCTCAATGACTCCTACCTGGGGTTGAACCCAAGGGTTGGGGGAAAAGTGGGGTGGGTGGCTTCTCTATGCTCACTCTGGCAGGCTCAATAAACCAATAAACGTACAGAGCAAGGACCTTGCATTTTCTCTTCCAGGCTTCTTATTGGAAAAGAATTACACCCTTGGGCTCGTCTTTCTTTTTTTCTTTTTCTTTTTTTCTTTTTTTGAAATAGAGTCTCGCTCTGTCGCCTAGGCTAGAGTGCAGCGGTGCGATCTTGGCTCACTTCAGCCTCTGCCTCCTGAGTTCAAGCGTTTCTCTTGCTTCAGCCTCATGAGTAGCTGGGATTACAGGTGTGCGCCACCACACCCAGCTACTTTTGTATTTTTAGTAGAGACAGGGTTTCACCATGTTGGCCAGGCTGTTCTCGAACTCCTGACCTCAAGTGACCAACCTGCCTCGGCCTCCCAAACTGCTGAGATGACAGGTGTGAGTCACTGTGCCTGGCCTGATAAGAACTATTTTCTAAACATGACCACAATACCATTATCAACTAAAACCTATCAGAAAAGAATTATACCCTTAGGCTCATCTTTTTTTTTTTTGAAGTGGAGTCTCACTCTGTCACCCAGGCTGGAGTGCAGTGGTGCGATCTCGGCTCACTGCAGCCTCCATCTACTGGGTTCAAGTGATTCTCATGCCTCAGTCTCCTGAGTAGCTGGGACTACAGGCCTGTGCCACCATGCCCGACTGATTTTTTGTGTTTATATTAATAATAGAGATGGGGTTTTGCCATTTTGCCTAGGCTGGTGTCCAACTCCTAACCTCAAGTGCTCCACCCACCTCAGCCTTCCAAAGTGCCGGGATTACAGGTGTGAGACACCATATCTGGCCTCATCTTTCTTTTTCCTATGTGCCCTGTCCTTCTCAGAGACATTAAGCCCCAGTCTCTTGTCCTAGCACTAATAGCAAACAAACACAAAAACAACCCAAAAAAACTGCTGGAAAAGAATCCTTGCTGACTTATCAAAAAGGAAAATACAGCTGTATCTCAAAAATGATCATTCAGCTACAGAATTATTCCATAGGGGTTCACATAGAATAAGGGTCAGGACTGGAACCCAGGTTTGGAAGCTGCAGGGAGGCAGATTTAAGCTGGAAAACTAGAATGAGGATATTCATTCACACACCAGATAAAGTTTTGAATTAGATGACTTTCGAGTCTCCACCTTATCCCACGTTCTCTAATATTTTCACTGTTAGGATGGCAAACACACCACCAGCTTTAACACATCTTTTATTTTAACAATGTAAAAATAAATTATCATTCAAAATATACTTCATAACTTGGAGCTATTGCTAAGTAATTTTCCTTTAAAATTTTATCTGGAAAATATCTGATATGATTGAAAGACAAAACAAAAACAAAAATTCCCTAAGCTCCAAGATTTAAAATTTGAGAAAAATGTTCCAGGTCTCAGTATGAAATGATCCAAAATAGGCAATATAATTTTCACATCTCTTGGAAAAAATACTGAGTCATATTGCCCACCCACATCCTACAAAAATAACAGAAATCCAATGATTCAAGCAAGATACACTCTGTCATTGTCTGAAGCAAACATTTGAGTCATTCTGGAAAATTAGGAGCAAACCCTTGTCAGTGACAAAAGTTTTTAATTCCACGTCCCAAGGAAAATTTTGCAATGACAAGTTCTTTCCAGCCCCAGACATGCCTTTTCCTTGCACCCTGGAAGACCTTAGGGCTGGATACCGCCCTCTCTCCCGAGAACAACAAACATCACGTGTGGAGCAGGCTGCGCTGAATGGGTGACGTCATTCATTCACGCAGAGCACAGCCATACATCCAGCGAGCAGTGCTTAGGACTCCATCAACAGTCCTAGGGTGAGGCCAGCAGGCGGGAAAGGCTTCCTAGAGACCCTCACAGCCCATAGGACCAATGGAGGCCCTTCCTCATCCACTCTGAGCGCCTTGTCCTGCAGTCTTGTCTTTTCTGTTCTCAGAAGCAAGAGCCTAACCCTCTACCTGTGATTTTACAACTCCCTCCCTCTCTATCTCATATCCCTTTTCCTTGCTTGTGTTCCTTTTATCTCCTGCTCCCCATGAACTCCTTTTTTTTTTTTTTTTTTTTTTGAGACAGGGTCTTGCTCTGTTGCCCAGGCTGAGGACTACAGGCATGCACCACCATGCCCTGCTAATTAAAAAACCAATTTTGGCCGGGTGCAATGGCTCACGCTTATAATCCCAACACTTTGGGAGGCTGAGGTGGGCAGTTCACTGGAGGTCAGGAGTTCGAGACCAGCCTGGCCAATATGGTGAAACCCCATCTCTACCAGAAATACAAAAATTAGCCGGGCATGGTGGCAGACACCCGTAATCTCAGCTACTCAGGAGGCTGAGGCATGATAATTGCTTGAACGCAGGAGGTAGAAGTTGCAGTGAGCCATGATGGTGCCATTGCACTCCAGCCTGGGTGACAGAGTGAGACTCTGTCTCAAAAAAAAAAAAAAAAAAACTTTTTTTTTTTTAGAGACAGGGGTCTGGCTATGTCGCCCAGGGTGGTCTTGAACTCCTGGCCTCAAGTGATCCTCCCGTCTCTGCCTCCCAACATGCTGGGATGACAGGCGTGAACCAATGATTCTGGCCAGACTCCTGTCTGCCTCTTCCTACAAGCTCAGGATTCCCGGTGCATTGCCCAGCAGAGTGTCCAATGGCAGTAACAGCTAGATAAATGTTTGCCCTGGAGAAAATGACAACCAAAACTAAATAAATTCTAAATAAGCTGTCTCTGAGCCTATTACTCCTAAAGGAACAGACCTAGCCTCCCCATTTCTTCCCTGGAGGAATTTTGGTGCTTCCAGTTTTCTCATTCTCCTTCACTCTCTAATCCTTTACCGCTAGGGACATCACTGAGATGGCTCCCCAAATGGCACCAATGGCCTCCTGGGGCCTTGTGCCTGGCTTCCTTCAGCTTCCTCTCTGCAGCACTGGACAGCGACAGCAACCCATTCATTCTCTTTGAGAATTCTTCTTCACGTGAGGAGGCACCCCTGGTTTCCCTTGTAATTCCACCAGCTAATGTCTGCTCGGCCCTTTCACTGCATTGTCTTCCCCTTTGTTGCATCTTTCCCGATTCCTTTTTATTTCCGCTTTCTCAACACTGAAGACCTCCTCCTCTACCCTCAAAGCCTCTACTTGGTGCTGCTGATGACGCCCAAATCCCCCACTTCCCAGCTCCATTCCCACTGCCCCCAGAGCTTTGCTCTCAGCCCCTCAAACTCTTCCTGCCAGCCTCAGAGTCTTCATCTTTGCCCCTAACTGAGGCTGCTCCACTTCCTTAATCCCGTGGCAAGCATCTCTCGTCTTCTAGTCACAGGGCATCAACCTTCCGTCTTTTCTGACTCTTATGTAGGCCTTGCTGACCTGGGCAACACCCTCATCCCAGTCATATGCAGAAGATGAATTCTTTCTTTAAAATTGCTTTATCATCCATCCCCTTTCTCCCATCCCTTGCACTCCTCTAGCTCTGGCCTTCCCTGCCTTTCACCTGGATTCTTGCAGTCCCCACCCCCCAGCATTGTTTCCCGAATTTAAGCCTTTCCCTCCTCCAATTGGGCTCAAAGAACTCTCCCAAAGCACCTCACAGATCTGCTGTGCCCTACCCATGACACTTCAGTGGGACCCCATCCTCCCAGAATAAAATTTACTTCCTAAGCCTAGTATTCAATCTCCCCCAGCAGAAGCAGCGACAACAACAAAAACAACAAAAAATTATAAATAAATCCGGCTCACACCTATTTGATCAGCAGCATTGGAAGCAGAATATAGTGCCTAAGAGCTTGGGCTTGAACTCTAGAGCCAGACTGCACTCTCTAGTAGTGTGTTTTTGAGCAAATTATCTAACTTCTCTGGGCCTCAGTTTCCTTAGCTGCAAAATGAGGCTGAACAATAACATTGCTGAGGATAGGCAAGCATATGTAGATAAAGCAGTTAGAGCAATGCCTGGCATATTGTAATTGCTCAATAAATGGTGGCTAGCATTATTTTTCAACCTGCTCTCCCACTGCTGCCAGACATGAATCTCTTCACCTACTAGTCCAATTGACTTGCTCTGGGTTTCTCCCTTTCTGTGCTTTGCCTATGTGAATCTGTCCATAGGAAATGCCCACACTGCTCCCCATCTCTGTTGATTGAAAGCCCTTAAGGTCAAACTCAAATGCTAGCTTCTCCGTGAAGCCCTATTTAACTTCTCTTTAGCTGGAAGAGTTAGTGAGGCTTCTTTCCTAGTGCTTCTCTTCTTATGCTTATTATTATGGGTAATTGTTGGGAGCAGGCCCCCCAAAATCTGGCCATAAACTGGCCCCAAAACTGGCCATAAACAAAATCTCTGCAGCACTGTAACATGTTCATAATGGCCCTAACGCCCACGCTGGAAGGTTGTGGGTTTACGGGAATGAGGGCAAGGAACACCCGGCCCCACCAGGGCGGGAAAACCCCTTAAAGGCATTCTTAAGCCACAAACAATAGCATGGGCAATCTGTGCCTTAAGGAAATGCTCCTGCTGCAGTTAACTAGCCCAACCTATTCCTTTAATTGGGCCCATCTCTTTGTTTCTCATAAGGGATACTTATAGTTAATTTAATATCTATAGAAACAATGCTAATGACTGGCTTGCTGTTAATAAATATGTGGGTAAATCTCTGTTCGGGGCTTTCAGCTCTGAAGGCTGTGAGACCCCTGATTTCCCACTTCACACCTCTGTCTTTCTGTGTGTGTGTCTTTAATTCCTCTAGCACTGCTGGGTTAGGGTCTCCCTGACTGAGCTGGTCTCGGCAGGTAATGTGTCTGTCTGTGCTACTGTATTGTTTTTGGCCCTTAAGGACAGAAAATCCTAATTAATTTTTCTATTCCTACATAATCATTTCATCCCAGACGTCATGTTTTTCATCTCTGAAAATTCAATTTGGGTCATTTTTATAGCTTCCATGTTTATCTTTATCAAGCTCATATTCTTCTCTATGGTCTTGAACACTGGGAGTATAATAGCTGTTTTAATATTCTTGTCTACAAATTATATCATCTGTGTCATTTCTGAGTCTGTTTCTATTGATTGATTTTTCTCCTCATTATGGGCCATCTTTTCCTGCTTTTTCACTTACCTGGTAATTTTTGCCTGGATGCTAGACACTGTCAGTTTTACCTTCTTGGGTGCTGGAGTTTTTGTGTTTCTTTAAATATTTTTGCACTTTGCTATGAGATGCAATTAAATTACTCAGAAAGAGTTTGATCTTTTCTAGGCTGGATTTGAAGCTTTGTTCAAGGGGTTCAGGGCAGCTGTTATCTCAGCTGGACCTGACTTGGTCCCTGTGCTGAGATAATACCTTTTTGAGAACTCTACTCAGAGGCCTGTATTTCTACTCTGGTTGGCAAGAGCAGAAACTATTCCCAGCGCTATGTGGGCTGTGGTGGTTGTTCCTGCTGTTCTTTTTGAGTAATTCTTTTCCCAGCCCCTGGTTGTTTCCTCATAAACAATCACCGATTAATACTCAGATGAAGAACTCATGAGGAGCCCTCTACAGATCTTCAGTTTTCTTTCTCTTTCTCTATATGTGTGTGTGCATGACATTTTCTCCTCTCCATTACTCCACCCTGCAAATTCCAGCCACCTTGGCTTTCCCAAACCCTGAAGTATTCTTCCTCAACTCAAGGACACCAGTGGGCTCTATTTGGGTTCCTCCTCCCTGTACTAAGAACCAAAAACTCTCTCCAGGTAGTAATCCCTGGAGATTGCATGCTTCCCCTCATATGTTTCCATTTTTTCAGTTTTCATGGTCCTGCATTGCCTGTTGTACAATGTCTGAAAACAGTTCTTTCATATATTTTATCTGGTTTTTAAATCGTTTTAGGTGGGAGGGAAAATCTGGTCCCTGCTTCTCAGTTATGGCTAGAAGCAGAAGTATATCTATACATAATACTATGAAACATGCTTTGTTCATCTAAGTGATCAATAATACTATAAAATAGCATTTTAGCTGGGTGTGGTGGTGCACACCTACAGTCCCAGCTACTTGGGAGGCTGAGGCAGGAGGATCACCTGAGCCCAGGAGTTTGAGGCTTCATTGAGCCAGGATCACATTACTACACTCCAGCCTGGGTGACAGAGCAAGAACCTGTCTCAAAAAATAAAATAAAATAACATTTTTATTTCTAATTTTAAAATTAATCTGGCACAGAAAACTTTTTAACTACAGAGAAATACAAAGAAAAAAACAGTTCACACATAACCTTCCATCTTCTGCTGTATGATCTTCCTCTCTTTATAAGTACATTGCTCTTCTTATGAATACACATATGAATATATTTATTATTATTATTTACTCAGTAAACACTGTTGAATGAATACCAGTGAATTGGTGCTAAAGAGTCAGGTATCATGCACAGGAATGCTGAAAGTCCCCTTAACTCTTAGGCAGGAAACAAATGGCTGTTTAGCAGGTAGAGACAGCTGCTTAATAAGGAAACCCCTCTGCAGGAGGTTACTTAAGGAGTTTGGACAACCAAAGTCTAAATACAGAGCCCAAACCTCATTAACTTTTGGCATGTGGGTTGCCCTAAGTTGGCAGGGCACAACGCCTCTCTTTCCAGAACAAAATTTACTCTTTGTCCAGGAAAGGCAGGTAGAGAGGGTGTCTGATTGCACGCTGAGCGAGTCGGGTTTGAATGGCTGATGGAAAGAGGGAGAACAGGTGACAGGGTGCACCCAGCCTCGCTAAGGTCATGCTCCATTTACTCCAGTGGAGAAAGGGCCATCTTTAGAGTCCCCTGACTTCATAGGTAAAATGCCTTTCACTCCCTCCTCCTTGTGCCCTGCTCACAGCAGGCAGACCATGAATATTTGTTGGAATAGTGAATGAGATACATGAATAGGATAATAGAAGGTCTCCGAGATGCCAAGTCTTTTTCTGGAAAGCTCTGCCTTTCTGTGGTGGTTTTACCTTAGCAAAGCATTTTGTCAGCTCTGCCCACACCAAATCTGAGATGTTTGGCACGCATTCCACAGGGATACAGGGGCCTAATTAATTGGTTCACAGATGCAGAAGTTTTTATTATCCTTTCAGTTTTCAATTATCTGACCTACAACTATTGTTTAGGTGACCAAGCTGGTGTCTTTTCATTCCTGCCATTGACCTCTGACCTCTCGATTGCTTTTGGTGGCGCTCTCTGAGTAGTGGGGGAGGGTCGGGGATGGAAGGAAGTTCAAGTGTCTACCAAGCAGAAGTAAAAGAAATATTCTTTTGATGAGAATCCAATAAAAAAGCCTAAAAATATATAGCAACAAAATACAGAAGAGAGAAAGAAAGAAAGAGAGAAGAGAAAGCAGCAGATTCTTCTTTTACATTGAACACAGAGGATGAACACAGCCAAGCAGCCTCAGATCAAACAGGCTCAGCCAAACACAGGAGAAAATCTTACAGGCAATAATAAGATCTGAGTTCTTAGTAACAGAGATAAAGCAAGAACTCCTGTCCCCCTCTTATCTCATGGGAGGCAGGTAGGACCCTGGTGTATTTAAGTGCACAGGCTCCGTGTTACAGACTAGAGTTCTCATCCCAGCTCCACCACCTAATACCAGCATGACCTTGGGCAAGAGCCTCACCTGCAAGGTGGGGCTGAATTTAATAGCATCTACCTCAGGAAGTTGTTGTGAAGATTCAATGAGGTAAGGAGTTATGGCCGGATGCAGTGGCTCACGTCTGTAATCCCAGCACTTTGGGAGGCCAAGGTTGGCAGATCACTTGAGGTCAGGAGTTTGAGACCAGCCTGGCCAACATGGTGAAACCCCGTCTCTAATAAAAATACAAAAAGTTAGCCGGGTGTGGTGGTATGCACCTGCAGTCCCAGCTATTCGGAAGGCTGAGGCAGAAGGATCACTTGAACCTGTGAGGTGGAGGTTGCAGTGAGTGAGCCAAGATTGTACTACTGCGAGACAGAGCGAGACTCCATCTCAAAAAAAAGAAAAAAAAAAGAAAGGAGTGAAATGTTTAGAATATCTCTGGTACCCAGTAAATCTCAATAATGTTAGTAAATGTTAGCTATTATTATTTTCTTTTCCAGAACTTTTTCTTTGCATATTTGATTTTATTTAAATAAATTATGAGGGCCAGGGTTTTCGATTGTTACAAAAAGTTGAAGCCATGATGAAACAGACGTTTCTGGGGGGAAAAAAGGGAAGTGAGAAACATGGGGAATTAAAATATATTAAATGTGAAATATACATGAATGCCCTTTTGAAATTACTTTGATATTTGGAAGCATTAAAAGGTATATAACTTGCTCATAGAAGATGTTATATAATGAATGTAAAAACCTGTCTTACCTAAGCATTAACTCTAAATCAATCAGTTGAGTTTACTGTTGACTTACTGTTATACATTTTGAATTCTTGTAAATGGAGCTACAGCTAAGATGTTGAGGGAATCTAAGCTGTCAGTTTTTGCCTATTTATGAGAATCAGGCAAAATCTAAAAGCTGGGGGGAGAAGTCAGCCTTACGGTAAAACAAAGAAAGTCATTATGCTCTTTGTACTCAGTGCCCTCCACTCTGTCAAAAAGATACAGAAAGCCCCAGTTTCCAGAAAAGAAGATGAGAATAAAATGAACCCAGATTCACCGAAAACATCTTTTTTTCCACTTGTCTAATCAGTTTTGTTCTGTGTGCTGCCACTGGCATAGATGCCTGCCTTTCTGTTTCATTTTGATCACTTTCAAGAATTTTGGAAGAATGTCGTTTTATCCAAATTAAAATTAATCACCATTATTCCCATGCCATCTAATTTATTTGGTCACTCAATAAGTATTTATGAGGTACCTCCAGGGTGCCAGGCCCCGTGGTCAGGGACATAAAGACACGTGGTCCCTGCCCTGGTGGAGTTCACTGGGTGGACAGAGGCTTGTAGAGAGGCGAGTGGACTGAGCCATACTCGACCTTTAGAGAGGAGGGTGCTCAGGGACAGTGCCCTTCCAAAGGGAGAAGAAACTAATTACTGGGAGGGTCAGGAACTTTCAGGACACATTTGAGCTAACATACATCTTCCAAAGATACCTTTATTTTTCATATTCTGTAGGACCTAGGGGACTTGGAAGTGATTAGGAGCCACTGCTTGCAAAAGTCTCACCCGAACATGGTAGGAATAACTTTACAATCTCAAAATTAGCTGATATCATCTGTGTTATTCATTAAGAAACATCTGACAGAAATGTTCAGCTTCACCCACCCATTTCCTCTCTCAGTATATGTTGCATGCCTACTATTTGCCCAACAAAATGGAATTATGCCATTAGAATAACTAAGAATTATCCTGATCACCTTCAGTGAGTTCCCTACGTTGGACCTACAAGTCATTCTTATTAAGGACAATGGTTCTTACATCCAGAACTCCTTAGGGAACTTCATGTTTAACTTTAAAGAGTTTATTTGCTTGTAATTAACTCCCACAGCATCTTAATCGGGGATCACTACCAAGATTCAATACAGAGTTTCAGTGTCATTTTTCTTCCAGACGTTCTTTTATTTTTATCTCTTTTGTTGTTGTTGTTTTGTTTTTGTTTTTGAGACAGAGTCTCGCTGTGTCACCCAAGCTGGAGTGCAGTGGCACGATCTCAGCTTACTGCAAACTCCGCCTCCTAGGTTCAAGATTCTCATACCTCCCAAGTAGCTGGGATTACAGGTGTGCACCACCACACCCAGCTAATTTTCTGTATTTTTAGTAGGGATGGGGTTTTCTCACGTTGGCCAGGCTGATGTCAAACTCCTGACCTCAGGTGATCTGCCTTCCTCAGCCTCCCAGAGTGCTGGGATTACAGGCGTGAGCCACCTTATGTGGCCTTGTTTTTGTTTTTGAGACAGGGTCTCACTGTCTCACCCAGGCTAGAGCACAGTGTCACAATCACAGCTTACTGCAGCCTCAACCTCCTGGGTTCAAGTGATCCTCCCACCTCTGCCTCCTGAGTAGCTGGGACCACAGGTGTGAGCCACCACACTCAGCTAATTTTTTTAACTTTTAGTGGAGACAGGGTCTCACTATATTGCCCAGGATGGTCTTGAACTCCTGAGCTCAGGTAGTCCTCCCACCTTGGCCTCCCAAAGTGCTGGGATTACAGGTATAAGCCATGGCACCTGGCCTCTTTTTATCTCTTCTTGAAGATGGTATCTACCCAGTGACTTTTATGGGACTGACAAAAGGTCACAGCTTAGAGATTAGTTAGGACAAGGAAGGATGTGAAGGGACATGAGGTGGTGTGGAAATGCCAAGTACGGGTGGAAGGGGGATGAGCAGATAGGCGGGGTCAAAGCTGCAGGCCCTCTGAGTGGGCTCCCTGGTTCCAGAAGCAGGGAGCCAGTGCAGAGAGGGTGGGAAAAGAAGTCAGACTCTTTTACCGCCAGATTCACTTCTTTCTCCATGTGAACACTGCGTGGACTTCCAGAAGCATTGATCCTCTGCACTAGCATCCCCAGATTTAGGGACAAATAGATTTCTTGAGTTCCCAGAGGAAACAGATTCTGAGATGAGACTGGATGCAGAGCATGGCCCCAGGATCTGTCACTGATGGGGAGTGAAGGGAACAGGTGGGGCAGAGGGAGGAGCCTCAGTCGATCCCAGGATCCCACAGGGAGCTCTGGAGCTGGGATGGCCCTTCAGAGCTGCCCTGAATTGGAGCTAGGGGACCACACCTGGGCATTGACCAGTCCTTAACATGGGCTGCCCTGGGGGAAAGGGGTGACCTTGAACAAGGAGGGCAATTCCTGGAAAGGGACTCAACTAAGAGCAGCCATCAGCCACCCATGTCTCCAGCAGCTGGGGGAAGGAGCACCCACAGAACCCAGTACTAAGGATGGGTTATTTACATAACAAAGGATCAGTGGTTCTGTTTTCATTTTGTTTCACATTATTTTAATTTTTTAATGGAATGCTTCATGAATTTGCATGTCATCCTTGCACAGGGGCCATGCTAATCTTCTCTGTATCATTCCAATTTTTTAGTGTATGTGCTGTCAAAGCAAGCACTTGTTTCACGTTAGATGATAAAGGTGTTGAGGGAAAGACTTGCTCTTCCAACTGTATGTATCCCCCACAATGCACTTGCTCTTGATAAAATCAGGGCCTCCCCAGACAGGATTACCAGTTACACCTGTAATGCCCATATCTAACGTCCTAGCTGGCACAGGGATGCCGGCATAATAAACGGGGCTGCAGAGGAGCGTCATCCTGGCTTGGGATTCCTCGTCTTTCTAGATTGCTGAAAATGAGGAGCTGAGGGCCACGGAGCACTCAGAATCCCCACCAACTGCTGACCCAGAACCTTTAGCACAGTGGGTCTCAGAGAGTGTCTTACTAGCTTGAGACGTTAGGCTTCAGCAAAGCGGCACAGGTGCGGGCGAAGGCAACCTGGAGCTGTGGCTCTGCACGGGCCCTCGCCTGGCCAAGGCAAGGGACAGGACAAGAGCAGGAAGGAAAGAGTATCAGAGGTCAGTGTATCCATCCAAGGGCTCAACCTGGCCAGGGGACAAGGCAGAGGAGCCAGGCAGGCCCTGCTGCTCAGCACAGCTGCAATGCCACCTGAGATGAGGTGTGACAAAGGTGCCTGTCACTGTCCCTCCTCCTGTTCTATTCTAAGGGTCTCTGTGCCAGTTGTCAGTTCCTTACTGTAGTTGAAGCGAGGTGCACTCCCTTTCACTCTGGGTGCTACTTTCTTGGCTGAGAAAAAACAAGCTGCAGCCCAAGCCGCCCTGCTATGTGAGAAAGAGAAGTGAAACAGGCTGTGGGCTGGGCAACAGGAGGCTGACTGCAAGCGACCTGCAGATGCCGAGCCTTTGCTGGTTTACTCCGGCAGCACAACAGCATACGAAGAAAACCAAAGTGGCTCTCTCATTAGCCAGTTCCTGGAAGAGGAACGGTTCCATTTCTACAACCATTCAAGCAGCAGGGATTTATTGAAACCGATCCACGCTCAGGTCCCAGCGGACACAGTCCCTGCCTGAAAGGCACTAGAGCCTAGTTAGGGAGAGTAGAGTAACTCACCTGAAAAAAACAGCAAATGGACCTGACCTGTATAATTAGGGACTAAATTACGTGAGCCAGTCTCAAGGCGCAGTCCGTCAGGGAAGAACTCACCATGAAGACCGCCGAAGATCACGAAAAGGAGGCCAGAAGTGAGGAAAGGCTCCAGAGGCCAGGAGAGGGCATGGGGTAGCGGGGCATGAAACTGCAGGAACAGAAGCCTGGAGGCAGAGATGATAATGAGGAAATGGGCCTCACTAGACCCTGCACCCGAGCCAGGCGCATGGGTCGAGGCTGCCTCGAGAAGCCCCCTCAGCGTGGTTGCCACATAAAAGAAAAGATGCTCAGTTCAATTTGAATTTCAGCTAATCCGTAAACAATATTTACCATAGGTATGCCCCAAACAGTGCAAGACTTTTTTCTAAAACATCTGACTGAGCATGGTGGCTCATGCGTGAAATTCCAACACTTTGGGAGGACCGAGGCAGGAGGATCGGTTGAGTCCAGGAGTTTGAGACCAGCCTGGGTAACATGGTGAGACCCTAACTCTACAAAAAATACAAAAATTAGGTGGGCATGGTGGCACATGCTGGTAGTCCCAGCTACTCAGGACACTGAGGTGGGAGAATCGTTTGAGCCCAGGAGATCGAGGCTGCAGTGAGCCGTGATTGCACCATCACACTCCAGCCTGGGCAACAGAGTGAGACTCTGTCTAAAAAAGAAATAAAATAGGCAGGGCGCAGTGGCTCACACCTGTAATCCCAGCACTTTGGGAAGCCAAGGTGAGCAGATCACCTGAGGCCAAGAGTTCAAGACCATCCTGGCCAACATGGCAAAACCCTGTTTCTACTAAAAATATAAAAATTAGCCAGGCACGGTAGCACATGCCTGTGATCCCAGCTACTAGGGAGGCTGAGGCAGGAGAATTGCTTGAACCCAGTGGGCAGAGGTTGCAGTGAGCTGAGATCGCACCACTGCACTCCAGCCTGGGTGACAGAGCAAAACTCCATCTCAAAAATAAATAAATAAATAAATAAATTCAAATATTATCCATTGTTTAACTGAAATTCAGATTTACCTGGGCATCCTGTATTTGATTTGCTAAATTAAGCAACCCTCCTCCTGGAGTTATATTTTACAGTTGCTCACTTGATCCTCAGTACTGCCCTATAAGGTAGCTCTCTTATCACCATCATCCCCATTTCACAGGTGAGAAAACTGAGTCACAGAGTTGTCCACAGCCATGCAAGTAGCGCGTCTGTTTCCACAGTCTGTGCTCCTAACCCTCTAAGCTGCTACTAGAGTTTGGGATCCATTAGTCCTCGATCCAGAGTGTGGCTCTACCACTTCTTAGGTGTATGACCTTTGGCAAGTCGCTTAACCTCACTGAGCTTCAGTTTCCCCTTCTGGGAATAATAATAATTCCTGACTTACAGAGTTTTGTGAGTGAGGTAATTGAACAAATAGGAAGTGATTCATACATGGCACTTGGATGATGGTGATGATGATGGTGATGATGATGATGATGGGAAGCCTTGGATCATGTAGAGTCATTGATGAGACTAGAGGAAATGACACGCCTGAGCCACCTCCGTGGCCATTCCCTTGCCTTCACATGCCTGCCTCCACCCTAGTCCTCTCCCTGCTCCCTAAACATAGACACAGGGCTGGCCCCAGGCCCCATGTGTAACAGGCTTCCTGCCTAAAGCCACCAGGAGCCTCAGAGCCCAGAGCTCCTGTTGCTGGTGGCTGGAGTTTACTGCCTGAACTTCTAGTCCAGGTTGCGGACTATGAGCAGTCCAGGACTTTCTCCTTGTCCGACAGCCCCTCCAATCACTGCCCAGGTGTGCCTACATCCTAGTTCTAGCTGCCACCAGGAAAAAATCCAACCCATGGAGCATTTTGCACTCATCTACAACTACGTATGACAAATGGTTTCCCCTCCCTGCTACATAACTCAGCCTGCCCGTGTGCATGCTCTGAACTACTTCAATCTAAGTATCTGCTGAGTAAGATCGAGACAGAAAATATCTGTTGATTAGGTTTTGTTTCTGTCACTTCTTGCCTTCTCAGGGCAAGTCAGTTCTAGAGGTTCATTTCCGGTCCCTCGGCTTCCCACCCTGAAGCCTCCTCCCTGCTCCAGGTCAGTTTAGCAATGGAACACACCCAACAAGCTGCCCCGCCTTCTCACACCTGGGCTAGGGTGTCCAAGGTGCTGGGGAATCTAGCCCTTAGCAAAGATTACCTTATCCCTAGTACCAGGATTATTTCAATGTTTTTTCCTTGTGTTTTGTTTTGTTCTACCATCAATGTTCCACTTAGGTATTAATCCTAGCAAGTAAACTAAAAAGGCCGGGCACAATCTGTAATCCCAGGCTTACGCCTGTAATACCAACACTTTGGGAGGCCAAGGCAGGTGGATCTCTTGAGCCCAGGAGTTTGAGACCAGCCTGGGCAACATGGCAAAACCCCATCTCTACAAAAAATTAGCTGGACATGGTGGCATGCGCTTGTGGTCCAGCTACTGGGAGGCTGAGGCAGGAGAATCACCTAAGCCCAGGAGGTCAAGGCTGCAGTAAGCCATGATCATACCATTGCACTCCAGCCTGAGTGACAGAATGAGACCCTGTCTTAAAAATAAATAGGCTGGGCGCGGTGGCTCACGCCTGTAATCCCAACACTTTGGGAAGCCAAGGCGGGTGGATCACGAGATCAGGAGTTCAAGACCAGCCTGACCAATATGGTGAAACCCCGTCTCTACTAAAAATACAAAAATTAGCATGTTGTGGGCATGTTGGTGGGTGCCTGTAGTCCCAGCTACTCGGGAGGCTGAGGCAGGAGAATAGTGTGAATCTGGGAGGCGGAGGTTGCAGTGAGCCAAGATTGTGCCACTGCACTCCAGCCTGGGCAACAGAGCAAGACTCTGTCTCAGAAATAAATAAATGAACAAATAAATAAATAAATAAACTTTAAAAATGTATGGTCAGTTTTCTCATTGGAACTATGTCTACCTCCTTGGGTGGAAAGAGCTCATTCTTCCATGATCAAGCCCTGACCTTCAAGTAACCCCTTGAGATTCCTGACTCAGTCTGACCTGACTCTTATTTTCTTCCAGGCAGTGATTTCGGCAGCACAGAGACAGCAGAGAAAAAGAGACCAGATTTCTGCTCTCAAGGCGTGAATAATAGTCTTGACCCAGATTCTAACTATGTGGTCACTCCTAGTCTCTTTTTAACTCACTTTCTTATCTTGACTCTTAGAACCAACAACACCTGGCTCTGGACCTCTCACCAAGCTGTGGTTCTATGCTCTCCTGACTTCCAACTCTCCGTTCTTGTCCTTCTCACCTATGTGAGTTTCCAGCCTTCAGACACTCCCTGTCCTAGTGTTGAGTCCTACCTCTGAGACCCTCAGCTGCCCACCCTGCAACACTGACAATGCACAGAGTCCAACCATCTGGCCCTCATAAAATGTCCCAGGCTCCATGCCAAGTTGCGCTACAGATTGCTTGGCCATCAGTTCCCTAGGAAACTGTAGGCTGGACTGGCTGCCAAGTCAATGGAGGGTTTCAGCCATGTGGTTGGCCACCTGGGCAGAAGCCTTGCTGACTGCCTTCTTATCTGGTAGTTCCCCTTCCTGAGCCTTGGTGCCCAACCCTATCTGAATCACCTGGGCCTTGGAAACCTGTTCCTTTGGAGTTCCAGCCCTTCTAGGTCAAAAGCACCTTGAATATCTGACGAGGGCCTGCCTTCATTCTTTTGATCTCTTTGCTGGTGTTCCTCCTGGATGCCCTTGGCCTGTAACAGCTGGCCTCCAAACACCGGCAAACCTGTCCCCAGAACCCAAGTCTGAGTCAGCAGAGTCTTGGTAACTTTCCCTAGTTCAACAAAAACCCACAGCTATACCACAGTCCTGCCTGCACTCACCCTCTCCACCCACCTGACCACTTATTCATTCAACAAATGTTTGTGGAGTGTGTGTTTTGGAGCCAGATAATGTGAGAGTTGAAGTTTCCCAACAAGGAATGGACAAAACATTGTTCCTGGCCTAGAGGAGCTCATAGCCAAAGTGGAGGCATTAGAATAAACATAATCCATTTCAAAATGTGAAAAGGGTCACAGCAGGGTTGGAACAAGTACCAGGGGAACACCTGGGAAGGGCATCTAACTCACGCCCATGGGACAGGGAATGTCTGCATGAAGACTGATGTGAAATCTAAGCTGAATCCAAAAACAGCAGCAAGAGCTGGTAAATGGTTGGGGGTGCTCCAGATTTCATGCATGAAAACTCAAGGAGAGAAGGCAACTAAAAATAGGAAACTGCAAAAGTCAACATAATTGGGGCAGTGGGAGAAGTGAGCAAGGCTTCACCTGAAAGGAGGAGTTGGTTGGCATCTGAGGACAGTGGGAGGCCACTGGGGTTCTAAGCAGCACCCACTCCACCTATTCTTCTCTTCACAATGGGATCTACGCTTTAGGAAACTCACTTTGCTATCACGATGGAGAATGAATGAGAGGGAAGGCAAGATCCTGAGCAGGAAGAACAGAGAAGACTGTGACGGGATACCAAGACTGAGAAGATAATGGCCCGAACCACGGGAGTAATACAAAATACTGGGAGCCTAAGACCAATGGGACTTGGTCGTTGATTGTGCATGCCCTGCAAGGGGAAGGGAGGAGACTGTAGCGATGCCAGGAGTCTAGGCTGATGGATGACCTGGAGCGAGGTGGTGCTGTGAACTGTCACCAGGGAAATAGGGGAGGAGGGGCAGGTTTGTGGCATGGGGGATGGGAGACAAGGTTCAGACAGGAAGGACAGTGTTGAGTTTGAGGTGGTTACAGGACATCCTGTGAGGGGGCTGTGTGTCTCCAAAGCCATCTTGGCCAGTGAGAAAGTCTGAGAGACATCAGCAAACCCATGAACTCTGTAGAATGAGAAGAGCAGAAGGCAGTCTGGAAACATCAGCTAAGAGACAGACAGAAATTGACATAATCTCAAAGTGTCTCCCATACATGACACTTACTAGTTACATAGAAATAAGTAACTTTACAGTGGCGAAGCCTGGTAGACACTACCTCCCCTGAGTGATCAAAGTTATCAGGAGTAATGGGACGGGTAGACATTGTATGCCTCCTGATAGGCTGTACTGAGAAGGATACAACATCACTTCTGTAGTATTCCTGCCAAAAATGTATACTCTAAATGATTATATATGTCTAATCATGAGGGAACATCAGACAAAACCATACTGAAGGACATATATACAAAATAACTGGCCTGTGCTCTTCAAAAATACCAAGGTCATAGAAAAGAAAGACTGAAGAACTATTCTGGATCATAGGAGACTAAAACACAAACATGATAGCTAAATAATTCAATGTATGATTCTAGATTCGATTCTGGACCAGAAAAAAGAGGTTGTTTTGCTACACAATTCCTTTGTGACAATTAGCAAAATTTGAAATAAAGTTTACACATTAGACAATAGTACTATATCACTGTTATTTTTCTAATTTTGATCATTGCACTGTGTAAGAGAACGCCTTTTTTTTTTTTTTTTTTTTGAGACAGAGCTTCTTTGTTCTTGTTGCCCAGGCTGGAGTGCAGTGGTGTGATCTCGACTCACTGCAACCTCCACCTCCAGGGTTCAAGTGACTCTCTTGCCTCAGCCTCCCAAGTAGCTGGGATTACAGGAATGCACCATCACGCCCAGCTAATTTTTTGGGTTTTTTTTGTGTATGTGAATGTGTGTAATGTGAATATGTACCACATTTTTCCTATCCATTCATCCACTGATGAACACTTAGGTTGATTCCATATCTCAGGTATTGTGAATAATGCTGCAATGACCATGGAAGTACACGTATCTCTTTTTAGTACACATATCTATTTTTAGTAGAGACGGGGTTTCACCATGTTGGCCAAGCTGATCTCGAACTCCTGACCTCAGGTGATCCACCCGCTTCAGCCTCCCAAAGTGCTGGGATTACAGGCAAGAGTCACTGTGCCTGGCCAACAAAATGCCTCTTTAAGGTAATACTAATGAAACTATTTAGGAGGAAAGGAGAATTATGTCTGCAACTTATTCTCTATGATTCAGAAAAAAAGGTAATATGAACAGATAGATGATAGGTAGAGAGTAATAAGGCAGGCCAAGCACAGTGTCTCATGCCTGTTAATCCCAGCATTTTGGGAAGCCAAGAGAGGGCTGCTTGAGCCTAGGAGTTTGAGACCAGCCTGGGTAACACAGGGAAATCCCAACTCAACAAAAAATTAAAAAAAAAAAAAAAATTAGCTGGGCATGGTGGTGCATGCCCATAGTCCCAGCTATTTGGGAAGCTGAGTTTCAAGGATCACTTGGGCCTAGGAGGTCAAGGCTACAGTGAGCTGTGATCACACCACTGTACTTCAGCTTGGGCAACAGAGCAAGACCCTGTGTTAAAAATAAAAAATAAAATAATAAAGCAAATGTGATAAATTGTTAACATTTGGGGAATCTGAGTATAGGTAGGCTGGCATTCTTCAAAGCATTCTTTCTTACTTTTCTTTTTTTTTTTTTTTTTTTGAGATGGAGTCTTGCTCTGTTGCCCAAGCTGGAGTGGAGTGCTGTGATCTCTGCTCACTGCAGCCTCCACCTCCTGTCTCAGCCTCCTGAGTAGCTGGGATTACAGGTCCCTGCCACCACACCTGGCTAATTTTTTTTGTATTTTTAGTGGAGATGGGGTTTCATCATGTTGGTCAGGCTGGTTTCAAACTCCTGACTTCAAGTGATCCTCCTGACTTCAAGTGATCCACCTGCCTTAGCCAAAGTGCTGGGATTACAGGTGTGAGCCACCATGTCTGGCATCTTTCTTACTTTTCTATAAGTGTGAAATTATTTTGAGGTGAGTATTAAATACTAAATACTTATTACACAGAGTTGAAAACCAACTTATTGTTCCTCTAAGAATTTCAACTCCTATTGCTACTCTTTCCTTCCCCTCTGCTTTGCAGTGCCACTATGCCCTCAAATAACATTCTCTCCTTTTCTAATTATTATTGTGATAAAAAGACACAACATTAAATTTGCCATTTTTTAGTATACAGTTCAGTAGTGTTGAGTAAATTTACATTGTTGTGTGACAGATCTCTTGCAAGTCTGCAATTATTTAAATAAAAGTTTTTTTACAAAAGAAAGAAAAAGGTAGCAGAAGAGGAACCCTAGGAGGAGACAGAAAGAAGAGCCACAGAGGTAGAAGGAAAAAATAGAAGACTGTGATGTGGCAATAGTCAAGGCAGGAGAGAATGTCAACAGAGACCTGTGGCCTGAAGGGTCATTGCAGCAGACACGTCACATAAATGTCAGGAAGAGACAAAATGGACAAAGCATAATCCCCCAAGTTTGCTCTAGAAAAGATCTTCTCCTTCTGCTTTCTGCGGGTGCTCCCGGTAGGAAGGTGATAGGGTTTGGCTGTGTCCCCACCCAAATCTCATCTTGAATTGTAGCTCCCATAATTCCCATGTGTTGTGGGAGGGACCTGGTGGGAGGTCATTGAATCATGGGGGCAGATTTTTCCTGTGCTATTCTTGTGATAGTGAATAAGTCTCATGAGCTCTGATGGTTTTATAAAGGGCAGGTCCCATACATATACTCACTTGCCTGCTGCCATGTAAGACATGCCTTTGCTCCTCCTTCAGTTTCCACCATGATTGTGAGGCCTCCCAGCCATGTAGAACTGTTAGTCCATTAAACTTTTTCTTTATAAATTACCTAGTCTCTGGTATTTCTTCCTAACAGTATGAAAATGGACTAATACCGAAGGGAAGCCTAGAATATTCTTTGAAACTATTAACTCCATGTGTGGCTGAGGTAGATATCACAGGCTGGGCTGTGCTTTGGTTGGGAAGGTGTTTTGTGGGCCCCCGGGTATGCACAGGTGAGGCTCCCCAACACCCACCCTTCCCTTCCCATGAAAGGTACAGGTGAGTCAAAAGGGTCCAGCATAGAGAGAAAGAGTTACTTTCATGGGCCCCTGGTGACCTCAGAGATAGGACTCTGGGGTGGGCCTTGGGATTAAAAGAAGCTAAGATAATTGTAGGAAATTTCATGTAGGAAGCAAGGCGGCTTGAGCAGGAGATGGTGGCCAGGAAGAGGAGCTGCTGGTATGAGGCTCCCTGGGGCTAGCTGGCCACGGCCTCAGAAGCATGCGGGTGGTGTCTTGTTTCCTTTGCTTTCTCTTCTATAATTCTTTGGAATTTTCCAGAGACTTTAATAACAGACTCTCTCACCCAGTGGCATGGGGTAGGTGAGTGGTGTCCTCGGGTGTGAAGACAAGGGGGCATGTTTACATCTGAGGCTGATGTAAATTACAGAGCTTGGGCAGCCCACAGGTGATTCAGAAATAGGGATTAGACCAAGAATTTAGAGAGAAAATGGAAAGACATACATCCGGCCAGGCGCGGTGGCTCATGCCTGTAATCTCAGCACTTTGGGAAGCTGAGGTGGGCAGACTGCCTGAGCTCAGGAGTTTGAGACCAGCCTGGGAAACGTGGTGAAACCCCATCTCTACTAAAAATACAAAAATCAGGGCCGAGCGCGGTGGCTCACGCCTGTAATCCCGCGCTTTGGGAGGCCGAGGCTGGCAGATCATGAGGTCAAGAGAGCGACACCATCCTGGCCAACATGGTGAAACTCCATCTCTACTAAAAATACAAAAATTAGCTGGGCGTGGTGGCATGTGCCTGTAGTCCCAGCTACTCGGGAGGCTGAGGCAGGAGAATTGCTTGAACCCAGGAGGCGGAAGTTGCAGTGAGCTGAGATCACGCCACTGCCCTCCACCCTGATGACAGAGCGAGACATTGTCTCAAAAAAAAAAAAAAAAAAAAAAAAAGACATAGGCAGGAAGAGTCATCTGCCTAGAGGGAAAGGGTTTTCTTTTGTTTCAAAATGGAAAAGACTTCAAAGTATTTAATTGATGATGAGAAAACAAAACAAAACAAAACATTAAAGAGGAAAAGAGGAAAGATTTAAGAGAGACTATACCTTCCCAACCAAAGCCCAGATGCAGGATTTGGTTGGTTCTTAAACACTCTAGATTGAAAAGAACACCACAACACCACACCCCCATGAGACGGGATCAGCCCGCACACCTGCTCAGGGTGATACTCCAGAGTCCCAATGCCATCAATTTCATCTTGAGCGTCAGGAACCAATTGGCTGAATCATTAAGCCCAGGCCTCTCTACTGTACCCACCCCACCTGGGGGTGTAAGGCCCTCTGATGAACAGGTGACATTAAAGCAAATGAACGTTGACTCATAGCCTACTAAGCTTACATACTTGATAATATTTCATTTTCCCAGTAGTCCTGCGTAGGCATTACTATTCCCATTGTAAAGATGAGTACACTAAGGCTCAGAGAAATTACATACCAAGCAGGAAAAGGCAGAACAGGGAACCAAACCTGGATCGTATTTCAGCATTCATTTTCTTTTCATTCCAGACCTCAGGGAATATATTCTAAGGCCCCCAGAGACAAGAAAATTATGTTCCAGTACCTCCGGAATTAGAGAAAGATGACCAAGCTTTTCCCTGATACCTCCCTAGATTTTCACAATTACAGAAACATGGTCCTCTACCTCCGGAACCACAGAAACCTGAACCTACATAACCTGTCCAACTTGCTTCTCTCGAAACCCAGAAACTTTCTACAGTTGCTCCTGATGTTTCTCACCTGTCATGGAGCTTTAGAGCTACTGAGAGCTGGGGTAACGTAAAAAAGCAGAGAGAAGAGAGCTGGTCTGGTTGAAGGGGTGGGAAGGGGACATGGAAGCCCTTGCTTGGACTCTTATTTCAGCTCCAGTTATTCCCATTAAACTTGAGGTGCCTCCAAGAAACCCCAGGACTTATTTGAACACAGTTTAACAGCCACAGCTATTAATCACAGGCTTTTTTTTTTTTTAAGACGGAGTTTTACTCTTGTTGTCCAGGCTAGAGTGCAATGACACGATCTCGGCTCACTGCAACCTCTGCCTCCTGGATTCAAGCGATTCTCCTGCCTCAGCCTCCCGAGTAGCTGGGATTACAGGCATGCGCCACCACACCAGCTAATTTTGTATTTTTAGTAGAGATGGGGTTTCTCCATGTTGGTCAGGCTGGTCTCGAACTCCCGACCTCAGGTGATCTGCCCGCCTCAGCCTCCCAAAGTGCTGGGATTACAGGCATGAGCCACCAAGACTGGCCTTTTTTTTTTTTTTTTTTTTAATGAAAATTTTGAAGCTGAAGAAAGTAAAATGACCTGCCCAGGGTTACAAAGAGAGCCTAAGTGAACTGCAAACCCCAATAACCTGTTTATTTCACAGCTACTAAATCCAGCTTTCTCTGATAGACTGCTGGCTGCTTAACCTAACCCAATACCAATGCGCCTTCTCCCACTTAGTAACAAACCCCAAATTTATTCTGAGTAACACTGCTTGCTGCCAAAGGACTAAATTTCCCAGCCTCTCTTCAATTTGGACTGGCCATTTTAAATTCTAGCCAAAGAGATGTAAGCAAAAATATAGTATGGTTCTTCTAGGAAGAACATAGGCCTTTCTTCTCCTTTTCCTCTGTCCTGCTGCCTAGAAGTCAGATGTGATGGCTGGAGCTCCAGCAGTCAATTTGGACCATAAGGATGAGACACAGCCTAGGGAATGCAGTCAGAAAACTGGAAAGAGTCTGAATAATGGGGACGCTGACATAATAGACCTCAACTATGTACATGAGAAACAATTTTATATATCTTGCTTAAGTTGTGATTGTTGCAGCTGAATCTAAACTAACTGGTACAAATCAGGAATAGCTTCAACAATTTTCTCTAAGCCTTAATGACAATCCTCAAATAGCCTGAATGCATCTCTGGGGCTTGGGAAGGTATGGCCAGCAACTTCCTGCTCACTCTGGAAGCCCCCGTGTGCTGTGTTTCCAGAGCCAGGAGAGGCAACATTGCTCAGTCCTTGGAGGACCAGGTCACACAGGTTCATCAGGGTTTTCTAAGTCTATGTTCTGGACTCTATTTCCAGAACTCCAGCCACTTCCTGAGCCTTCAAGCTGCTGTTTTCCCCTAACCCCAGAAAACCCCTGAGGTTGTGTAATTATGAACTCCAAACACGGAGCACCAAAAATCAACAGAAGTCAGGAAAAGAAGCTCCTTAACCTTGTCCAAAGAAGCTCAGTAAAAATACAAATAGTAGCTGTGAGTGAGGCAAAAACAAATCTGTAAACATAAACAGATTAGAGGCCGGGCATGGTGGCTCACGCCTGTAATCCCAGCACTTTGAAAGGCCGAGGTGGGCGGATCGTGTGGTCAGGAGTTCGAAACCAGCCTGACCAACATGGTGAAACCCTGTGTCTACTAAAAATACAAAAATTAGGCAGGCGTAGTGGCATGTGCCAATAATCCCAGCTACTCAGGAGGCTGAGGCAGGAGAATCGCTTGAACCCAGGAGGCAGAGGTTACAGTGAGCCAAGATCATGCCATTGCACTCCAGTCTGGGCGACAGAGCGAGACTCTGTCTCACAAAAAAAAAAAAAAAAAAAAAAAAAAAAGAGAGAGAGATTTGAATTCATTGAATTCAATAGAGATTTAAAAATCATTAGAATGGGAATCTTGAAACTTCAGTAAGGATTTTCCTGTTAAAAAACAACAAATTCGGCTGGGCGCAATGGCTCACGCCTGTAATCCCAGCACTTTGGGAGGCCGAGGCAGGCGGATCACCTGAGGTCAGGAGTTCAAGACCAGCCTGGCCAACATGGTGAAACCCCGTCTCTATTAAAAATACAAAAATTAGCCAGGTGTGGCGGCGTGTGCCTGTGATCCCGGCTATTCAGAAGGCTGAGGCAGGAGACTCGCTTGAATCTGGGAGGCAGAGGTTACAGTGAGCCAAGATCACGCCACTGCTCTCCAGCCTGGGCGACAGAGCCAGACTCTGTCTCAAAACAAAAATAAAAACAAAACAACAAATTCAACCTGACTGGAGAGACCAGAACGTGGGAGTCCCCCATTCGTGTCCCACTGATAAGAAGTGTCCTAGGAATCACAGCAGCTGGTGTCTGAGATCAACAGCCCCCCAGTCACTAAAGCGCTACCCTGCCTTTCACACTCTAGCCCCAGAGCTGGGAAGGGAGCACTCATGGGGACATTGTCCCTGTTCGCAGAGGGAACACGGCCGCTTGTCAGCGCCTTATCCCACTGTCAGGGCAGCTGGCTGGGATGGGAGGGGAGACTGCATGAACCCCCATATTTGTGAAACTGAGTAAAAAGGAAGTTCACTTCCTGAGAAGGGTGAACTAGTCAGGCATGACATCTACAATCACCTTGCTTATGAGGCTGCAACAGAGGGGTGCTTGTCTACAGAGGACGTTAGCTACACAGGCGACGGCCCTGGGCAGATGACAGCCACGCTTGCCCATGGCACTGAGCATACCATGGTGCCCGGTGACAACACTGGGGTCGAGTCTGGAAGCCCTAGAGAACTCTGCTTCCCAGGGCTGCTAACACTGACTGGGGAGGACCCTCTGATGTTACAAAAGCCAGAAAAGGCACCCCCGGTCTCTTTCACGAACCTGATTTCCCTGTAGGAAGTAAGTTCTTGCTTCTCTTAAAACGCGATTCCCAGAACTGAACATAATAAATATTTCATTCCTAGGACCCTAAATGGTCCAATGGGACCGTTACTTCCCCTGTTACTTTCTAGCAACGTGACTTCTATCTTCTGTGGAAGTGGGAAAGCACCTGACCTGGGGTCTCATTCCACTTCTGCCACTTAAGGACTGAAGCCTCTTTGAGATTCAGACTCTTTGGCTGTCAATGGGGGTAAAAATACCCTGCCTATCGCTGTGAATCATTCTGAAGGGAATATGCTCATACACCCAGTGTCCAGCAGTCTGGGGAGACGTGAGATCCCTTTGCACGGATACCCCATGTCACAACGATTCTGAGGCCCCTGATGAGCGCAGGCCCTCAGCCCCAGCCCTGCAGAAGTATTCCCTGGGTCTTTCAGGGAGTCCTCAAAAGGGTCCCCGACATCTGTTGAACCAATCAGTCCCAGTCATCATTGTATCCTTCCTCTGGCCTGTCTTCTGTGGCTTGAGGTCCACCAATACGAGCCTTGGGGCCACTACCTCTAAGACACAGTGCCCATGGGGCTGCCAGGCTCCAGGTCCGGGGCTCCGTTGGTGCTCTAGATCCCTACACCCTGCGTGACCCAGCAGTGCTGATTCTGTGCACGGATGGAGAAAATGCACCTTCCACCCTCAGCCACTCCGTTATCTCCTGCAAGCAACTTTCAGCAACAACTCCCACACCCTGCCAAAAAAACAACCACTGACAAAAACATCAGTTTCCACAGGAGTGAGCTCAGCCGTTCACACCTTCAGACAACATCTCCCCTGGACTCAGGACTGCCTCAGCCTGAATGCCTGATTAACACGCCCAAGCCAGAACTGTGAAGCCCCTCAGAGGGGAACAACAAGAGAGCACAGCTGCCTGTCCCGGAGGCCTTCATGAAACCAAAGGACTTCACCCCCACAGTGAACTGAAACATCCACCTCCAAACCCAGAAAACTGCTGGCCACTTTCAAAAGACACCTCCTCCTCCCTCTCAGGAGCTGGGCCACGCTGCAGCCTAAGGCACCTCTGTCCACGTTGGAGGAGGAGGCCAGAGGGACCACCTAGGGAAAAAAAAATAAAGCATTCAGAGTCAAAAAATACTGTTGATTGCAGTGTGGCAGAGGTGCTAGGGCAATGGGGGAACACATAGGTTCAGAGAAAATCAGACAAATGCAAAAAAGAAACTGCCATTAAGTCCAGAAGGAGAAAAGGGTTGTTTAATCACAGAGTGTTGTCCTAGAACACTACATGGCTCAGAGGTGAGCCATGCCCCCTCCTAACACTACATACCTCCTCCTAATAATGTGAACAGTTGTCATTTATTTCATAAAGTACTGGAATACAAGGATACAGAAGGGGGTATAGGAAGGAGAGCGTTTCCTCCGCTACCATGATTGGAAGTTAACAAGTAGTGTGCAAAGTCGAAAATCAAGAAACAGTAATGTGGCTGGACGTGGTGGCTCACACCTGTAATTCCAGCACACCTGTAATTCCAGCACTTTGGGAGGCTGAGGCAAGCAGATCACCTGAGGTCAGGAGTTCGAGACCAGCCTGGCCAACATGGTGGAACCCCATCTCTACTAAAAATACAAAAATTAGCTAAGTATAGTGGCGCACACTTGTGATCCCAGCTACTTGGGAGGCTGAGGCAGGAGAATTGCTTGAACCTGGGAGGCAGAGGCTGCAGTGAGCTGAGGTCACCCCACTGTACTCCAGTCTGGGCAACAGAGTGAGACTCCATCTCAAAAAAAAAAAAAAAAAAAAAGGAAAGAAAAGAAATAGTAATGTAAGCATATTGTTTAGAAAAATGGTGGAAAATACAAGAAAAATGGCTACAGAGTTGGCAGTGCCGGCCTTCAGGAAGACAGCCTTGGGGAACAAGAGGCTAAGCGCAATTGTAATTTTTCATTATACTTTTTATGTATTTATTCTACTTTGCTTTTTATAGCTATGTACATGTAGCATTCTGTTAGAGATAATTTTATATAAAACAAGTCCTGACCAGGCATGGTGGCTCACACCTGTAATCCCAACAATTTGGGAGACCAAGGTGGGCAGATAACTTGAGCCCAAGAGTTCAAGACCAGCCTGGACAACATAGTGAGACCTCATCTCTAAAAAAAATTTAAAAAATTAGCCAGGCAGGTGGTGTGTGTCTGCAGCCCCAGCTACTGAGAAACCTGGGAGGTAGAGGCAGCAATAAGTCATGATCACGCTGCTGCACTCCAGTCTTTGCAACAGAGTAAGACCCTGTCTCAAAAAAAGAAACCAAAAAAAAAAAAAAAAGAAAAGGAAAATGAAAGAAAACAGATTTTCTCAGCCTCTACAAAGGCAGGTTTCAAAAACCTCAGGGCTCTATCACAGCTAGAGCTGTCATCAGATACGTTGCCATGTGTATTACTTTGCTAGAGCAAAGTAACAAAGTACTACAGACTAGGCAGCTTAAACAACAGTAAAGCATTGTCTCACAGTTCTGGAGGCTGGACGGCCGAGATCCGGATGTCAGCAGGATGGGTTCCCTCTGAGGGCTGTGAGTGAGAATCTGTTCCAGGCATCTCCCTGAGCTGCTGGTGGTTGCCAGCAATCTATGGGGTTCCTTGGCTTGTAGAAGAAGCACCCTGATCTCTGCCTTCATCTTCACATGCCATTCTCCCTGTGTGCATATCTGTGCCCAAATTTCCTTCTTTAGTTTTTATTTTTATTTTTGAGATGGGGTCTCATTCTGTTACCCAGGCTGGGGTATAGTGGTGCAATCATAGCTCACTGTAGCCTTGACCTCCCTGGCTCAAGCAATCCTCCTACCTCAGCCTCCTGAGTTAAGCTGGGGCCACAGGCATATGACACTGCACCTGGCTAGTTTGTTAAAAATTTTGTATTCTCTGTAGAGATAGTGTCTCACTATGTTGCCCAGGCTGGTCTCAAACTCCTAGGCCCAATCGATCCTCCTACCCCAGCCTCCCAAAGTTCTAGGATTATAGGCAGGAGCCACTGCACCTGGCCTAATGGATCAGGGACCACCCTACTCCAGTATGAACTCATCTTAACTAATTACATGTGCAATGACCATATTTCCAAATAAGGTCACATTCTGAGGTACTGGGGGTAAGGACTTCAGCATATGAATGCGGGGGGCAGTAGCAGTAGGAGGAACACAATTTAGCCCAACAAACTGTTAAAACTGTGGAGTGTTATTGTCATATACTTTAAAACAAATTGGCCACCCTGCAGGTCCTGTGTCTTAACATGGCTGCCTTCCTATAATACTGACTGGTACACTTGCTCCCAGAGCTCCCAATTCAACTCTGCAACAGCCCCAACTCTCTTCATTTCTCCCTGAACACACACCCACTGAAAGGTACTCTTGCTCCCTCCCCTCAGCCCCCACATTAACACCTGTCACCCTGTGGTGCTGCTGTGCCTATGTCCTGATTCCTTTGCACAGATCCCTGCTCACTAATTGAGCCTTATCTCTTCTCCCTCTCCCATTGATCCAGCCAGTCCTTTCCTCCTTCTTCTTAGATCAGGGGTGTCCGATCTTTTGGCTTCCCTGGGCCATACTGGAAAAAGAAGAATTGTCTTGGACCACACATAAAATATATTAACAATAGCTGATGAACTAAAATAAATAAATAAAATCACACAAAAAAGTCTCATGACATTTAAAGAAAGTTAACAAATTTGTGTTGGGCCACATTCAAAGCTGTCCTGGGCCGCAGACAGCCCATGGGCTGGACAAGCTGGCCTTAGATAGATTGAGACCAGGAAGCCCCCAACTTCCCCCATAATAGAACTCGTAAACTGAATCTCAGCACAAAAGGATCATCCTCCAGTGGCTGAGTACACTAGAAGCTTGAGTCCTCTGCTCATGGGGCCACTTCCTAGTTGGGTAATGGACAACTTAACCTCCCTGTGGCTGTTTCCCTACCTGTAAAGTGGGACTAATAATAGTAACCCACATCATAGGCTTACATGACATAAAGCATGTGAATCTCCTAGCACAGTGCCTAGAACACAGTAGGTATTTAATAAATACCATTTGTTACTATTTTACTATTACCAGGTGTTACTTTTTATCTTCTTTCATTGAATCATGTCCAGAGCAAAGCAGGGCTGTGCTAGACCTCCAAACCGCCTTTGACTCAAAAGAGAGGCCCCCGCTGGGCTGGGCGTGGTGGCTCACACCTGTAATCCTAACTCTTTGGGAGGTCAAGTCGGAAGGATCCCTTGAGCCCAGGAGTTCAAGACCAGCCTGGGCAACACAGGAAGACCCTGTCTCTATTAAAAAAAAAAAAAAAAAAAGCTAGCCATGGTGGCTCACACCTGTAATCCCAGCACTTTGGGAGGCCGAGGTGGTGGATCACCTGAGGTCAGGAGTTCGAGACCAGCTTGGCCAACATGGTGAAACCCCATCTCTACTAAAAATACAAAAAAAATTAACCAGCATGGTGGCAGGTGCCTGTAATCCCAGCTACTTGGGAGGCTGAGGCAGCAGCATCGCTTGAACCCGGCAGGCAGACGTTGCAGTGGCCGAGATCACGCTATTCCACTCCAGCCTGGGTGACGGAGTGAGACTCTGTCTCAAAAAACAAAAGAAAGAGAGAGGACCCCATTGGGTCTGTGCCGTGCATCTCAGCTACCAATGCTTCCGCATCCTCCTGGTTCTGTCCTGCTAACAACCAACAGGACAGCTCAACCTGCCTGCTTTCCTCCTGGTCTCCCAGGGCACATCTGTCTCTGGAACGGCCCTCATCCCACTCTGCCTCACTCACACGATTCCTATTAGCCTCTTAACTCAGCGTGGTCTTCGGGAGCACACCCTTCAACCCAAAAGCAGCACTTTTAAAACACGTTTAAAAAGTGATTTAGTAAATAATGTTGATTTCTTTTGTGAAATTTTTAAAGACAAAGTCAAGTTACGTTACCCATGCCATAACAACGGAAGCAAAAACAGAAACCTATATTCCATTCCATTTTAAACTCAGGGACACCCAAGCACCCAGCTGAGGGCTCAGCAGCTTGTTTTTGCAATGTTCTACAGTGGGAAAGAAAGGAACAAAAAGCCTAGGAGTGGATCTCTAGAGAAAGACATTGTATATTTTGTCTGAAAGCATCTTACTCAGGAACTCCAGTTCCAACACCGTTTGGAGATGGTTCTAATCAGAGAAAAGCAAAACCCTAAAACATTTCTCAAACAGTTCTTCACGATCTGCTGCCTAAGACTCTTGTAGTACTTGCCACAGCAATATAGAGAACGTTTAAGCTTCTTATTTGTAATAAAAAGTGACAAGAGGCCAGGCGCGGTGGCTTACGCCTGCAATCTCAGCAATTTGGGAGGCCAAGATGTAGGGATCACCTGAGGTCAGGAGTTAGAGACCAGCCTGGCCAACACGGCGAAACCCTGTATCTACTAAAAAATACAAAAAAAAAAAAAAAAAAAAAAAAAAAAAGCCAGGCACAATGGCTCACGCCTGTAATCCCAGCACTTTGGGAGGCTGAGGTGGACGGATCACGAGGTCAGGAGTTCGAGACCAGCCTGACTAACATGGTGAAACCCCGTCTCTACTAAAAATATAAAAATTAGCCGGGCATGGTGGCGTGCGCCTGTAATCCCAGCTACTCAGGAGGCTGAGGCAGGAGAATCACTTGAACCCGGGAGGCGGAGGTTGCAGTGAGCCAAGATCACGCCATTGCACTTCAGCCTGTGTGACAGAGCGAGACTCCGTCTCAAAATAAAATTAAAAAAAAAAATTAGCTGGGTGTGGCGGCGGGAGCCTGTAATCCCAGCTATTTGGGAGGCTGAGGCAGGAGAATCGCTTGAACCTAGGAGGCGGAGGTTGCAGGGAGCCTAGATTGTGCCACTACACTCCAGCCTGCGCGGTAAGACGGAAAACACTGTCTCAACAAAAAAAGGTGACAAGTACAACTAACAGTTCATTGCACATTTACCGTGTGCCAGACACCCATCTGTTTTGTGTGGGTTGACTCATTTAAATAAACCAATTAACTTTTAGAGAAGGAGCAGTTCAAGAAGGAAGGCTTTCAGTCACATAGCTGCGTGACCCTAGGCCTTCAATTTCTCTTCCATAAAGTGGGGATAATACCCACCTAATAGTTATTGTGAGGATTAAATGAGATAAATGTAGGTATAGCATTTTCACCCAAAGTTTTCCAACGTCATTTCATAGTTATAAAGAATCGAATGATACATTTGAGAAGTACGTACTGTATTAATGAAAAAATGAACAAACCAGGAAATGGAAAATTTTGAGATTCGTTTTGGCCTATTTCAATCTGCCCTTCAGTATGTCCATCCTGGTGGAGGTGACCTTGGACTGGCGTTTGACTCCCCACAGCCAGTCTCTGCTAAGCCCTGTCACCACATCAAAGGGGCCACCTAGACAACGTGAAGTCAGAGGAACCCCAATCCTGCCCACACTTCAAAGGGGCTCCTCTTCCGGAAGTTGTTACAGCATTCCTTTCAAGGAGGGTAAACAACGAAACAGCTCCAGGAGCTCACAGCTCGCTCCAGCTACATCACTGGCCTCCACGCTGGGACGTGGAGCTCTCTGGGGCCCAAACAGCACACCGAAGAATGAAAATGTCCCTCTGCCGAGAGCAAGTCGGCCCTGCTGCCTTCCCATTTCACCCTTCCACTAATGAGCACCAGGAAGCGCCCCTCCCAGGGCGCGCCCTCAATCAGCGTCTGGCCCTGAGCAGGTGGCACCCCTCTCTTCCTCTCTGCCCTCTGTCAAGACCATACCACGGCTGTTTTGACTCCTGGGCTTCCGCCCTTTAGTTTACACATTTGATGATTCCGTTTGAAAATCGCAACCTGAAATACTCCTCTTCTAGGCTGGAGGCGGGGTTGGGGGCGGGGGCGGTGGGTGGCGGAAGGAGGGCCCTCAAACAAAGATCCGCTTTCTCCTGAACAGGTGTCAGGAGACCAAGCTTTGACCTCCAGCTCCCTGGCCTCCGGGCGCGGGCCCTGGGCTGATCTGGCGGTGGACGTGCAGGGCAGCGGGCCCGCGCCCACCAGCTGTGGCAAGTTTCTAGTAAGAGAGGGATAGAGACAGGCGGAGACCGCTGGGGAGTTTCCCGGTGCTCAGCCATCGCATAGGGGGGAACGGACCCTTTTGTGGGCCCTCGGGTCCCCCCGTGGTCCCCGCTGGCGCGCTCGTCCTCTGCCACCCCCAGATCTCTGCGCACTCCCCACTCCTGGGCGTTCGCACTGCCCCCCGGCGCACTCTCGCCGCCCCGGGGTCCGAAGCACCGCGCACTCCACCCCGCGACGCGCGCATCCCTCGACCCTCGCGCGTCCACACCGCCGCTGCGCCTCGCGCCCCCGCACCCCCGCAACCCCACACCACGCCGGCCGGGCGGGGCCGGATGCGCAGACGTGCAGCACGTGCGCTGCGCAGCGATTGGCAGCGCCGCCCCCACGCCGCCCCGCCAGGGAAAGGGTGTCCCGTGCCCTGCCGCGGCTGCTGGTCCCGCGGGCGGGGGCTGTCGGGGCGCGCGGGCCGGGCCGTGGGGGTCGCCGCCCGAAGTGACCGGGGAACAATGACAGCCCGATGGGGAAGGGCGGCGGCTTCCCTAGAGGGCCGGTTCTCTGGCTCGGAGCTGGGGGGCGTGGGGGCCGTAGGTGTTGCTTCTGCGGAATGGAAATACTTTCTGTGAGTGGTGCGCACGTGTTTCCACTTTATTTGGTTGTCAACTGGGGCCCAGTGCACTTAAACCCAGCGTTATTCGGGACCGAGCCAGGAGATCACTGCACCCTTCAATCTGCGGGTGGGGGGAGGAGTTAGGAAGGGGACTGAGTGACAAAAGTGACAGAGGCGCAGCTCATGTGCGTGACCGGGGGAGTGATGCTCAGTTCTGGGTGGGGGACCAGAAAGATGTCCACTGCGGGACTGGGCGATGAAGGGGCGGATTTGAGTGGCGGCTACTGTTTCCCGGCCTGGGACGGCTGCCGGGCGGGCAGGATCTGCAGGCGCGCGGCCGGGACGCGCAGGGAGCGCGCAGGGAGCGCGCAGGGAGCAGTGGGGCTTCCCGGGCCGCTTCGGGGAGGTGGGCAGGAAAGGGCACGCAGCCCTAAGTGACTCTCGGCTGAGACTGCCTCTCCTCATCCCAGCAGTAGCCAGCCAATGAAAAATAGGCTCAGGGGGTTCCCGAGCCAATGGAAGCCCGCGGGCCGTGAGGACTTGCCACTAGAAACGTTTATGGTGTCCCGGCCCGGAGACTTCTGTGTGTTTGTTAGGCGGGGCGGGGGGCGTCTTCCCAGCAGCCCAGGACAGGTGTGTGCCCAGGCGGATTAGAGCGCCTGCTGTTGGTAAGGCCCCTGCCGTGGAGGGGGAAGGGAGGACAGGGGGAGGGCAGAGGTGAGGAATCTAGGAGCTGGCGAACGGTTTCTCCCGCTTTCTGTGTCCTGCGTCACTTTCCCTTCTGTAAACGGTGGTCTTCCCTTTGTGTCGTGTTTGATCGTTTCTAAATTGCTTTCCCATGCATTACTTTACCCAGCCATCACTGTAACCCACAAGATGGGTTTGATTACTCATTTTACCAGCAGGGGAAGTGAGGCTCAGGTAAGTTAAATCCTAGGCACATGGTGGCACAGCTGCTTAGTACAGGTTTGGGACTGGAACTCAGGTGCCCCGACGACAAATCCAGGGCTCTTTAACTACATCAAAGGAAGGAAACCAGGTCTGTTTTATGATCCTGGTGCCAAGGGCACACCCAGTGATTAAACTGAAATCCAGAAGGACCGGGTGAGTTTTATTTCCCCTTCAGTCATGCTCTTTCAGGTTGTCCCTTTGCAACACAGGTTTGCTCTGCTATTACACGCCATGCCTTAAGATTAAGAGAGTTCACTGACTGCCAGAAAAGCCAGAAGTAAAAAAACAGAATGTGTGTAGGGGCGGGCGGGTTACCCACTGTGCATTTCCTCCTTACCCACACCCTCAGGCCAACTCGAGACCCGTGGTCCTCTCTCATGTTGGTCCCCCACCTGCAGATACTGTTTCCTGTTCCATGGACTGGGCTCGGCCTGCCTAAAATAGGCTGCACCCAAGAAGCTTCTACCTCCACTACTGCCATTATCCCAGCCATGAGGAAATAAACAACTTCCTCCCCGTCCCCCCGCGGCTACATTTATTTATTTATTTATTTATTTATTTAATTTGAGTCTTGCTCTGTCACCCAGGCTGGAGTGTTGTAATCTTGGCTCACTGCAACCTCCTTCTCCCGGGTTCAAGCGATTCTCCTGCCTCAGGCTTCCAAGTAGCTGGGACTACAGGCGCCTGCCACCACACCAGGCTAATTTTTGTATGTTTAGTAGAGACGGGGTTTCACTATGTTGGCCAGGCTGGTCTCGAACTCCTGACCTCAGGTGATCCTCCCACCTCGGCCTCCCAACGTGCTGGGTTTACAGGCATGAACCACTGAGCCCGGCCAAGGCTACAACATTTTTAATAGGAGTGTTTCTCCTAGAGGATTTGTCAGTCGGGGCCTTGCTGTGTCTCTGCTATGGTGCCTGATGAAGTCTCTGGATCTTTTCAGCAAAGCAGATGATGCTCAGTGGTTCCCAGGGCTGAAAGCCCATCACAGTCATCTGTGAAGGCGTTTAAAAATACACATCACCGAGCGCATCTCTGGATTGGGATTCAGCAGGTCCAGGGCGCGTGTTATGTTTTTTGTTTTAAATACTCAAGTGATTTAGATGACTGGTCAGGTTTGAAACCACAGATATAAAATGACTTCCATCTGAAAAGTCTGAAATAACTCAAAGCTGAAATTGGAGGCTTTTTGGTCAGATGGGAACCTGTCATTCAGAGGTCCATCATGCCTAAGAATGTGAAGAATGACAACTCTTCATAAGAGGGTCCAAAAGGGAACGAAAACTCTTTGTGGTAGGAATATCCTATGTTGAGTAATCTGGGACCTTAGGGGAATATAGGGTTAGGGAACTGATACTGGGTGTGAACTGATTTTATTTTCACTAAAATAAAACTAAGAAATCGGCACTCAAAGTCAGTGGCTTACATCCTACACAACTTGTATTCCTATCAATGGATGCTATTTGCTTCCTTTTCATTTATCAGCCCTTGCTTTCTAGACCTGAGCTGTCCAGTACATTAGCCACTAGCCACATGGGGCCGTTGAGCACTTGAAGTCTGGCTAGTCCAAATTGAGATGTGTTGTATGTGTCAAACAAACATTGGACTTCAAAGACTCAGTAAGGAAAAAAATGTAATCATTAATACTTTCAACATTGATTATGTATTAAAGTATTTTAGATCTATTGGGTTAAGTCAAATAGATTATTACAATTAATTTCAGCTTTTTCTCTCCTTCCTTCCTTCCCTCCCTCCCTCCTTTCTTTCTCTTTCCTTCTCTTCCCTTCTCTTCTCTTTTCTTTCTTTTCTTTCTTCATCTCACTGTCTCCCAGGCTGAAGTACAGTGACACAATCATAGCTCACTACAGCCAGGAATTCCTGGGCTCCAGTAATCTTCCCACCTCAGGCTCCTGAACAGTTAGGACTACAGGCACACCCCACCGTCCCCTGGCTAATTTTGTTTTAGAGGTGGGGGTCTCATTATGTTGCCCAGGGTGGCCTCAAACTCCTGGCCTCAAGCAGTCCTCCCACCTCACCCTCCTTAATAGCTGGGACTATAGGCGTGAGCCACCACGCCCCAGCTTTCTACTTTTATTGCGTTAATATGCCTAGTAGGACATTTTTAATTACATATTTGGCTTGTGGAGGCTGGGAACATTCTTGATCTGGATGATAGAGGTATATGTTTGTGTGTGTGGTGTTGAAATTCATCAGACTGTGTCCTTAAGTTTTGTGTACTTTACTGCTCTATGTAAGTAAAAGTCAGTTTAAAAATTAAACAATACGGCCGGGCGCGGTGGCTCACGCCTGTAATCCCAGCACTTTGGGAGGCCGAGGCGGGCGGATCACGAGGTCAGGAGATCGAGACCACGGTGAAACCCCGTCTCTACTAAAAATACAAAAAATTAGCCGGGCGCAGTGGCGGGCGCCTGTAGTCCCAGCTACTCGGGAGGCTGAGGCAGGAGAATGGCCTGAACCCGGAAGGCGGAGCTTGCAGTGAGCGGAGATCGCGCCACAGCATTCCCGCCTGGGCGACAGAACGAGACTCCGTCCCAAAAAAAAAAAAAAAAAAAAAAAATTAAACAATACAGGCCAGATGCAGTGGGCTCATGCCTGTAATCCCAGCACTTTGGGAGGCCAAGGCAGGTGGATCACCTGAGGTCAGGAGTTTGAGACCAGCCTAGCCAACATGGTGAAACCCCGTCTCTACTAAAAATACAAAATTAGCTGGGCGTGGTGGCACGTGCCTGTAATCCCAGCTACTCGGAAGGCTGAGGCAGGAGAATCGCTTGAACCCAGGAGGTGGAGGCTGCCGTGAGCCAAGATCACACCATTGCACTCCAGCCTGGGCAAAAAGAGTGAAACTCTGTCTCAAAACAAATAAACAAGAAACCCCAGCTGGTGTAAACACAGAATGGAGTTTATTGGCTTGGGAACTAAAACGTCCAAAAGAAAATCACGCTGCAGCCAGGGTATGGTGGGGACCTGGATCCTTTTTTCTGTGATTCTCTGGGCACTCCCTCCATGGGTCACTGAATCCTCAGGCTGACCTCCCAGCCATGAGCAAAATGGCTGCAGCAATCCCTGGCCCCACATGCACATCCCACCCCATCCAGGAAGAGAGTTTCTTGCCTCCCATGCTCAAAAAAAACACTGGATTTCACCTAACCAATCATTTAGCCCAGCGGAATCTCACGTGCTCAATGGTGCATCCCTGAAATGTGCTGGTGAGCAGCACCCAGTCACTGCTAAAAGAACCCTGATTAGGCTTAAGCAGCTAAGGCCCCATCCTATACAAATCTCGAGGCTGCCATATATTTGGGAGATATGGATGGGTTCTGTGAAGTTGACAACCAGCAGTGTCTACTAGATAATCCAGGCAGTTGACAACCAGCAGTCTCTGCTAGATAATCCAACCAGTTGACAACCAGCAGTCTCTGCTAGATAATCCAACCGGTTGACGACCAGCAGTGTCTGCTAGATAATCCAACCAAGTTGACAACCCGCAATGTCTGCTAGATAACCCTACCATTGCAAGTCACTACCTACACCAGGGCTCAGCAAACTTTTTCTGTAAGGGACTAGTCGATAATGAGGCTTCATGTGCCTCCTAAGGGTTGTTTTGTTGAATTTGTTTAACAACCCTTTTAAAAATATAAAAACTATTCTTAACTCATGGGGCTTACAAAAACAGGCCAAGGGCTAGATTGGCCTAAAGATCATAGTTTGCCAACCACTGATCTGGATCGTTATGATACTTGTGATGTCTACATTGACCTTGTTAACTTGTTTCCCCTGACTATAATCAAAGCTCTTTGAGAGCGGGAACCAGGTCTGTCTTATCCACCACTGTCTTCTCCACACCTACAACAGTGTTGGCACTTTGGGAGGCCTAGGCAGGAGAATCACTTGAGCTCAGGAGTTCGAGACCAGCCTGGGCAACGTAGCAAGACCTCATCTCTACTAAAAATATAAAAGGTGTGGTGGTGTGTGCCTGCAGTCCAAGCTACTCAGGAGGCTGAGGTGGGAGGATCACTTGATTCTATGAGATTGAGGCTGCAGTGGGCCGTGATCATGCCACTGCACTCCAGCCTGGATGACAGAGCAAGATCCTGTCTCAAAAAAAACAAAAACAAAAATACAGTGCCAGGCACATGGTAGATGCCCAATAAATATTCACTGGATGAATGACTATGAAAACTTTATTCTAGAGCATATCAGGACCCAGTGCCTAGCTCTGACCTGGGTTTCTCTGTCTGTAGGACACAGCTGCCCCCATAGTGACCGACGCAGGAACGGACAGGGCTGCTGCTGGTCCACACAGTACCTTTGTGCAAATCAGAAAAAAAGGTTACTCCTGCTGGCTGCTGTAGCCCAGCACCTAGGAGCACAGTGAGTGGGTGAGGGCTGAATTTCAGCCCCTGCCTTCCCTCTTGGAGGGTGTTTTTGGGTGGGATACCTGCCCAGTTGCGTGTGCTGGCTCTGGGATAGAGTGCAGAGTTGGAGTTCTAAGACCTCACCTGCTTTTATTGTTCCCACACCTCTCTGAAAAATGTTTCTGATAGCACTCTGCCTACAGCTTTTACCCTTTTCTCTCACCAACTCCCAGTCCCTTCTCTTTCCAGTTGTTTTCAACACAATGACTGTGATTTGCATATATTAAACTGAAATTCTCATTTTGTGCTTGGAAATTCATCCAAGCAGAGTAGAATGTGGCATAAGAGAGACCAGCCTGGACAGCATAGCAAGACCTCATCTCTACTAAAAATATACAAAGTTAGTCAGATGGAGAGGGATTGTGGTTGGAGAGGGATTTCTGTCCTGTGTGCTTACTACACTTGAAGAAAGACCATGAGAAACTCAAAAAAGAAGCAACCAAATCGTCAAGGAAATAGTGAAGTTGCCGTAAAAACGCAAAGTCATGTGTTAAGGGTTCTTCCATTTGGGAAGATAAAGGCTAAGAAGGAAGAACATCTGTTTAATCATGGATGGTTAGGGTGCTCTTGAACTCATTCACTAAATCCTGAAAGAGAACCGGGGAGGGGGTGCTCTGCTTAAAGCTTGAGAGAGTTATATTTAGGAATAATCAAAGAAAATGTTCCTTCGCTTGGTGGGCGGTAGGGTCATGGAACTCATTATCCCAAGCAGGAGTCAAGCTGGAAATAAAAAGTCTTGGGGTACTTAGCTGTTGACAGACCCCTAATGACTTATGAAGAGGAACGAAGAGGCCTTGGGATATGGGCAATGTTCTTTGAAGTTGCTGACGAGGAGCATGACTGGTTGTCCATAGTGTGTCCCTGCATGCCCGCCTCAGAGACAGTTCTGAGCTGGGCAAGACGAGGAGCCAAGGCGGCCCCCACAACCCCTGGCAATCTGGAAGTTTGCCTTATTACTGGGGGACGGGGTAGGGGCCTCGTACAGGAATGCTTGGCTTTCCCAACTCAGTTTTCTGTAGGCCAGCTACCATCTATTGCTGGGAATTCGAGGGTCATCAAAACAAGGAAATGATGTTTGTGGATGTTTTACCTAAATATCTACACTATCCATGGGGACCTCGCCTGTTGTCATTATAGGAGCTGACATTTAGTGATTATGATTATGTACTACGTGCTATTATATGCATTTATTTAATGTTTATAGCAATCCTGTAAGGTAGGTGCTATTATTTCATCATCCTGTTTGACAAATGGGGAAACTGAGGCACAGAGCAGTAGCTCTTTCAAAGTCTAACAGGCAATAAATGATATAGGACTCAAACGAAGGCCGGAAGCCTCTGGAGTACATAATGGACTATTTCTCCATTAGACTGGGGTTATAGCCACTCCTATGGTGCTACCAGAGAGGACACAACTCCCCTCCAGCCATGTGGTACCAGGAAGGAGTGCAGGCCCATTGTGGCCATATCCACTTTTTCAAGAAAAGCCATAAGGATCAATACTGGGTGGATACAACAAATCTAGCTAAACACAGACTGAGGTCGCCCAGCTCTGATCGTTGCCGTACCCACACCACCCTGCAGCGACACATCTTATGGGCAGGGTGCTGTTGTCCACGTCCATGAAAACATGAGTTACCAGGCATAGGCTCAGAGCAGCAGGGAGCCTGGCTGGACACACACGGTAAAAAGGCTGCCAGGCCGGGGTGCCTGTGTCTAGAAGTTGGTCTCCTGCCTTTCAGTGGTGCTTAGTGATCTCTCTAGGCCTCTGGCCAGTCCAGGATTCTATGACTGTCATCGCAGAGAGCAGCAGCAAAGGCTGTAAGGTGTGGACAGATGTTTGACGTCTGGGAAGATGGGCTCTGTGGCATATAACCAGATTGTCCCAGTTGGCACATAAGCCACACAAAATGTGCAGAACCCAAGGCTATACCTTCAATTTCGTGTGTGCTGAGAAAACTGGCAGTGCAAGGGACCTGTGACATCCCGTGGAGACTTCATTCAGGTTGGGCGCTGCACCCCAACCACACAGGGAGGGCTGAGGGCTTTTTCTAGTTTGCACAAAGGCGCCATCTGTGAGCTAAGCTGCACATCATGGGTGTGCGTCCACCCGGAGGAGGGACCTTTTCCAACTCACATCAGGTTTCCTTGTGTCCCCAGGGGCCCTGAAGCAGTCTGGGGTGCTGCTGACCTTCCCCCACACCCCCACTGCTTTCTATTTATATCTTCCCATCTTTTCTACCATTCAGAGTGCAGGTGGGATTTAGGGGACCCAGGAATGCCAGAATTCTGCCCTAGCTCTTCCACCCCTTCCTTCCTGTGGGGTTCCTGGGGATTGGCACACACAGAGGATAAAGGCAAATGGCACAGAGCCTGACACTCCACTCGGGGCAGGGCTCTGGGCTGCATGGCACAGCTGAGGCTCGGAACTCCAGGATCCAGAGGTTCTCCCTTCCCTGGCCATGCTTGGGCCCAACCTGCCAGTGCTCATGTGGGGAGGATGAGGGAGGCCAGAAGGACAGGCTCCAAGAGGACCTTGGTTCGCCGTCCTTGTTCTGTCCCCAGAGCTGGAGGAGCCAGTGAGAAGAGCAAGATCCATCCACCCCCTGAGAGTAGGATGTGGGAGGGAAGGCCACACCTTGGCACAGACCTCATCACACAGGGTCCCCGCCCCCTTATACAGGTGGCTGAAGCAGAGTCCTGGATCCTGGCCAAAGGGATTGGCAGCAGCTCCCTAGAGGGAAGCCAGCCAGGGGCGGGCTTCTTGTCCCCTACGGGAACATGGTCTCATTTGATCTTCACAGCCTCCCTGTTTTACAGATGGGGAAACTGAACTGCATGCTAAACAAGGATGAGGAATTGGGTCTAGGTCACGCAGGTAGTAAGCAGAGCTGGGCTTTGATGCTGTGGCCGACTCTGCAGCCTCTGCCCAGGTTCTTCTTTGGGATACAACTGCTGACAGCTCACCGCCAGTCTGTTCCCAGGAATAGCCCTGCCTGAAGGGGGCTGCCTGGCCCAAGGGTGGCTCCTTCCTTGCGGGGCAGCCTGAATTCAACCGAACCATGTAGGGGTGAGATATGGGGAGTGGGGTGCAAAAACCCAGCCCCTTGCCTCCACTCAGGACAACTCCGAAGGGCTTTGTAACTCGTCATGGGATGGAGGGCCGGGCTTTGGTGGCAAGTGCATCACATTTCACCTTCTCCCTTGGCCCAGCCCTGCTCTCCTCTTACAGTTGCTGTGCTGAGCACATGCCTGGATCAGCCTCTGCGGGCATCTTGCCTATGCCATCTGCACTCCCCGTCCTTAGGAAGTGCTGCCTCACCTCCTTCCTAGGACCCAGGACAAATAAACCAAAGATCCAAAAAGTAGAGGGTGAGGCAGCCCAGAGGTTTACAACAGCAGTAAGTGACTGCCACCCCTAGGCTGGAGGGAGAGAAGGAGGGGGCGGGGTGCCTGTGTCTAGAAGTTGGTCTTCTGCATTTCAGCAGTGCTTAGTGATCTCTCTAGGCCCCTAGCCAGTCCAGGATTCTATGAATGGGGACAGAAGGAGGGGTCGGGCTTCCCTGCACCCAGGGATCACCCAGCAAAGCCAGAGCTATGGTGGGTTTGTCAAGGGGGGAAATGCAGCCCTTGATGGAAACACTCCTGAAGTTGGGGGCCCAGAGTGACACCCTGACTTCTCTCTTCCTTTCTGCTTGACTTTTCTGATGATAGACTACCTAACAATACGAGGTGTTGTATTGTTAAACTTTGCATACCAAGGTCTTAATATGCACATATATTTGGGTAATATTAAAGATTTCGTCAGCTTGGGGTCCATAATAATTTTTTTTTTTTTGAGACGGAGTCTCGCTCTGTTGCCCAGGCTGGAGTGCAATGGCATGATCTTCAGCTCACTGCAACCTCTGCCTCCCGGGTTCAAGCAATTCTCCTGCCTCAGCCTCCCAAGTAGCTGGGATTACAGGCGCCCACCACCACACCCGGCTGATTTTTGTATTTTTAGTAGGGATGGGGTTTCACCATGTTGGCCAGGCTGGTCTTGAATGCCTGACCTCAGGTGATCCACCTGCCTCGCTGTACTAAAATGCTGGGATGACAGGCCTGAGCCACCGCAATAATTTTTTCTTTTAAAAGAGAAACACTGCTGTAGGATGATATGCCAGAGGTGTGTGGCAAAGCACCGTCCACTCCAGCCCAGACACCACAGCCTTAAGGTCCAATTCCTTAAGTTTCCATTCCTTTGATCCTTTGGGATATGGGGGTGGGGAGCTGAAAACAGCCCTTAGGGCCAGAGGATGTGGGAGCACAGGAAGAGGTCCTAGAAGTTTCCTTGTCCACATTCCTCACTTTACTGAGGGGAAACCCCAGACCCAGAGAGCTCCAAGCTTGGACAACCCCTTTTATGGAGGGTGAACTGTAGTGTTTTGGGGAATCATCACTACTGAGGAATGGAGTCAGCGCAGGGCTTTTATTTTTATTTATTTAATTAATTTATTTATTTAGAGACAGAGTTTCCCTCTTGTTGCCCAGGCTGGAGTGCAATGGTGTGATCTCGGCTCACTGCAGCCTCCACCTCCCGGGTTCAAGCAATGCTCCTGCCTCAGCCTCCCAAGTGGCTGGGATTACAGGCACCCGCCACCATGCCCAGCTAATTTTGTATTTTTAGTAGAGACAGGGTTTCTACTAAACCTGTCTACTAGTAGAGACAGGGTTTCGGTTACACCTAGGCTAATAACCATTGCGCTCTGGATGGGCTGACCCTCACCGTGTTGGTCAGTCTGATCTCAAACTCCCGATCTCAGGAGATCCGCCCACCTTGGCCTCCCAAAGTGCTGGGATTACAGGCGTGAGCCACCGCGCTCAGCCAACTGCAGGGCTTTTAAATCTCAGCCTAGATGAGGGCTTGTATGTGCACGTGTGTGTTTGGTATGTGTGCATGTACATGGTTCGTGTGTACATGCATGTGGCATGTGTGCACATGTGTATGGTATGTGTGCGCCTGTGGGTGCACATGTATGTACGTGTATGGTGTGCATGCATGTGTGTGTGCATGTATGTAGATGTGTGCATGTGTGCAGTCTCCATTTTGGAAGTTCACATCTTTTGAATTTTTTTTTTTTTTTTTTGAGAGAGTGTCGCCCAGGCTGGGCTGGAGTGCAGTGGCGTGATCTCGACTTCACTGCAATCTCCACCTCCTGGGTTCAAGCGATTCTCCTGCCTCAGCCTCTCAAGTAGCTGGGATTACAGGTGCCTGCCACCACACCGGGCTAATTTTTTATATTTTTGGTAGAGAAGGGGTTTCACCATGTTGGCCAGGCTGATCTCGAACTCCTGACCTCAAGTGATCCGCTCACCTTGGCCTCCCAAAGTGCTGACATTACAGGCTGACACCATGCCCCGGCCCCTTCTTTTGAATTTTGAGTGACCACAGGCATTGATGATAGAATGTGAATACATTTGATTTGTATTCATATGGAGGGAAAGTGCCTCTGACCTGTCCCCATGGAAGGAAAATAAGATTGGCCTGGAGATACTTACCTTGTGGGGGAGATAACAGGATCACAGAAATGATTTTCCCAGGGCAAGCCTCATCCATTGCACTCTGGATGGGCTGACCCTCACAATTTCCCCAAACGTGGGACCTCAACTGCATAATTTGTGGTAATGGGGGACTGTGTTTATGCTTTCCCCTACTAATGAAGGACAAGAAAAAGGAGACTGTCCTGGAGAGATGAGGACTGAGAAACCCAACCCAGCCCCTGGCTCCAAGGAGTCCCGGCCCAGCCCTGGAGACAGCCCTTATCAGCTGCCATCCCAGCTTCCTGTTTTTCAGTGGGCTGGGGACTGGGGCTGAAGGAACATCTGCTTCTGTTTATTCTTCCCCTTTATCTTAATGGGTTCCCTGAGATGGCTCCCTGGGCCACCTCTCACCACTGCTCTGCGTACTCAGGTAGGTAGTGCTCCCTGCCCTGGCTAAGACCCAGGAAGGGAAGGGGGAAGCATGGAGAGGCCAGAGACTTGGTGCCCTGGGATTAAAGCTAGTTACTAAACAGGTCTGGGACTTAAAACTGGACCCTAAAGTCAATGTAGAGAAGGGGAAAAAAGAATACAAGGCAAAAGACTGTCCTCCTAAGAGTGAAAGCAGGAAATGGGCAGGTTGCTGGGGGCAATCTTAGCTGCTAAGAGAAATATAATTACTTTTCAATTTCGGTTACACCTAGGCTAATAACCACAACTGGAAATTCTTGTTGGGAGAAGGAAGTTTTTTCTCATTAAGAGATAATAGAAAGTCATTCACCCTTGAACCTAGAACAGTCAACTTCAAACTGAAAGAACTTGACTCAGCTAGGGCCTCTGCTAGCCTGCAGTGCTTATCTGCACCTCTGTGCAGATTAGAAAAAGGTGCTCCTCTGTCCAAGCAGTCACAGCCCCCAGTTTGGCAAGTGTCCCCCTCCCTATCCCCTTCCCCAGCACCCTATGACAACGACAACTTGGCATAGTTACATTATCATAGCAGCTTTCTCTTCTCCCCTACTAACACTTTCATTACCCTGGACAGCTTAAGCTCTGAATGGACTGTCCCAGAAGCACAGAAAAGACTTGTAGGTGAGAAGCTGGAAGGGCATTCAACATTCCCTTGGTCCAAAGTCCCTGCTCCAATTCACTTCATGATAAGGCTTCTGGCTGAGTTGTAAGAAAGCTTTCTCCTCATATTCTGGGTCGATCAAGATCATTCTAAACTATGATTACTGGCAATTTAGAATTAATGAGAAAGGACAGAGCAAGACTCTGTCTCAAAAAAAAAAAAAAAAAAAAAAGGCAGACGCGGTGGCTCACATCTGTAATCCTAGCACTTTGAGAGGCCAAGGCAGGCAGATCACCTGAGGTCAGGAGTTCAAGACCAGCCTGGCTAACATGGCGAAACCCCATCTCTACTAAAACTACAAAAATTAGCTGGGCGTGGTGGCTCATGCTACTCAGGAGGCTGAGACAGGAGAATCGCTTGAACCAAGGAGGCAGAGATTGCAGTGAGCTGAGATCTTCCCACTGCACTCCAGCCTGGGCAACAGAGTGAGACTCTATCTCAAAAAAAAAAAAAAAAAAAAGGGAATTAATGAGAAAGTTTCCAGATTGTACTCAAGGATTTCTTTCCCTAAATTTTGCTTAATACCTGTTACCTTAAAGCATGGTTTTTGTTTTTAAAAATGTAGTATTATCAAGTTCAATGCTGCTTAAGGAGTTTTCTTCTTTTGTAGCCAAATTGTCAATAGATTATGGTGGTTCCAAGCTTGGGCTTTGTTATCAGAATGATTAGAGTTCCAATTGCTAGCTCCTCCTCTTGCCAGCTGAGAGGACCTGGGCAGTTTACTTAACTTCTCCACACCCTGATTTCCTCATCTATAAAATAGGGATAAGTAACATAACCTACTGTAAAGAATTAATGTGAATTAAATGAGGATGCATGGAAACGTGGCCCAGTGCACAGCACTTGATCAACAGTAGCTACTGTTAAGCTAATTTTAAATGGGTAAGGAATGTGATACCATTATTCTGTTTTCTTTCTTTTTTTTTTTTTTTTGAGACAGAGTCTTGCTCTGTCACCCAGGCTGGAGTGCAGTGGCACCATCTCAGCTCACCGCAACCTCCACCTCCTGGATTCAAACGATTCTCCATGCCTCAGCCTCCCAATTAGCTGGAACTACAGGCGCTGCCACCATGCCCGGCTAATTTTTGTATTTTTTTAGTAGCAATGGGATTTTGTCATGTTGGCCAGGCTGGTGGAATGTGATACCACTACTCTAGGTAATTGAGAGGATGACCATGTTTTCTGCCCCTTGGAAAAATGGTGGGTCCCCAATCTGGGGCAGGGAAAGTGAGCCTAGGACATCAAATTGTGCCAGAAGACAAAGAAGTGTTCCAAGACAGCAACCAGCTTGAAGGAAATTTTACTGGCCAAATTTAGTCAATCTGAACATCAAAATAAATACTCACTATAGTTGATAACACATTTTTTTTTTTTTGAGATGGAGTCTTGCTCTATCGCCCAAGCTGGAGTGCAGTGGCACGATCTCTGCTCGCTGCAACCTCCACTTCCCGGACTCAAGAGATTCTTCTGCCTCAACCTCCCAAGTAGCTGGGACTGCAGGCACGCGCCACCACGCCTGGCTAATTTTTGTATTTTTAGTAGAGATGGGGTTTCGCCATATTGGCCAGGCTTGTCTCAAACTCCTGACCGCCTCGGCCTCCCAAAGTGCTGGGATTACAGGCGTGAGCCACCATGCCCGGCCTGATTTTTAAAAATCAAGCCACAATTTTTAAAAATCTCTAGTGATCTTCAAAACAAGGAATAAAGGAAGGGAAATACCAGCTAATAAAACTGAAAGGAATGATAGAATTGGAAATCACTATTTGGCAACCCCCAATTAAATAAAGATTTTTGATGAAACCACTGGACAGAAGGTTATGGAAGAGCAAGATATTCACATCGGACTAAAGTATTACCTGCAGATGACTTGCAAATTACCAAAGGGAAAATTGCCCTTTGCAATGGAGACAGCTGGTGGTCATCACCTTACCAAAGTGATCAAACTCAGCCAGGCACAGTGGCTCATGCCTGTGATCCCACCACTTCTGGAGACTGAGACAGGAGGACTGCTTAAGGCCAGGAGTTCGAGACCAGCCTTGACAACATAGTGAGACTGTCTCTACCAAAAAATAAAAAATTAGCCAGGCATGAGTGGCACTTATCTGCAGTCCCAGCTACTAGGGAGGTTGAGGTGGGAGGATTGCTTGAGCCCAGGAGTTCAAGGCTGCAGTGAGCTATGATCATGCCACTGCACACCAGCCTAGGCAATAGAAAAAGACCCCATCTCCAAAAATAAAAATAACAACAACTAAGCATCGCTAATAGTGCAGCTATTATGCACTTATGCACTTTCTGATGTGATGTAATCTGAAATACTTAATACTACCAGCTATGAATTATTCCTGCCATATGTGATAAACATGAATCTGATCAAGCCTCATGACTTAATGGTGATAGAGGAACAAGTTTCACCAAAAGGATGAAAAGACAAATGCAAGGCCGGGCACGCTGGCTCACGCCTATAATCCCAGCACTTTGGGAGGCCGAGGCAGGTGGATCACCTGAGGTCGGGAGTTCAAGACCAGCCTGACCAACACAGAGAAACCCCGTCTCTACTTAAAATACAAAATTAGCCAGGCGTTGTGGTGTATGCCTGTAATGGCAGCTACTTGGGAGGCTGAGGCAGGAGAATCGCTTGAACCCAGGAGGCAGAGGTTGCAATGAGCCAAGATCACACCATTGCACTCCAGCCTGGGCAACAACAGCAAAACTCCATCTCAAAAAAAAGAAAAAAGAAAAAGAAAAGGAAAGGCGAGTGCACAGTGTGGAACGTACTATAAGACAACTAACCTGTAACAAAGGCTGTCTCCCTGACCAAACTTTAGTCAGACTCCTCTGAGCCTTCTTTTCAACTAGGCCTGGACCTTGGCCCCCATCTTGTCTTTGGTCTGCCCAGCCAGTCTTAGCAAAGAATCCTGCCAAGTCATCCCTCCACTCTTTGTATCTGATCAAGTACCTCACCCCGCTTCCTTGATGTCTAAGCCCTTAGCCTGTCTTTAGCAAGAATCCCTACGCTTGATGTCTCCCATTAGTAATTTCCCATCCACTGACCCCTCATCCTGCTCTTTGGCTGTGAATCCCCACTTGTCCTTGTACTTGGAGTTGAGCCAGATCGCGCACTCCCCTAGAGCAGCACTCCTATTGCAATAGTCTTGAATAAAGTCTTTCTTACTGTTTGAGAATAATTTTTTTCTTTAAAACCTGGACACATCAAGAAGTCATTTTTTAAGATGAATTCTTTTAGAATAAAAAAATTAGAGAGACATAATAATCAAATGCGTGTAAGATACTTTGATTGGATCCTGGATCAAAAAAAAAGGAAAAAAAAATCTATAAAAGATATTTTGAGAACAATTGGATATATTTGAGTATGGATTGGATATCATAAAATTATTGTTAATTTTCTTAGGTGTGCTAATGATATTGGTTATGGGGAGAATACGTGAGTCCCATTAAATGCCCACATTTAGGTAACACCTGTATTGAGGAGTTGTATTAGTTTCCTAGGGCTACGGTAATAAATTGCCACAAGCAGGATAGTTTGCAACACAGAAATTTGGTCTGTCACAATTCAAGTCCAAAATCAAGGGCTCGTGGGGCCATGCTCTGCCTGAAGGACTAGGGAGGAGTCTTCCTTGCCTCTTCCAGCCTCTGGTAGTTACTGGCAATCCTTGGCGTTCCTTGGTTGGTGACAACATAAACTTCAATCTCTGTCTCCACAGTCAGGTAGCCTTTTTCCCTGTGTGTCTCTCCGTGTCTTCAAATCTCTCTCTCCCTTATAAGGATGGCAGTTATTGGATGTAGGGCCCACTCTAATCCAGCATGACTTCATTTTGAGTACCTCTGCAAAGACCCTATTTACCACTAAGGTCACATTCAAGGTACCAGGGGCCAGGACGTCAACGTTTCTTTTATTGGGACACAGTGTAACCACAACGTGAATGAAGTGTCCTGATGTCTGAAATATACTTTCAAAGGTCTCGGTAAGAAATTCTGTAGACACAAAGAAGGAGAGGATAGAGAGAGAGGGAAAAAAACCTCAATGTAGTAAAATGTTAATTGTGGAATCTTTGTAGAAGGTATAGGAGTGGTTGCTGTATTCTTTCAACTTTTCTATAAGTTTGAATATTTTCAAAATAAAAGATTGAAGGAAAAGCATAGATTCCTGCTAATTCCCCCCTCCACAGCCCTGTTCTGTTTCCATATGTCTGGGGCAGGGCCCAAGAATATGTTTTTTTGTTTGTTTGTTTTTGAGACGGAGCCTCACTCTGTCACCCAGGCTAGGGTGCAGTGGCGCGATCTCGGCTCACTGCAACCTCCACCTCCCAGCTTGAAGCAACTCTCCTGCCTCAGCCTCCTAAATAGCTGGGATTACAGGTATGTGCCACCATACCTGGCTAATTTTTGTATTTTTAGTAGAGACAGGGTTTCACCATGTTGGTCAGGCTGGTTTCAAACTCCTGACCTCGTGATCTACCCACCTTGGCCTCCCAGTGTGCTGGGGTTACAGGCGTGAGCCACCAAGACTGCATCTCAAAAAAAAAAAAAAAAAAAAAAAAGTTTACTGAAGGAATGGACTCCACAGGATATCTAGATCTAAATGGAATCATTTTTCTCTGACAATAAAAGCTTTTTTGGTACATTTGTAAAGAGTGGCCCAGACAGGGAAAGAAAGAGCTCTGGCCTCCTGACAAGCTTGCTCAGATGGTCAAGCCTCATGCACTCGCCACCATCTGTAGAAGTACATCCTAGCCAGCTGTTCTGTTAACACATACTATAAAAGGCAAGGGCTCTGGGCTCTGCCATCAACTCAGTGTGGAGCCGCAGACACGTCTCCAAGGCCCTCTGTGGCTGCATTTCCTCCAATGGTTGTGAGCCACAGGGACTTGGTTACTAACAGTAGTTAAGATCCTGGGATTTGTAATATCTACTTTTATTTATTTTATTTTATTTTATTTTTTGAGACTGAGTCTCGCTCTGTCACCCAGGCTGGAGTGCAGTGGTGCGATCTTGGCTCACTGCAGCCTCTGTCTCCTGGGTTCAAGTGATTCTCATGCCTCAGCCTCCTGACTATCTGCGATTACAGGTGTTGCGCCACCACACCCAGTTAATTTTTTTTTGTATTTTAGTAGAGATGGGGTTTCACCATGTTGGCCAGGATGGTCTCAAACTCCTGACCTCAGGTGATCTGTCCACCTTGGCCTCTTAATGTGTTGGGATCACAGGTGTGAGCCACTGCGCCTGGCCGATCTACTTTTAAAAAATTATATTTGAGAAGATTTTAGATTATTCCAAAAATAATGTCACTTTAACTTATTTAGATATTCTTACTTGTGTAGGAGAGAAAAGGATGAGTTTACAGTGAGGAATTATGTGTAACCCTGGACTCCCAGGTGGGAGTAAGGGGCTTACATGATCATTGTCCTTCATTCAAAAGTGCAGAAAAAGGTGGGAATCGCTGCTCTGCAGTGTCTGATGGGGCATCATGTTTTTATTTACTCGTTTTTTTAGAGACCAAATTAGAGGCCTGGCACAGTGGCTCACACCTGTAATCCCAGAACTTTGAGAGGCTGAGGTGGACAGATCACTTGAGGCCAGAAGTTCGAGACCAGCCTGGCCAACAAGGCAAAACCCCATCTCTACAAAAAATTAAGAAATTAGTCAGTATGGTGGTTCATGTATGTAGTCCCAGCTACTCGGGAGGCTGGGGTGGGAAGATTGCTTAAGCCCAGGAGGTTGAGGCTGCAGTGAGCCATGATTGTGCCACTGCACTCCAGTCTGGGTGACAAAGCAAGACCCTGTCTCAAATAAATAAATAAATAAGATACTATAAGTAAAATGCCTACCGTGGTTTCTGGCATATTGTAAGTACTCAACAAATAATAGCCACTACTAGTTTAACTTCTTCCATAACTCAATAATGATCTTTCTTTAGTTACTGTTTTTATCAGATAACACATTTGCATTATTTGAAAAGTAAAATAATCTTTAAAATCTTAAAGCAAGCAATTCCTTCCCCACTATTCCCCCCCTTGATTTTCAGAAGCAGCCTCTTTTTAGCTTTCACCAGCTTCTCCAGTTTTCTCCGTTGCATTTATTATCTGTTGTCTTCCTTCTTTGGGAAACAAGGATTTAGCTATCATATATCTTCTCTTCCCCATCCTCCTAATTTGCTTGTGTTGCAATTTCTGGTTTAATCAGTAGCCAGTGTTTATTCTGACAATGCAGCCATTATTCACAGCTGAGCTGCGGAGTGTAACATGATTATATTTCCTATCTGGTACAAACTTTTTCTTGTTTTCCCTGAAGATAAATATTGCCTTATTTTCTATTTGTTCAACTGTCTATGTACCTATTGCTAATTCTTCTCCAGACTCTACTGGAAATGTGAATCTTTGCTCACTGTATTTAGACATAGCAGGTTGTCCTGGTTTCATGTGTTTTTCTAGGAGGCATCCTCAAGTCCTCCATCCCTATCCTCCTGCTCCCAACTCTGCTCTCTTCCCATTTCCTGGGCTTCAAGGCTTCCTCTTTATTTATTCCTTCATTTTCATGGAATATATCATCCTACAGTTTCCTAAGAAAGGCTGCTTGGGCTGGGTGTGGTGGCTCCCACCTGTAATCCCAGCACTTTGGGAGGCTGAGGTGGGTGGATCACTTGAGGCCAAGAGTTCAAGACCAGCCTGTCCAACATGTCAAAACACTGTCTGTACTAAAAATACAAAACTTAGCTGGGTGTGGTGGTGCACACCTGTTATCCCAGCTACTTGGGAGGCTGAAGCACAAGAATTGCTTGAACCCGGGAGGTGGAGGTTGCAGTGAGCAGAGATTGCACCACTGCACTCCAGCCTGGGAGACAGAGCGAGACTCCATCTCAAATAAAAAATAAAATAAAAGAAGAAAGGCTGCTTGGGAGGTTAAAATTTTGAAAGCTTACATTTCTGAAAGTGTCTCTATTCTTCATTCACACTTGCATGTTAGCTTTGAATTCATCATATTCCAGCTTCTAGCGTTGTGCTTGAGAAGAGCAAAGCTATTGCCATTTCTGATCTGTAGTACATAACCTGCTATTTTTTTTTTTATCCTGGAAGCTTTTTAGATCTTATTCATAGTTGTTCTGAAATTTCACAATGTTGTGCCTTGGTAGGGGATTTTTTTTCCATTCATTGCCTTGGATACTCGGGTAGGCCCTTTCAATCTAGAAACATATGGTCTTCCATTTTAGAATTTTTTTTCTTGAATTACTGTTATTTTTTAAAACATTATTTCCTCCTTTCCATTTTCTGTATTCTCTCTTTATGGAACTCCAATTACTCAAATGTCAGACTTCCTAAATTGATGTAGAAGGTCTCTGATTTTCTAACTGTCTTTCTCCTATTTTCTGACCCTTTTTTCCTACTTTCTGTGATTTTTTTTTCAACTTTACCTTCTGACTTTTCTTTTTTCTTCTTTTCTTTTGAGACAGGGTCTCACTCTGTCACCCAAGCTGGAGTGCGGTGGTTTGATCATAGCTCACTGCAGCCTTAAACTTCTAGGCTAAAGCGATCCTCCTACCTTGGCCTCCCAAGTAGGTGGGACAACAGGCATGTGCCACCATGCCTGACAAATTTTTTATTTTTTGTAGTGACAGGGTCTCGCTATGTTGCCCAAGCTGGTCTCGAATTCCTAGGCTCAAGAGATCCTCCTGCCTCAGCCTTCCAAAGTGTTGGGATTACAGGCATGAGCCACCACACCTGACGTCTTGAATTTTTAGTTTCTACTATCACAGCTCAACCTTCCATGAATGCTTTTATTCACTGAATATTCAGTTTTAAGAAACAATATTGGCTGGGTGCGGTGGCTCACGCCTGTAATCCCAGCATTTTGGGAGGCTGAGGCTGGTGGATCACCTAAGGTCAGGAGTTCGAGACCAGCAGGGCCGACTGGCAAAATCCTGTCTCTACTAAAAATATAAAAATTAGCTGGGCGTGGTGGCACATACTTGTAATTCCAGCTACTCGGGAGGCTGAGGGAGGAAAATCCCTTGAACCCGGGAGGCGGAGGTTGCAGTGAGCCAAGATTGTACCACTGCACTCCAGCCTGGGTGACAGAGGAAGACTCCATCTCAAAACAAAACAGAACAAAACAAAGCAAAACAAAGAAAGATTTGCATGTATGATGGAGTGATTTTAGAATGGGGTGATCAGACAGGGGCCAGTCATTCTTGGGGGAATCCCCTATGATACATTTCCATGTCTCTTCTTTTGGTGGTCAGTTTCCTATGGGAGTTCTCTGAACTCCCTCCCCATAGTTATAAATGTGTCTGCCAGTGTCTAGGAGTCAAATATGAGGACAGCACGGGTTGGTACATTGACTTTCATTTCATCCCCCTTCTTTGATACTCATCTTCCACCTTCAGTTGTTCCTAAGTCCAAAGTTCCTCTAACTCAAACTCCCCATACAATAAGTGGTCCGTCTCTGATGAAGGCTGAGAGAAAGTAGTAGCTTGTTGCATAGGCTAAGGGAAGAACTGCAGGGATTAACTCTCATTTTTTTTTGAGATGGAGTCTCGCTCTGTGGCCCAGGCTGGAGTGCAGTGGCACCGTCTTAGCTTACTGCAACCTCTGCCTCCCAGGTTCAAATGATTCTCCTGCCTCAGCCTCCTGAGTAGCTGGGAATACAGGCATGCACCACCATGCCTGGCTAATTTTTGTATTTTTAGTAGAGAGGGGGTTTCACCATGTTGGCAAGGCTGGTCTCAAACTCCTGACCTCAAGTGATCTGCCCGCCTTGGCCTCCCAAAGTGCTGGGATTACAGGCGTGGGCCACCGTGCCCAGCCTTAACTATTGCTTAAGAAAACTTTTTATTTTTATTTTTTTCTTGCCCTGTTGCCTAGGCTGGAGTGCAGTGGACCGAGCATGACTCACTGCAGCCTCAACCTCCTGGGCTCAAGTGATCCTCCTGCCTCAGCCTACTGAGTAGCTGGGACCACAGGTGTGCATCACCAGCCCCTGGCTAATTTTTGTGTTTTTTGTAGAGATGGGGTCTTACTATGTTGCCCAGGTTGGAAGAAAACTTTTAATCAGTGCTCTAGTTTTCAGCCGCAGCCATGCCTTTTCAGAAGTATCTGGTACCTCCAATTCCTAAGCCTTTGGGGTGTTTCAGAGGCATGGATTGGCTTGTTTTCTTGGCTTCCCCATTTTGAGACCCTTTACTCTGGTGTGTGAGGTTCATTATCTCTCAAATTTCCAGCTTAAAAATCTTTTTGATCCTTCTCTTTGCTCTTACCTCTCTTATGGACTTATGCTTTTCAAAAAAAGTCTCTTGCCTCACATTTTAGTGGGGTTTTGGGAGGAGGCCCAGGAGTATGCACATGTTCAACCGGCTATGTTTAATGGGAAGTCCTCCGAGCCCACAGAGTTTTCAACTCTCGTTTTATTGAACTAGGCCTCCTCATATAAACCTATGTCCAGTTTTAAAATGGAAGTCAAGTAAAAATGTGATTTGATTCACATAGTTTTAAGAACAGCTTTTATTTATTTATGTATTTATTTTTTGAGATGGAGTCTGGCTCTTTCACTCAGGCTGGAGTGCAGTGGTGTGATCTCGGCTCACTGCAACCTCTGCCTCCTGGGTTCAAGCGATTCTCTTGCCTCAGCCTCCTGAGTAGCTGGGACATCAGGCGTGCACCATCATGCACAGCTAATTTTTGTATTTTTAGTAGAGACGGGGTTTCACCATGTTGGCCAGGCTGGTCTCGAACTCCTGACCTTGTGATCCACCTGCCTTGGCCTCCCAAAGTGCTGTGATTACAGGTGTGAGCCACCACGCCTGGCCTAAGAACAGCTTTTAGAGATGCTTTTGGCCTATGTGGCTAGATATGAATTCTCACTCTGAGTATAATTGTCTGACTGTCATGTGTTGACTGTGTACACACAGCTCAAACCCAGAGTCCAGCCTTGTCTCTTCTGATGAAATACCAGTGCCCACAAACAGAAGGTTCCCCTTCTCTCACCCATGAATAAACAGGAAGGTCTCTTGGAGCTGTGGTCTTGGGGCTGTAGCCCTGCCCCTAATTTCCTCAGACCCTTTACTGAGAACTGAGTCATTGCAACATCATGCTCAGCCAGCTGTCTCAGCACAAGAAAAAGCTTTGCTGTGGTATGAGGTTTTGTGGGCTGCAGACTACATCTAGGTCAGCAAATTAAACTCCATAGTGTGGTTACCAATTCCAGCTTCATCTAGCTTAAGGGCTGTCTGATTTCACCCTCTGGGCATTGGCTCTTCTGGTGTTTGGGATATAAGGCCCCTCTGTGGGTGTTTAAGGCACAATATTTCAGGCCTAAACCACCGAATGACACATGCCTAAACCCAGAATCCTGTATTCTCCACCAGGACTCCAGGGTATGTGAGGGTAACAATAGTCCAACCCTGCAGATAATGAGATTTGTGTGTGTGTTAGAACAAAGGGGAAAGGTGGGGATGTATTTCTTTGATGCTCAGTTTCATCTACCACTTGTATTTCTCTCCTGCCCTTCTTTGACCCTAACATGATCCAAACCCTTCTTTCTTGCTTCTCTTTTATGGAAGTTTTGAAGAATGGATGGTTACATAACAGATGGCCAGCTGGTCTACCTAGAAGGGCCTTACAAAGGACAGTGCCTCCGTGGGGAAGGCTCACCCTGGATCAGACGCCGGATTGCAGATTTACCATGAATGAAGCCCTTGGAGACTGAATCATGTTAAAAATTCAAAAACAACTCAGTAAATATTTATTTGAAGTCCTGCTGTTCTTCAAGGCCCTGGAATGCAGATATGAGAAGAGTCACTGCTGCCCAAGAGCTGACTGACTGTGGAGGAAGACCATGCTAGCAGGTGGCTACGTTTTCTACCACCTAGCACCTGCTCCCCCTTCTCCTGGTAATGGTATCTGCAAATAATCTCCTCAGTCTGTGTGCTTTCAGTGGAACTGAATCTACCCCTGGTTCAAGAGCTCAGGTACAGCCTCTGGCCTGGCTGCAGTGATTAGTTTAGAGATGGACTTGTAACCTCATCAAAGCCCGATATTGTTCAGGGTAACATACTAGATATATTTTGCTAGGATTGCCAATAATCATTTATTTAAGCTCCTTAGATGAGGTTTCCTGTCATTTGCAACTGAAAAAGCTCTGTGTAGCAGGTTGAATAGTGTTCACCCCCTGCCCAAAAAATACACTCACATCCACCCAGAACTTTGGAACTTTAGAATATGATCTTATTTATTTATTTATTTATTTGAGACAGAGACTCACTCTGTCGCCAGGCTAGAGTGCAGTGGCATGATCTCAGCTCACTGCAACCTCAGCCTCCCAAGAAGCTGGGACTACAGGTATGTGCCACCACGCCCAGCTAATTTTTGTATTTTTAGTAGAGACGGGGTTTCACCATGTTGGCCAGGATGGTCTATCTCTTGACCTCATGATCTGCCCACCTCAACCTCCCAAAGTGCTGGGATTACAGGTGTGAGCGACGGTGCCTGGCCTGATCTTATTTTTAAAAGAGCCTTTACAGATGTAATTAGTTAAGGATCTTGAGATGCAATCATTATGGATGTAAATTTAGGTGGGCCCTAAATCTAACAATTGGTGTCCTTATATGATGAGGAGATATCACAGACGCAAAGACACAGGGCATATGACCATGTGAAGAGGAAGGCAGAGGGTAGGGCGATGCTGCCGTAAGACAAGGATGCCTGGGCCACCAGAGGCTAGGAAGGGGCAAGGAAGGCCCTCCCCCTTAGAGCCTTCAGGGGGAGCATAGCTCTCCTGACACTTTGATTTCCAACTTCTAGCCTCCAGAATGGTGAGAGAGAATTTTCCACTGTTTTTAAGCCAACCAGCTTGTGACACTTGGTTAATGGCAGCCCTAGGAAACAAGTGCACTCTAACATGTGAAATCACTCAACAGATATTTATTGGTTCCTAATAATGTGTCTGAAAAGGACTTAGTATAAAATCCAAAGAAGAGGGACATGGAGGCTGTAGAGAGGTATTAGAGCTGGGACATTAGGAAGCCTAAAGAACCATCTGTCCCACTGTCCTGCACCCCGATGGGTGCCTCTGGAAGGGCCTGGAGAAACCATGGAATTTATGTTCTTTGGGCTCCCTTTTTGTCGGGTTAAGACAGGGACTCACTCTGTCAGCCAGGCTGGAGTGCAGTGGCGCAATCACGGCTCACTGCAGCCTCAATCTGCCAGGCTTAAGCAATCCTCCCATCTCAGCCTCCCAACTAGCTGGGACTATAGGTGCATGCCACCACGCCCAGCTAATTTTTGTATTTTTGTAGAGATAAGGTTTCATCATGTTGCCCAGGCTGGTCTTGAACTCCTGGGCTCAAGCCATCCGCCCACCTCGGCCCCTCGCAGGGCTCGGATTCCAGGCATGAATCCCCCCGCCCAGCCTCCCTGGGCTTTTTGCAGGTCATTCTCCTAATTTATGGATGTCCTTCCTCAGTAAGGACATGAGCTCTGCTTGATATAAATTGAAAATATTCGGCCGGGCACGATGGCTCATGCCTGTAATCCCAGCACTTTGTGAGGCCAAGGCGGGCGAATCACGAGGTCAGGAGTTCAAGACCAGCCTGACCAATATGGTGAAACCCCGTCTCTACTAAAAATACAAAAATTAGCCGGGCGTGGTGGTGCATGCCTGTAATCCCAGCTACTCGGGAGGCTGAGGAAGGAGAATCACTTGAACCTGGGAGGCAGAGGTTGCAGTGAGCCCAGATCACGCCACTGCACTCCAGCCTGGGTGACAGAGTGAGACTCCGTCTCAAAAAAAAAAAAAAAAAAGAAAGAAAATATTCCTCCCAGTTTGTTCTTTGACTTTGTTTATAGTGATTTTTGCCCTGCAGTTTTTTTTTTTTTTTTTTTGAGATGGAGTCTTGCTCTTGTTGCCCAGGCTGGAGCGCAATGGCATGATCTCAGCTCACTGCGACCCCTGACTCCCGGGTTCAAGCAATTTTCCTGCCTCAGCCTGTTGAGTAGCTAGGATTACAGGTAATGCGCCAGCACGCCCGGCTAATTTTATATTTTTAGTAGAGATAGGGTTTCTCCATGTTGGTCGGGCTGGTTTTGAACTCCCGACCTCACGTGATCTGCCTGCCTTGGCCTCCCAAAGTGCTGGGATTACAGGCGTGAACCACTGTGCCCAGCCCAATTTCTATTTTTCTTTTTCTTTTTTTTTGAGACGGAGTCTCGCTCTGTCACCCAGGCTGGAGTGCAGTGGTGCGATCTCTGCTCACTGCAAGCTCCTCCTCCCAGGTTCACGTCATTTTCCCACCTCAGTCTCCAGAGTAGCTGGGACTACAGGCGCCCGCCACCATGCCTGGCTAATTTTTTTTGTATTTTTAGTAGAGACAGGGTTTCACCATGTCAGCCAGGATGGTCTCGATCTCCTGACCTCGTGATCCGTCCGCCTCGGCCTCCCAAAGTGCTGGGATTACAGGTGTGAGCCACCACGCCCGGCCCCAATTTCTGTTTTTTACATAGTCAAATTTATCAACATTTTTTATGGCTTATGGGTTTTGTTTTGGTTTTCTGAACTCTCTGCTCCTGTTCTTTTATCTAGTACTCCATATTCTGGAGTAAGGCAGAGTCCTTTCATATTTACCTGTATTTCCCTTACACTGCATTTCGGTCACCTTTATTGGTTTCCCAAAAACCAGCACCAGTAATAATAGCTACCAACCATTGTGTCTAGGCATTGTACTACTCATTGAGTATCAATGAGTATAAAGAGCTTTATATTCAGTATCTTTCATCTTCTCAGTAGCTCTGCAAGGTAGATGATATTCTGTCCATTTTACAGATGAGGAAAGTATGGCCCAAAGAAGTTACATAAGTGGCCAGGCACAGTGGCTCATGCCTGTAAACCCAGCACTTTGGGAGGCCAAGGTGGAAGGACCACTTGAGCCCAAGAGTTGGAGACCTGCCTGAGTAACATTGTGAGACCCTGTCTCTATTTTATAAAAGTTTATTTTAAAATTTATATATATATATATAATTTGTATATATATATATATATTCACATTGACTTTTAAAAGAAACTATGTTAGTGGTTTTGAAAAATATTCCACATTCTGGATTTTTCTGATTGTTTTCTTGTAGTGCCATTTAACTTGTCCCTCTATGTCTTTATTTCCTCTAAACAGGTTTCTCAACAGGGGTCCCTCATGTGAACTACAGAATATAGAAAGATTGAATGACTAATTATACTAGAACCATTCAAGATGCATAGGAGAGAACTCAGTTTGTTACACACAGGAGATTCCTTAAAGAACTAAAAGTAAGACTATCATTAGATCCAGCAATCCCACTACTGGGTATCTACCCAGAGGAAAAGAAGTCATTATACGAAAAAGATACTTTCACATGCATGTTTATAGCAGCACAATTTGCAATTGCAAAAATGTGGAACTAACTCAAATGCCCATTAATCAATGAGTAGATAAAGAAACTGTGGTATATCTATACAATGGAATACTACTCAGCCATTAAAAGGAAAGAATTAATGGCATTTACAACGACCTGGATGAGATTGGAGACTATTATTCTAAGTGATATAACTCAGGAATGGAAAATCAAACATCGTATTTTCTCACTCATAAGTGGGAGCTAAGCTATGAGGATGCAAAGGCATAAGAATGACACAATGGATTTGGGGGACTCAGGGAAAGAGTAGGAAGGGGGTGAAGGATAAAAGACTACAAATTGGGTGCATTGTGTACTGCTTGGGTTATGTGTGCACCAAAATCTCACAAATCACCACTACAGGACTTACTCATGTAACCAAACACCACCTGTTCTCCAATAACCTATAGAAACAAAAAATTTAAAACAAAGAAAAACTTTCTAATAACCACATTTAAAAAGTAAAAAGAAAAAAATTGTTACACACAAAGGATGCAGTGATGGTTAATTTTATGTGTCAACATTAATTTAATTAAAGTTAATGTCAAACATTATTCAGGATATGTCTTTGAGGGTGTTTCTGGGTGACAATGACATTTAAATCTGTAGACTGATTAAAGCAGACACCCTCCCTAATTAATGATGGGGGAGCCTCAACCGGTCAGTTGATGGCCTGAATAGGACAAAAGGGCTGACCCTCCTGAGAGTAAGAGTGAATTTCTCCTGCCTGAGTCAGACTGGAACTACACCATTGGCTCTTCTGGGTCTCCAGCTTGCCAACTGCAGATCTTGGGACTTCTCAGCCTCCATAATCACATGAACCAATTCCTTAAAATAAATCTCTTTCTCTCTATATACATACATCCTATTAGTTCTGTTTCTCTGAAGAAATGATTAATACAGATGTCTTGGGGCATCAGGCTTTATTTCTCTCCCAGACCATGACTGAGAAATTAAGGTGATCAGGCCGGGTACAGTGGCTCACACCTGTAATACCAGCACTTTGGGAGGCCATGGCAGGCAGATCACTTGAGGCCAGGAGTTCGAGACCAGCCTGGCCAACCTGGTGAAACTCCGGCTCTACTAAAAATACAGAATTAGCCGGGTGTGGTGGCAGACGCTTGTAGTCCCAGCTACTCGGGAAGCTGAGGCAGGAGAATCCCTTGAGCCCCGGAGGTGGAGAGGTGGAGGCTGCAGTGAGCCGAGATTGCACCCCTGCACTCCAGCCTGGGCGACAGAGTGAGACTCTGTCTCAAAAAAAAAAAAAAAAGGAAGAAAGAGATTAAGGTCAACATTATTTGGGGCAGGAACATTTCACATTGCATGACATCGGGAATCCCCATAATGTCTTGTAGACCCTCTGTTAATGATGCTAAATTTAGTCACTTGATTGTAGATTTTTATTTCATAAAGTAACTATTTTCCTCTGTGAATTAGCAAGTAATTTTGCAGGGCGATATTTTGGCACCATGCAAATACCCTCTGTCTCAGCTACTTTTCACCTAATGGTCTTGCTACTCACTGAGGATCCCTGCCTGAATCAATTATTTCATTGCTTGCCCTCCCAGCAACTGAAACTTAAAAAAGCTTAGCCCTCATAAGGCTATAGCCCCCTTTTTTTTTTTTTGGAGACGAAGTCTCACTCTGTCACTTAGGCTGGAGTGCAGTGGCGTGATCTTGGCTCATGGCAACCTCTGCCTCCTAGGTTCAAGCAATTCTCCTGCCTTGGCTTCCCGAGTAGCTGGGATTACAGGCATGCGCCACTATGCCTGGCTAATTTTTGTATTTTTAGTAGAGACAGGGGTTCTCCATGTTGGCCAGGCTGGTCTTGAACTCCTGACCTCAGGTGATCCGCCTGCCTCGGCCTCCCAAAGTGCTGGGACTATAGGCATGAGCACCTGGCCAGCTATAGCCTTGTGTGTGTGTGTGTGTATATATAAATCAGTATATGTTAAGCTATAGCACATGAATAGCTTAATATATAATAACTAATATATGCAGTAGAACAAAGCTAAATCTCTTCCCCTTAGAAGCTTTCTCTTTCCTACACATTCTCTAACCTAACCTCTCAGTCTGTGGAGAGCAGTCCTGGCTGGAAGGTTCCCTGGTGCCAGGAGAACACTTGTTATCCTTGGTTGTGGTGCCCAAAAGCAAGGATCAGAACCATTTGCAGGTGGGAGAGGAAGTCCCAAGGTGAAATCAAACAAACTAAATAAATATATCTGAAATCGTAGCCGACTATGTTGAAGAAAATACCTGATGCTGAGGCTAAGATCCCAGCAGGTATCAGAGAATCAGGGAAGGCAAGATGGAGAACACCTGGCAGGTTCTAGGAAAAGACTTGGAGGAGGGGCTTCTCTGTTCTCCTAGCAAATGCTTTTTGGAGTGGAGTGAGGTCAGGGAGAAGGGACAAGGGGCTGTCCCATGGGCCAGGTTTATTGGAAGGAGTGGGAGAAACCAAATGATGCCTGAGGGTCCAGTATCTAGGAGTGGAACAGGTTAAGGTCACACCAAGCTCCAGTCAAGCAGAGAGGAGGGTTGAGGTTGGAAGCCAGGGAAGGTCATCAGTTCTCACAGCAGGTAGGAGGAACTGGGCAAGAACAGGGGAGAACCACTGGAGGTACCCACAGAGCCAAGCAGTGCACAAGGAGGGAAACCCAGGAGTATCCGGGAAAGCCCAGCTTCTGCGCGCAGGTCAGGAAGGAGGCAGGGCTGCTACAGGGGTTCCCAAGAGGGTCAGGGCCCCCAACACTCCATCCCACCTCTCCCCCGCTGCCCACACCAACACTGGGAGCTGCAGGAACTCAGGGAGTGCATTTGCTGCAGCTTGTGAGAATAAGGGCAGCAGAGCCTGACTCTGCTCTCAGGTATCCCACTTCACTCGTTCCCCTGCAAGGGCCACTCTCCTGGCCTCCTAGTAAGGGCGGTCGGAGCCTCCTGCAGCGTTTCCCCATTACCTTAGCGTTTCAGCACCTGGAAGAGATCAGCATCGCTGGCAAAGCTGCAGAGCTCATTGTGCACTTCCTCTTCAATCTGAGTTGTAAAACTATATATATATATTGAATGAGATCAGTTCCAGCACTTTCCCTAGAGATCCACGTAAAATCGACAGAGAAGTGTCCATCACTACCCTGGGGTTTCCTGTTTTGAACCTGACCTGTTCTTGGCAGACACTCCACCCTCGTCTCATCACACTGAAAGGCTTGGACAGACTTAACCCTCTTGCTTCCTCCTCTCTCCTGTCCTGTTCCCTGCCCTGGACAAATGGGTCAGACTCAGTCCTCTGGGGACAGGTGAGGCAGGAGAGGTGGCCAAGCCACTTTTTAGCCACACCCCTTGCTTTGGTCTCTGTAATATCCCCCCCCCCCCCCCGCCCTTTTCTTTACTAGGTGACATTTCATGCAAGGCAGGAGACCATCCCCTTTATTTTGGGGGTGGAGCAAAAATGCAGGCCATCTGGACAAAAGCTTTCCCTGGTGTTTTCAGAAACAGGGAAATCCTGAATGTGGGCTGTGGATTACAAAGAGCTATCAGATCAAGTTCAGAAGTAAACACTTGGCCCGGCCTGGACTATTCAGGAAAACAATGGGAGAAAAGGGTCATTGAATGGGAGGTGGATAATAAAGCTCTATAACTGCCTCTAGAACACTGGCTAGGGGGTTATACATTCGTTTTTCTCTGCATCGTTAAGTCATGACTCTATCCTGACCACAGGCTATAGACTGACTTGTGTTCCTCCAAAATTCATATGTTGAAGCCTGTATTATCTGTTCTTGCACTGCTATGGAGAAATACCTGAGACTAGGTAATTTATAAAGAAAAGAGGTTTAATTGGCTCGCAGTTCCCCAGGCTATACAGGAAGCATGGCAGCTTCCACTTCTGGGGAGGCCTCAGGAAGCTTCCAATCATGGCGGAAGTCAAAGAGGAAGCCAGCACTTCACATGGCTGGTGCAGGAGGAAGAAAGAGAGGGGGATATTCATGAGAACTCACTATCCCGACGACAGCACCAAAGGAGATGGTGCTAAACCATTCATGAGAAACCACCCCCGTGATCCAGTCACCTCCCACCAGGTCCTGCCTCCAACGTTGAGGATTATACTTTGACAGTATATTTAGGGGTGGACACAGATCCAAACTGTTTCAAAGCCCTAACCCCCGATGTGACTGTATTTGGAGACAGGATCTAAAGGAGCTAACAAAGGTTAGATGAGGTCAGAATAATGGGACCCTGATCTGATAGGATTAGTGTTCTCATAAGAAGAGACACCAGAGAGTGCTGACTCTCTCCACTCCTCTCTCTTTCTCTCTCTCTCTCTGCCATGTGGGGACACAGCAAGAAGGCAGCTGTCTACAAGCCAGGAAGAAAACAAACCACAAACTGAACTGGCTGGCATCTTGATCTTGGACCTCCCAGCCTCCAAAACTGTGAGAAATTTCTGCTGTTTAAGCCACCAGGTCTGTGTATTTTGTTAGGGCAGCCCACATAGCCTAAGATACCACATAAGAATATATGGGTGGGGCTGGGCAAGGCGGCTCACGCCTGTAATCCCAACACTTTGGGAGGCTAAGGTGGACGATCACCTGAGGTCAGGAGTCCGGGACAAGCCTGGCCAACATGGTGAAACCCCGTCTCTACTAAAAATACAAAAATTAGCGAGGTGTTGTGGCACATGCCTGTAATCCCAGCCACTTGGGAGGCTGAGGCAGGAGAATCACTTGAACCTGGGAGATGGAGGTTGCAGTGAGCCAAGATCGCACCACTGTACTCCAGCCTGGGCAAGAGAGAGAAAGACTCTGTGTCAATAATAATAATAATAATAATAATAATAATAATAATAATACTTGTTTGGGCCTGGTGTGGTAGCTCACACCTGTAATCCCAGCATTTGGGGAGGCTGAGGCAGGAGGATCGCTTGAAGCCAGGAGTTTGAAACCAGCCTGGCCAACATAGCAAGACCCCATCTCTACAAATAAAATAAATTGGCTGGGTATGGAGTTGCACAGCTGTAGTCCCAGCTACTCGGGAGACTGAGGTGGGATGATCATGCAAGCCCAGAAGTTCAAGGATGCAGTGAGCTGCGATCTGTGGTTGCACCACTACACTCCAGCCTGGACACAGTGCAAGACCCTATCTCTAAAAACAAACAAGCAAACAAACAAAACCGGCCGAAGCAATATAGCAAGACCCTGTGTCTACGTTTCAAAAAATTAGCCAAGCAGGGTGGTGCATACCTGTAGTCCCAGCTACTTGTAGGGCTGAAGTAGGAGGTTTGCTTGAGCCCAGCAGGTTGAGGCTGCAGTGAGTCATGTTCACACCAATGCACTCCAGTCTGGGTGACACAGTGAGATGCTGTCTCAAAAATAAGTAAAAAAAAAAAAAAGGAAAGACAGAGAGAGAGAGAGAGAAAGAAAGAGAGAGGAAGGAAGGAAGAAAGAAAGGGGAAAAGAAGACTTGTTTATCCTAAAGTCCACTTGTAACCAAACTGCTTCAGGTCACGGGTCATAATTCCACGCGCCTCCAGTTGCCAATACAGGTATCCCTCACTTTAAGGAAGCTTCTTCACTAAATCCTAATGATGAACATTGCTAGCCAGCAACCCTCCCCAGCTTCTGAGGCACAGACCCCGGCCCCTGACTACAGGGTGTACACATGATCCCAAGATACCTGATACCATTAAATGGTTGCAACGAAAAAAACAGGCATAGCAAGACCACTGGGTGTCTACTCCAATATTCATTTGCATCCTATTCCTTTTTCACAGAACTCCGATTTTTTTTTTATCATGGTAAAATTCACACATAACAAAATTCACTATTTTAACCCATTTAAAGCATTCAGCATTTAGTGTATTCACAAGGCTGTGCAACCACCACCTCTGTCTAGCTTCAGAACTTGTCACCCATAGAACCTTGATTTTATTATTTAAGACTTAATTTCTCAATCCCCCTTGCAGCCAGGTATAGCTTTGTGATTAGGCTTGTGATTAAGTAGGAGTGTTCCTCGTACTTCCGCTTACGTTTTACTGGCTAGAAAGCTCCTTGCAAGGAAGTGGTCACCCTTTCATCCTCTCCTGTTTCGTCTGTTGACAAAGAGACGTGATGATGGGGTTTCTGGCAGCCCTTGTGGACTATGAAGTAAGTATTTGTAAGGCTGAGGACAGCAGGATGGAAAGAAAGGAACCGAGGTCCCCATAACATATGGAGCCAGCTCTGGATTTCTTTTACATGAGAAATAAAGAAACTACTTGTTTAAGCCATTGGTATTTGGGGAGTTTTCTATCCTATGCAGCTAGACCCCATTCCAACTTCATCAAGGAGGATAGCCATCTTTAAAAATGACCCCTTCAGGATTCCTTGAAATATCAGGCTCCAGTGGTTGGTCCATGGGTTGGATTGGGGAGCTGGCTAGGTTGGGTCTCACACTCAGTGTAATCAGTTCAGGCATCAGATCAGTTCATGTTCGGTGGGATCAGATGGCACGTGGATGATCCTCCTAGACTTGAGCCCAGGGACCCTCTGAACACACTGGCTCCAGGACAGCCGGCGGCCTAACGGGGCAATGAGGCACCTAGTCTAAGACATGAGCCCAGCCATGTTTGGGGTAGGAACTGGCAAATATTGGGTGCTGGGGGTCAATCTGTTCCTAACAAGGAGATGACTCTATTGATCCCTGCAACAGAACATTGCTGGGTCCCACAGGGCCTGACCCACCAGCCTTAGGGCCCCCCTTACCCCCGGCTCTCAGGAGGTAAAATCCTAACAGCTATCATGTTTTGGAAACCTATTATGTTAAGGTATTTTTCTGCTTTACATGTAACGTCATGTCATCCTGGCAACAATTCTGTAAGGAGATCCATTTTACAGATGAGGAATGAAGCTCATAGAAATTTAATAGCTTGCCCACAGTCATACAACTTGGGTGTGGCAGAGATGGCTTTGAACACAGGTCGGTCTCCTCTACATTTTTGTCTCTTCCCCCTCCATCCGGCTGCCTCCTTCCTCCCACACAGAAACCAAGGTCAACTGCTAGGGAATGACAGTGATGCCAGGAGGCCTGGAGCTCATGCAAATAACCAGGGAGTCCTGCTCGGGGAGGTTCCCCTTCTTCTTCTGCTATACCCAGGCTACAAGAATTCCAGGGGGTCCCTTAAGCAATCAAAGCAGCAAAACAGCACTTGGTCCTTGTCCCAGTTACCTATTGCTGTGTCGCAAACCACCCCAGAATGAAGTGGCTTACAACAGCCGCTGTTTTATTTCGCTCCCAGCTCTGGGCTCCACTGGGTCGTTTTCTGCTGGCCTTGCTGGTGTTCGCCCATGGGCTGGCATTCATCTGGGGCCTGGCTCAGCTGGAGGGAAGCTGAAATGCTGGATGGGCCTTTCCAGCACTTTCTCTAGGAGGCTAGCCAGACTCCTTTCCAGGCAATGCAGGGGTCCCAAGACTGTGAAAGCAGAATGGGACCCCGTCCTAACTTAAACAGGGGTGCAGGAGGGGGACTGCCACTTAAAAAAACAATTCCTTCTGGATGTTCTTCAGCTGCTTGTCTAGGGGCCTAATGGAGAAGCTGGCCTCCTTGGGGTTTCACCCTGTGTGGTCAGTATAGGTGTTCTGAAGGAGGAGCTCCTGCTGCCACACTGCTGATTAAAGCCGGTCATCAGCCCAGTCCAGATTCACAGAAGCGTGTGACTCCCAGGACATGTGGCTTCTTGGAGAGCACCAAGGTTCCCAGTCCTACCCATGATCTAGGTGACGTTTCATACAAGATGAATGTCTTTTGTGTTGTTGCTGCTGGAGATCAGTCTCCGGTCTCATTGGTTGGGTGGATTTCCATTTGGTGTGATCCTTCTGACGTTACCTATTGTCTGTCTCCTAGTGACCACTAGAGCCCCCTCCCATGGCTGCTGGGCCCACCCCTCAGTGCCATGTGCATGTCCACCCTCAGTTACATATGGCACCCTGGGTTGGCTCCTATAATCCTCACAACAATGTTATGAGGTCGGAACTATCATCTCCTTTTCAGCGATGAGGAAGCTGAAGCATAGAGCTATTGAGCGATTTGCCCAGGTAGTGGCTTCAGACTTTGCGCCCTTAACCACTAAGCTCTACGGTCTGGTGCTGTCACACTGGGCATGATGGAAACCCTAAAGATACAAGGGTGGAAGGGAAGGAAGAAGCCTGGGTCTCTTCCAGGCATGTGCATAGTATAAAAGGCACCAGGTCAGGGCTGGGAAAGAGGAAAGTCAGATCAGGCACACTCCAAACCCAGAAGGTAGCAAAATGAGGGAGTGTTGGGAGAAAACACAGGGCTGTCACCTGAATTGCGGGTGGCACTATAGAACTGGATTTTTATTTTTATTTTTTATTGAGACAGGGTCTTGCTCCATCACCCAAGCTGGAGTGCAGTGGTACGATCTTGGCTTGCTGCACCCTTGACCTCCCAGGCAGATGAGCCTCAGCCTCCCAAGTAGCTGGGACCACAGGTGTGCACCACCATGCCCAGCTAACTTTTGTATTTTTTGTAGAGACGGGGTTTCGCCATGTTCCCCAGGCTGGTCTCAAACTTCTGGCTCAAGGGATCCACTCGCCTTCACCTCTCAAAGTGCTGGGATTATAGGCATGAGCCACTGCATCCGGCCTGAACTGGATTTTTTTTTTTTTTTTTTTTTGAGACGCAGTTTTGTTCTTGTTGCCCAGGCTGGAGTGCAATGGTGCAGCGACTGCAACCTCCGCCTCCTGGGTTCAAGCGATTCTCCTGCCTCAGGCTCCCAAGTAGCTGGGATTACAGGCGCCCACCACCACGCCTGGCTAATTTTTGTATTTTTAGTAGAGATGGGGTTTCACCATGTTGGCCAGGCTGGTCTCGAACTCCTGACTTCATGATCCGCCCTCCTCAGCCTCCCAAAGTGTTAGGATTATGGGCGCAAGCCACTGCACCGGGCCCTGAACTGGATTTAAAAAAAAAAAGATAAAACAGAACTTAGGCCAAAATTCCATACAGTGAATAAATACAGGCCAGGCGCGGTGGCTCTCGCCTGTAATCCCAGCACTTTGGGAGGCCGAGGTCTCCTGACCACTCCTGATACAGTGGATCACCTGAGGTCAGGAGTTCAAGACCAGCTTGGCCAACATGGTGAAACTCCGTCTCTACTAAAAATACAAAAAATTAGCCGGGTGTGATGGTGCATGCCTGTAATCCCAGCTACTCGGGAGGCTGAAGCAGGAGAATCACTTGAACCTAGGAGGTGGAGGTTGTGATGAGCCAAGATCTCGCCATTGCACTCCAGCCTGGGCAACAAGAGCGAAACTCTGTCTCAAAAAAAAAAGAAAAAGAAAAGAAAAAAATACAAATCCCCCTCCCACTGCTGTTCGCCCCTCCACCGCCGCCGCAGCTCCACTACACATTAGCAAGCATGATTTACGCATGGCAGTCAGAGCATACACAGCACATACATGCTCACCGCATTTATTCAACGGGCTCATCTCAGTGTGGTATAATCAGGGTACAGCTTTATCTTCTACTCGCGGCAGGATCTGTCTGATTTGCCTGCTCTGCTCCTTGATGACATTGACTAAGGGAGATTCCATCACTTTCACACTAACTTTCAGTTTTGAGAAATGTCCCCACATTGAAAAAGTTCAATTCAAAGTATATCAAAACTTTGGCTCAGCACGGTGGCTCATACCTGTAATGCCAGCACTTTGGGAGGCCCAGGCGGGCAGATTATTTGAGGTCAGGAATTCCAGACCAGCCTGGCCAACATGGTGAAACCCTGTCTCTACTATAAATACAAAAAATTAGCCGGGTGTGGTGGCATGAGCCTGTAATTCCAGCTACTCGAGAGGCTGAGGCAGGAGAACCGCATGAACCTGGGAGGCGGAGGTTGCAGTGAGCTGAGATTGTGCCACTGCACTCCAGCCTGGGAGACAAAGCAAGACTCCATCTCAAAAAAAAAAAAAAAAAAAAAAAAAAAAGATCAGTCCTATTGGATTAGGACCCACCCTAAAACCTTATTTAAATGTAATTGTCTCTTTAAAGACCTTATCTCTAACCACAGTCACATTCTGAGGTTCCGGGGCTTAAGACTTCAACATACGAATTGGGGAGGGAGGATCCCAATTCAGCCCATCAGTCTCACCCTTTTGGAAACTGGGCGGGATTTCTGGAGCACCCCCTGAGGGCTCTGCATAGCACCATGCCTGGGTGGCTCTCTCTCAGCTCCAGGACCCCCACCCTGGCAGCCCTGGGGCAGCTACACCCCATGGCACACACTGGGCCCAGGAGGAAGCTCAGCTCCATCGTCCCCACCCATCTGGGCCCACCTCTGCCCTCAGTCACCTCCATGCCAAGGGCAGACTCCAGTCGCCCTGCGATCCTGCCTTCCACAAAGCGAGACTCCATCTCGCTTGTGGGAAACACTCCACAAGCCCCCAGGAACTTTTTCCTGCAGCACCAAGACTTGAGACTCAGACACTTACTAACAGCCAGCCAGGGTGGAAAATTCTGGGCTCCCTTCCTGATGTACACCCCTGCTCTTTGTGACTGGATCTCATGAAGCCCTTATCTCTCAGCTGCAGGGAGGCCAAGCCCTCCCCAAGCCCACGAGGGGGAGAAAGCACCATTTTTCCCCTAATGAATCTCTGGCCTCCCTTTCTAGAGGCAGGCGGTAGGTGATGGGAGAGCGTTGCTGGAGAGGTTGGCTGCCTTTTAGGAAGTCTGCTGATATGATTTGGCTGTGTCCCCACCCAAATCTCATCTTAAATTGTAGCTCCAATAATTCCCACATGTTGTGGAAGGGACCTAGTGGGAGATAATTGAAGCGGGGGGCAGTTTCCCCCATACTGTTCTCATGGTAGTTAATAAGTCTCACGAGATCTGATAGTTTTATAAGGGGAAACCCCTTTTGCTTGGTTCTCACTCCCTCTTTGCCCCCCACCATGTGAGATGTGCCTTTTGCCTTTCACCATGTTGTGAGGCCTCCCTAGCCACGTGGTACTGTGAATCCATTGAACCTCTTTCCTTTATAAATTACCCAGTCTAGGCCGGGCGCGGCGGCTCACTCCTGTAATCCCAGCACTTTGGGAGGCTGAGGCGGGCAGATCACCTGAGGTCAGGAGTTCGAGACCATCCTGGCCAATATGGAGAAACCCTGTCTCTACTAAAAATACAAAATTAGCCAGGCGTGGTGGCGTGCACCTGTAAGCCCAGCTACTCGGGAGGCTGAGGCAGGAGAATCGCTTGAACCCAGGAGGAGGTTGTGGTGAGCCAAGATCACGCCATTGCACTCCAGCTTGGGCAACAGGAGCGAAACTCCGTCTCAAAAAAAATAATAATAATAAATAAATACATAAAATAAAAATAAATTACCCAGTCTAGGCCTGGCATGGTGGCTGACGCCTATAATCCCAGCACTTTGGGAGGCCAAGGCAGGCAGATCATGAGGTCAGGAGTTTGAGACCAGTCCGACCAACATGGAGAAACCCCATCTCTACTAAAAATACAAAATAAGCCGGGTGTGGTGGCACATGCCTGTAATTCCAGCTACTCGAGAGGCTGAGGCAGGAGAATCATTTGAACCCAGGAGGCAGAGGTTGCAGTGAGCCAAGATGGTGCCATTGCACTCCAGCCTAAGCAACAAGAGCAAAACTCTGTCTCAAAAAAAAAAAAATTACCCAGTCTCAGGTATGTCTTTATCAGGCGTGTGAAAACAGACTAATACATCCACCAAGGACGGATCTAGAGTCTCTCCTTAGGAAGTGTGGGTGTTTATCTCTTATTGTCTTTCTTTGGGGGACGCTGCTGAAAATTCAAGACCACATCCTATCACATGTGTCTGTATACTTTCTGTTTTTAAAAAGTCTTACATAGTAGCACACTATTCTACATCTCAAATGTGTTCCTTTAACTCTATGTTGGAGATTATCTCAGATTAAGACACGGCTGCCAATCTTCGTGCCTTCAGTGTTTCATCATATTGATGTCCAGGGTTTCTTTAACCAATCCTCTATTAGTTGTTTCCAAACTTTGGCTAGTGTCAACAACACTGCAACAAATATTGATTAATCAATGGAGAATTTTTCTATGTGTATATCTGTATACCATCATGCCCAACTGACTTTTTTTTTTTGTAGAAAAAGAAAACATCCAGCGATGTTGATTTCTTAAATGTGGTACTAGCCTGTAAATGGATAGACAACTCAATGGAATAAACTGGTGCACAATTTGCATTCTCATCAGCAAGGTTTGAAACTACCTGTTTTCCCATATCTTTACCAACACACCAACAAAGCATTATCAAACTTTGCCAAACTGATAGGCAAAAAATACAGTACATCACTGTACTTTATTTTCTCTTTTTAATCTTTTTTTAAAAAAATTTCCCCACCTTCAGGCCTCTCATTGTACTTTTTATTTTTATTTTTTGTGACTCAGTCTCACTCTGTCGCTAGGGCTGAGTGCAGTGGGCAGTGGCGCGATTCTCAGCTCACTGAACCTCCGCCTCCTGGGTTCAAGCAATTCTCCTACCTCAGCCTCCCGAGTAGCTGGGATTACAGGCATGCGCCACCACACCCAGCTAATTTTTGTATTTTTAGTGGAGCTGGGGTTTCACCAGGTTGGCCAGGCTGGTCTCAAACTCCTGACCTCAAGTAATCCGCCCACCTTGGCCTCCCAAAGTGCTGGGATTACAGGCGTGAGCCACCAAGCCGGGCCTTCTCATTGTACTTTAAATTGTCATTCTGTGCATTCTGAGTTAAGTCAGGTATCCTTCCACATGTTTAAGGCGCATGCACGTTTCCAAAAAAGGCAGTTAGATAATTTAGTTAGGTGGTTAGGATCGTGGACTCTAGAGCTACTAGAACGGCTGGGTTTGAATCTCAGCTTCACTGCTTAACAGCTATGAATGTCAGCAAATGACCCACCCTGTCTATGCCTGATTTCTCTTGGGGACAATAACAGTACGTACCCTATGGAGTTGCGGAGAGGATTAACTATGTTACTTAAGGCAATTCTAGAAGACTACCTAGGGCAATGGAAAAGTGCTATGTAGTGTAGGTATTAGTGTTACCCTTTTTTTTTTTCTATTAAGATATAGACCTGCAGGAGTTAGTATACAGGTATTAGGAATATTAGTCTTTTGTCTGTGTTGTGGATTATAAGCACATTTTCCAACACTGCCTTTTGACTTTGTTTTTACCTAAATTGACTTTTTTTTATTGTGGTACAATATATAAAACATAAGACTTACTGTGTCCAGAATTGGTGGGTTCTTGGTCTCACTGACTTCAAGAATGAAGCCGCGGCCCCTCACGGTTGAGTGTTACAGTTCTTAAAGGCCGCGTGTCTGGAGTTTGCTCCATCTGAGGTTCGGATGTGTTTGGAGTTTCTTCATTCCGGTGGGTTTGTGGTCTGGCTGGATCAGGAGTGAAGCTGCAGACCTTCACGGTGAGTGTTACAGCTCATAAAGGCAGTGTGGACCCAAACAGTGATCAGCAGCAAGATTTATTGCAAAAAACGAAAGAACAAAATTTCCACAGTACAGAAGGAGACCCAAACAAGTTGCCGCTGTTGGCTGGGGTAGCCTGCTTTTATTCCCTTATCTGGCCCCACCCACATCCTGCTGATTGGTCCATTTTACAGAGAGCCGATTGGTCTGTTTTGACAGGGTGCTAATTGGTGCTTTTACAATCCCTGAGCTAGACACAAAACTTCTCCACCTCCCCACTAGATTAGCTAAATACAGAGTGTCCATTGGTGTATTTACAAACCCTGAGCTAGACACAGAGTGCTGATTGGTGTATTTACAATCCCTTAGCTAGACATAAAGATTCTCCAAGTCCCCACCAGACTCAGGAGGCTAGCTGGCTTCATCCAGTGGATCCCGCACCCGGGTCGCAGGTGGAGCTGCTTGCCAGTCCTGTGCAGTGCACCCGCACTCCACAGCCCTTGGGTGGTCGATGGAACTGGGCGCCGTGGAGCAGGGGGCGGTGCTCGTCGGGGAGGCTGGGGCCGCGCAGGAGCCCATGGCTGGAGGGCGCTGAGGCTCAGGCATGGCGGGCTGCAGGTCCCGATCCCTGCCCTGCGGGGAGGCCGCTAAGGCCCGGCGAGAAGTCGAGCACAGCAGCTGCTGGCCCAGGTGCTAAGCCCCTCACTGCCCCGGGCCTGCGGGGCCGGCCGGCCCCTCCGAGTGCGGGGCCCGCCGAGCCCACGCCCACCCAGAACTGGCGCTGGCCCGCAAGCGCCAGGCGCAGCCCCGGTTCCCACCCACGCCTCTCCCTCCACACCTCCCTGCAAGCTGAGGGAGCCGGCTCCAGCCTTGGCCAGCCCAGAAAGGGGCTCCCACAGTGCAGCGGTGGGCTGAAGGGCTTCTCAAGCGCGGCCAGAGTGGGCGCCAAGGCCGAGGAGGCGCGGAGAGTGAGGGAGGGCTGCAAGGGCTGCCGGCACGCTGTCACCTCTCATTACCAGAAATCATTTTTAGGTGTACAGTTCAGTGGAATTACAGTGTTTAGAGGCATGTTTTTGTGTGTGTGTTGTCAAAATTTTCACGCCTGTAATCCCAGCACTTTGGGAGGCCAAGGCGGGTGGATCACCTAAGGTTAGGAGTTCGAGACCAGCCTGACCAACATGCAGAAATCCCTCTCTACTAAAAATACAAAAAAATTAGGTGGGCGTGGTGGTGCATGCCTGTAATCCTGGCTGCTCAGGAGGCTGAGACAGGAGAATCGCTTGAACCTGGGAGGCGGAGTTTGTGGTGAGCCGAGATCGCACCACTGCACTCCAGCCTGGGCAACAAGAGTGAGACTCGGTCTCAAAAAAAAAAAAATTCAACCTTTTATTTTATGATTTCTGGGTTTGACATTGTTTTAAAGGCCTTTCCACTATATGATTTTTTAATCTCCCATATTTTACTACTGCTTTTATGGTTTCCATTTTGGCATTTTAATATCAATGAATCTGTATCTTATTTTAGCTGAGGATGTGAAGAAGAGATTCGATTTTCTTTCTGGATGGGTAGCCAGAAGTCTCAATGCCATTAATTGAATAGTGTCATTCCAAGTGTCTAGCCCATTTTATAAACTAATACCCTGCTTAGAAACGAAATTCCTGTATATATTTAGGTCTATTCTGGAACTTTGGATTTATTCCATTGAGTTGTCTATCCATTTACAGGCTAGTACCACATTTTAAAAATCAACATGGCTGGGTGTTTTCTTTCTCTACAAAAAAAAAAAAAAATCAGCTGGACATGATGGTGTACTCCTTTAGTCCCAGCTACACAGGAGGCTGAGGCAGGAGGATCGCTTGAGCCCAAGATGTCGAGGCTGCAGTGAGCAGTGTTCCCACCACAGCTTTCCAGCCTGGGTGACAAAGCAAGACCCTGTCTCTATTAAATAAAAGTAATAAAATAAAGGCCAGGCACAGTGGCTCACACTTGTAATCTCAGCACTTTGGGTGGCTGAGGTGGAAGGACTGCTTGAGGCCAGGAATTCGTGACCAGTCTGGGCAACAAAGTGAGATCCTGACTATACAAAAAAATTAAAAAACTTAGCCAGGCATGGTGACATGCGTCTGTGGCCCAGCTACACAGGAGGCTGAGGCAGGAGGATTGCTTGAGCCCAGGAGGTCGAGGCTGTAGTGAGCTGTGTTTGCACCACTGCACTCCAGCCTGGACAACAGAGTGAGACCCTGGCTCAAACATAAAATAAAATACAAAATAAAATAAAGTAGTAAAATAACATAAAATCCATGTAACTTTAAAAGTTGTTCAAATACCTGGTAGAGTTAGTCTCTTATCATTGCTCTTCTGGTTCGAAAGTTCCTGGTTATTTGTTTTTCCATATAAACTTTAGAATCAGTTTGTTGAATTAAAAAGGTTCCTACTGATTTGGGTGGGAGTGGGGAGTTTTGGCCCTGCTTAAAGGATGAAGTCCAGTCCCATCTGCTGAGGTTGTAGGTGTCTTGAAGGGTCCCTCTCCCAACTCTTGCTGCTGCCCAGCTCATGTCCAGCTCAGTCACAGAAGGTGCGGGGCAGCCAGGACCTCCAATCCATCCATCTGAGATGGATGCTGTACCCTCTAAGCAGCCTCAGACCCCTACATGGGTGGTAGCTGGGGTCAGCACAGCTATAGGGGTGGCCATAGCCACAGCCAGGTGAAGCCTCAGCCGCTGCAGTCCTGACCAGGGAAGCTGGAGGCCCTGCCTGGTGCACAGGGCTGTGGGCCCCCCTGGGGGAAGGCGGTGAGACCTGAGGGCAGACCATACCCATGCCGCAGGCCTCAGGCACGAGTTCCTTCCGTATTTCCAGGGCCCACTGAGTCCATCCCCAGGCGCCATGCCAGATGCACTCCTCTTTCCAAATGGTGGAGCTTCCCAGGGTGACACACCAAAACCAGATGGCACGCTTTCTTTCTTTTTATGCTTAGATTTTTTTTTTCTGGTGTTAAAATAACACATGATCCAAATGAAAACATGATATATATATATAAGAAAATTAAAATTACCAAAAATGTCTGACCCAGAAATAAATGAGTAAAAGTTTTGTGTATTCTTTCCAGTTTATTTTTCTTTTCTTTCTTTTTTTTTTGTTTTTTTTTGTTTGAGACAGAGTTTCGTTCTTGCTGCCCAGGCTGGAGTGCAATGGCGTGATCTCGGCTCACTGCAACCTCCACCTCCTGGGTTCAACCAATTCTCCTGCCTCAGCCTCCCGAGTAGCTGGGATTACAGGCACACACCACCACGTCCTGCTAATTTTTTGTATTTTTAGTAGAAACAGGGTTTCATCATGTTAGCAGGCTCGTCTCGAACTCCTGACCTCAGGTGATCTGCTTGCCTTGGCCTCCCAAAGCGCTGGGATTACAGGCATGAGCCACTGTGCCCGGTTCTCTTCCTGGATTTCTTTATATCTGGATGTTAAATGTCCAGATTGATATGTTTCTCAAATCTTCCATCCCCCCTATTCCCATTGTTGTATTAACTTGTTTCCCTCTTTATTAACAAAATCGAGTAGCTTTTCATATTTAATTAACTGGCCATTTATCTTCTGATTTTTTTTATTAAGTTGAAATTTTATGTAAAACAACTGACTATAAACAAATAACTTGTCAGTATATTATTACATTTAAAAGGATGCCAGACTGGGTGTGGTGGCTCACACCTGTAGTTCCAACACTTTGGGAGGTCAAGGTGGATGAATAGCTTGAGCTCAGGAGTTCAAGACTAGCCTGGGCAACATGGCAAAACCCCATCTCTACAAAAAATACAAAAATTAGCCAGACATAGTGGTGCACACCTGTGGTCCCAGCTACATGGGAGGCTGAGGCAGGAGGATCACTTGAGCCCAGGAGGTCAGGGCTGCAGTGAGCCATGTTTACACCACTGCAACCCCGCCTGAGTGACAGAGCGAGACCCTGTCTCAAAAAAAAAAAAAAAAAAAAAAAAAAAAAGGTCAACTTTGACCCAGATTTATATATTGGTACCTTGCATTATATAGACTCCACAGCATTTCGTACAAAGCTCAGCAAATAATAGTAGTTGCTAAATATCTTTGTTGAATAAATCTTCAACTCACAGGTTCCTTCTAAATCTTAATCTAGTACTTCCTCCAGGGTTAAACAGTAAATGACTTTCTTTAGCTCTTTATTCTAGAAAAATTTTAAATACTATTTGTTGAATATTTACTACTTGTCCCTGCTCCAAACTGTTTAGATGTGGTGATTTAATCCTTACAACAATACTAGGAGATAGGTCCTCTCGTCATCTGCATTTTACAGATAAGAAAACTTATCTGAACATTTAAGTGGCTGAGCTGAACTTTAGCGCCTATACTTTAACTATTGTGCTAGGTCCCTCTTTAGCTGGTTCAGTTCACGCACCGATTCTGATCCATTTATAGTTCTTCGGCACACATTGTTGAGAAGAATTCTGGGGCAGTATCTAGGCTCCATAAGAAAAAAAAAAAAGAAACTCTGCCTCGATTAATGATGTCTGCCATATATGCGCAGGAATGGGGAGGTGGGAGTTACTTCTTTTTTTTTTTTTTTTAACTCTGCTGAATCATTCCTTGGAGAAAAATTATCTCTGGGGTTATATACAGCTCTAACGCCTTCTAAATTGGGGCATGTTGACATCTGAAGTGTTTAAAGCCTGCTTTGTTTCCTAGCTGTAGTAGAATTCTTTAACTGCCTGTTTATAATTTATCTGAGAGAAACACTGGTAATTAGGCATCTGAGCATTCCTCCAATTCCCTAGTTTCTTCCTTTTCCTGTGGTAAAAACAGAAAGTCAGAAAAATAATCACATTGCATCATGATACCAGTGGGCTGTATAAAAAGCCCCGTGATGTTATTTTTCCGATCATTGCTTTCCTCACAGGCAGCATTTAGACCATGCCAAATACCCCTCCCATCAGATGGTTAGAAATGGCCATACAGTCGGTCTCTTTACTAACCTTTCTACATCCCAAACAGTTTTACAACTTGGCTTCAGCTGCAGGGCAGCCCAGCTTTTAAAGGAATTAGATCCTTTTCCCAGAATCTCCATTAAAGAGAACTTAACACAGCTTTAGGAGAAAGAGATATAAAGTGATTTTCTCCAATCTCTACCCACTTTTCCAAGTGCTCTTTTATCTTACATTCAGAACCAATCTATTCATTTAGAATCGTTCTATGAGGTGTTCAGTATACACTTTCCCATCCTTTAAACATTTTTTTCTCAGCTAAAGTAATATACGTATATTGAGAATTCCTGGGATGGCTGTTATCTCCTCTAACTACAAAGCAGGAAACCAGATGGAGAAGAAAAATCACTGAGAAATCTCACATTGTCCTGATTACCTCCGGCCGAGAAAGAGAAAAGTTATTTGGGAGGTCAGCTGTCATAAGCCAACAGGGTTTTGAAGGAGTCATGTCAAGATGAAACCCCACGACACCAGGATAGGGTGGGGGTTCTGTCCCTACCCCAGGCTCCTATATCAGTTTCTTTTCTTTTTTGGCGGGGGACAGAGTCTCACTCTGTCACCCAGGCTGGAATGCAGTGGTGTGATCTCAGTTCACTGCAATCTCTGCCTCTGGGGTTCAAGCAATTCTCGTGCCTCAGCCTCCCGAGTAACTGGAATTACAGGCGTGCGCCACTACGCCGGGGTAATTTTTGTATTTCTAGTAGAGACAGGGTTTCGTCACATTGGCCAGGCTGGTCTTGAACTCCTGACTTCAAGAGATCCTCCTGCCTCAACCTCCCAAAGTGCTGGGATTATGGGCATGAGCCACCATACCTGGCCTGTATCAGTTTCTTAAAGGAGCACCTCTGGCCCTTGATGAGGCCTCCCTCTTGGCCTCATGGTCATCAGCAGACATCCAGATGAGGTCCAGCATTGTAGTGAGCACCTTGCAGATGGTGAGCTGCTCAGACCATGCCCACTTTGGTGTATTCGGGACTCTTAGCTATTCCCAAAGCACCCGCTATCAGGCCAGATAAAGGTAACCTCTGGCTGCCTTCTGCATAGGAAGGCAGGAGCCCCCAGTACTGCAGTTCACGCGGGCTCCTAGAGAACTTTCTGAGGGACACCTAGCAACGTGCCTCTGGACAGCCACCCTGTCCAGAACCTTCCCCATGAGGGTACACAGTCTGCTGCCCCTGGGAAGGAACAGCATCTCATCTTTTTTTGGATGCCGCACTGGCTAGGATGTTTTCTGGCCCATGATCACTAGAAATGTTTGCCTGTAAGAGACCAAGCTCCAGGAACCCCCTGCTGCTTGCTGTATCTCACTATCTACAACATTCAAGCTTGACCCCAGGAAGTCCTCTTTTGACAGAAAACCGAATACCGCATGTTCTCATTTGTAAGTGGGAGTGAAATGGTAACTCATGAACAGAAAGAAGGGAACAACAGGCTGGGTGCAGTGGCTCACACCTGTAATCCCAGCACTTTGGGAGGCCGAGGCAGGTGGATCACCTGAGGTCAGGAGTTCAAGACCAGCCTGGCCAAATGGCGAAACCCTGTCTCTACTAAAAATACAAAAATAAGCCAAGTGTGGTGGCGCACACCTGTAATCCCAGCTACTCGGGGAGCTGAGGCACGAGAATCACTTGAACCTGGGAGGCGGAGGTTGCAGTGAGCTGCGGTCACACCACTGCACTCCAGCCTGGGCAATAGAGCAAGACTCTGTCTCAAAAAAAAAAAAGAGGGAACAACAGACACTGGGTCTACTTGAGGTTGCAGGAGAGAGGAGGGGGAGGAGCAGAAAAGCTAACTACTGGGTACCAGGTTTAGTACCTGGGTGATGAAATAATCTGTACAACCAACGCCCATGACATGAGTTCACCTGTGTAACAAACCTTCACATGTACCCCTGAACCTAAAATAAAAGTTTAAAAGAAAAAAAGTCCTCTCCTGCATATGCCCCACACACCTGCGGGTGGTGACATCCCCTGCTGTGATCTTGGTACACAAGGCAAACCCATAGCCAAATGTGTCCAACCTGAATTTCTTTCCTAAGCCCAGTCACTGGATGTTCCCTTTTTTGCCATTGCTTACTTTTATTTTTGTTATTGTGAAGTCGTATATGTATATAAAACATATAAACAGGTTTAAAAAAACAAATTCAACCCTTATGTACTCATAACCCAGGCTATAAAATATAACATTAGTAAAAACCTTAGGCATCTCTATTAGATTGCTAGGGTTAGCCAATATCAAGGTACAGTATCACAAACTGAGGGGCTTAAAACAACAGAAATGTATTCTCTCACAGTTTGGGGGCTATCTGAAATCATGGTATCGGCAGGGCCATGCTCTCTTTGTTTTTTGGGTTGTTTTGTTTGTTTGTTTGTTTTTTGAGACAGAGTCTGGCTCTGTCGCCCAGGCTGGAGTGCAATGGCATGATCACAGCTCACTGCAACCTCTGCCTCCCAGTTCAAGCAATTCTCCTGCCTCAGCCTCCCAAGTAGCTGGGGACTACAGGCATATGCCACCACGCCCCTGGCTAATTTTTGTATTTTCTGGTGGAGACAGGGCTTCACCATGTTGCCCAGGCTGGTCTCAAACTCCTGACTTCAGGTGATCCACCTGCCTTGGCCTCCCAGAGTACTGGGATTACAGATATGAGCCACTGTGCCTGGCCAGGGCCGTGTTCTCTTTGAAGGCTCTTAGGGAGAGTCCTTCCTTAACTTTTCCTAACTTCTGATGACAGCCAACAATCCTTGTTGTTCCTAGGCTTGTAACTACATCACTCTAATCTCTGCCTCCATTGTCAGAGGGCCTTCTACCCTGTGTATCTATATCCAAATCTCCCTGTCCTTTCTCTTATAAAGACAACAGCTACACTGGATTTAGGGCCCACCTTAATCTAATCAGCATGATTTCATCTTGTTTTGATTACATCTGCAAAGACTCTATTTCCAAATAAAGTCACATTCACAAGTACTGTAGTGATAACAGTTTGGATCTGTGTCCTCCCTGCTAAATCGCATGACCAGTTGAAGTGTCCATTGTTGGAGGTGGGACCTGGTGGGAGGTGATAGGATCACGGAGGCAGATTTCTCATGAATGGTTTAGCACCATCCTCTTGGTGCTGTCCTCATAATAGTGAGTGAATTCTCGCAAGATCTGGTCATTTAAAAGTGTGTGGCACCCCCACCCCCACTCTTTCTCTGGCTCCTGCCTTCCCATGTGATGCCCCTGCTCCCCGTTCACCTTCCGCCATGACTGGAAGATCCCTGAGGCCTCCCCAGAAGCAGATGCTGCTATGCTTCCTGTACAGCCTGCAGAACTGTGAGCCAATTAATCTCTTTTCTTTATAAATTATCCACTCTCAGGCCAGGTGCAGTGGTTCACGCCTGTAATCCCAGCACTCTGGGAGGCCGAGGTGGGTGGATCATTTGAGGTCAGGAGTTCAAGACCAGCCTGGCCAACACGGTAAAACCCCTTCTCTACAAAAATACAAAAATTAGCCCGGCATGGTGGCCTCTGCCTCTAATCCCAGCTCCTTGGGAGGCTGAGGCAGGAGAATTGCTTGAACCTAGGAGACAGAGGTTGCAGTGAGCTGAGATAGCGCCACTGCACTCCAGCCTGGGCAACAGAGCGAGACTCTGTCTCAAATAAATAAATAAATGAATAGCCCAGTCTCAGGTATTTCTTTATAGCAACTCAAGAACAGCCTAATACACGGGGCTTAGGACTTGACTATATCTTTGCGGGGGGGGGCACAATTCAACCTGCTGCAGATTCCCATGTGTGTTCTTCCTAAATGACATCTCCCTTTCTTCCCAAAGAGGTAACCACTTGGGTTACTTTTGTGTTAATCATTTTCTTACTTTTGAAACAGGTTTTTTTGTTTGTTTGTTTTGTTTTTTAATCACCTGACTATATATACGTAACCAAACATTGCTGAGTTTTGAAAAGCTGGGTATGAAGCACAAGGCCAGCTGAATAAGGTCAGGGCTTCACTGTCACTTCGAGATGAAGGCTTCCAGGATGAGATATTCCCATGGGGTCTCAGGTCATAAAATGGCTGAGCTTCCCCGACAGTGTTCAGAGCCCCTTCTGAGAAAGACAGTGGATATACCAAGGGCTATCCAGGGAAACCCAGGGCTCACTTGGATTAGGGCACCTATGTAGACAAGACATTGGGCCCGCCGAAGGGTGAGGGTTGGGTAAGTGCACTGCATTTGTTTATGTGGTTTGGGTCAGCAGCATCCAAGATGGCCTCCAGGGCTCCCTACTTCTCAACTTTCCCCCATCTTCAGAGGTCCCTTGTGCTGCCTGTTCCTGTACCTCTTGAGGATTCAGCAGGGTAAATGACATTGGTACTTTGCTCCTCACACTGGCCAATTATGACTCAGTTTCCCAGGTCTGCCCTTTCATCCTCCTTATGGGTTTGCATATTATCTTTTAAATCCCTTTGCTGTAGTTTTAGTGGGATTTCATTAAGAATAAGTTAGATGGGCCAGGCACGGTGGCTCATGCCTGTAATCCCAGCACTATGGGAGGTCAAGGTGGGTGGATCACCTGAGGTCTGGAGTTCAAGACCAGCCTGACCAACATGGTGAAACCCACTCTCTACTAAAACTACAACAATTAGCCAGATGCAGTGGCACACACCTGTAGTCCCAGTTACTCAGGAGACTGAGGCTGGAGAATCACTTGAACCTGGGAAGGGGAGGTTGTAGTGAGCTGAGATCGTACCACTGCCCTCCAGCCTGGGCAACAGAGCAAGACTCCATCTCCCTGCCAAAAAGAAAAGAATAAGTTAGATGCATGTGTTCAACCCACCATCTTCACCTGCAACCCTTTCTCTTGGTCCTACTTTCCATGGAGCTGTGTTGTTAAGATTCCTTTATTCACTCATTTGCCAAATAATTCCTGAGCTCCTGATGTCTGCGATGCTGAGACATCAAGAGGAATGAGGCTCTCTCAGCCTGCGAGTAGCTTACACTCTAGTAGGGAAGACAGACAAGGAAATAGGTCTTCACAATATAGGCAAGGATCTCCTGATGACTGTTGAGAAGGCTGAGCCCTGGAGGATGCGAAGGAGTGAGACGGGGATGGGAAGTCAATGGGACAGGGGCTCTGGGTCAATATCTCAAGCCCGGAAAGATGAGTTAATTATTGAAGGAAACAATATTAAGCATTGTTATCAAATTCAGATTGCCACTTTGATTCCAAAGACCCAGGAAGGATAAAGCCTTAAGGCAACTGGGGGGCCATCAGCTCTCAGAGGGTGATGGAAGCCTTGGCTGGGGGAGCACATCCAGGAAAAGTGTGGTAGTGAAGGACATGCTGGCCAAGGACTAGGAGAGACAACAGCAGCACCTGTGGGCTAAGCACAGTCTCCCCAAGGAGACTGAGGAGCAGAGCTGGCAAGGGAGGGGGATGGTGTATACAATGATGGCCACCACGAAGCTTTCAAAAAGTCCAGGCTTTCAAAAGGAACACAGAAACCAATACTGCATGATTCCACCTAGAGTTGTCACATTCATGGAAACACACAGTAGAATGATGCTTGCCAGGGACTGGGGGAGGGGAGGGGAGGCATTGTTTAATGGGTACAGAGTTCCAGCTTTGCAAGATGGAAGAGCTCTGGAGATTGGTTGGCCAACAATGGGAATGAACTTTACACTACTGAACTGTACGCCTGAAAATGGTTAAGATGGTCAATTTTACGTTGTGCATTTTCTACCACAATAAAAAATTTAAACAAATGTTTTTAAAAAGTAACACAAAAACCAGAGCCTACATTCCTGGATTCTTTACTCTTTTATGATTAGGACAACTCCATGAACTAGCGCCCCCATATAAGGGTCAAAGCTGGTGTCCCTCATCACCACTGGAGCATGAGGCTTTGCCTGCCCTCTCCTTAGCCGTGAGCACTTCTGAGTACCACACGCCTGTAGACAGCCCTCTACGTGCACACCGAGCTTGCCATGCAGATGTGCTTCAAGCCAGGTCTCTTAGCATCCTCCCACAACTGCACGACTGCCGCTTTCCCATCATGCCTCTTAGAAAGAAATTCTGGCACCTGTCCTATGAGTTAACCAGTACTCCAGTGTGTGCAGCCACTGCTGAAGCTTACCAGTTGCTAAGGGCGTCTGCTGTGACTCCAACAGTGCCAATACCCACTTTGGGTCCCATGGTGCAGCCTCTATAAATTCAGATGGATTCTTGCTGCCTTTTTTCACAAGGTGGACTTTCCACTCTGCTCCTGGGCTCCTGGGTTGGCCCAAGTGGGGCATGGGGGTGATCTGGCTGGTGGGGCCAACCAAGAGGGTAAAGCCACCTGAGAGGCCCAGGTGGACATGGGGCCTTGAGGTGGGGTCTGGCTGCAGGGCCTGGCTCTGGGTCAGCACAAGAAAGTCCAAAGTTTTGCCCAAGAGTCGTAGCATCATTAGAGCCGACACAGCACCTTCCGCCTGCCAGGTGCCCTTCTGAGCTCTTCACGTGCATGTACTCAATGAGTTCTCCCAGAAAACCTATGAGATCAGAACTAGGAAGTCCCATTTTATGGATGGAGAAACAGAAGCAAAACCAGGAGCTCTCTCTTGGCCCCATCTGTGGTGAGAATGAAGGTCATTCTCAGCAATCACACCATCAGCATTCCAGAAAGCATCAGCCTCACTAGGAAGGGACATACAGGGATTGGGAAGGGTCCCAGAAGAACCCTGTGGAGGGATTTGCATCACATCAATGCTGAACTCTGTCTCCTTAGAAAGGAAAGGAAGAGGCTCCAGGCTGACAAAGGGTGGGAGGTAGGAAGGAACTGGCCACACTGCCTGTAGTCGGGGTGCTCCCCTGGGCTTCTGATACATCATCAGGGTTTGGATGAGACCAGGCATTTCTTGTTCAATATCTCAAGCCCAGAAAGATGAGTGATCAGTTAATTCTTGAAGGAAACAATATTAAGCATTGTTATCAAATTCAGGCTGCCACTTTGATTCTACAGGTCACAACAAGGACAGCAAAAAAAATTTTGGATGGTATTTAAGTCTCCAAAAAAAGAAAAGTTCCGTAGGCTGAGGAAGATCTGAGTTGACCAGCTATGGAAACAAGATGGCAGATGATTCTTCAGACCTCTTTGTAATATTTTAAAGATGCAATAACAGCCCTCTATTAAAGATAAAAGAAGCAGAGGGAGGTGAAATTACTTGTTCAAGGTAACACAGCCAGTGTGAGGCAGAGCTCCATCCAAATCCACAAAGTCAGGCTCTGAAATTGGCACCCTTGCCGCTGTGCAACCACCACCCCAGCTGTCAGCCTTTGGGTGGAAAATCAGAGAGGTGGCTGGGGAGCCGAGGGAGCCCAGAGCCCAGCTGGGGTCCATCATGGTTTGTGATCATTCAGCTGCATGAGGTGGGGCTCAGCAACCAGTGAGGTGGGCTGTGGGCCTCGAGTTCAGCCCCAGAGAAGGGGCCTGGTCCAAGCCAGGCAGGGGTCGGGGACCAACTGCAGTCCCAGCAAAGGGCACCTGGGTTTCCTTGGCTCAGAGCCATTGCTCAGTTTATGTGCTGGGGCCCCGATGGGCTGACCTGAGAGGCAGGAGTGCTGGATCCCCAGGGCTATGATGCAGGCACTGGTTCTGAGTTAGATGGCAGCAAAGCACAGCAATGAGGGTGACCTGGTTGGCACCTGCCTTCTGGGTCAAGGAGGGTGACTTCATGGCAAAGACTCGTGGTTGGTGAAGATCAAGGAGTAAAGGGCACATGTGCAGGCAAGAGCACCAGTGGTCTCAGGACAGGGAAGGAAAGGGCATGCCACATGCACATGGTGCTGCTCCTCACTGGGTCAGCCATGCTCCTGCCTCGGGGCCTTTGTACTTGCTCTGCCTCGGCCTAGAGCCCTCTTCCCCAGATACCCCCATGACTCATCTCCTCACTCCCCTCAGGCCTGTGCTCAAAGTTCACCTTATCAGAGAGGCCTTCCCTTCAGAGACCTTCCCCACCACTTACCATCCCCTTCCCATAGAGACTGTGTTTCCCAGGGGTACTGCAGCAATCTCTTCTGTCCCACGTGTTCTTTCTCCAGCCCCTTGACTATGGGAACCTTGTGACTGCTTGGACCAACAGAATATGGCGCTAGACACAGTGCTAGTTCCAAACACAGTGTTCTTGGAACACTTTCCTCTTGAAGACCTCCTTCCAGATCCCAGCTGGCATGTTGAAAAGCCCAGGTCACATGGAGAGGCCACAAGTAGGTATCCAGGTTGACAGCCCAGCTTGGCTCCCAGCTGACAGTCAACCTCTGCAGTCAACAGAGTGAGCCACTCAGATGTCCAGCCAGCAGATTCCTCAGATGACTAAAGGCCTGGCCAGCATCTGATGGCAACCACATGCAAAACCCCACAAGATCCACCCTGCTGAGCCCAGTCAACCAAAGAGCCATAAGAGATGAAACTGACTTGTTGTTTTAGGCCACTAAGTTTTGGGGTGGTATGTTTCACAGCAACAGTTAACTGGAACATTTACTCGCTTAATTAATTTTTCATAGCACTTACCACCACCTGACATTTCATCATAAGCTATTTGTTTCTTGTCTCTTTCTTTCTCTTGGTTTTGCTTACTGCTAGACTCTTTGCACTGAGAGCAGTGCCTGGCACATAGAAAGCCCTCAATACATATTCTCTGAATGGATGAATGAATCCAAAGACATTTGGTGAAAAATCTTAATGCAGTAGTCAATGTGATTTCATTGGTTCCTGATAAGCCTAACACTGGTTTGTTTCTGAGCATAGGCTGGGTGTCACATTTGGTCAGATTTATTCATTAGCAACCATTTATTGAGCTTCTACTATGTGGTAGGCCCTGGAGATAAATCAGTGAACAAAAGCAAAAATCCCTGCTCTCATTCTAGTGGTAAGGAGACAGGCAATAAACAAAAGACATAAGTAAAATTACTTGGTATATTGGAAGGGGAAAGATTGCAAAGAAAAGAAATCTGATGGCTGGGTACAGTGGCTCACACCTGTAATCCTAGCACTTTGGGAGGCAAGGCAGGCGGATCACCTGAAGACAGGAGTTTAAGACCAGCCTGGCCAACATGGTGAAACTCCATCTCTAATAAAAATACAGGCCAGGTGCGGTGGGTCACGCCTGTAATCCGCACACTTTGGGAGGCCAAGGCAGGCTGATCACCTGAGGTCGGGAGTTCGAGGCCAGCCTGACCAACATGGAGAAACCCTGTCTCTATTAGAAATACAAAAAAATAGCCAGATATGGTGGCACATGCCTATAATCCCAGCTACCTGGGAGGCTGAGGCAGGAGAATTGCTTGAACCTGGGAGGCGGAGGTTGCAGTGAGCCAAGATCGTGCCATTGCACTCCAGCCTGGGCAACAAGAGTGAAACTGTGTCTCAAAAAAATAAAAAATACACATACAAAAAATTAGCTGGGTGTGGTGGTACATGCCTGTAATCCCAGCTAATCAGGAGGCTGAGGCAGGAAGATCACTTGAACCCAGGAGGCAGAGGTTGTAGTGAAGCAGGAGAATCACTTAAACCCAGGAGGTGGAGGTTGCAGTGAGCGGCGATTGCACCACTGCACCCCAGACTGGGTGACAGAGCGAAACTCTGTCTCGGGAAAAAAAAAAAGAAGGCCAGTGGAGCTGGCTAGAAGGAGCGAGGGAGGCAGAGAGGAGATGAAGTGAGAAAGGGAACCTGGGGCAGATCAGGAAGGGCCTTGAAAGACTCAAAAGGAATTTTCAGGCTTTGGAATAAGAACTTGCCAAAATCCACCAGATCCTCTGTGCCTGGAAGAGCTTCTCTTGCTCCTTCCCTACTGCCTCTGGTCCCAGGCGGTGCATGGCAGGCACTCGGGGAACCCTACGTGAGTGAAGGAGCATCCCAAGGTCTTGGGGACAGGTCAGTTCCCTCCTCCTCCACCCTTCCTGAGACTCCTTCTCTCTGTATCCGCAGCCACCTGGCCAGCCTCTCCTCTGCTTGCTCCAAGTCTGCAAGCCACTTTGTTAAACTGACACCTCATTCTCTCTCTGGCTGCCACATAGCCTCCAACTTAATTCTGTCATCGTGCACTGCTTAGCCCAATATTGGTTATAACCTGAAACTCAGCCGACTCCAAGGCCCCTGGCCCATTCCCATGTGTGCAGTGTGGACCAAAGAACCCCCGTGTGGTCTAACTCTTGTTCTTGGAACCTGGGATCCCGTGCTGCCATAGTTCATAGAGAGGCCTCACACTGCAGGCCTCCTCTGACCCCCGCAATAACCTACTTCCATAATAATAGAAACTGTTTATGATACACTGATATCGTGAAAGAAGCAGGATGTAAAACTGCCTATTCAATGTGTTTCCCATTTCCTTAAAAATTACTTGGGCCTAGAAACAAGACAGAGGAAATACACCAAAACGTTAACAGTTTTCTCACTGATAGTGGTGGTATTTTTATTGATGTACTTTAAGCTTTCCTTTTTTTTTTTAAGCTGTGGCAATAAAAAGTCATTTTCAGAATGCACTTATGAACTATTATGCCTAGCTTGAATGCAGTGAAATAGCAGAAATCCCTTGAGGTGATAATCCAGGTGGGTTCAACACTGGACCCTTGAAAATTCAGGTTTTATTCACGTTGCAAAAGGACTTCTCTGCATCGCTTTCTAAAATTTCATTCACGGGCACTGATTTAGGATCCCAGTTACTGCATAAGTCAAGACCACTTGGAACAAAATTCTTTTGCTAGATGCTCTGCATCTTATCCCTACCCTGACCCAACAGGACTTCAGTTATAGCATTTTAGGATGGGCAGCCAGGCTTATCACCCATTCCAAAGAAGTTCATGTGTGTGTGTGTGTGTGTGTGTGTGTTCATGTGTGTATGTGTTCGTGTGTGTATTGTGTATCTATACATAGAACACACACACATGCTACTGGTTCTGTTTTTCTGGAGCACCCTGAACTAATGCACTCGTTCCTACGGGAACATTCCCTGTAGAGGGGGTGTTCATGCAGAGATTGGCCATTTCTCAGGGACATCCCAGAAAGAGCCTTCTAAGGGCTGAAAGGCAGTGCAGTGTGGTGACCAACAGCAGGCTGGGACCAGACTGCCTGGGTTGGAATCCCGACTTTGCCACTTACCTTTTTTTTTGAGACGGAGTCTCACTCTGTTGCCCAGGCAGGAGTGCAGTGGCACAATCTCGGCTCACTGCAACCTCCGCCTCCTGGGTTCAAGCCATTCTCCTGCCTCAGCCTCCCAAGTAGCTGGGATTACAGGCGCTCACCACCATGCCTGGCTAATTTTTGTATTTTTAGTAGAAATGGGTTTCACCATGTTGGCCAGGCTGGTCTCGAACATCTGACCTCAAGTGATCCGCCTGCCTCAGCCTCCCAAAGTGCTAGAATTACAGGCATGAACCATCGCGCCTAGCTTGCCACTTACTTTCCTTTTTTTTTTTTTTTTTTAAGACAGGGTCTCGCTCTGTCACCCAGGCTGGAATGCAGCAGTGCGATCTCAGCTCACTGCAACTTCCGCCTCCTAGGTTCAAGTGATCTTCGTGCCTCAGCCTCCTGAGTAGCTGGAACCACAGGCACCCGCCACCATGCCCAGCTACTTTTTCTATTTTTTGTAGAGATGGGGTTTCACCATGTTGGCCAGGCTGGTCTCAAACTCCTGACCTCATGTGATCCACCCACCTCAGCCTCCTAAAGTGCTGGGATTACAGGCATGAGCCACTGATCCCACCCCCAACTGTGTGACCTTGGGCAAATTGCTTAACCACTTGTGGTGGGCAGTATCATGGCCTCCCCAAAGATTCCCACGTTTGAATGCCTGGAACCTGGAAATACATGACCTTCCCTAATAAATGGATGAAGGTTGCCGATGGAGTTATGCTGGATCCACAACTTCACTAGCAAGAGCCTAACGGGGAAGTGAGAATACCACTAACAACTATATGCTATAAACACCAGAGAGGAATGGCCAAGGGGGAGAAGACCCTAAGGTGGGGCAGGGCAGGGCAGGGCAGGTGGTGAAGAAGAACCTGATTCCTAATCCCACCCTTATTTCTAGAAGCTCCATCAAAGTGGAGGAAAAGGGACAAAACCCTTAGCGGTCCTATGGGGAGCTCCCAGTCCTGAGGCAGATGGGAGTGAAGCTGCAGCTCAGTCCATGGGAAACCCCCCCACCCCACCCCAAAGGCCCCAAGCCTTGCCCTATCCTGGAACCAGGTGCTGAACAGCGGGAGCAGCTACAGCTGTTGCCCTGCAAATGAGGGCTGCTGGCCTGGTTACAGCCAACTCAGTCAACCACACTTCACAAGGTCTCAAAAGGGACAGCAGAAGCCCCACAGCTGGAGTCGCTGATGCCCAGTGCCTGAAACAGGACCTGCTCAAGAACCATCCACTGATGCCAGAAGTAGTGGGCAAGCATGGTGGAAAACCGGCTATGGGCAGGGTTTCAGAGAATCTCCCCATAAGATACTTACTGATTCCAAAGGGGAAAAATAATGACTTTGCAGTGTAGAAACCTGGAAGATATCACCTAATCCAAGGGACCAAAGTCAGCCAAGTCCAGGGAGGAGACACCTCTGACAGGACGCACTGAGAAGGGAACCGCATCACTTCTCTGGTATTCTTGCCCAAAACGTATAACCTGAGTTTATCCTAAGGACACATTTAAAAAAACCCAAGTAGACATTATACAAACTAGTTGGTTTGTACTCTTCAAAAGCGCCCAGGTCATGAAAGAGAAAGGCTGTGCGATGATTCCAGATTGGAAGGGACTAAACAGACATAATTAAAAGCAGCGGGCTGGGTGCAGTGGCTATGCCTGTAATCCCAGCACTTTGGGAGGCTGAGGCAAGGGGATTACCCGAGGTCAAGAGTTCAAGACCAGCCTGGCCAACATGGTGAAACCCCGTCTCTACTGAAAAATATACAAAAAATTAGCTGGGCATGGTGGCGGGCGCCTGTAATCCCAGCTACTCGGGAGGCTGAGGCAGGAGAATCACTTCAACCCAGGAGGTGGAGGTTCAGTTAGCCAAGATCGTGCCATTGCACTCCAGCCTGAGCAACAAGAGCGAAACTCCATCTCAAAAATATAATAATAAATAAATAAAAAATAAAAGCAGCATGGGCTCCTGGATTGACTCTAGAACCTAAAAAAAGACATTAGTGGAACAAGAGGCAAAATTGTAACACATATGTAGATGAGTTAATAGTATTATATCAATATTAACTTCCTGGTTTTTGGTGTTTGTTTGTTTGTTTGTTTGTTTGAGACAGAGTCTCACTCTGTTGCCCAGGCTAGAGTGCAGTGGCCTGATCTTGGCTCATTGCAACCTCTGCTTCCTGGGTTCAAGCAATTCTCATGCCTCAGCCTCAAGAGGTAGCTGGGATTACAGGTGTGTGCCACCACGCCCGGCTAATTTTTGTAATTTTAGTAGAGACGGGGTTTCATCATGTTGGCCAGGCTGGTCTCAAACTCCCGGCCTCAAGAAATCCACCCACCTTGGGCTCCCAAAGTTCTGAGATTACAGGCATGAGCTACTCTGCCCAGCCAACTTCCTGGTTTTGATGATTGTGCTATGATTCCAGATTTTCTAAGATAACATTTGAGAAAGATGGGTGAAGAATATATAACTCTGTACTATTAATGCAACTTTTTTATGTCTGAAATTATTTCAAAATGAACATTTAAAGCCTTAAAAATAAAGCAGCACAGACATAGCAGGCACTCAATAAATATTTGTTGAATTAATAAAAAGAAACAAGGCTGGGTGTGGTGGCTCATGCCTGTAATCCCAGCACTTTGGGAAGCCAGGGTGGGTGGATCACCTGAGGTCAGGAGTTTGAGACTAGCCTGACCAACATGACCCTGCCCCTACTAAAAATGCAAAAATTAGCTGGGTGCGGTGGCGGGCGCCTGTAATCCCAGCTACTCAGGAGGCTGAGGCAGAAGACTCACTTGAACCCAGGAGGCGGAGGTTGCACTGAGCCGAGATAGTGCCATTGCACTCAAGCCTAGGCGACAAGAGTGAAACTCCATCTCTAAATAAATAAATAAATAAATGAACCCAGATCTCCCAGCAATGACGGCACTCAGCCCCAGCCAAACTCCTCCCCTTCTCCACCTCCACCAGCACTTCTGTGTACCCTTTATTGCAGCTGCGCATGATGACCTTCCAGAGCAGTGTGGTGGCTTCATTTCTGCCTTTCAAATCTCATGTAAATTCCTCTTCTGGCCAGCTCTACAGAGAAGAGGGTTCTGGAAAATGTAGTTCCAACTTAGCCCAACTGACACAATACAAACCACCACAGTCTACCCCCTGTAAACTTGGCGTCCATAAATATATGTATATTTTTTTATTACTATTTTTTTGAGGAAGAGTCTTACTCTGTTGCCCAGGCTGGAGTGCAATGGTGTGATCTTAGCTCACTGCAACCTCCGCTTCCCATGTTCAAGCAATTCTTGTGCCTCAGCCCCCCGAGTAGCTGAGATTACAGGGGTGCACCACCACACCTGACTAATTTTTGTATTTTTAGTAGAGATGGGGTTTCACCATGTTGGCCAGGCTGGTCTCAAACTCCTGACCTCAGGTGATCTGCCCACCTCGGCCTCCCAAAATGCTGGGATTACAGGCGACAGTCACCAAGCCCAGCCTCCATACATACTTTTTGAATCACATTAAACCTCCAAATAAAGACAATAGCAAAATCATGCATTCACCTTACAGGATACAATTATCTTTTATATCACTGAAAATACACTAACCATCTTTCCAATAGAGAATACAAAGCTGCATATCATTTTACTCATGTTTAGGTAATGTTCCTTCCTCTTCTAGCTGATCCCTTGTGGATATTCTGTAACTTGAATAATGAAACATAAAGTTAACTTATTAGCATCTCATTCAGTAGTAGGGTAACGGGGTGGAGGAAGGAAAGAAAAAAATTGGATGAAATATACATGAAGTATTCATATTAAAGTAAGAAGAAATGCTTATAACTACTATAGTCTTCATTTATGTAGTCGGTCTCATGATTGTGGCTGGTATTCTTAATCCTTTTCCTCAACTAATCAACATCCCGTTTCCCCTCAACACGAACCCTGAAGGATAAATTATAAGCAGTAAATGTGGTGGTTAAAACCAGCTTTTAAAATATTTGTTCACTGGCTGGACATGGTGGCTCACACCTATAATCCCAGCACTTTGGGAGGCTGAGGCAGGCAGATCACTTGAGGTCAGAGTTCGAGACCAGCCTGGCCAACATGATGAAACCCTGTCTCTACTAAAAATACAAAAAAAAAAAAAAAATTAGCCGAGTGAGGTGAGCACACCTGTAATTCCAACTACTTGGCAGGCTGAGGCAGGAGAATCGCTTGAACCTGGGAGGCAGAGGTTGCAGTAAGCTGAGATTGTGCCACAGCACTCCAGCCCTGAGACTCTGTCTCCAAAACAAACAAACAAACAACTCAGCTAGACAGATTCCTTGACTGATGGGGTGATTCAAACCTCCGTTACTGAAGTGCTTGTGATATTAACAAGCCTGCCTGAGTTCAATTGTAGTTTTCCATTATCTTCATTATATATATACATATATACATATGTATATATATACATAGAGACAGGGTCTTGCTCTGTCACACAGGCTGGAGTGCAGTGGCTCAATCATAGCTCACTGCAGCCTTGAACCCTGGACTCAAGCGATCCTCCCACCTCAGCCTCCTGAGTAGTTGGGACTACAGGTTTGCACCATGACACCCAGCTAATTTTTTGTATTTTTTTGTAGTGACGGGGTTTTAGCTGTGTTTCCCAGGCTGGTCTTGAACTAATTAACTCAAGCAATACTCTTGCCCTGGCTTCCCAAAGTGCTGGGATTACAGGCGTGAGCCACCGTGACCACCTCCCATTATCTTTTATCACAGGACATCTCCCAAATGCCCAAATTCCAGACATACTCCTCCTTATCCACATTGCGAAGTAGCAGCCCAGTTTCCTCTTGATCAGGATCAATTACCCCAGCCAAAACAGTAACTTTCTTGGCCTGTTGGTTCATTGACACGAGGACCCTAAAGCCATCTGAACTTCCAGTTTCCCTTCCTTCCTTTTTTTTTTTTTTTTTTTTTTTTTTTGACAGGTCTTTCTCTGTCTTCCAGACTGGAGTGCAGTGGCCGGATCTTGACTCACTGCAACCTCCCTCCACCTCCTGGGTTCAAGCGATTCTCCTGCCTCAGCCTCCCAGGTAGCTGGGATTACAGGCGCCTGCCACCATGCCAAGCTAATTTTTGTGTTTTTAATAGAAACGGGATTTCACCATGTGGGCCAGGCTGGTCTCGAACTCCTGACCTCAGGTGAGCCATCTGTTTTGGCCTCCCAAAGTGCTGGGATTACAGGCGCGAGCTACCGCCCCCGGCCTGAACTTCCAGTTTCATGGAAACATTGCTATGTTCCCTGATAGATGCATTCCTCTTTTGGGAACTAAGACTTCTAGGCCAGCAGAACCTAAAGTTGTAGGCATGGGAAAGAAAAATGTCACAGGTGCATAATTACAGGTAATGGTGAAAGAGACCCCTCCCTTCTCCACCTCCTGACCCCTGGCCCCATGAATCCGGCTATGGGTGAAATAGTGTCATATCTTGGTCACTGATTTAAAGCATGGACCACGGGTAAAGTGCTGGCCGCGAAGGGCGCGCGAGGAGCCGCCACCCGCTCAGCGTGGGCTTTGGTGTCGGGGTCGTTGTGTGTTGACAATCACTCCAGTAGCCGTTTCCGATACAGCATGTGCGGCCTCTTTAGCCTTGAGCGGGCTCCGCGGCTGCCTGGCGGGCTTGGCTAGTGCCTGATCCTTCTCTCCGCAGAGCCCATGCCAAGCAGCGACCCTGAGCCGACAGCCGGAGCGCCGGGCAAAGGCCGCCTCAACAGCCTCGCACCGGCCCATCAAGGGGATCCTGAAGAACAGGACTTCTACGACTCTCTATGGTTGCGTCGGCAGAAGAAGAGCTGAGAAAAAATCCCGGAAGTGGGATGAAATGAACTTCCTGGCAACATATCATCCAGCAGACAAAGACTGTGGCTTCATGAACACTGATGAACCAAACACTCCCCTTACCATGGTGTGATGGGTGTTGATGGAGACGCGTGTAATGATACAGAAACCACTGAGGCCATGGCACCAGATAGCTAAGAAATTAGCTGCTGCTGAAGGCTCAGAGCCCAAGTATCGGGTTCAGGAACAAGAAAGCAGTGGAGAGGAGGATAGTGACCTCTCACCTGAAGAACGAGAAAAAAAGCGACAATTTAAAATGAAAAGGAGGCTTCACTTCAACAAAGGACTCAATATTAAATTAGCTAGACAACTAATGTCAAAAGACGTACATCACGATGACAAAGATGAAGAAACGTGACAGAGTGCAGATGGAGAAAGCATGAATATGGAAGAATGAAAAAAAAAAGAACCTACTACAAGCGACCAATGGCAAAACAAATCACAAAGTTCACAGAAGAGATCGGTTGAATGTTGCAATCGTTTGTTAGATATAAACCCTGTTGCTTCTTGTTCTCCACAATTCATGACTTAAGTACCAAAATGCATACCAATGATTATACATCACCAAGAATTAAATAACCTTAGAGACTGACTAGACTGAAAATGCCTAATTGATATATATATTTTCTTGTGCCTAGTACTTTCCCACAAATACAGTGTAATATCAATCCCAAACTGCATTACTTTTGAAAGAACACTGGTCAATTTGTATAAGAAATTATACAGCTTTTTATGCTTTAGAGGTTAAACAATATCTTGAGGGGGGAACTAATTTATTTTCATCACTCTAAATGTGGTGATAGCTTTTTTTTTTTTTTTTTGAGAGGGAGTCTCGCTTTGTCACCCATGCTGGAGTGCAGTGGTACGATCTTGGCCCACTGCAACCTCCATCTCCTGGGTTTAAGTGATTCCCCTGCCTCAGCCTCCCAAGTAGCTGGGATTAAAGGCATGTGCCACCACACCCAGCTAATATTTCTGTATTTTTAGTAGAGCCGGGGTTTTGCCCTGTTGGCCAGGCTGGTCTCAAACTCCTGACATCAAGGGATCTGCCTGCCTCGGCCTCCCAAAGTGCTAGGATTACAGGCATGAGCCACCGCGCCCAGCCAGTGTAGCTCTTATAAAGTTTGTTGGTTTGTCTGTTTGGTTTTTAAATCAAAAGCCAATTGAACAACAGGATATATACGCTGATAAATATTTGGGCTAAATAGTATTTTAACATTTGTCTTCAACTTGATTTGTCTGTTTAATTGAAAAGGATTGTAAGAGTTACTGTTGCATTTTCTGGCCTACTATAACATTTAAAATTCCTGTTGAGTTTCTTTGTGTTTACAAGGAAAGGACAACTTTTTCTCATCAAAACTAGCTTTTTCCCCACAAATAAATTATCAGGTTAAACTTGAAAGAAAAAAAAAGCATAGATCATACACCAGCTCTATAAGGTGTCGTCATCCTTATAGGGATGGTAGATGGTAGCTGGTCCTGTGAATCTTCAAAAGCTCATTCCATTGTTCTATTGGGCCAGCTGCTTCAGGGTGGTGGGAAACACGGTAAGACTAGTAAACTCCATGAGCAGGAGCCCGCTGATCCACTTAATTTGCTATGAAATGACTTCCTTGGTCAGAAGTAATGCCATATGGCCTACCTTGACGGTGGGTAGGGCATTCTGTAAGTCCACTTACTGTGGCTCTGGCAGAAGTATTGTGGGTAGGGAAGGAAAATTCATGTCCATAGTAAGTGTCTATTCCAGCAAGTACAAAGCACTTCCTCTTTCATAATGGAGGTGACCTGATGTAATTAACCTGCCACCAGGCAGCTGATTGGTCCTCTTGGGGAATAGTGCCATATTAGGGCCTCAGTATGGGCTGTGATCTGTTGTCAGTTCAGGCTTGGAGGGTAGAAGACCAGGCTACTAAGCCCTTGCATCCCTTCTATTGCTGCTGCTATGTCCCCTTTGTTTGTGAGTTCACTGAGCAAGGACGGAGTGGCTGGAGAAAAAGGACTGAATGATGTCCACAGAATGAGTGTATCAATTAAGGGTTTAATCAGAGAGGCAGACCCATTAGGATACATATTTCTCTGTGTGTGTGTGTATTTGTTGTGCAAATTTGATCTTAGTAATTGTGAGGCTAGTTAAACAACTGTGTGTATGTTCTCCTCCTGGATGGGATGTCTGATGCTAGAGAGTTAAGTTCACAGGGCAGGTGGTTAGGAGGGAAATGGATATAAATAGAGAAGAGCAGGACAGCCTGTAACCTGCAAGCACAAGCTGGAACCGAGCAGCATGAACTGGAACCTGTGTCAGTCTCACTGCCCCTGACCTTGAGGGTCTGGATGTCCTGAAGAAGCCAGTGCCCATTGTCATGGAGCTGCCCCATCTGGCCCAGGAGTTGGAGAAGCTGAAGGAGGATCAGGGGAAGGTAGAGTAGCTGCAGGCATGGCTGCCATCCACACTGATGACGGGAGCCTGCAGGTTAAATGACAACAGGTAAATTACAAAATGGTGACTGCTTCACTTCCACCCTCCAATTCTCTCTTGTGGCTCATCCTAACTGGAGACATAGCGGGAGGGGATTCTGAGAAACGGAGTTCAACGCAGCCAGGCTGACATATTTTAAAGTCGGCACAACTGCTCCCTTCTCAAGTTGGCACCCACACACTCCTCTTTTCATCACACTTATCCTCCAGTTACGGACAGTAACAAAGTGATGCTTCCTCCTAACAGAATGCAGCCATCCCACAAATCCACACGCACCCTTTCCCCAGCGAAGATGCAAACTCTCTTTTTGTCTTCTTCTAGCTGATTCACACTCCCTTTTTGTGCATTTTATTATCACTCTTTAAACTGTATATAAACACATCATAAGCTTCTTCCTCACTGATTCACACTCCCCCTTTGAGATCCTATAACTGAAATACTGAGAGAGAAAGCTAATTTCTATTAACATGCCTTATGTTAGACGTTAAGGGGCTAGGAGAGAGGAAGATAATGAAAATATTTAGTTAATTCATAAATACAAACATATTCGTATCAAAATCATTACTACAGTCCTCATTTCTGCCATTGGTCATGCGTCTGTAGTTGACATTGATAATTACCTGCCACCACCCATTCCTCATTTCCTTTGTCCTCAGCAAGCACCTCAGCGGGTCATGGCCTCCTGACTGGTGGGATCACCCAAACCTTCATTCTTGAAGGGTCTAAGCCTTTAGCAGTCTTGCCTGGATTGGGTTGTTGTCATTTGCCTTTGACTTTAAACACAGGGCACAGGAGTTGTAGGTGAAATCCTAATAAAGTCGCTGGTTAAGAGTAGCATATCAATATTAATCACTTAGTTCTGACAAATGTACCACGGTTATGTAAGATGTGAACATTAGGGGAAGCTGGGTGAAGGCCATATGGGGACTCTCTATACTGTCTTTGAAAATTTTCTGCAAATCTAAAATTATTCCCACCCCAAAAGTATGTACATCTATTATGCATCAATAAAAAATTATTTAAGTAAAATAACTCCCAAGATTAAAAGCTTTTATGTGTATCTTTCACAAAATAATAAGTCATAATCTAAAATAAAATAAAATGGAGGCCAGGCGCAGTGGCTCACACCTGTAATCCCAGCACTTTGGGAGGCCAAGGCAGGCGGATCACTTGAGGTCAGGAGTTCGAGACCAGCCTGGCCAACATGGTGAAACCCCGTCTCTACTAAAAATGCAAAAATTAGCCAGGCGTGATGGTGGGTGCCTGTAATCCCAGCTACTCAGGAGGCTGAGAGAGGAGAATCACTTGAACCCAGGAGGCAGAGGTTGCAGTGAGCCAACATCTCACCATTGCACTCCAGCCTGGGTGACAGAGTGAGACTCTGTCTCAAAAAGAATTAAAAATAAATAAATAAATAAATACATAAATAAAATGTAAAATAAAATAAAATGGAGACAAATACCTCCTCTTAGGGTTGATGAGAGGATTCAATGAGCTGGTGCCTGTAAAACGCTCACACAGAGCATGCGTTTAAAAGGTCAATAAATGGGCCAGGTGCAGTGGCTCACACCTGTAATCCCAGCACTTTGGGAGGCCAAGGTGGTCGGATCACCTGAAGTCAGGAGTTTGAGACCAGCCTGACCAACATGGTGAAACCTTGTCTCTACTAAATACAAAAAATTAGCCGATCATAGTGGCGCATGCCTGTAATCCCAGCTACTTGGGAGGCTGAAGCAGAATTGCCTGAACCTGGGAGGCAGAGGTTGCAGTGAGCCGAGATGGCATTGCACTCCAGCCTGGGCAACAAGAGCGAAACTCTGTCTCCAAAAAAAAAGGTCAATAAATGCAGGTTATAATAATAGTTGTTATACTCCCTCCAAACTCTTCCACCTCTCAGATTCTATGAGCATGGCTACTTGGTGGTGGTGTACTCACAGTTTCAGCTTTGGGGAAAATGAAGCTGCAGCATGGCTCCACTTGCTGGTGTCCTACTAAATATGACATGTGGCATTTCTGTTCTTCACCTGCCCTCCTCCCCTTTCCTTTAAGACCACAAGAGGGCCAGGTGTGGTGGCTCGCACTTTGGAAGGCCAAGGCAGGTAGATCGTTTGAGCTCAGGATTTGGAGACCAGCCTGAGCAATATGGTGACACCCCGTCTCTACAAAAAAATACAAAAATTAGCCGCGCGTGGTGGTGCATGCTTGTAGTCCCAGCTACTTGAGAGGCTGAGGTGGGAGGATCACTTGAGCTCAGGAGGCAGAGTTTGCAGTAAGCCTAGGGCATGCCACTGCACTCCAGCCTGGGCAACAGAGTGAGACCCTGTCTCAAAAACAAACAAATGCACAAATAAACCAATAAAAAAACCACAAGAAAGATTCTCAAACCAACATACAATGTCTCCAAGAATGTGAAAACCTCTTTGAAAAGCTTGAGAGGATTCCACACGTCCCTTTCATCTTCTCTAGGCAGTACTCCTCCAACTCTCTTTATTTATTTATTTATTTATTGAAAACCCCTTAGAGCTGGATATCTTCCTTTCCCAAAAGAAAAGTTGTCTACACCTGTGGTTTCCAGTCTTTTAAATGTCACCTTTAAAAAAGGAAGGGGGCTGGGAGTCACTTCTAGTTGCCAATTTGTTATTTAATACACAAGGGAGGTTTTGTTTTTAAATCCCAAATATACTGTTATTATCACCAACATTTTATTAAAATGCCATCAAAAGAAAGGGCATCTTACCACCAAAAAAAAAAAAAAGAAAAAAGATAAGAGGAGCAGAATCTCAGAATAAAGTGTCCTTGCAAATAAATACCATAATTGGCAACTGACTCTGACAGGTCAAAAAATTTTAAAACACAGAATGTTCTAAAAAAAAAAAAATCAAGCAAAAGAAATTGCAGCATAAAATATTATCCTAAGATGTGGCATTGCATTTTCATTTTTAAATTGTGAACACTGCATACAAATGAAAGAGTGCATATGATGTGGATATCTACGGTTTTAAAGAATGATAATAAAACGCACAACACATAATACAGAACTCTCCTGGTGCTCCTCCCCTGGTGCTCCTCCCCTGGTACTCCTCCCCTGGTGTTCCTCCCCACCTTCCTCTCTAGCTCCTGGAGGACACTGCCATCCTGTGTATTTATTAATCACTTCCTGTATTCTTTCTCTCTCTCTCTCTCAACATATATATATATATATATATATGTATATATATATGTGTGTGTATATATATATATGTATATATATATGTGTGTATATATATATACACACACATATATATATATATGTTTTGTTGTTGTTGCTGTTGTTTTGTTTGTTTTTGAGACAGAGTCTTGCTCTGTCACCCAGGCTGGAGTGCAATGGCACCGTCTCGGCTCACTGCAACCTCCACCTCCCAGGTTCAAGTGATTCTCCTGCCTCAGCCTCCCAAGCAGCTAGGACTACAGGTGCGTGTCACCTCACCCAGCTAATTTTTGTGTTTTTAGTAGAGACAGGGTTGCACTATGTTGGCCAGTCTGGTCTCTAGCTCCTGACCCGGTGATCCACCCGCCTTGGCCTCCCAAAGTGCTGGGATTACAGGCGTGAGCCATCACACCTGGCCTCTCTTTATATTTTACTACCTATGTCTCAACCCAGGAACAAGGCATTAATTAGTTTGGCCTCTTTTTACGGTTGTTTTCTCTTTGTTTGTTTGTTTTGAGATGGAGTCTCAATCTGCCGCCCCAGCTAGAGTGTAGTGGCGAGATCTCAGCTCACTGCAACCTCCACGCCTCCTGGGTTCAAGCAATTCTCCTGCCTCAGCCTCCCGAGTAGCTGGGATTACAGGCGCCCGCCACCACGCCCGGCTATTGTTTGTTTTTTTGAGGTGGAGTTTCGCTCTTATTGCCCAGGCTGGAGTGCAGTGGTGTGACCTCAGCTCACTGTAACCTCTGCCTTCCTGGTTCAAGTGATTCTCCTGCCTCAGCCTCCTGAGTAGCTGGGATTACAGGCATGCACCACTATGCACACCTAATTTTGTATTTTTACTAGAGACGGGGTTTCGCCAAGTTGGCCAGGCTGGTCTTGAACTTCTGACCTCAGGCGATCCACCCACCTCGGCCTCCTAAAGGGCTGGGATTACAGGTGTGAGCCACCGCACCCGGCCATGTTGTTTTTTTTAGAGATGGGGTCTTGCTATGTTTCCCAGTGGCTGCCCATCAGCATAATCATAGCTCACTGTAGCCTTGAACTCCTGGGCTCAAGCAGTTCTCCCACTCAGCCTCCTGAGCAGCTAGGACTACAGGCATGCACTACCACACCCAGCTTGCTTTTACTGTTTCTGTGAAAGGAATCATGTTGTATATGACTTGCTTCTTTTCCCCCTCCTCAAAATAATGGTTTTCTTTTTTGTTGTTGTTGTTCTTTTTATTTTGATGAAGTCTCGTTCTGTTGCCCAGACTGGAGTGCAGTAGCATGATCTCAGCTCACTACAACCTCCGCCAACCAGGTTCAAGCGATTCTCCTGCTTCAGCCTCCAGAGTAGCTGTGATTACAGATGCTCACCCCAGCTGATTTTGTATTGTTAGTAGAGATGGGGTTTCACCATGTTGGCCAGGCTGGTCTCGAACTCCTGACCTCAAGTGATCCACCTGCCTCTGCCTCCCAAAGTGCTGGAATTACAGGCATGAGCCGCCACACCCAGCCCCCACTCAAAATAATGGTTTTCTTGATTGATTCCTGGCTCACTGATTGCCATCTTCTCCCTGAGTCCTCACATGGCCGAACTGGTGAGGGAGCTCACTGGGGGTTAGGATTTTTACATATGAATTTCGTGGGGCACACAAATATTCAGACCATTCCAGGACTGGGACTGCAGGTGCAGGCCACCTCACCTGGCTAATTTTTGTATTTTTAGTACAGACAGGGTTTCACTATGTTGGCCAGGCTGGTCTTGAACTCCTGACCTTGTGATCCATTCACCTCAGCCTACGAGGGCTCACCAGAGCCCTGTGAGGAGGAGTTGGAATGGCCACTTTATTTATGCAGCAGTCATTGATGAAAACCCAGTTTCACCCACACTTGTGGATGGAGAGGGAAGCAAGGCTCCTCATGCCCTCATTATGCAATTTGTGGGTAACAGCCTCCAGGTCTCCAGTGGTTTCTATGGGGCAGGCAGTCCAGGGCCCTAATGTGGGCTTCAAGGGCTGGTCACCAGTCGATTACCCACTGGGGTAGCCCAACTTCAGGCTCTGGTCACCACCCAGCGGTTGGAAAATCACCTTCAAAGGTGCTGTGAGCAGGTGAACGTCACAGACCCACACGAGAGCACGGGCTGGCTTGGGAACTGCTGTCCTGTCGGTTAACAGCCCAATAGGTTAACAGGATAGGCCTAGGCTACTTTTACCAGATCCCTGGATCTCCCTAAAAAAAGGATCCTGACAATACCGGTCTCTAGATCCTTTCTAGAAATGCAGAATCAAATGCCATACCAGAGGACAAATGAATCTGAATCTTGCTTTTTTTTTTCTTTTTTTCTTTTTTGAGATAGGGTCTCACTCTTGCCCAGGCTGGAGTGCAGTGGCGCAATTATATTATGTAATAGGTCACTGTAGCTCTGACACCTACCCCGCCAACCACGGAGCTCAAGCGATCCTCCCACCTCAGCCTCCTGAGTAGCTGGGACTACAGGCATGTGTCACCACGCCCAGTTAATTTTTTATTTTTTTGTAGAGGAGACAGGATCCCCCTGTCTTGCCCAGGCTGGTCTCAAACTCCTGGGCTCAAGTGACCCTCCTGCCTCAGCCCCCCAAAGTGCTGGATTTACAGGCATGAGCCATTGCACCTGGCCTGAATTTTGCATTTTAGTAAGATCCCAAGTGACCTGTACCCACGTTCAAGGTTGGGAAGGACTGGCCTACATCTTTCATTGTGTGTGTATTTTTAAATAAATGTTTTTATTAAAATAGAGCACACATACAGAACCATTTGATAAATTATCACAAAGTGAATCCATAGAGGCACCCAGCCCCCCGATTAAGAAATAGAATAGGGCTAGGGTTAATAGCACCCTAGAAGTTCTCTTTCCCAGACACTCACCCCCAACCCTGGTCCCCAAAGGTAACCAATATTCTCGCTTCTAATGGCATAAGTTAATTTGATCCACATTTGTTCTTCATGTACATGGAATCATATTGCACGTATTTTTTTGTGTCTGGCTGCTTTCGTTTGTGAGATTCTAAAATCCTCACTAGGAACCCCAGCCTTCCACTGTGTACTTACACATTTTATACTGCTCTCTCATGTTTCCTGAGTCTTCTATCCCCAGAAAACTGTAAAGTTAAGGAAAGCCCATTTTATCCAAATAAATATTTAGCGAGCACCCACACTGTGCCAGGATTGTGGGGGGCTGAACCCCAACATGTGTTGCCAAATCGAGAGTTCCGTGTCATGTGAGGCATCTTGCCTAAGTAGTTTTCAGGGATGTGGAAGATTCACGTTGGTATGTGATTTCAATCTCTGAAAGGAATTTATTACCTGCCCTAAAGACACCCCAAACTGCACTTCAGCACACAGCTAACAAGTGACAGCAGGCTTCTCGCTTATGTCTTTAGAACACATCATAAAACCTAGTTCCCAGGAGCTGCTGTCTCGATGATTTCTGCTTTTCTTCAAGTGTTATTTGGTTAAATATTGAGATTCCCTCAGCTAAAAGTTATAAGTCTCTCAGAAAGCTGTTGATGCTTGTTCTTCTCAGGGCTTCCAGAAATAAATTATGCACGGACACTTTCCCCATTGATGGTTGTGACACTTAAGCCCTCTTGTTTGTTTAATTTTTAAAATATTTTTGAGACAAGGTCTCACTCTGTCGCCCAGGCTGGAGGGCAGTGGTGCAATCATGGCTCACTGCAGCCTCAACCTCCAGGGCTCAAGTGATCCTCCCACCTCTCAGCCTTCCCAGTAGCTGGGACTACAGATGCGTGCCACCACACCTGGCTAGTTTTTGTATTTTTTGTAGAGACAGGGCTTTGCCATGTTCCCCAGGCTTGTCTTGAACTCCTGGGCTTAAGTGATCCACCCGCCTCCATCTCCCAAAATGACAGGATTACAGGCATCAGCCACCGTGCCTGCCTTCTTGTTTGATTTGTTCACTGTCAGTGTTGCTGAGACCAATAGTCAGTCACCTTCTTTCTGGGCCTTGATTTTCTCATCTCTGAAAAGGAGGAAATGTATTACATCAGAGGTTTCTAACCTGAAATCCCTGGATCTCCCAGGGAATCCATTAATCCCTGGAAATTATATGGAAGATTATGCATGTGTGTATTCGAGGGGAAGGGAGTCCGGAATAACTACCCCCATCCCCTCCCAAAATTAAACACCATCATGCTCAGTAATACCCAATAATTTTTTTGTTTGTTTGTTTTTTTGAGACAGAGCCTCCCTCTGTCACCCAGGCTGGAGTGCAGTGGTGCAATCTCGGCTCACTGCAACCTCCGCCTCCCAGGTTCAAGCAATCCTCCTGCCTCAGCCTCCCGAGTAGTTGGCATTACAGGCACCTGCCACCACACCTGACTAATTTTTGTATTTTTAGTAGAGACGGAGTTTCCCCATGTTGGCCAGGCTGGTCTCGAACTCCTGACCTCGAGTGATGTGCCTGCCTTGGCCTCCCAAAGTGCTGGGATTACAGGTGTGAGCCCCCACATCCAGCCCCCAAGAACATTTTGGAGCACTATCATTCCACAATCATGTGGCTACTTGTGTCAGCTGCAGAGCATCACTTTTGCTAAGTGTCTGGTTCCAGCTGAATCTTAAGAAAAGGTGATTCACTTTGCCTTTTTCCTTCCATAAGTTTTTCTGCCCTAACAGAAAGAATACTGTAAAAGTGCAACACCTCTTAATAGCGTCGCCCTCTGATCTCTTCAGGTGAAGGTCATTTCATTTAAAATAGCAAGGTCCTGAATCACGTCCATCAATTTTCATATAACCTCAATCTGGGTCCTTTTGTATTTGGCTGGCTTGTTTTCTAAATGCTGGAGCTATTCTAACCCTCAGAACGTGTCTGCAGGTCTGGTTATCATAACCAAATGGATGGGAGACGGGAGCATACCAATATATTTGGAACAATTCAACAATCCAATTTTCTCTACCCAGAGAAACAGCTCTGCAGCAGCCCCGAATGGCTACACATGCCAGGTTTGCCTAATTGGACATGGGTGTTAGCCCATCACCTGAGCAAAGGAGGGAAGCAGAACCCTCCCTGCCTGTCATGTTCAGAGCTCATTAGTTCCCACACAATCACATTAGGTTACAGATTTTCTGTGTGCCAGTTCCCCAGCGGTACCCTAGCAACAAGTTGAGCCAACAGTTTTCATTACAAACTGCCTTGGTCAGTATAAAGGAACCATCTTATATTTCTTCCAGAGAGCAAAACATGCTAGACTCTTAAGTGTTCTTAATAATTGGCTTCACTGCAGATGATAGAGGTGGTTTCAGAACTCATCCTCTTCCTAAAATATGTATTTCTCTGTTCTTAGTTCTCTAAAGAAATAGAGCTCCATGGCCTAGCGCAGTGCCTCACGCCTGTAATCTCAGCACTTTGGGAGGCCGACGTGGGTGGATCACCTGAGGTCAGGAGTTCGAGACCAGCCTGACCAATATGGTGAAACCCCGCCTCTACTAAAATTACAAAAAATTAGCTGAGCGTGGTGGCATGCGCCTGTAGTCCCAGCTACTCAGGAGGCTGAGACAGGAGAATCTCTTGAACTCGGGAGGCGGGGAGGTTGCAGTGAGCTGAGATTGCGCCACTGCACTCTAGCCTGGGCGACAGAGCAAGAGTGCATCTCAAAAAAAAAAAAAAAAAAAAAGGAAAAAAGGAAAAAAGAAATAGAGCTCCATGATCAACCTTTGTGACTCCAAGTGTGGCCCACGAACCAACCACCGCAGCATCATTTGGAGATTGCTAGAAATGAAAACATCTCAGCCCCACTCCAGACCATCTGGGCTAGAATCTGCACTTTAACCAGATCTTCAGGTGACTCACACATGCAAATTCAAAAAGTACTCCAGAGAAATCACCCAAAGCCCCACTAGTAGACAGTATCTGCCTTACATCTGTGACCTTCTAGCAAGTAATTCATGATCACTAAATGTGAGCCTCTTTCCTTCTCCCTGTTAAAACCCAGGGCACCACCAGAGAAGCTTAGAGGGAGGAAGGGAAGGAGAAACAGGCCCAGAAGATGAAGAACTTGGAGAGAGAAGGAGTAATGAAGATGGAGGAGTGAAAAATGAAAGGGCTTGGGGTGGCCTTCAGAGCCTCCCCATAAGGGGTTTTAGGCCTTCAGGGTGTTCTCCGTAGTCACACACTGCCTCCTAGAGTTACTTGGTTAATAGTCTCTAAATAGGACTCACTTTTTAACTTTGATGACTTTTGAAAAGAAATGCATGTCTCAGGTTTTATGTGCATGTTATAATTTTTCTTTTTGAGACAGGGTGTCACTCTGTTGCCCAAGCTGGAGTGCAGTGGCACTATCTCAGCTCATGGCAACCTCTGCCCCCCAGGCTCAAGCCATCCTCCCACCTCAGCCTCCCAAGTAGCTGGGACTACAGGCGTATGCCACTACACCTGGCTAATTTTTGTGTTTTTGTAGAGCCAGAATTTTGCCATGTCACCTAGGCTGGTCTTGAACTCCTGGGCTCAAGTGATCTGCCCACTTCGCCCTCCCAAAGTGCTGAGATTACAGGTATGAGCCACCATGCCCAGCCATATTTTTTTCTAATACACATTAAAATAGATTCGTGGCTATTAACATTTTGTGAAGTGTTGTTTGTAACCACTGCAGACGATCCCTGGGGACACCTGATCTGGAAGAATGATAGTCCAAGTGGTGCAGGAAGTCCCCTGAGAGCTGGCACAAAATCTACAGGGCTGGTTCTATATCCTCTTTTGTGTGTGTGTGTGTGTGTGTGTGTGTGTGTGTGTGTGTGTGTGTGTGACGGAGTCTCGCTCTGTCACCAAGGCTGGAGTGCAATGGCGCAATCTCAGCTCACCGCAACCTCCGCCTCCCGGATTCAAGCAATCTTCCTGCCTCAGCCTCCCAAGTAGCTGGGATTACAGCCATCCACCACTATGCCCAGCTAATTTTTGTATTTTTAGTAGAGACAGGGTCTCACCATGTTGGCCAGGCTGGTCTTGAACTCCTGATCTCAGGTGATCCCACCTGTCTTGGCCTCCCAAAGTGCTGGGATTACAAGCATGAGCCACCATGCCCGGCTTTTTTTCTTTTTTCTTTTTGAGACAGAGTCTTGCTCTGTCACCCAGGCTGGAGTGCAGTGACATGATCACAGCTCACTGCAGCCTGGACCTCCTATCCTCCCTCCCGAGTAGCTAGGACCACAGGTATGCACCACCATGCCTGGTCAATTATTTTTTTATTTTTTTTATTTTTTTAGTAGAGATAGAGTCTCATTATGTTGGCCAGGCTGGTCTCGAACTCCTGGGCTCAAGTGATCCTCCCACCTTGGTCTCCCAAAGTGTTGAGACTACAGGCATGAGCCACTGAACTGGGCTGAGGTTCGTACTATTTTCTCATGTGTCTAAACTGCATTGCAGGACACAAGGGTGTGGTATAATAGTTGTTATTCAGCCAAGTTAAAGCAGCAGTCCACTGCAGATCAGGAGGACCACTCACATAGAACCTGCTTAAGGGTAGTGGCAAGAACTTGGAATAATGATTGCAGATTAGGCCAAGCACAGTGGCTTATACCTGTAATCCTGGCACTTTGGGAGGCTGAGGCAGGCAGACCACTTGAGGTCAGGAGTTTGAGATCAGCCTGGCCAACATGGTGAAACCCCGTCTCTACTAAAAATGCAAAAATTAGTCGGGCATGGTGGCAGGTGCCTGTAGTCCCAGCCACTCAGGGGGCTGAGGCAGGAGAATTGGTTGAACCCACAAAGCAGAGGCTGCAGTGGGCCGAGATGATGCCACTGCACTCCAGCCTGGGTGACAGAGTGAGACTCCATCTCAACAACAAAAAAAAGATTGTAGATTAACAAGCAAATGTTTGCTTAATACTGTAAGTTAACATAAGGCACATGGGTTAGGTTGGCTAGAGTCCTGACTACAGCAGCCATCCAAGACCATCATCTGGGTTCAGAGCATGGATCTAAAAGAAGCAAGAAGCCCTCATCTGGATGTCGGTTGGCCTGAAGGAGCCTGGGGGCCTCTGATCTCCTGCAAGTCACGGCCACGCTTTCCTTCACTTAGCAGCTGGCCTCCACAGAGATGTCAGCAATTCGTAGGAACGGTTGTTCCCTTTATCCTTTGAGAAAAGGGACATGCAAAATAAGCCAAACATTTTCTAGTGTGAACAGACTGAGGTGCTACTTTTAAAAAGAAACAGGGAGCAACCGAAAAGTCCAATGGAAAACAGAAAATAACCAAGAGGTCAGAAACTAACACCAGAGAAGAAAGTAGCAATGATTTAAATGTGCGCATTAACAGTTCACAGGAATGGAACAGAGTTTCCATACGCTGAAAGGTGAGTCTCTTTTCCATCTCCACCGAGAGCACAACTTCAAAGGAACAGACTCAAATTGTCGGAAGGGCTAAAAAGAACAACTTTGACTTGTTAGGGATATCAGACTCTGATCCAAACTAACAAAGGAAATAATGTGCTCGCCTTGGAAAATCTTTTTTTTTAAATGGATAGCTTAAAAAAAAAAAGTGCGCCTGGCTGTATTGTGGGCTAGGGGCGGGTTCTGGCTGGACATTAGGGGTAGAGTCTCTGGTGTCTTTCAATCGGTTATAAAAAGCTCCTAGGCCCTCAGTCCAGTCTTTTCTAGAAGTACAATTAATTATATTGCATTAAATATTGCCTGCGGTAAGTGGGCCATCAATGAAGCTGAGTCTTTCTGTTATTTCTGTTTCCGTGCTTTGAAGACAAGTGTCCTCTCACAGAGCTCTTTGTAAACAGACTTTCTGCCAATTGAATAGAGTAGATTAATTGCACTATAGGAGGAGGGAGAACTTGCAATGTAAAGTGATTCTATGGTACGCTTTACTGTAAAAATGAGAGTCTATTGTAAATGTGGGTTTTTGAAAAGCAAAATGGAAGAGCCCAGGCCAGGTAAAAGAATGAATTCCCATCGCACATAGGATAGAGAAGCAGGGCAGCCGGCAGGTGCCGCATGCACATAAAGCTGTTAGCACCATGCCTAGCCCTGAGGACTCAAGCAACCCATGGAAGCTCCTGAAATACTATCAGCCTGTTTGGATACTGTTATCCTCCTATTCTCCCACGTCTACATAAGCACCAGCAATGACGGAGGATTAAGATTTCATCTAGTGCTCATCAATCTCTTAAATCTCTGTTCAGGAACTGACAGTGGTTCAAATCCCAGCTCTCAGCCGGGCACGGTGGCTCATGCCTGTCATCCGAGCACTTTGGGAGGCCGAGGCGGGTGGATCCCTTGAGGCCAGGAGTTTGAGACTAGCCTGGCCAACATGGTGAAACCCTGTCTCTACTAAAAATACAAAAATTAGCTGGGTGCGGTGGTGGGCACCTGTAATCCCAGCCACTCAGGAGGCTGAGGCAGGAGAATCACTTGAACCCAGGAGGCAGAGGTTGCAGTGGGCCAAGATCATGCCATTGCACTCCAGCCTGGTCGACAAAAGCAAAACTCCGTCTCAAAAAAACAAAAAAACAAAACAAAACAAAACAAAAAAAACCCGCCCTCCTCTCTCTCCACTTAGGTCAAGCCAACCTTCTCCCTAACCTCTGCAAAACTTCAGCTCCTCCCTGCTCTTGCCTTTTTCCGCACTCCTGGGAGCAAAGAGATGAAAACAGATGGTTGCAAATGACTCCTATGGACTGGAGCTGAAATGTAGGTTGAAGGTAACAGTGGAGAGAGTACAGGCAAACAAAGCCCAAAGTCCAGCTCCTTCTCCTCAGCTTTCTGCTCCCTCCAACTTTCCTCTGGAAAGTTCTCAACAGTAAACAGCTCACACAGTTCGGGAAGTTTGAGGGGCTTGCACTTTTTCCATGAAACTCTTCAAACAATCATATGAAAATATATTGCAATTATTAGACATCTGGTTTACCCAAATAATATTATATACAAGTACCATTTAATACAGAAGTCGGATTTTACTGCTTTTGGTGAAAGGCCAGAGTGAGATTAAAGAGCAAAGAACAGCACAATGTAACCTGAAGTTAGAGTCAGAGTGAATAACATTGCAAAGGAACTTTCAAAGGAGGAATTATTTCTGGGTCAATTTAACTGTAGAGTCTAAAATAACTTTAGCCGCCAGCTCAGAAGATAAAGTCTAAACGGACATGTCTGTGTCAAAGAGTAAGAAACTAGCTTTTTCTGAAACATTTCTTTCTTTCTTTTTTTTTTCTGAGACGGAGTCTTGCTCTGTCACCCAGGCTGGAGTGCAGTGGCACGATGTCGGCTCACTGCAACCTCCGCCTCCTGGGTTCAAGCAATTCTCTGCCTCAGCCTCCCGAGTAGCTGGCATTACAGGCACCTGCCACCACGCCCGGCTAGTTTTTGTATTTTTAGTAGAGACGGGGTTTCACCATCTTGGCCAGGCTGGTCTTGGACTCCTGACCTCGTGATCCACCAGCCTTGGCCTCCCAAAGTGCTAGGATTACAGGCGTGAGCCACTGCACCTGGCCTGAAACATTTCTCAAGTGAATACACATTAGAATTATCCCCCAAACCTTTCTAGTGAAAAGGGTTGATCGATTGGAAGGGTCTAGATGTGTCACTCCTCAGTCCAAACTGCTGAGTGGGAAATGGGTTCCAGAAAAGGCTTGTCTCCGTTTGGAAAACATAAAGTTGGCCAGCGAATGATGCATTAAGGTCAAGTCTAATCACTGTAAATGTTGTGTCCTCTGCAGCCCGCCTATGAGGCAGCTGGGGCTTCAGCTCTCTGAATTTACAGTCTAAGAATCTGTCTCTGCTTATCCTGCCTTCTGCCCTTTTGTAGGTTAAATGTGTCCCCCAAAAAGATATATTGACTCTTAACCCCAACTACCTGTAAAGGTGACCTTATTTGGAAATAGGATCTTTGCAGATATAATCAAGTTTAAACGAGGTCATACTTAATTAGAGTGGGCCCTACTCCACTATGACTGGGGTCCTTATAAGATCAGGAAACAGAGACAGAGATACACACAACACAGAGGGAAGACAATGTGAAGAGATCTAGGGAGAATGTCCCGTGATGACGGAGGCAGAGATTGAAGCGGTGCATCTACAAGCAACAGACCACCCAGGATTGTTGGTGACACCAGAAGCTGGAAGAGGCGAGGAAGGATTCCCCACTGGAGTCTTCAGAAGGAGGCCAGCCCAACAGAGACCTTGACTGCAGACCTCTAGCCTCCAGAACTGTGACAGAAGAAATCACTGTTTTTTGTTGGCCGCAGCGGCTCATGTCTATAATCCCAGCACTTTGGGAGGCTGAGGCAGTGGATCACCTGAGGTCAGGAGTTCAAGACTAGCCTGGCCAACATGGTGAAACCCCGTCTCTACTAAATATACAAAAATTAGCCAGGCATGTTGGCACACACCTGTAATCCCAGCTGCTTGGGAGGTTGAGGCAGGAGAATCACTTGAACCCAGGAGGCAGAGATTGCAGTGAGCCAACATCATGCCACTGCACTCCAGCCTGAGCAACAGAGCAAGACTTGGTCTCCAAAAAAAAAAAAAGGAAAAGAAATTGCTGTTGTTTTAAGCTCCCCAGGTTGTGGTCACTTTTACACAGCCCTAGCAAAGTCACACATCCCCAGATGGCTTTGTCCTCTCCTCTCCTTCCGGTAATCCCTCCCTGCCCTCGTCCACAGAAATGCAGGTTCACAGAAACACAGGTGTGTCAGTCCACAGCCACAGACCTCCACACACAGCTCCCCAAATGCACACACACACACACACAAATACACATTTTATGTGTAACTACGGAACTGCAGATTACAGATGCTTTCATTCTGTCTCTTTTTTTTAACTTTTATTATGGAAAAAAAATTAACATTCACAAAAATAGAGTGGCGTAATGAACACCCATGTGCCCATCCCCAGCTTTTATGAAGAATTTTGCCCATTGTATTTCATCTAGCCCCCAGCCAAGGTCACTTTGCATGGGGCAGTATGTGGAGCATTTTAAAGCAAACAACACACCATGCCAGGTCATCTGTAAAGCTTTAGTGTAAACAACTTCAGGCGCATTTTTTCGGTCACCTCTGAGGAGTATTTTATTACTGAAGTAAAAGGAATGAATAGAGTTTTATATCTGGGTCCTCTTTCAGTTCTTTTACAGTTCAGTGATTTTTGTCTGCTTGCTTTGTTTTCTCTTTTTTACAATTTTTTATTTAGTGGTTTTAAATATATTCACACAGTTGTGCAACCATCACCACAATCTAATTTTAGAACATTTTCATCACCCCCAAAAGAAACCCTGTACCCATCAGCAGTCACTCCTCATTTCCCTCCTCCCCAACACTCCAGCCTCAGACAACCACTAATCTGCTTTCTGTCTCAATAGATTTGCTTATTTGGAACATTTCATATAAAGGGAATCATACAATATCTAGTCTTTTGTAACTGGCTTCTTTTTTCACTTAGCAAAATGTTTCAAGGTGGGTTTATGCTAAAGTATGTATCAGCACTTTAATCCTTTTCATGGCTGAGTAATATTTTATTGCATGGATATGCCACATATTATTTATCCATTTATCAGTTGATGGACATTTGGGTTGTTTCCATCGTTTGGCTATTATGAATAATCCCACAATGAACACTCATGTACAAGTGTTTGTGTGGACATATGTTTTCATTTCTCTTGTGTACATGCCTAAGAGTAGAATTTTTTTGAACATAACTCTAGGGTTTTTGTTTTGTTGAGACAGGATCTTACTTTGTTGCCCAGGCTGAAGTGCAGTGGTATGAACATGGCTCACTGCAGCCTTGACCTCCTGGGCTCAAGTGATCCTCCTGCCTCAGCCTCCCATGTAGCTGGGACCACAGGTGTGTACCAACATGCCTGGCTAACTTTTGTATTTTTTGTAGAGACAGGGTTTTGCCATGTTGCTCAGGCTTACTCTCAAACTCCCGGGCTCAAGCAATCTGTCCACCTTGGCCTCCCAAAGTGCTGGGACCACAGGCGTGAGCCACCATGCCCAGCCTTGTAACTCTATGTTTAACTTTTTTTTTTTTTTTTTTTGAGATGGAGTCTTACTCTGTTGCCCAGGCTGGAGTGCAGTGGAGCAATCTCATCTCACTGCAACCCCCATCTCTCACTGCAACCCCCACCTCCCAAAGTGCTGGGCTTACAGATGTAAGCCACCACACTAGCCATGTTTAACATTTTGAGGAACCACCAAACTGTTTTCCAAAGTGGCTATAACACTTTACTATTCTACCAGCAATGTATGAAAATTCTAATTTCTCCATAAATTCACTATACTTGTTATTCTCCATCTTTTTTATTATAGCCAACCTGGTGGGTGTAAAGTGATATCTCATTGTGGTTTTTATTTGTATTTCCCTACTGACTAATGATGTTGAGCTTTTTTAATGTGCTTATTGACCATTTGTAAATCTTCTTTGGAGAAATGTGTCTTCAGATCCTTTGCCTGTTTTTCAACTGGGTCATGTCTTTTTGTTGTTGTTGAGTTGTAAAAGATCTTTATATAGTCTGGACGGAAGTCCCTTATTGGGTATATGATTTGCAAATATTTTCTCCCATCTGTGAGCTGTCTTTTCCTTTCTTCCTGGTGTCTTGTGAAACACAAAAGTTTTCTACTGGATAAAGTCCAGTGTATCTGTTTTTTCTTTTGTTGCTTGTGCTTTTGGTGTGGATCTGAGAAACCATTGCCTGACTCAATATCACAAAGATTTAGTCCTATGTTTTCTTCAAAGTGTTTTCTAGTTTTAGCTCTTACATTTAGATGTATGATCCACTTTGAGTAATTTTTTAATATATGGTGTGAGGTAGGGATCCAAACTCATTCTTTTGCATTTGTATTTAGATATTACATTTTGATCCTGTTTCTTTTTGACTTGTTCTATGATATTGTACCTGTTTTCCATAAACCACCTTTTATTTATTTATTTAGACACAGGGGTCTCACTATGTTGCCCAGGCTGGACTCAAACTCCTGGGCTCAAGCGATCCTCTGGCCTCAACCTCCAGAGTAGCTGGAACTACAGACACACACGATCATGCTCAGTTCCACAAATCACCTTTTACATGTCTTTGATGAGACTACACCAAGAGTGATAAAAAAGAAAACCCTAAATGGAGAAACAGTCCACATGAGGAAGTGGTTAGCCCTTCTTTCATTGCCTGTAATCTGTAACTCATTTCTCCAATTTTAGTTTTTTCCCCTTTTCTTATAATATTTTACAATGCAATTTAGCACCTGTTTGATTCAGTCAGTGGTAACTGTACCAATTAGTCCTGACCTAACCTTCAGCTATTCTGTTCTATCCCATTTCTATCTATCTATCTATCTATCTATCTATCTATCTATCTATCTATCCATCCCTCTATCTATCTATTTAGAGTTGAAGTCTCACACAGTCACACAGGCTGGAGTGCAGTGGTACAATCATAGCTCACTGTAGCCTTGAATTCCTGGCCTCCAGTGATCCTCCTGCCTCAGCCTCCTGAGTCTCTGGGATTACAAGCATGAGCCATCAATTTAAAACTTCAATTTGACAAAGACTATGAGCACCAACAATGTGTCTGTTGGTCCTGGGTAAATCAGAGGTGAAAAGACAAGTGCCCCACCCTCAGACTATCACAGCCAAGATGGAGAGAGGTCTGGCATGTAAACAAATAATGAGGGAGTATGAACATAAGAGGGAAGGAGTGATTGTGTGAGGGGGCTGGAAAACCTCATGAAGGGAGGGGATTGGGGCAAAGGCTCAGAGCAGGGCCCAGGCAGGGACCAATGTCTGATGCCAGCTGGGTGAGGCCCTTGTCAATCTGGATACCAGATGCCCCATCTAGAGGAGGCAGTTTCCACTCATCCCCAGCAGATCATATCACTGTAGGTGGACCCAGGAACGTCAAGATAAGTTGAAAAAAATTCTGAGCCAGGCGTGGTGGCTCATGCCTGCAATCCCAGCATTTTGGGATGCCGAGGTGGGTGGATCACCTGAGGTCAGGAGTTCAAGACCAACCTGGCCAACATGGTAAAACCCTGTCTCTACTAAAAATACAAAAATTAGCTGGGTGTGATGGTAGGTGCCTGTAGTCCCAGCTACTCAGGAGGCTGAGGCAGGAGAATCGCTTGAACCCAGGAAGCAGAGGTTGCACTGAACTGAGATCATGCCACTGTACTCCAGCCTGGACAACAGAGCAAGATTCCATCTCAAAAAAAAAAAAAAAAAAAAAAAAAAAAAAGGAAGGAGTTGAAAAAAAGATCTAATTTTTGTGTGGAATTCCTCATTTTTGAAAGTTGTTAATTAATTTGAATTTTAAAACTCTATAGTGGGTTCCCCAAATGTTGCATAAAATTACTATACAATGCAGCAATTCCACTCCCGGGTATACTCCCCCAGAGAAATGAATACAGGGATTCAAACAGATATTTGTAGGCCAATGTTCACTGCAACCCGAAGTGGAAACAATCCAAGTGTCTATCAACAGAGGAACTGATAAATAATATGTGATATATTCATACAATGCAATATTCACCCATTAAAAAAAAGTTCAGTTCTAATGCATGCTACAACATGGACGAACCTTGGAAATCTTATGCTAAGTAAAATAAACCAGCCACAAAAGGACAAATATTATATGATTGCACTACGTGAAATACCTAGAATAGGCAAATTCATACAGACAGAAAGTAGATAAGAGATTACCAAGGGCTGGGGCAGGGAGGTGGGTGGAGGTGCCTAGGAGTTCTTGCTTAATGGTACAGTTTCTGCTTGGGGTGATGAAAACGTTTTGGAAACAGTGGGTGATGTTTGCACAACATTGCAAAAGTAACTAATGCCACTACATTGTACACTTAATAATGGTTAACATGGGGGCTGGGCGCGGTGGCTCATGCCTGTAATCCCAGCACTTTGGGAGGCCGAGGTGGGCACATCATGAGGTCAGGAGATCGCCAGAGGAGTTGAGTCCTGAGCAACTGCAGAGAGGGAGCCTGCTCCTAGGACTTCGTACAAATTCCAAATGGGATATATGGAGTTCTAGGGAAGGCATGTAAATTCAGTAAAACTCATTCCGACTTTAATTAAACAGCCCAGAGCACAGGTCCTATTAGTGGTGGGCTGGTTTCATCTCTTATGTGAAAGAGGTTTACTGAAAAAAGAGCAGCGTGATAGAAATCAAACACAGATCAGGGGGCTCAGCCTGACTGTGCTAACCAAGTCTGTGCCCTTTGGAATCTACGCTGAATGATGATCTCGCTGTGCCTCAGCGTCCTTGCTTCTCAATGGGGCGAAGTCTCTGTCCTATCCAGTTCATGGGATGGCTCTGATGAGAAAAATGAAAGCGATTTCCAAACATTTCACATCTAAGTGCCCCGAATTGTCCCAGGGCTGTGAATTTTACCTATCCTCTGTGCTTTACAACGTTACATAACATGTTTGAAATAAGTGGGTCGTCCACCGGGGTTTGGAATTCACTGTGATCTGGAGACCTGGTCGTATTTATTGTAAGTTTTGACTCCTGAACAAAAAGTGAAACATTATTCGCACTCAAGCTCCTCCTGTGTTCTATCCTTACGCAGGACATCATCCACACAGCACCCCATTCTTCATCTTGCATTGCTCTTTTTGGAAATAAGTATATTTGGATGTTTTGTTACTAAAGCTGCATTCTCCCCGCAGCATGCGTGCTCTGCAGCAACAGGGAAGGGAAAACAGGAACGCTCTGAAGCAGTACATTCCTGCACACCCACACAGAGCCATGGCTTCCTAGACAAGTCCCCGAACCTAGATGTCTGCAGTGTCCTGGCACGCTGCTGGTAAGTGACAGACACAGGCAGGGCTGCAAGGCTAGGAGCTCCCTCTGTGAGGGAGGAACAAGGACACTTCACAGCTTTCACTTGAGTGGATCCAAGAGAATGTTTTGTGAAAGTGGCAAAAGAGGTAAAACGGCTTTTTCGCTGCAGAAGTAAAGTGGGACACCCAGCGAGAGCCTTGCTGAGGGAAACCATGCAGCCTGTGGCCTGGCTCTGGCTGACCAGATGAAGAATGATCCCTTTCTAAGCCTATTATGGCACTAGGATGGTTTTTCAACCCATGATTGTGTTGCGGGTCAAAGCAGGGTAGCTGTGATGAGCCCCAGGCCTGGACCCACACTAGGGAGTTCAGTGTTGAGGGCAGCGGGCCACCCCCTCCCATCATGGCCAGCAATCGGTTGTGGACCAGCCAAGAGGCACGGGGGCACCTGGCCGAAAAATTATCCCCAGAGGCAAACATTTAACAGCTGTGATGTCTTAAATAAATATCATTCTTGCTGAGCAAGGGAAGAAAGAAAAGAATAAACAGAAAAGAGTGGGAGAAAGAAAGAGAACAGAATGCAGATTAGATTTAAGAGGGGCAGATACGATGATGAGGGGTGGTGTCTAGATCAGTGCAGGAGCACTGAGTAGCTCGCTGGGGCTAAGCGGGCCCCACCATCAGACCCGTCCCTAGAGCTGGCAGTGAAGATTCCCCTCTTCTCTAAACGTGCCTAGGGCTTAACGCAGAGGGGAGCCGGGAGTCCTTCAAGAAGCCACGAAGGCTTCACCCTGGCACAGACCCAGAGCAGGCACCCTTTCCTCACTGGCAGCATCCCCTGCAACATCGGCCTCCCCTCTGCTAGGCAGCCCATAGGGCCCAGGGAGGGCACAGAACCGAGCCATGGAGGAAGGGTGATGAGGAGAGGGAGCTGCCTGACTCACCCCGTCCTCAGTCACTTGGATCACGGGTGGGCAGGCCTGCAGATGATGAATCACTGAGAGCTGTGAACGCTATTCTGAGCTCTGCCAAGAACACGAGTGCTCTTGTTGGCACCCTGGCACCCTTCACAGTTTCTCTCCTTCCTTGTCTGGCTGCCAGGAGACATGCATTGTAGGAACTGGGTATCTGAGAGGTTTTTTTTTTAGCCCAACACAGAAACCATCTAACTCTTTCTATTCTTCCTGCTTCTTAACCAGTTCTTGGAAGTCACTGATTGGAAACCGGAACTGAAAGCCACCTCCTTCCCAGCCTAGCTGAGACAGCCTTGCTGAGAAGCCATTCCAGGGCAGGGCAGACCTTATGGAATTTACCAAATGAATCACCTGGCTACGTGTTTGGCTATGTGTCTGAAAGTACCCAGGAATTATGTCAGTTAAGTTCTAGATTCTATAAGGAAAAATCAGACCGGCACCTAGAGCTCTGTAACTGCACAACACATGAGTTAATTTCTCAATCTATCTGGTTCCCATACAGTCTATGAGAACTTTTATCCACTTTCATCTTTCATCCATAGAAAGAGTTAAATGCTGTACAGACTAAATCAAACCCACCACATGCTGCTGGGCTCAGCTACCAGGAATTTAAATAAGAACCTGCCTGTGTGACATTCTCACGCTCCTGTGTATTAAATTGCAAGGGGATCCACAGGGGAAAGTAAGCTGTCCTTCACCTTCTCACTGTCTTGTGTCACAAGCCCTTGGGAATGGGTATTTGGAAAAGCAAAGGTCATGCCTGTATGCTTCAGGAAGATGAGGAGAGTATACGTTCCATTCACAAACATATACTGAATATGAAGAAGGCATTTTGAGGGTTACAGAGATGGAAGCACCTCAAGGAGATTAAATCTAGTAGGAGAGATAAGAAGTGTACACAGATCATTTTAAATAACCACCAGCCAGGCGCGGTGGCTCACGCCTGTAATCCCAGCACTTTGGGAGGCCAAGGTAGGAGGAACACTTGAGGTCAGGAGTTCAAGACTAGCCTGACCAACATGGCGAAACCCCATCTCTACTAAAAATATGAAAATTAGCTGGGCGTGGTGGCGTGTGCCTGTAGTCCCAGCTACTGTGGAGGCTGAGGCAGGAGAATCACTTGAACCCGGGAGGTGGAGGTTGCAGTGAGCTGAGATCATGCTCCAGCCTGGGTGGTAGAGTGAGACTCTGTCTCAAAAAAATAAAATAAAATAAATAAGCACTGAGTCCTATGTGATATGAAAAAGAATTAACTGGTTTGGTGAAAGGCAGGATTCACAAACTGTGCCTTGAAGAATAAGCACAATTTCCACCAGGGAAGACAGAGATGATACCAAAGGTGCAGAGAACTGCCCCATTTTTCTACAAGGATGTGGGGAGATAAAATCAGAGCAGTACATGGGGTTTAGACATGCAGTGCCTTAAATGACAGGCTTAGGAGCTTGGGCTTGATCCAGTGGGTGTGGAGAACCCACAAGGTGACAGGGGTGATCCAATCAGAGCTTCCAGAAGCTTGGTCTGGCAGCTGTGGCAAGATGACTTGAAAGGAACGGAAACCAGAGATAGGGAACCAGCGTCGTAGTTCAGATGGGAACTAATAAAGGCCTGATGAGGGAAGTAACAATGAGATAGAAAAAGACACTTGTGTGTATAATGTTACGGAGATAATTAAACAGAGGCCAAATATTCACCAAATGTGAAGAAATGAAAGAAGAAGAGAAAGGCATCAAAATGATTCTGAAATACTCAAAACCACTAGAGGTGGATGTGTTTTTTCAACTGGAAAAAATGATTTGTAGCCAAATTGATGGAGAAGATTACAGTGCCATCAACAGGCATATGGACCTCAAGAGGAGAAAAAATCGGGGGATGGTTCTCCCTTGTGAGGGTGAGAGGCCATGGAGATGACCAGAACACGGTCGAAAATGCATACAAGCGTGATCAGGGCTGGAGAGAAGGATCCGGGAGTCACCCATGCAGCAGTCACAGTGGGAAGCATGGGACACAGCAAAGAAAAGCGTTCCAAAGGCAGAACTAACCAAACAAAGACCTACACTGACAGAATGGAGGAAACAGAAACAACATGGGGGAAAGCAAAAAAAACGAGCATTTATGGAGTCTCAACCGTATGCTTGTGGTAAGACATTTGCCTATGTTATCCGCAAAGTATTTCTTCCATTTTACAGATAAGAAAACCGAATCTAGTCTACTCCATCAAACAACCCAAATTCCAGAAATCCAAGAGTCATTCTCTGCAAATCCATCTCCCTCACCTCTCAGTCAATTGCAACACACCTTGTTAATACTACCTTCTAATCTTTCTTGACTCGATTCCCTTCTTCCAGCCTTACTTTAGAGCCTTCCTTTAGGTCCTCAGGTGTCCCCTGCTTAGTCAATAGCTTCCTCTCTCCAGGTCTCTCGCATCATGGTCTTACCCATTACCACTCCATCTCCTCTACCACCAAGGGTTCCAACACACAAATCAGTTCTCACAACACCTTCAGAAGCTAGCAAGGGCCTTGGTGAGGTGGCTCTCACTCTCTGGGATCACCTCAACCACTCACTTGCAGGCACCCCATACTCTGGCCTCACAGACCTATCTGTGGCTCACAGAATACAGCTACCTTCCCATCGCTGCACATGTTCCCTGTTTTTCAAGACTATCTCCTACTGTTTTTTAAGAGCAATTCAGGCATCATATCCTCGAGGTGTTCAGACCTTCTCAGGGGCCTGTTTTCTGTACCCTTCACTGCTTTGGCCATACCCCCATCATAGCTCTTACCACACTACAACTTAATCTATATGATTAAATTCAATTTAATCTCACTCTATCTAACACTCAATATTTTCTGGTGAAATTAACGAACGAATCAATTCAAATCCAAGTCTGATTCTGAGGTTCTCATTCTTTCCACTACACAGAGCAGAAAGAGAAACAGGATGGTGCAAGATGACAAAAAGGCAAGAGGCCATTCACAAAACACTCACAGCTAACATCATACTTAATGGTGAAAGACTAGATGCTTTCCTCCTAAAATCAGGAGCAAGACAGGGATGTCTGCTCTCACCACTTCTGTACAACACTGAACTGAAGATTCTAACCAGGGAAATTGGGCAAGAAAAAGATAAGGCACCCAGAGAAAAAGAAGTTAAACTATCTCTATTCCCAGATGACATGATCCTATATCTAAAAACATCCTAAGGAATCCACAGAATTATTAGAACAAATAAGTTCAGCAAGATTGCGGGATACAGATCAATATACAAAGCTCAATTGTATATCTCTATATACTAGTGTTGAACAGCCCAAAATGAAGGTAAGAAAATAATTCCACTTACAATAAAATTTAAAAGAAAAAAATGGCTGGGCACAGTGGCTCATGCCTATAATCCCAGGACTTTGGGAGGTCGAGGCGGGTGGATCACCTGAGGTCACGAGTTTGAGACCAGCCTGGCCAACATGGTGAAACCCCGTCTCTACCAAAAACACAAAAATTAGATGGGCGTGGTGGTGGGCGCCTGTAATCCCAGCTACTCAGGAGGTTGAGGCAGGAGAATCGTTTGAACTTGGGAGGCAGAAGTTGCAGTGAGCCAAGATCACTCCATTGCGCTCCAGCCTGGGCAACGGGAGCGAACTCTGTCTCAAAAAAAAAAAAAAAAGAAAGAAAAAAATACAAAATACATTTAACAGAATAAGTAACAAGACTTGTGCACCAAAAACTATAAAACATCACTGAAAGAAATTAAAGGCATAAATAAATAAAAAGGCATCCCATATTCATGGATTGGAAGGTTTAATATGGTTAAGATGACAATACTCCTCAAATTGATCTACAGACTCAACACAACCCCTATCAAAATCCCAGCTGTCTTGTTTTGTAGAAATTGACAAGCTAATTCTAAAATTCATATGGAAATGCAAGGGACTCAGACTCACCAAAGCGATTTTGAAAATTAAGAACAAAGTTAGAGGACTCACACTTGCTGATTTTAAAACTTACTACAGGCGAGGCATGATGACTCATGCCTGTAATCCCAGCACTTTGAGAGGCTGAGGTGGGTGGATCATTTGAGGTCAGGAGTTAGAGACCAGCCTGGCCAACATGGTGAAACTTCGTCTCTACTGAAAAAATAAAAAATTCAAACTTAGCCAGGTGTGGTGGTGGGTGCCTATAATCCCAGCTACTCGGGAGGCTGAGGCTGAGGCAGAAAAATCACTTGAACCCAGGAGGCAAAAGTTGCAATTAGCCAACAATGCACCACTGCACTCCAGCCTGGGCAGCAAGACCCTGTCTCAAAAAAAAAACTTACTACAAAGCTACAGTAATTAAGACAGAACGGTATTGACATAAAGACAGACATACAGATCAATCTGATAAAATTGAGAGTCCAGAAATAAACCTTTACATTCATGGTCAATTGATATTAAACAAAGATGCCAAAACATTTCAATGGAGGTGAAAGTAATCTTTTCAACAAATGATGCTGGGCAACTGGATATTCACATGTAAAAAAATGAATGTGCCTCCTACTTCATACCATATGCAAAAAATAACACAAAATGGATCATACGCCTGAAAGTAAGGGCTAGAACTATGAAACTCTTAGAAGGAAACATAGGAATAAGTCTTTGTAACCCTGGATTAGGCCAAGATATCTGATATATGACACCAAACCCAAAAGTGACAAAAGGAAAAATAAACTGGACTTCATCAATATTATTTTTTTGTGTGTTTCAAAGGACACCAGTAAGAGGCCGGGCTCACGCCTGTAATCCCAGCACTTTGGGAGGCTGAGGCGGACGGATCACGAGGTCAGGAGATTGAGACCATCCTGGCTAACACGGTGAAACCTTATCTCTACTAAAAAAAAATACAAAAAATTAGCCAGGCGTGGTGGCCGGCGCCTGTAGTCCCAGCTACTCGGGAGGCTGAGGCAGGAGAATGGCGTGAACCCGGGAGGCGGAGCTTGCAGTGAGCCGAGATCGCGCCACTGCACTCCAGCCTGGGCGACAGAGCGAGACTTCGTCTCAAAAAAAAAAAAAAAAGGACACCGGTAAAAAAGTGAAAAGACAGTCCACAGAATGGAAGAAAATTTTGCAAATGCTACATCTGATAAGGGAGTTACATCCAAAACATTAATACATAAAGAACTCTTACAACTCAACAATAAAAGGACAAATAATCTAATTAAAAAATAAAAAAAGACGGCAAGGTACGGTGGCTCATGACTGTAATCCCAGCACTTCGGGAGGCCGAGGCGGGCAGATCACCTGAGGTCAGGAGTTCGAGTTCAGCCTGGCCAACATGGTAAAACCCCATCTCTACTAAAAATACAAAAAAAATTAGCCAGGCATGGTTGTGGTGCCTGTAATCCCAGCTACTCGAGAGGCTGAGGAACGAGAATCATTTGAACCTGGGAGGCAAAGGTTGCAATGAGCCAAGATCGCACCACTGCACTCCAGCCTGGGCAGCAGAGTGAGTCTCTGTCTCAAAAAAAAAAAAGAGCAAAGAAGGTATTTCACCAAAAAGATATTCCAATGGCCAATAAGCACATGAAAAGATGCTCAGCATCATTATCATTAGAGAAATGCAAATCAAAACCACAATAACACACCACTTCAAATTATTAGGATTATTAAAATTTTTAAAAGATAAGCAATAACAAGCGTCAGTGAAAACACAGAGAACCTGGAAGCTTCACAGACTGCCGATGGGATTGTAAAATGATGCAGCCACTTTGGAAAACAGTTTGATGGTTCCTCAAAATGTTAAACATAGAATCACCATGCGATGCAGCAATGCCCCAAAACTAGGTATTTACCCAGGAGAATTTAAAACACGTTCACATCAAAACTTGTACATGAATGCTCACAGAAGCAATATTCAAAATAGCCAAAAAGGGGAAACACAAATGTCCATCAACCGATGAATGAATGAACAAAATGTGGCATATCCACACAACGCAATATTATCCAGCCATAAAAAGGAATGAAGAGGCTGGGTGCAGTGGCTCATACCTGTAATCCCAGCACTTTGGGAGGCCGAGGTGGGTGGATCACCTGAGGTCAGGAGGTCAAGACCAGCCTGCCCAACATGGTGAAACCCTGTCTCTACTAAAAACACAAAAATTAGCCAGGCGTTGTGGGGCGTGTGCCTGTATCCCCAGCTACTTGGGAGGCTGAGGCAGGAGAATCGCTTGAACCCGGCAGGCGGAGGTTGCAGTGAGCAGATATCATGCCACTGCACTCCAGCCTGGGTGATAGAGCAAGACTCTATCTCAAAAAAAAAAAAAAAAGTACTGAAGAACAGATACATGCTGCAACCTAAACAAGCATTTGGCTCAATTGTACCCACAAGAGTTTAATTTATGGAGGTAACCAAGTGACTACACAGAGGTCCATGCCACTGAAAGAAGGCTTTTATGACCTACAGCCCCTGACAGGAGGGGAAGCCAGGCCATGTAGGGCCACATGGGGAAGCACCGATTTTGGACAGGAGGCAGAAGGGTGAGGGAAAAGCCAGGGCCAGAGACTTTATTGTGTTTTCTGCAGGAAAGGCAAGACAGGTCAGGGTTAAACAGTTGAGGACTGACTGCGTAAATAATTTTGCCAGGTTTTAGAGCACAGGGGCTGTCGGCTAGTTGCCTGGTGCCTGTCGCTGGGTTGATTAAGGGCAGGGGAAGATTAGCTTGGTGTGAGAGTTTGATAAAGAAGACCGCTGATTCGTTTGCAAATGAAAGGTGTTCTCCTGGGCCAGGCCTGGGCTTATCTCTAAGAACTGGCTCACTCTGGGAGGGGCAGTGTCTCCCAGTCAGCCAGGCCATGAATGACAAGACATCAAGATTATAGAAAATAAGAAAATATAGTTAATCCAGTAGGCCCGTGATGAATGAATGCCAAATAGACAAATACAGAATCGAAGAAAACACAGAATCACCTTGAAAACATTATGTAAGTAGAAGCAGCCTGTCACAAAAGACATTCTTCCATTCATTGCATCTTTCCATTCATATGCCATGTTTAGAGGAGGAAAATCCATCCACACAAAATGGAAAGCAGTATTTTCCAGAAGCAGGGGAGTGGGGAGAGTGGAGTGGACTGCTAATGGGTGGAGGGTTCCTTTTTGGGGTGATGAAAATGTCCTAAAGTTAGATAGTGGTGATGGTCACATAACTCTGCGAATAAACTAAAAAAAAAAAAAATGAATTTTACATTGTAAAGGGGTGGAGTTTCGAGTATGTGAATTACATAAAATAAAGACAAACAACCCGATGTCCATCAACTGATGACTGGATGCAAAAAATGTGGTATATCCATACAATGGAAATATTTTATGCAATAAAAAGAAATGAAATACTGATACATGCTTCAACACAGATGAACCTTGAAACGATGATGCTATGTGAAAGAAGCTAGTCACTAAAGGCCACATGCTGTTCAATTTCATTTAGAAGAAATGTCTGAAATCTATAGACACAGAAGTGTGATGGATGCCAGGGGTTAGGGGCGTGGAGGAAATGGAGAGTGAGTGCTAATGGGTATGGAGTTTCTTGGGGGGATGATGAAAATATTCTACGATTGATTGTGGTGATTCACAGCTCTGTGAATGTCTCCAAAACCTTTGTGCACTTTAAATGGATGACTTGTACGGCATGTATAAATTATATCTCAATAAAGTTGTTTTAAAAAAAAGATGAGAGTTGTTTAATACTATTAATTGCAAACAGTACATCCATAGAAGAAAAGTGCAGCCTCTGCTTACTAACAGGTCTCTGGTCTGTCTCAGATTTTATAGCTAGAGATGAGGATTCGTGCAGGATCTCACACTTAATCCAGCAAGTAAGAGAGTCACTCTCGGTGTCTAAGCAGCGGAATAACACCGCAAAAGTCCCGTTAACAAGACTATTCTAAGAGTTGAGCAGAGGGCAGAGTGAAGCGAGGCAAGGCTGGGAGCAGGAGCACCAGCGATGAGGCTGTTATCAGTCACCCAGGCACAGGATGGTGGCTCGGAAACAAAAATGAAAGATGAACTGGAAAAGTGAGGAGGAGAAAGAATCAGCAACACCTGGAGGCTGACTACATGAAAAGAGAAAGATGTGCCAAAAATGATCCTTGCGGCTGAGAGCCTGGGGGAATTGAAAGACTGGGCTGCCCCGATAGTTAAGGAGAAACCAGAAAGCGTGAGAATCATGGCCCAGTTGAGGGCCCGTGGTCCAGGAATCAGAACGACTCCATGAATGAGAATCCAGACATGGCTCGATTCCTAAGGTTCCTCAAAATCATTTCAAGCAGCTTACTGAACAAAGACCACTAGGAAAGTTATACTATTTCCTATACGATACACTAGGCGGCAGGTTTGCAGGGACTGGAGAAAACTAGCTATATTAAATTGGGATATCCTAGTGATCTCCAGGGAACCTAAGACTGGAAAATGAGTAACAAATTGGGGCTAGGGCTAAATATTTGGTAGTCATTTGTAGATTTTAAGAAATATTAAAAAGTGAACTTTCTAAGGAAGCACTAGAGCAAGAACAGAGAAAATTAAACATTAAGTAATGTTCTACCTCCTGTTTACCAGGCACTGTACTAGGAGTTTTTTGTTTTTTTGTTTTTTTTTTTTTTTTTTTAACGATTAGAATGTAGACCTTTCTAGAGTTTTGTAGACTGGTGAAGACAAGGTTGAGTATGAACAAGAATCTCTGAAACACAGAAAATGAAAGAATTTTGCCTAGAGAGTTTCTTGGGATTGAGGATTAGGAGGAAAGAGGAAATCAAGTTGGGAAAGATCAGTAGCGTTCAAAGAATGAGAAGGTACTCAACAATTTCAAAAGGGAAGAACTGGGACCTCCCAGTTTGATCAGAAAGCAATAGTGGGGGAAGTGTTTCAATCACATTTTGAAAAAGCTTTTTTTTTTTTTTTTTTTGAGAGAGAGAGTCTCGCTCTGTCACCCAGGCTGGAGTGGAGTGGCGTGATCTCGGCTCCCTGCAACCTCCTCCTCCACCTCCCAGGTTCAAGCAATTCATCTGCCTCAGCCTCCCAAATAGCTGGGATTACAGGCGCCCGCCACCACGCCCAGCTAATTTTTGCATTTTTAGTAGAGACGGGGTTTTGCCATGTTGGTCAGGCTGGTCTCAAACTCCTGACCTCAAGCAATCCACCCGCCTCAGCCTCCCAAAGTGCTGGGATTACAGGCATGAGCCACCGCGCCTGGCCCTAAAAAGCTTTTCAAAGGGAAAGACGGAAGTTGTCTTCAAATATATTGAGTTAGCCCTTCAATGTAAATAAGGAAAAAACTGTATATTTTATATATTTTATATATATATACACACACATAAATATACATACACACACACACACGTATCTCAAGAGAAAATATACATTTGTGTTGCTTTTTCCTAGAACCAATGGAAGAAATCATGAGATCCCCAGTGAATAGGATAAAGACCGTTCTAACCATGGGAGCTCTCCAACAATGGAATGGCTTCCCCGGGAGAGCATGCTCTGGTCCTTGAAAGGGGACAGTTTCCGCGGACAGGTTAGTGGCCAGCTGGTAGAGACAACACAAAGGAATTCACACACGAGAGAGGGAGGAAGCCGACTGAGCTCTAAACTCAGTTCAAAGCTGGATTCCAGATGATGGAAGGAAGAGTTGCTGGAAAATAATGTGGTTTTCCATAGGTGGACTGTCCATTCGGAGAATCTGTTCAACATTGGTAGTAGAGGGATGACAGCTGTGAGAGGTGAAGGGGGTGACTGAAGGTCTCTCCTCCCTCCACTGACTCAATTCAGAGGTCTGGAGACATAAAGACTGAAGAAAAAGGTGGACAGAAGCTAATTTAAGGGAGTGAGATTTCGAGTGAAGTTAAGGACCCACGTCTTCTGAGACTTTAGCACAGGCTGAGTCAGGGATTTTGAGGCTGAACTGTCTCAGTGGACGATCTCCAGGTCCTCTGCATCTTCCAGTATAAGGGACTGGGAGGTTACCAGCGGAAATAGGAGGCCAGGGGAGGGAACCGAGGACTTACACAGAGGGGAAACAGAGAGAGAATAACTAGCCAGGAGGACATCTAAACAAACGGATATAAAGTGAGACTGAAATAAAGAGCGTGCAGCACTTTCCTTCAAACAAGTGCAGCAGGCAGTGTCTGGGACTTTGTCTCCCCCTGCTGAGCCAAGAGGTATGAATGGTCCGCCACGGGGAAAGGGTTTTCACAGGCCAAGAACTGCTTCTTTGGGAAGGAAAACATAACCAACGGTATAAAAATCTCCTTCTCTCTCACAACCACCACGACCCTGAAGCATTAAAGAAGCTGGTAGACAGTGACATGGCTGTGCCAAGACCAGATGCGTGTGGAAGGGGACAGCAAAGGGGACAGCACTGGGCACCCCATGGCCACTCTTGCCAAGATTTCTCTGAAAGCTTCTTCCCTTCACCACCAATCCAACCCCTTTATCCAGAGGCTGTGCCAATGGCCTCTCACGGATTGCAGAGCCTGGGGCTGGGAGGGTGGGGGCAGGAAGTTAGGGATCCTCCCTCAGGTCATGACACAGGCTTGCTTCTCAAAAGATCTGTTGGTCAGGCGCCGTGGTTCACGCCTATAATCTCAGCACTTTGGGAGGCTTAGGCAGGTGGATCACCTGCGGTCAGGAGTTTGAGACCAGCCTGGGCAACATGGTGAAACCCTGTTTTCTACTAAAAATACAAAAGTTAGCCGGGCATGGTGGCAGATGCCTGTAATCCCAGCTACTCTGGAGGCTGAGGCACAAGAATCGCTTGAACCCAGGAGGCAGAGGCTGCACTGAGCTGAGATTGCACCACTGCACCCCAGCCTGGGCAACGGAGCGAGATTCTGTCTCAAAAAAAAAAAAAATCTGTTAAGGAGGATTATGAGGCTCTACACTCTCTCCAAGAGCTTGTTCACAGAATAATCTCTTTTCGGAACCTGAGTAGAACCAATAAAAGTAAAACCCACTGGGGCGTGTGGGGAAGGAGCGCTCTCTGCCACCAGTACTTTGGTCACGACTGTTGCCCCTCGCAGCCCCGCCTTCCTGGCTCCAGAATGGTTGCTCTTTATTTTATAACCCTATTAACATCTTCATTCGTCATTCTAGGACACAGAGGCCAGTTACGTCTGCTATTTGTTAGGTACTATTTTTTAATGGAAATCAACTGCAGTGCTGTTAGGTTCCTGAGGCTTTCCATGGTGAGCCTAAGAAAACAAGCAAAATGCTAAATAAATAAACAAATGCACACACACAAAAAATATCTAGGAGTGTGGTACCCTAATGTCACTCTGTAGGGTGTGATAATAACTACTAAACAAGGTAAAGGCCTTTGAAGTCCTCAGATGAAAGGTTTTACCTAAATACAATTATCCCATTAAATCCAAAAGAACATTCCTGTCCAACAGGGTAGCCCTTTTATCTGTGTTTCTCTGCCAATGAATTTCTGAGATGACAGCTTCCTGTGCCACAGTGATAAAGGGGATTGAAAACAGTTTCAAACAATTTTGCTACTTTTTATTTAATTCCTGAAAGGACAAAAAGAAAAAAAAATTCCTTAAACAGAGGGCAAGAACAAGCAGTAAAAAGCTGACCAATGGCATTTTAGAAGCAACAATCTCATTCAAGGTTAATTCAACATTTGTTAGAAAGAGGGGTGCCCGAGCAGGGACCCAAGGCAGACCTGGGTCAGCCGGGCACGTGAAACAGTCACACCTCCGCTGACTGTGCAGACACAGAATTGGGGGAGAAACACCAAGGCAGCAGTTTATCAAGTGGATGGTGCAACTCTTAGACTCAAACAGAAGATGAGGGAAAAAGAGTAAAGAGGTGCTGTTTAGAAAGGCAAACCTAGGCCGGGTGCGGAGGCTCACACTTGTAATCCCAACACTTTGGGAGGCCAAGGTGGGTGGATCACCTGAGGTCAGGAGTTCAAGACCAGCCTGGGCAACATGGTGAAACCCCATCTCTACTAAAAATACAAAATTAGCTAGGCATGGTGGCAGGCACCTCCCAGCTACACGGGAGGCTGAGGCAGGAGAATCGCTTGAACTCAGGAGGTGGAGGTTGCAGTGAGCTGAGATCGCACCACTGCACTCCAGCCTGGGCGACAAGAGCAAAACTCCATCTCAAAAAAAATAAAAAGGTAAATCTAGTACAGAAGGCCCCCTAGAGAGAGGCTAAGACCCCAGGGCAAGGCCAGTCAGCCAGGCTGGCCTGGACATCCCTGTGGGGCCACAGCCCAACAGCAGGAACGGGACACAGGTGGTTTCCACACAAAGGTGCAGGTCTGACAATTCTGCTCACCCTTGGGACTCTGGCCCTAGAGAAAGATGAGAACTGGCTACCCAATTTACACCCTGGAAGTAGAAGTAAGCCTAGGGGAAGAGTCAATTTAAGGAGAGGCTGCATGGCAGAAAAAAAAAAGCCACTGAAGTTAAATTTTAAAAACTGGGTTTTAATTTAGTCCTAGTTCTGTTATTCAGATGATTTGACTCCCAGCAAGCCACTTACTCTCTCTGAATCTTGGTTCTGACATGTAAACTACAGAATCACCTGCAGACCTCAGACTGTGGAGGGGATAAAACAGAGTAGTGAACGGAACAGCAGTTTTAAAAGATGCATCCACCTATGAAGCATTATTTCACTAATGGCTGAAAGACCACACCTTGGGTGTCCAGGTACAGAACTTTTCGAGTATTATTTGATTAACTATGCAACATGCGTATGTTCTTACTTCCAAAAAGCCATATAGTAACAAATCATTGTTACGTTGCATATAACACACACACACACACACACACACAAATATAAAACCATTGAAGTGGCTGGGTGCAGTGGCTCACGCCTGTAATCCCAGCACTTTGGGAGGCTGAGGCGGGCGGATCACGAGGTCAGGAGATCGAGACCATCCTGGCTAACACGGTGAAACTCCGTCTCTACTGAAAATACAAAAAAAATTAGCTGGGTGTGGTGGCGGGCGCCTGTAGTCCCAGTTGCTCGGGAGGCTGAGGCAGGAGAATGGTGTGATTGCAGTGAGCCGAGATCACGCCACTGCACTCTAGCCTGGGCGACAGAGCGAGACTCCATCTCAAAAAAATAAAATAAAATAAAATAAAAACACATTGAAGTGATTTGTATTATTTATGATCATGTATATGTAAATACCAGTATTTCACTTTTTTTTTTTTTTGAGATGGAGTCTTGCTCTTTTACCCAGGCTGGAGTGCAGTGGCGCGCTCTCGGCTCACTGCAGCCTCCACCTCCTGAGTTAAGTGATTCTCCTGCCTCAGCCTCTTGAGTAGTTGGGATTACAGGCGCTCACCACCGCATCAGGCTATATTTTTGTATTTTTAGTAGAAACAGGGTTTCATCATGTTGGCCGGGCTGGTCTTGAACTCCTAACCTCAAGTGACCTGCCCGCCTCGGACTCCCAAAGTGCTGGGATTACAGGCATGAGCCATGATGCCCGAACAGTATTTCACATTTAATTTGATTTATTCTAGACATAAGCTGAAACAAACTTTATGTCGCCAGAAATGGCCTAAGGAAAAGCACAAGATTGTGCTTTGACTCTAAAGGCACAGAAGAGGCAAGGTGGGAAGGAACATCAGCCGGTGGTGATGAAATGGCTGCTGTGTCCTGGGCCAGGGTGCCGACTCCTGTGACTCTCACAATTTAATTGAGGAAATGAGAACTTAGCCAGAAACAATCGAGAACAAAATAAGGCAATAAAACCAATCAGCCTGGGGCAGACTGTGTGGTCTAAGGATAAGGGCTCTCAAGAGAAGTTTCCAGAAGGAAAATAGCATTACTAGCAGGGTTACCGGGAAAAGCTTCATGGAGGTGGGCAATGAAGGGGGACTATGACGGATGAAGAGAGTTTGAATGCTTGGAAGGGACAGGCCAAGTAAAAACACGCAGCAGGAATAAAGCTAGCAGCTTGAGTAACATAGAGATTTGTACTGGAGCAAAAGAGCTCACTGTTCGCTGCCGCTGAGCCCTCAGGGAGAGCTGGCGAGGCTGCCAAGAGCCAGAGGAGAGGAGAATGCACTCAAAACCCACGTAGTCCGAGAACCTGGGCAGCGCCGACAGTCTGCGGCCATTAATTGCAGGCGTGCAGCGTCCTGAGTAAAGCAGGTGGCGGGGCAGTGTGCAGGGTCAGGGAGGAACTTTGCCTTGGCCTGCTCTGCCCACACTCCACTCTTGAATCTTCCTCCCACCCTTCCCAACACACTCCACATTTATTCCGCACCAACCATGCGAGGAGCTGGGCACTGCAAAAAAACAGCAGCAGTCTCCCTGGGGAGTTAGATACAAAAATAGGGAAGACAGAAACAGCTAAGCACCAAATAAGCAACACTGACATTACCACCAAGGGAAGGAGAGACGGTAGAGAAGGAAGGACTAGCATGGCTGGTTGGGAAAGGTTCCTCAGATGAGATGGTGCTTGGCCAAGCCTTGAGAGAAAATTAAGATTCATGAAGCTGGGAGCAAAACAGGGGTATTAAAGAGAGGTGTCAATCAAGACAAGAAGGTATGAATATGAATGCACAACTGCCCTTTGCAGTGAGTAATGAGCTAACTGGTCTGATGCTGCAGAAGGTTCGTGTAGACAGGCAATGGGAGGGTCAGTACAGAAAGCGATGAAACTGAATTCTGCAGAATCTCAATCACAGGCACTTGATTCTCTTGACCAAGGTTTCTAACTTTGTGGTCCAATGATGAGCTTCAAGTTTTGGCTCATGAACACCCAATGAGAAAATTGCGAATACTTTTTCATATAAGCATTTCAATCTGGGAGACATTAAGTGGCTTTCAGATTCTCAAAAGGGTTTATGACCTAAAGAGTTGAAAACGATTAATGCAGCAAACTGGCAGAATGGTCTGTGTGGGGAGGGGAGAAGGGGTTGGGATTATATAAGTCGAGCCCATTCCCCTCCCCTGAGACCAGCTGTTCTTAACTATACACCAGATAGTCATTAACAAACAGATGCCATTCCTCTCTTTAGTGGCTTCTTGTTCATTAAGTACTTGACAGGGTTATTGGTAGATTACAAAAATAGCTCATCAGGGAAAGTAGAAAGGAGACCAGTGCAGGCAGAGCAGAGGAGAGAACCCAGGAAAAGGGATAGTCAGTAAGAAGATTCGATAAATTAAAATGCCAGAGAAGCCAAAGAAGAAAAAGTCCTGGGAAAGACGAAGTGGTTACAGGTGTCAAGCACAAATATGGGATGAGGGGGGAAAAAGTCTCAAAATTCAATGACCCTCAATGCATGGCTTCTGTAGGGTGATGAGAGGCCAGAGGCTAGAGATAAGGGGTCCAAATCAGGACACTTGGAGAGCAAAAGGAAGTGCCATTGATAATTACGGTGAATGACAGGTATAAGTCAGGACTGTCCTGGGCCAACAGATAGACAGGTAGCTACCTAGTTGAGGAGGAAATGAGTAGTATAGATGGGAAGGCAGCAGATACTGTCTATTAGCTCAAAGGGTTTAGCTGCAAAAAGAAAACTAGGACATTAGTCAGAAAAGCCAGTAGGGAAAAGAAAAGGCTTTACCGTGTATTGATTTGGGAGACAGGAGGACTTCTGGAGGTTCTGAAGAAGGGGGCTGGGTGCAGTGGCTCATGCCAGTAATCCCAGCACTTTGGGAGGCCAAGGTGGGCAGATCACTTGAGCCCAGGAGTTCAAGACCAGCGTGGGAAACACAGCGAAACCCCTTTTCTACAAAAAAATTTTAAAAAATTAGCTGAATGTGGTGGTGTGCACCTGTAGCCCTCGCTACTCAGGGTGGGGCTTAAGTGGGAGAACTGCTTGAGCCCAGGAGGTTGAGGCTGCAGTGAGCTATGATTGTGCCACTGCGCTCCAGCCTGGGCAACAGAGCAAGACCCTGTCTCAAAAAAAGAAAAAAAAAAAGGGAAAAGGGAAGAGGCACAAAGGACTGAGAGCGTTGCACATTCTCCATCCCACGGAACATCATGAGGAACAGCAGCTCCTCCAATACTGCTGCAGGAATGCTGACTGTGGCACTCTGGTTCCTCGGGAACCAGGAAAGGACAGAATAAGCAGGAGTAGGGAGAGACATTTCCTCCTTTGAAACTGTAAGAAAAAAAAAAACCACCTTCTGAAAAGAAAAGGCAGACCGCAGCATTTTATTTCAACCTAGCGAGCATCGACGATCTGGCTGTGAGGAAAGGATGCATTTTCAAATTAGCTTTCACTATGGTTTTCTCTTCCCTTCTCAAGGGAGAAGATATTAAGAAGAAAATAAAGTGAACTCTTAGATGTTCATCAAAGTTAAATCCTGGCTGGGCACGGTGGCTCACATCTGTAATCCCAGCAATTTGGGAGACCAAGGCAGGTGGATCACTTGAGGAGTTACAGACCAGACTGGTCAACATGGCGAAGCCCCATCTCTACTAAAAATACAAAAATTAGCTGGGCGTGGTGGCGTGTGCCCGTAGTAGTCCCAGCTACTTGGGAGGCTGAGGCAGGAGAATCGCTTGAACCCGGGAGGTGGAGGTTGCAGTGAGCCAAGATTGCACCAGTGCACTCCAGCCTGGGCAAGAGTGAGACTCCATCTCAAAAAAAAAAAAAAAAAAAAAGTTAAATCCTGTGCAGACTGGCAGAACTAGAATAAGGGAATATATCCTTATTTCATGTTGTCCAGTGCTGAGCATTGATTTGTAATTTCATTTTACGCAGGCCCAGTGGCTCATGCCTGTTATCCCAGTACTTGGGGAGGCCAAGGTGGGAGGATCGCTTCAGCCCAGGAGTTTGAGACCAGCCTGGGTAACAGTGAGACTTCGTCTCTACAGAAAATAAAAAGACTAAAAATAATTAGCCAGGCATGGTGGCGCACGGTCCATCTACTTGGGAGGCTAGTCCCAGCTCCTTGGGAGCTGAGGCGGGAGGATCGCTTTTGACTTCAGGAGGTCAAGGGTGCAGTGAGCCATGATCGTGCCACTGTACTCCAGTGTGGGTGACAGAGCGAGACTTTTGTCTCAAAAAAATTTTTTTAAATGGTTTCATTTCAGTACAGCTCGGGGGCCATAGAAAGGTCAGGGGAACAGTCACCGATCTAAGGTTCAACTGGGTAAGAAAACATTGGCTGGCGTGGGGACACAAAGATGAGACCACACCCACAGTGCAGCCGGAAAGGAAACTCTGAGCCAAACGCCAGCCAAGAGGTTCAATGAGAAAACAGACGGCCCTTAACTTACAACCGGGCAATTCATCCAAACCGAGCACAGTCTTCCACAGTGGGAAAGGGCAAGTTTTCACAGAACAGATGGAAATGAAGCCACCCCAGCACCTCAGGTGAGGGAGCACGTGACCCAGCAATGCTGTGGGTCAGCGTGGGCTCACCCGGGAGCGCTCAGTATCAGGAAACATGAGGGCACCGATCACATTCTAAATCTCAGTGCTCATGGTATATAGATTTAAGTAACGAAATGGAGATTCATTATAAAAGTCAGTTTATTTTCCCTTTCTGTGTTTCGTATTTTCCCTTTTTGTCAGTAAATGAGCAATACACTGATTGGAAATCTGCATGATTAAATAACATTAACAAGTTCATAAACACACCCCATATCAGAGTATAAAGCAAGAGGTTGAAAAATATCCCCTAACCGAATGCAAATTAGGTATCCCTCAAAATTGCACATTCTCCTCCTAGTTTGCTTGCATAATTTAAAATATGTATATACAGAATGATCTTAAAATATTGATAACTAGTATGGAATTCACAGCCCTGAAGATATATATACTCTACATTTTTCTAAAGAACGGACACCCCTCAGGCCCTAGTAATCCATTCATGTGATTCAATGTCATGTACAGACAGTCCTCAGCTTCTGATTTTTGGACTTTACAATGGTGTGAAATGGTTGCAATTTCAACATAATGTACAATATTCAATAAATTACATGATATATTCAACACTCGATTATAAAATAGAGTTTGTGTTAGATGATTCTGCCCAACTGTGGGCAATTCTAAGTGTTCTGAGTACATTTAGGGTGGACGAGGCTAAGCTGTGGTGTCCAGTCAGGGGTATTAAATGCATTTGACTTCCAATGGGTTTACTGGGACATAACCCCATCATAAGTCAAAGAGCATCTGTACTTGACACTTACTAGAAGAAAAGGTCTTTCCCTTTTCTCTAATTCTAGTCTTCTGCTGAGGTAACTCCAGGAAGCTGCTTGTGCCAGAGATCAATCCTCTAAAAATAGACTAAGCAGATTAGCTTCCTAGAGGATCCTAAGTTCCCAGACAACAAATCTGGGATGGAGTGCTTCGGCTGTGAGTTACACGTCGGAATGTTCAAGATAAATGATGTACCTTATGGTCCTTTACACGTCAGAATGTTCAAGATAACTGATGTACCTTATGGTCCTTGAAAGGAAGACTCAATACTTCCAGGAGTCAAAGTTAATTTGAATGAAAATGGAAGAGAACAAGTTGACAATAATTTGAAGCAATTCATGCTTCTAGGGCTGAATGACGTTTAGATCAGACACAGAGTGACTGAGCCAATCAACAGGCATGTAGTGTGATCTTTCCCACCACAGTGAACAGAGGGATTCTTTGTCCAAGGCAGGCTTGCAGCTCGGTCCAGCTTGAGCATTTGATCAGGATTTGATGCTTCAAAGATGACCCACTCTCTGTAAACTCATTACCAAAGCAAAATGCAATGATCTCTTCCATTTGTGGAACATACCACCAACACAAACCACGCGTGGCTTTGCCTCCTGTTCACTCCATTTTCAAGGCTAGAGAAAGTTCAAGTCCAAAACAACAGTTAAGGTTAAAACGCTAAACCTCAATAGGCCAAACAAAGACGCGGGCAGAGTCAGAGGTCAAAGATGCTGGCAGAGTCAGAAGTCACTCGGCACATTCATGAAACAACAGCAAAAATCATCAACAGTAATTCCTGTAGTGTAGAAAACTAGTGCAGCCTTCACTGCTGGTCAGCATCTCAGGTGGCTGGCAGTGTTGAGAGACGCCTGACAATCCAAGATCAGGCTGGAGCTCCTAGACAAACCCAAATTAGGGCAGACTCGAAGCCCCAGCGGTCCTGATGTGGCTGACATTGTTCTTTCTGTCTCGCGGGCACCGGTCACTCCCTCAATATGTGAGCCTGTCTCCTTAGCACGAGAGAGAATATTTCCCTCACTATTAATGGCGAGATAAACACAATTGTACAACTTGTCTGTAAAGAGAAAATAGTATTAAATATGCAGCAACAGTTTACTTCTGTTAGAGTGTCATGTTTTGAACATAATAATGGATTTGGACAATTACATTCATTTTGACTTCATACAAAGATAATGTTTAATCTTCAATGAATTAGAAAATGATTTTGAAAATTATGGCTAATATTACAAAACACTCAACATCACATTTCAGTTCCCAAAAAAAGAACAATACATACAAATAATTTGCCATAGGCGGAGCAGAGAACTGAGACCAGAGGCTCAGATGAACAACAGTGATCCTTATAATAGATAAAAGTTTTCTTTCTACTACAGTTCCTAGTATGATCACATCAGAAAGTTCATCACAAGATACTTCCCTCTACTTAGCATGGATGTCAGAAATGGAACACAAGTTACATGGGCCCAGTCTTTAGAAGCTAGATGGGAATTAGATGAAAGCTCCAAGGTATTCCTGGAGCTGGACTATCCTGGGGCTCCTTGACCACAGCAAGAGGACAGCTGCCTGGAGTACGGGTGGTGGAAGCTGCCTTCAATTACAGTGCCCTGGATTTGGGGACAGGATACTGAATGCGTCCCTGGTGCCTTCCAGACTCTCTCAGGTAGACCTGTCTTGAGCACTGTCCCACAATAACGTGCCTGAGTATGTCACAGCTCATAACAGAGAGCAATATTTTAAAAGCACAAAGCCTCAGGAGTTTGAGACCAGCCTGGGCAACATGGTGAAACCACCTCTAGGAAAAATTCAAAAAGTTACCAGGCATGGTGGCACACACCTATAGTCCCAGGTAATCAGGAGGCTGAGGTGGGAGGACCCCCTGAGCCCAAGATCACCTGAGCCCAGGAGGTCAAGGCTGTAGTGAGCTGTGATCGTGCCACTGCACTCCAGCCTGGGTGACAGAATGAGACCTGTCTCAAAAAAATAAATAAATAAAAATAAACAAGGCCTTACTCTGTATTGGCTATTTCCAAGAAAGTAGAGAATCCCAGCCAAGAATGTCTAGGGCATCATAAATATTTCCTCAAGAAACTATCAACATTTTAGAACCGGGAAACATGACAGTGTTGATTACAGCAATGCTTCTCTTTTAACTCAAGTGTTGCTTGGTATACATTGTAATTTACTTCAGAATTCCTATATTATATTCAGCAGATAGAGGGTAGCCTAGAAGAGTATACTGATTAGGGGCTGGTGATACTTTAAATAAGTCTCTTCTTGTTTTTCTGAAATCATAAATGGCAATATTCATTAGACTCAGGTCAAGAGCAAACTGAGAGCCTTTTTCTTCCTCACAAAGAAGAATGTGAAGTCAGGCGCAGTGGCTCCTGCCTGTAATCCCAGCACTTTGGGAGGCCGAGTCGGGTGGATCACCTGAGGTCAGAAGTTCAAGACCAGCCTGGCCAATATGGTGAAACCCCATCTCTACTAAAAATACAAAAATTAGCCGGGTGTGGTGGCAGGCGCCTGTAATCCCAGCTACTCGGGAGGCTGAGGTGGGAGAATCGCTTGAACCCGGGAGGCAGAGGCTGCAGTGAGCCAAGATCACGCCACCACACTTCAGCCTGGGCAACAGAGCGAGACTCTGCCTCAAAAAAAAAAAAAAAAAAAAAGAAGAAGAAGAAGAAGAAGATGTCTTTTAGACTAATAAAATGTTACTTTTCACAAAGGAGCCTTTAAAAGCAATCAACAGTTTTGCTGAAGTGACTTAAGTAAGTGCTTTGAACTTAATTAACAGAAAAATGACTTTTTTTTTTTTAAAGGGGCACACACTTACCATGAGAATGAAAAAGTAGAAAACCCACATCCATCCTAGCTTGTCCCGGATCAGAGACACTAAATACTGAAAGGGAGGAAAAAAAAATTACAATATAATTCTTTATAATTCATAAAAGGAAGCAGCTAAAAAGTAGATTAAACATGGCTATTTTAGAAAATAAGAAGGGAACAGGATTTGTATGTTTTGCAGTTTACAAAGCTCTTCCACATACATGTGCCTGCTGTGATTAATGGCCCATTTAAGCATGCAGAGTCCAAATGGAAAAACCGTATAATAGAAGTTGTCAGTTCAGAAGGTTTATTTTTATTCACTTTGCTATTTAGAGAGGAAGATGAACATCCGCAAGCCACTCCCATTTAATCATTCTTTCTTCCAATGAAAGGTACTATAATTGATGCCTCAAAAATAGTTTGTCTTTAAGTATGCCACTCATTTTCCAATTAGGCTGTTTGCTCACAGTGTTGCAGTACTACCTTTGCATCCTACAGCATATTCTTTTATTTTACTTTCAATTACTGAAAAGGATCTAATTGCACTTATTTAACCCATTTTCTTTTTTTCTCTTATTATGGTAAGATATAGCTTACATAAAATTTGCCATTTTAACTTTTTTTTTTTTTTTGAGATGGAGTCTCGCTCTGTCGCTCAGGCTGGAGTGCAGTGGCGCAATCTCGGCTCACTGCAAGCTCTGCCTCCCAGGTTCACATCATTCTCCTGCCTCAGCCTCCCGAGCAGCTGGGACTACAGGCGCCTGCCACCTCACCCGGCCAATTTTTTGTATTTTTAGTAGAGATGGGTTTTCACCACATTAGCCAGGATGGTCTCAATCTCCTGACCTTGTGATCCGTCCACCTCGGCCTCCCAAAGTGCTGGGATTACAGGCGTACTGCGCCCGGCCCATTTTAACCATTTTTAAGTGTACAATCCAGTGGTATCAGTTACATTCATAATGCTGTACAACCAACACTACCATCTATTTCCAAACTTTTTCATCATCCAAATAGAAACTCTGTTCCTATTAAGAAATTAACTGCCCATCTCCCCAGCCCTTGCTAACCTCTTCTTTCTGGTTCCATGAACTGGCCTATGCTAGATATTTCGTGTAAATGGAATCACAGTATTTGTCCTTTTATGTCTGGCTTGTTTAACTTAGCATAATGCTTTCAAGGTAAACTACATTGGAACTTCACTCCTTTTTTTTTGGAGATGGAGTCTCGCTCTGTCACCTAGGCTGGAGTGCAGTGGGGCAATCTCTGCTTACTGCAACCTCTGTCTCCCAGGTTCCAGTGATTCTCCTGCCTCAGCCTCCAGAGTAGCTGGGATTACAGGTGTGAGCCACCATGCTCGGCTAATTTTTCTATTTTTAGTAGAAATGAGGTTTCACCACATTGCCCAGGCTGGTCTGGAACTCCTGACCTCAGGTGATTCACTCACTTCAGCCTCCCAAAGTGCTGGGATTACAAGCGTGAGCCACTGCGCCCGGACTTTCTTTCTTTTTAAATGGAGTCTTGCTCTGTCACCCAGGCTGGAGTACAGTGGTGCGATCTTGGCTCACTGCAACCTCCTCCTCCCAGGTTCAAGCGATTATCTTGCCTCAGCCTCCCAAGTAGCTGAGGTGCCACCCCCCGCCCAGCTAATTTTTGTATTTTTAGTAGAGACGAGGTTTCACCATGTTGGCCAGGCTGGTCTCAAACTCCTAACCTCAGGTGATCCACCCACCTCAGCCTCCCAGAGTGCTGGGATTAAAAGAGACAGGGTCTTTCTCTGTTGCCCAGACTGTAGTGTAATGGTATGATCACAGCTCACTGTAACTTCCCTTCATTTCTTTTTAATGGCTCATTAGTATTCCCTGGTATGGATATACCACATTTAGTTTCTCCATTCATTTGCTGATGGACCCAAGTTGTTTCCACCTTTTGGCTACTATGAATAATACTGCAATAAATGTTGACATACAAATATCTGAGTCCCAGTTTTGTTTTTTTTTTTTTTTTGAGAGAGTCTTCCTCTGTCACCCAGGCTGGAGTGCAGTGGTGTGATCTTGGCTCACTGCAACCTCCGCCTCCCAGGTTCAAGCGATTATCCTGCCTCAGCCTCCTGAGTAGCTGGGATTACAGGCACCTGCCACCACATCCAGCTAATTTTCGTATTTTTAGTAGAGACAGGGTTTCACCATGTTGGCCAGGCTGGTCTCGAACTCCTGACCTCAAGTGATCTGCCCACCTCGGTCTCCCAAAGTGCTGGGATAACAGGCATGAGCCACCGCGCCCGGCCCCCAGTTTTCAATCTTTCGGGAAATACCTAGGAGTGCTGGGTCATATGGTAATTCTATTTAAATTTTTTGGAAGAAGCACCAAAGTATTTTTCACAGAAGCTGCATCATTTTGCATTCCCACCAGCAATGCAGGGCTCCAATTTCTGCACATCCTTGCCAGCACCAGTCACCTTTCCTGTTTGTTTTTTTTTTTGAGATGGAGTCTCACTCTGTCACCCAGGCTGGAGTGCAGTGGCACAATCTCAGCTCACTGCAAGCTCCACCTCCCGGGTTCACGCCATTCTCCTGCCTCAGCCTCCCAAGTAGCTGGGACCACAGGCACCCGCCACAACGCCCAGCCAATTTTTCTTGTATTTTTAGTAGAGACGGGGTTTCACCGTGTTAGCCAGGAGGGTCTCCATCTCCTGACCTCGTGATCCGCCCGCCTCGGCCTCCCAGAGTGCTGGGATTACAGGCTTAAGCCACCGCGCCCGGCCCTTTCCTGTTTTTTAATTACAGCCATCGTAGTAAGCATGAAGTCACAGCTCACTGTGTTTTTGATTTGCATTTTCCCAATGACTAAGGATGCTGAGACTCTTCATGTGCTTATTGGTCATTTGTACATATTTGTCATGAAGATTTGTCCCTGTTTTCTTCTATGAGTTTCATAATTTTAAGTTCTTCAAGTTAGGCCTTTAATCCATTTTGAGGTAATTTTTGCATATGAGGTAAGGTTAGGGTCCAACCTCATTCTTTTTTTTTTTTTTCTTTCCTCTCCCACTCCTCAGCTCCAACTTCATTCTTTTCACGTGGATATCCAGTTTTCCCAATACTATTTATTGAGAGACCATCCTTTCCCCATTGAATGGTCCTGGCACCCTTGTCAAAAATCAATTTGGCCGCAGACACAAAAGGGTAGCATTCTTCAATCACATTATTACTGAAATGTACAAGTGAAAAAAATTAATGCAGAACGACTATGTGATTTATATTAGATCACATCATGTGTAGCAAAAAAGCAGAGGTCTCATCATCCACTACAGGAAGCATGGGGGGCTCCAAACTGACTGCAACTTTGTCTTTTTTTTTTTTTTTAGACAGGGTCTTGTCCAGGCAAGTGGCTCATGCCTGTAATCCTAGCACTTTGGGAGGCTGAGGCAGGAGGATCACTTGAGCCCAGGAGTTTGAGACCAGTCTGGGCAATGTGGTGAAACCCTGTCTCTACAAAAAAAATACAAAAATTAGCTGGGCATGGTGGTGGGTACCTGCAGTCCAAGCTACTTGGGAGGCTGCAGTGGGAAAATTGCTTGAGTCCCAGAAGGCAGAGGTTGCAGTGAGCCAAGATCCTGCCACTGCACTCCAGCCTGGGCATAAGAGCCAGATGCTGTCTCAAAAAAAAAAAATAGAGAGAGAGAGCCAGGGTCTGGCTCTGTCACCCAGGCTGGACTGGAGTGGTGTGATCATGGCTCACTGCAGCCTTGACTTCCCAGGCTCAAGCGATCCTCCTGTCTCAGCCTCCTAAGTAGTTGGGACAGGCACATACCACCATGCTCAGCTAACTTTTTATTTTTTGTAGAGATGAGGGTCTCACTATGTTGCTTGGGCTGGTCTTGAACTCTTGGCCTCAAGTAATTCTCCTGCCTTGGCCTCCCGAAGTGCTGGGATTACTGGCATGAGCCACCACACCTAGCCTCATGTACAAGTTTTAATGTGGACATTTGTTCTCATTTCTCTTGGGCAGATACTGCAATTTAATCTTACTGAACCCCTAGTATGTGTCAACAAAAGCACTAAGCATTGGGAATACAAAGACGAAGGAAACAAGCAGAGCACCTGTCACGGTGCATCACCTTTACACCGTGACAGGTGCCTACTACAGAACCGCATCAACTGCTATGGCAACCTGAAGAAGAAACAATTCTTTACTTGGGAAGTCAGGGAAAGACGGGGTAACAAAGTTATTCAGGGTAAATTAGTACACTGGCTAAGGACAGAGCTGATAGAGGTTAACGCTAAGTCACAGAGTTTGGGATTTCACCCCTTAGGCAATGGGAAATCATTCAAAACTCAACATGGAAGAGGAATGAGTAAAGCTAACAGTGATTTACTCCAGACGTGCTTCCCCAACCATGAAGGTCAGTCTAGGACCCAAGTTCACAGTGAGGGATCTGGATACTGGCAGGTGAGGCAATCTGAATAAAAGCAAATTCTCTGAAATACTCATTATAATGCACCCATTTAGTTAGTGAAGAAAACATTCGTAAGGAAGGATAACTTAAAATAATATAATGTCAGAAAAGGATGCCCAATGCAGCCACTCTCTACCCCATAGGTGAAGACGTCTGAACTGATGGCTGGGAGCATTTTTCGATTCCCGCTCCAGGGCATGATCAGGTAAGCGTATTTTTCAAGGCTTTGCTAAGGTTTTTGTTTCTTTGGGGTTTTTTGCCCTTTAGTCTTATAATCAAATATGCCAAGCATATCAGTCATTCATTCCACAAGTAATGTCTACTGTGTGCCAGGCACTGTTCTAGGTACTAAGGTGACAGAAGAACATACAACAAAATGCTGCGCTCAGGAAGCTTATGTTACAGTGGGAGAGACAGACATTAACAAGTGCATATAGACTATTAAAATACGGCTAGGTAGTCAAAGTATTAACATGGCTTACTTTACCTCAATACTTATCTCTCATTAACCACTAGCAATCAGACATCAGCAATTCACCCCCATCAAGCAAGTAACAATAATCTTCAAGGTTATTAATGACCTCCTAGATGTCAAAACTAAGAGCCTAAAAGACAAATCCTTCAGTTCTCTTTCTCCTGACCTCTCTACATCCATGACCTTACTAACGCCTTCTCAAACGCAGTTCCCTTGACTACAGGTTACTCTGCTGCCTTCCTCTTTCTTTGACCACTGGGCATTCCCTGAGACTCGGCCAACATTCTCTTTCCCTATTAAATGTTTCATTCACTTCCACAGGTTCAACTATTTTTATCCATACAGATGACTCTCAGATCCATCTTTCTACAAAATTAGTACTCTACAATCTGTAGTGGTATATCCTAGAAGAGGCATGACTCATGACTCTGCCAGAAAAGAAATATCTGTCCCAGAGAAAGTTGAATTTATGCAAAAAAAAAAAAGGTCAATGTAAATAATTCTAAGTATAGTAGGCCAATCTTAGTGTAGGGATCTCAAACATCTGAGTGTGGAAGAATCACCAAGAAGCCTTGTTGAAAATACAGATCTGTAGGTTCGAACTCAGCAAGTCTGTAGTATGCTTGGTGTTCTGTACTTTAATGAGTGTCCCAGATGATTCTGATACCAGACACTTATGGGCCACTCTTTGAGATACAGTCAGAGATTTTTGGATACACAGGAAGCAGAGCGAGTGATTCAGAAGCAGCTGCAGAGTCCATGGCCATGTCTGGCGGGGCCCAGGAAGGAACGTGTATGCAGTAGAGTGTCTGGGAGAGGGAGACGGGAGACAGCAATGGTGGGGTCCACATGCCAGGTGGGGATAACAAGAAGCACCCCCCACCACGGAATACCAAGTTCAGCCTGGAAAGAAAGAAGGGGATGGTGGGCTGGGGCAGAAGGATCTGTCTGTCTTACGAGGTCTTAGCTTATTTGCAGACAGGAAGAATCTAGAAGTATAAGTAGAAAAAAGGAACTAAAAACAATGGAGAGTCCTTCTACATTAGGACGCATCAGCTGGTCCTGAGGGGAGACGGAAGTCCTTGGGCTCTGGGAACAGCGTTCTACAGCACAAGAGTGCCACCTACTGAGGCCCAGAGGGCAGGTTCACATTCAGCCGCCTTTGAGGGAAGACACTAGAATCCCAGCCCCTCTCCTGTTCTCTCACCTGGCCCACTGCAGCTCCAATGCTCCCCGAACCATCCACAATTCCTGTGACAGTGGCCAAAGCTTCACTGCTCCTTTGGATGAGCTCCTGGCGACCCAAGTCCGCAGAAATAGCAGAACTAATCATATTAGAAGGTCCACCAATAAAAAATCCTGAAGTCATAAACAGGTTCTTATTAAAACACAATTCACAACCACTAGCAATCTACTGCATAAGGCAAAATAATATCCGAATAGTTTTCTTAATATGTTGGAGAGAAGTGGAAAAAAAAGGAAACCCCCAGATAGTATCATTTTCAAACTATTAGTAGTTAACATCCACGTTCCTGAAATCCCTTCTCGAATTATGTGACACTCTAGTATATTTTGTAGAACCCAAAGATACAAAAATAGTGAAACACATAGCCCTTCTAATCCTGTGAAGTTTACATTCATTAATAACTAATTGCACTAGCTTGTCAAATAAATTCTATTACGGTAGTTGCATCATATGATCATTCCACTACACAAATTCAACCAGGAATATTGAAAAAAAAGAGCAAAGAGGAAAAAGCCACTGCAATGGAGCAGGTGACTCTATCTGCCACTGCTCTCAGTGAGGCTGCCCATGAATCAGGCATGCGATGGCCCAGGTGAATCTGGTCCCACTGCTGGAATCAGTTCCATGTACCCCAAGTAGAATGAGCAGCTCACTCTCCCAAGCATGATCTAAAGTTTAAAATAAGTAACTTTTCTGGCCGGGCGCAGTGGCTTATGCCTGTAATCTCAGCACTTTGAGAGGCTGAGGTGGGCAGATCACCTGAAGTCAGGAGTTCGAGACCAGCCTGGGCAACATGGTGAAACGCTGTCTCTACTAAAAATACAAAAATTAGCTGGGCATGGTAGCAGGCGCCTGTAATCCCAACTACTTGGGAAGCTGAGGCAGAAGAATCACTTGAACCCAGGAGGTGGAGGTTGCAGTTAGCTGAGATCGCACCACTGCACTCCCATCTGGGTGACAAGAGCGAGACTCCTTCTCAAAAATAAAAATAAAATTAGAAAGTTTAAAATAAGTAATTTTTCTGGCTGGGGATGGTGGCTCACGCCTGTAATCCCAGCATTTTGGGAGGCCAAGGCAGGTGGATCACCTGAGGTCAGGAGTTTGAGACCAGCCTGGGCAACATGGTGAAACCATGTCTCTACTAAAAATACAAAAATTAGCTGGGCGTGGTGGTGCACGCCTATATTACCAGCTACTCAGGAGGCTGAGGCAGGAGAATCACTTGAACCCAAGAGGTGTAGGTTGCAGTGAGCTGAGACTGTGCCACTACACTCCAGCCTGGGCAACAGAGCAAGATTCTGTCTCAATAAATAAATAATAAATAAAGTAAGTAATTTTTCTATAACATAGTCCCTAAATGCACCCAACTATTTTATCTAGTGCTCAAGTGACAAAATGCTGACCAATTCCAACACAGGAGGAGACACGAGCTATTGTGGATTTTTTTGAAAGCTGGTGAATTGGTCTCCCATGTGGCATTTTTCTAAGTCACTTTTAGAGGTAAGAGCAGAAGCTGGGGCAGCAATCAAAAATCGTAGAAAATCTCTGTCAATAGGGACCGCTTCTGTCACAATAGGACTGAGGAGGTCATGTAAGAAACAGCAGAGAAAAAGAATCTGGAAAAGGAGGCGTTTTTCCTTTTAAAATTTGAATTCTCTGTAATTAAGGTTTCGGTACTACTCAAATTGAGGGAGAAAACAGTTTCCCTTTTCCTCTGAATTTACAGAGCAACAGAAGCATGGTGGAGCAGAGCCATGTGCCGTACCTGTAACAGTCATCAGAAGGGCATTGATGGACTTATCATTTGGAGAACCTGTGAGGGAAGACACAGACAAACCATGGTGGCTTGAAAAGCAGACTCCACGTGCCTCTGCCAACCGTACGCGAAGATCTGAATCTCCGTGACCTCACAAATCACTCCCAGAGACAACAAAGAGACACAACTCTCTCTGCCTCTTTCAACTCTGATTTGTAACGTCTGCCTCTTGCTAATGCTCAAGCTAACAAGACTTCTAAAAGCTAAAGAAAAGCTCTACTCCTGTCTCAGCAGCATCTTAAGGGAATATACCAAACCTACTAATTACCATCTTTCCGCTTTTGAAACCTGTTCCCTTTTTATTGTTTTATTGGCTATAATGCTGTGCCTCTGGAGCCTCCCCCAAACAAAGCATATACACTCCCAAGCAAGCTTTTAAGCAAATTAACAAAGCAAAAGAGATGCCAGTTTCCTCCCAAGACAAATAAAACTATGTGATGACAGGTTTCCCAGGCATTCACAGGACAATGCAAAGGTGGCATATCGGGCCTTGAAGCTGGTCTCCAGGCTCTCCCCAGCACTGGTCACTGACTCCAAACAAATGCCTTATTCCAACCAGATTAGGGGAGCAAAGGAATTAGTAATTGCAAAAGAATACTCACGACTATACCCGATGAGGGACCCAACTGCCAGAAGCAGACTCAGGGCAAGAACCGGCGCTCTCTTCTGTAGTACATCAGAGATGAAGCCTTGCAAAGTTCCACCTTCAAGCAGAGTGTCGAGCAATCAAAATCACTTCTAATTTAGCTCGCTCACCTGAGGCGTGCTCCCCATTTGCCCTCTAGTCTCACTAGCAGCAGCCTGACACTAGTCTATCAAAAAATATGGCTGGGCCGGGCTCGGTGGCTCACACCTGTAATCCCAGCTCTTTGGGAGGCTGAGGCAGGTGGATCACAAGGTCAGGAGATGGAGACCATCCTGGCTAACACAGTGAAACCCTGTCTCTACTAAAAATACAAAAAAATTAGCCGGGCGTGGTGGCGGGCACCTGTAGTCCCAGCTACTCAGGAGGCTGAGGCAGGAGAATGGTGTGAACCTGGGAGGCGGAGCTTGCAGTGAGCCGAGATTGCGCCACTGCACTCCAGCCTGGGTGACAGAGCGAGACTCTGTCTCAAAAAAAAATAGGTCTGACTCCCTGAAAAGGGGTCCTCCATAACTTCCTTTTAGGAATAAACTGTCTGTTAAATCACCATGATGACCAGTGGGGACAGGAGACCACAAATCAGACAGCAAAACATGAAAAAAGGAAAAACTGTCAAAGCCATCGGCTATCCCTTACAAAAACAAGTTGTGAATGCTATTTTTGATTTTTCTTTTTAATTTGAAAGATAATGAATTAAGAACTATGCCTTGCTGGGCATGGTGGCTCATGCCTATAATCCCAGCACTTTGGGAGACCAAGGCTGGGGGACTGCTTGAGGCCAGGGGTTCAAAACCAGCCTGGGCAACACAGTGCCCTTATCTCTATAAAAGATAAATTAGCCGGGCATGGTAGCACGTGCCTATATTCCCAGCTACTTGGGAGGCTGAGGTAGGAGGATGGCTTGAGCCCAGGAGGTTGAGGCTGTGGTGAACCGTATCGTGCTGCTTGAACCCAGGAGGCTGAGGCTACAGTGAGCTGTATTGTGCCACTGCACTCTAGCCTGGGCAACAGAGCAAGACCGTGTCTCAAAAACCAAAAAAACTGTGCCTTACAGTATATTGAGGCCAGTAGGTGGGCACAGTGGCTCACGCCTGTAATCCCAGCACTCTGGGAGGCCGAGGTGGGCAAATTGCCTGAGCTCAGGAGTTTGAGACCAGCCTGGGCAATACAGTGAAATGCCATCTCTACAAAAAATACAAAAAAATTAGCTGGGTGTGGTGGTGCATGACTGTAGCCCCAGGTACTTAGGGAGGATCGCTTGAGCCCAGGAGGTTGTGGCTCCAGTGAGCCAAGATCGTGCCACTCCAGCGTGGGCGACAGAGCAGTACCCCCATCTCCAAAAAAAAAAAAAAAGAAAAAAAAAAGTGGCTAGTAAATATTCACTAAAATAAAATTTAGCAGTTATGGTTTGCTAATAGGACACAATCTTTAAAAAGCAGGGATATGAATCTTTCAAGCAACAATGTCACATACAGCACCATTCTGAGTTGTAGGGGCTATTGGACATCTGGTGTGTCCTTATCAGATAGCAGGCAGCTGGACAATTTCAACTTCAGAGGATACAGAATATGGTGAGGTCTAACGGTGGCAACCTCACCTTTGGCTCTGGATTTAAGAATACGGGCAGCCAAGTTCAAATACAGTAATAGCAGATTGCCTAGCACAGACTGTGTGCTTTCACAAGCTCACGGCAGTTGAGTCTCACCACAATTCTAAATGTTAACATTATTGAAGGTTATTAAGATCTGGCACAGCCATGTAAGTAATACCCACTAAAATACATTCTGCTCCTCTGCCTTACTTCCTTGTTCATACTTATTACCTCCTTGTTGATACTTCTAGCTACAGCAAAAAAAAAAAAAACCACTATTAAAATCTTTGTTTATAATGAAACAACTGTAAAACATTCACAAAAATTAATCCCTGCTGTTACGTCTACCTCTATGATCTGACGACCTACACACTAAGGTGTATTTCCCCTTTATCCTCAGCAGATATGTTCCATGACCCCCGTGGATACCTGAAACCACAGACAGTACCAAACTCTATACATACTATGTTTTTTTCTATACATACATACCCACGATCAAGTTTAATTTATAAGTTGGGCACAGAAATTAACAATAACGACAAAATAGAAAATAATAACAATATACTGTAACATAAGTTATATGAATGGTCTCTCTGAAAATATCTTATTGTACGGTATTAAGAGTAACTGAAACTTCGAAAAGTGAAACCACAGATAAGTGGGGGACTGGTGTATTCTTCCTTATTAGGCTGGGGAAGGTGGGGAAGGTGGGAGGTAGATACAATGAACACGTTCATATTCTAACTTGGATCTCTGACATACAATTAGCTTTAGAGCTAAGATATCACTGAGAAAGCCGTATGAAAGGATTGCATTTAAAGAGATTCCCATGTGCTTCCCGAGACAAAAGAACTGATCCATCAACAAAGGACTAAGAAAAAAGAGTCCAATAAATCACAGCGCTGCCTTAGGCTAGGTCTTCCTTTCTATGGACCTCTTGTTTTTTCTTTTCTTTTCTTTTCTTTTTTTTTTTTTTTTGAGTTTGGCTGTTTACTAGTAGGACAGTTTAGGGAAAATGGCTGTAGAATAAGTAATAAAACTTTAAATGAGGCCAGATTTCACAACCCAGTAAAAGATCACTAGTGACTAACTCTTTATTATGGAAAAGATGTATCACCGGCATACCTATGATCCCTCCAACGTCGTACCAAATGGACAGCTTGTCGGCTTCCGCCTCCTTCCAGCCGAAGTTGTTACTCAGATAAAAGGGGAGCCAGAAGAAGAAGGAGTAATTCACTAACTTCAAGCAGGCGTAGGCCAGTGAGTACTACAAGAAAAGCATTCAACTATCAGCGAGGGACAAATAGCACAGCACGACTACCATTTTTAATGTCATTTAAAAGCAAAACAAAATAAAGGAAGTTAGGATGAACAGAACCTGATTTTACAGTTAAACATCTCTACAAACTCCCACATGCCTGACTTCAGCTAGTCTCCCTCTGCTCTTCATCCCTGTTAACTTCTAGACAGGCATGTACAGCAGGCCTTTGGAATAAAAAACACCTATGGCTACTTCTTAGCTGTGTCCAGTTTCTCCTCCTATCAGTTCTCTGGTAGAAGCAAGCCAGTGTTTTGAACCTATAAGGCAGAGCACATACCCATATTTCTTTATTCACACAAAGAGGAATGGTATTCATGCCACTAACCAGCGTTAACCATAGGCAAAGAAGTCCAGGAAGCATCACGGCCTTTACTGGGAGCAGCCAAACGGGGTTGGTTATTCTACTCCTTGCCAAGGCAACACTGTGAACAATGGACAGCAAAGGGACTACACTACAGTTCCACGGTCTAAGAAAAGCAGCAGCATGATAATTCCTTTCACACTAGTTTTCAAAAGCTCCACATTCCCTGGTCTGGTGGCAAAGAAGAGAGTCTCTCTGGCGAGTCAAAAATGAAAGAACATGTCATCATCGGCCTCGTGGCTCTCCCTTGAGGGGAAAAAAATGCTGCAGCTGCATGAAGATGGTGGTGGGGCTGAGACTCCTATATTCAACACATTACTACCAGGAAATCCTGACATTCAGCATCAAAGGAAAAAGGGGGGGGGGACAGAGGGGCTGACTTCAAAGGGTGTCTGGCTAGTATATTCTTTTCCCTGGAGCTGCCAGTTATTCCCTAGGTATCACTTGTTTTAAAACAGCTTCCCTGGCAGGCAACAGCCACCCCCTAGAGAGCCAAATCCCAATCACGAGTGCATTCTGACCAGACAGCCTGCTACAAAGACAAAGGAATTAAGTTAACTAGATTTCCTTTACATCCCTGCCCATGTCAGAGAACAATAGCTTGTGAAGAACAAAGGAACAGCAAAAGAGGTCCATATTTAGTCACGACAAAGTTCTTTCTCAAAAATTAAACTATTACCAGCAGAGTACTTTAAAAACCAGTTAAAAGATAATAATCAATAGCATAAGAACAGGTCTAAAGCAACCTGCATTTCTCTTATATCATATATCATCACTGGGTTAAAGAATTGTGGAAAATTACATTTTAATTCATACTTAACTTTGTTGGAAATGTTAGTTCTCTCAGCTTGGAGGCACTGACAGAAGGGGATTGACAGGCATGTATTAAGATGGCCTACAGATCACTCTACCTGAGGGATCACATTCATAAAGCACCATTGACAAATGAAATAACAACAGGTGCTTGTTCAAAACACAACAGCCCAATGTTACAGGCCCCAGGGAAGAGTGGAATAATTTCTATTCCATGGGAAGGGGAACTGAGACACACGGACGGGTTGCGTGACTCACCCCAGGTGTCACAGAAAGTTAGTGGGTAAGCTGGAAACATAACCTAGGCCTCTTAACTTCCACTCCAGTGCTAGAGTGCCCGAAACATCAAGACAGAAAAACTGCAGCAGAAGGGATTTAGTGTAGACGTTAGAAGGCTTTCCTGACTGCACAGGCTGTGGAAAACACTGGAATGCATTACCAAGAAAGACTGTGGAGTGCTCTCTTCTGGACCCTTTAAAAGGGGGCAAGCCAGGCGCGGTGGCTCACGCCTGTAATCCCAGCATTCTGGGAGGCCAAAGTGGGCAGACCATGAGATCAAGAGATGGAGACCATCCCGGCTAACACAGTGAAACCCTGTCTCTACTAAAAATACAAAAAATTAGCCAAGCATGGTGGCATGCACCTGTAATCCCAGCTACTCGGGAGGCTGAGGCAGGAGAATCGCTTGAACCCGGGAGGCAGAGGTTGCAGTGAGCCGAGACTGCGCCACTGCACTCCAGCCTGGGTGACAGAGCGACACTCCGTCCCAAAATCATAAATAAATAAATAAAAAATAAAAGGGGGCAAGGCAGACTTAGGAACCATTCACAACCCTTCTTCTTGGTCCACATATAATTCTATAATACTTCGAAAGGCCCAAAAGCACACATTAAAAATTATCAATTTTGCCTTTTTAATCACATACCAGATCAGGGTCAGGAAAGCAGAGCTCTTTGGCCAAGTCTGGCCACGTCTAACTGTCCCATGTTTTCTGTGGCTTATTTTGTTCTACAAAGCTGAGTAGTTGGGGGAGAGACTGGATGGTTCCCCGAAGTCAAAAATATTTATTCTCTGCCTCTTCATGGAAAAGGTTTGTCAACCCCTGCATTAGAGATCAGATAAGCTGAGGGGCACTAGACAACATTCCTCAGCACGTATATTCCTAAAATAAAGTATCCAACAGAGGCTCAATACTTAAGGAAGCTTTATCTCAGGCAGAGGAGATGTCACGGGCTCTCATACCTCCCTGGCTGTGGTAAGATGTAAGCGGTCCTTACCGGTATGACTCCAGGAAGGCAACATGCCTGGTAGAAGCTTATCGCCTTGACTTGGGCAACAGAACTATCATCTTGGATTGAATAATTCGGCTCATATTCGTCTTCATTTTCACCACCATTAATTAATGGCCTGTGTGAGTCTTCTTCAAAGTTTTCTTCTGCCTCAATACCCGAGAGACCTAAAATAACAGCGACAGCCACTGTTTATGGAGTGCCTACCACGTGTGAAGGGCTCTGCATACATCCCTACTTATGAGGTGATGTTATTTTTATTTCCATTTTACAGAAGCAGCAACGAAGGTCCAGAGACCGAGGTCAACTAAGGTCAATTAAAGTCACACAGTCTATCTAAAAATACTCAAAAGATAGAAGAATTGTACATCTGTTTGCTTCTGTGGTTTCATTTGTATGTAATCTGTATTTAACTACAGGTTAAGTATCTTTTTTGTGCATCATTTTTATGGATGAAAAGAAATGTTTCAAGAAGTGAAATCAGAAATACATCTATGTTCATTCCTTGCCAGTGTCTCAATTATAAAAATAATTTGCAAATGCGAAGATTTTCCTGTATCTATAAAAGACGTGCATCACTCCCCTCAAACACGTCCAGCTGTGCCAGGGGCTGGCTACAATGTCGACAGGACTCAAACGGCAGTACTGTTCTCCTTTCACTCACTAAAAGGAGCTCAGAGTTTTCCTAGGAAAAAAGAGATTCGATTTCTTGGCCTCAGATTTCCTTTCGGCCATAATAGTAAGACATTCGGAATAGAAGGGGCGGCTTCTCCTCACCAATTTCTTCTGGTGACACCAGGAGTCCAAAGAAGATAACGATCCCACCAGCAAACTGCACAGACGCCGTCACCAGAAAGGCATACTGGAGGAGAGGGGTGAAAGGTGGTCCTTACATATCTGGGGACAGTCATCACAAGCACATTCATTAAAGGTGTGTGGGGGAAGGTGGGGGTGGGGGAGAGGTGGGAAGGGAGACCGGGAAGCAAGGGAGCACCCAGAGCTTCTACTGGGCCGGGCGCCATGCAAAGTGTTCTACTCGTGTTTTCTCATTTAATTCTTCCTGGTGATTGTATGAGGCTCAGAGAGGAGAATGAAGCTCCCCTGGATACTAAGTGGTACTGTTATGATTGTGAAATTAGACTAGCTCCAAAAATCTAGGTCTTTGTATCACATAGCCTCTCATAAAAGACAGTATCTGCCCTCAAAGATATTACATACAGTTGAGGGGATTAAATACATGAAACAATATTATAAAGCACCAAGAAGCTGAATAGATGAGAAGGCCCAATCCTACTGAGAAACATATACGGGAATCCAGATGAAGGAAAGAGCTGAAGAGGTTGAAGCAGTAAGACAATGTCTTAGGGAAGAATGGAAAATCAAAGTCAATTGCCCATCTTTCCAGGCACACGGTAAGCAAAGACACAGGGTGGAAGGAGATAGAAAGCTTACTGCACGACTCAAGGAGAGGGCTTCTGCTAGGGGATAATCAGGAAGAAAACTGATTTGGAAAGGTGACAGCTAGATTAAAGACTCTCAACCCCCAGGCTGCACAGCTGAATTTTTATTTAACAGAGAATGGAACCTGATGTGGACACTGAATTTTTAAACCGATGAGTGACAAAATTAGTGTTTCCAGAAGTCAAATCTGAGAGCAGCTCAGAAGGTGAACTGAAATTTTCATCTGAACCAACTATACAATCCAGGTGTGAGGCTAAGAAGCCTAGAATAAAGGTGGCCATGAATGAAGGGAATGAAGGACTTCTCACTGACCCTAACTACACCAAAATTCTTGGTGAGCTGTTTAAAAATGTATCTACCTTTTAAAAGAGCGAACTTACCTTTAATAATTTAGGTTTTTGAGTAGGTAATATATTCACATGATTCAAGCAACAGAGGAATAAGAGGTACAGTCAAGCTGGGCACGGTGGCTCATACCTATAATCCCAGCACTTTGGGAGGCCGAGGTGGGCGGATCACCTGAGGTCAGGAGTTCAAGACTAGCCTGGCCAACATGGTGAAACCCCATCTCTACTAAAAATACAAAAATTACCCAGGCGTGGTGGCGTACACCTGTAATCCCAGCTACTCGGGAGGCTGAGGCAGGAGAATCTCCTGAACCCAGGAGGTTGCGGTGAGCTGAGATCACGCCATTGCACTCCAGCCTAGGTGACAGAGTGAGACTCTGTCTTGGAAAAAAAAAAAAGAAAGTACAGTAAAAACTCTCCTTCCTACCCCACCTTCCCCATCTGCTCAATTCTCCCGATTTTCCCAACATATAACCATTGTTGTTCATTTTTACTGCCCAGAAATTGTTTTGGAAACATACAAGCTAATACAAGCATATTCTCTTTCATTCTTCCTTCTTACATAAATGGCATTCAATACACAGTTTTGCACCCTTGCTGTCTTCACTTAGCACACTGTTTTGTTTTGTTTTTTTTTTGATACGGAGTCTCGCTTTGTCACTCAGGCTGGAGTGCAATGGCATGATCTTGGCTCACTGCAACCTCCGCCTCTTGGATTCAAGCAATTCTCTGCCTCAGCCTCTGGAGTAGCTGGGATTACAGGTGCCCGTGACCACGCCCGGCTAATTTTTGTATTTTTAGTAGAGACAGGGTTTCATCATGTTGGCCAGGCTGGTCTTGAACTCCTGACCTCGTGATCCACCTGCCTCAGCCTCCCAAAGTGCTGGGATTACAGGCGTGAGCCACCACACCTGGCCCACTTAGCACACTTTTGAGATTGCTGCAGTGCACTGCTATCAGTTCATACAGAGCTTCCTCATTCGACTTCACAGGTGCACAGCATTGCTTTCAACAGGTTTATCATGGTTGAACTATGTCCCTGTTCGCTGACAGTTGTGTTCACTCTTTGGCTATTATAAACAATGCCAAAATAAAGAATCTTGTAGATGCATCATTTGCATGTGTTTTAGTCTATTCATCTGTGTGAATAATTCCTGGAGGTGGAACTACTCAGTGTGCGTAGTTGTAATTTTGACAGACACTTCCATATTGACCCCTCCATGAGTTAGTGACTCTGTTAGTCTTTCAACTGCAATGCCTGTCTCTTCAGGTTCTTAAAAGTACAACATGTTTTCAAACTTTTGGATTTTTAGTCTAATAAGTATACAGTATAGTTTTTCTTCCTTTTTTTTTTTTAAACAACATAGCTTTAATTTGCATTTCCCTGCTAAGTTCCATAAGAACAGAGATTTTTGTCCCTGTTGGTCAGTTCTATATTCTATAGTTCCAAGAGCATATACAGGGAGTTAAATATTTATTAAATGAATAAGCAGTGAGTAGAATATTTTACATATGTTTACAAGCCATTCCTACATGCTTTACATGAGCTATACATTCAAATTCTGTATCTTTCTGTTGTTGGTCTTTTTCTTATCAATTCATGGATGCTCTTTACATATTAGGGGGGATTAGTCTTTGCTTTTTGGTGTTTTTTTTTTTTTTTTTTGAGACAGGGTCTTGCTCCATCACCAAGATTGGAGTGCAGTGGTGTATCTTGGCTCACTGTACCCTCCAGCTCCCAGGCTCAAGCAATCAATCCTCCCACCTCAGCCTCCTGAATAGCAGAGACTATAGGCATACACCCCCACACTCAGCTAATTTTTTAGTTTTTTTGTAGGTACAAGGTCTCATTATATTGCCCAGGCTGATCTTGAACTCCTGGGCTCAAGTGATCCTTCTACTTCAGCCTCCCAAAGTGCTGGGATTACAGGCGTGAGCCACCATGCCTGACCCAGATTAGTCCTTTATCTGTAACATGAGTTGCAAATACTTCTCAACTGGTTATATGTCTTTAGACTCTCCATAGTGTTTTTGTTACGAATAATTTTTTATGTGTTTGAATATATCAGAAGTTTATCTACTTTTAATGAATATATCAGAAGTTTGTCTACTTTTTTTTTTTTAATTAATTTATTTCTGAACAGAGTCTCACTCTGTCACCCAGGCTGGAGTGAAGCGGTGCGACCTTGGCTCACTGCAACCTCCGCCTCGTGGGTTCAAACGATTCTCCTGCCTCAGCCTCCAGAGTAGCTGGGATTATAGGCATGCGCCACCACACCCAGCTAATTTTTGTATTTTTTGAGTAGAGACGAGGTTTCACCATGTTGGCCAAACTGGTCTCAAACTCCCGACCTCGGCTGATCCGCCTGCCTTGGCCTCCCAAAGTGCTGGGGTTATAGGCGTGAGCCACCACACCCGGCCAGAAGTTTGTCTACTTTTAATACAAGCCTTGCCCTATCCAGACACAGTTCTACATAGTTTTAAATGGCCACAGTATTATTTAATACATAAAAAGCAATACACATGTGCACACAGAGAGAGAGAGAGAGCACCAGAGCTAGAAAACAATACCTACCTCATAACCATACTGAAGAACAGAAGAAGCTAGGCACGCTCCCAAAATGTTGCCCACCGAAGCACAGGCACTCCAGAGACCAAAAACAACTCCTCGTCTAAGATGGAAAACAGTGGGAGACAAAGGGCCATGGTCAGAAGAGATACTCTGGGCAGTTCAAAATACAAAACAGCCAAAACAACCAAGGTGCATACTACCAAGACTAAACATGCTATTTAAAAAGTTTTTAAAAATACACTAAAATGGGCTGGGCGCAGTGGCTCACACCTGTAATCCCAGTACTTTGGGAGGCCAAGGCGGACAGATCACCTGAGGTCAGGAGTTCGAGACCAGCCTGACCAACATGGAGAAACCCCATCTCTACTAAAAATACAAAATCAGTTGGGCGTGGTGGCAGGCGCCTGTAATCCCAGCTACTCGGAAGACTGAGGCAAGAGAATAGCTTGAACCCATGAGGCAGAGGTTGCAGTAAGCCGAGATCACGCCACTGCACTCCAGCCTTGACAACAAAGCGAGACTCCACCTCCCAAAAAAAAAAAACAAAACAAAAAAATCCAGAATATAAGGCCCTCAAAACTCAGTAAAATATGACAACAGACAATGCAATAGTATGTTAAAAAGCATGAATCTACAATCATCTCAAAATACAAAGTCTTTGAAAAGTGGGCAAAAGATTTTAATAGATACTTCACACAAAAAAATATACAAAGAAGCACACGAAAAAACACTCAAGTGGCCAGGCGAGGGCTCACGCCTGTAATCTCAGCCTTTGGGAGGCCTGAGGTGGGCAGGTCACTTGAGGTCAGGAGTTTGAGACTAGCCTGACCAACACGGCGAAACCCCGTCTCTACTAAAAATACAAAAATTAGCTGCACATGGTGGCTGCACACCTATAATCCCAGCTACTTGGGAGGCTGAGGCAAGAGAATCACTTGAAACCAGGAGGCGGAGGTTGCAGTGAGCCGAGATCGCACCACTATACTCCAGCCTGGGTGACAGGGCGAGACCCTGTTTCAAAAGCAAAACAAAGCAAAAATGTTTTTAAAAAGATGCTCAACGTCATTAGATATTAGAAAAATGGAAATTAAAGTCACAATGCGATATCATTACACACCTATTAGAATGGCTAAAATCAAAAAACACCAAGCACGCCAAGTGTTGGGAAGGGCACAGAGCAATAAGAACCCTTATGCTCTGCTGATGGGAATGTAAAATGGTACGACCACCTTGGAAGAGACTGCCAGTGTCTTAAAATGGTAAACGCAGCCAGGCGCAGTAGCTACGCCTATAGTCCCAGCACTTTGGGAGGCCAAGGTGGGTGGATCACCTGAGGTCAGGAGTTCAAGACCAGCCTGGCCAACATGGAGAAACCCCATCTCCACTAAAAATACAAAAAATTAGCTGGGCATGGTGGCGGGCCCCTGTAATCCCAGCTACTCGGGAGGCTGAGGAAGGAGAATTGCTTGAACCCAGGAGGTGGAGGCTGAGGTGAGCCGAGATCACGCCATTGCACTCCAGCCTGGGCAGTAAGAGCGAAACTCTGTCCTGGGGAAAAACAAAAAAAAGGGAAATACAAACCTAGCATATGATCCAGCCATTCTACCCCTAGATATTTACCCAAGAGAAATGAAAGCATATGTCCACACAAGGATTTGTACACAAATGTTCCCAGGAGCTTTATTTGTAACCGCCCAAAACTGAAAACAACCCAAATGTTCATCCACAGGTGAATGAATAAACATGAATAAATTTATAATTATGCTGAATGAAAGAAGACACAAAGGCTGGGTGTGGTGGCTCATGCCTATATTCCCAGCACTTCGGGAGGCCGAGGCAGAATAGCTTGAGGCCATGAAATTGAGACCAGCCTGGGCAACACAGACCCTTTCTCTACAGGAAAAAAAAAAAAAAAAGATGACTCAAAAAAAGAGTACATACTGTATGATTCCATTTATATATAAAATTATGGCTGGGTGCGGTGGCTCATGCCTGTAATCCCAGCACTTTGGAAGGCTGAGGCGGGCGAAATCACCTGAGGTCAGGAGATCGAGACCAGCCTGACCAACATGGAGAAACCCCATCTGTACTAAAAATGCAAAACTAGCCAGGTGTGGGGGCACATGCCTGTAATCCCAGCTACTCAGGAGGCTACAGCAGGAGAATCGCTTGAACCTGGGAGGCGGAGGTTGCAGTGAGCCGAGATCGCGCCATTGCAATGGGCAACAAGAGCAAAACTCCATCTCAAAAAAAAAAAAAAAATTAGCTGGACATGGTGGTACACACCTGTAATCCCAGCTACTTGGGAGGCTGAGGCAGGAGAATCACTTGAACCCCGGAGGCGAAGGTTGCAGTGAGCCGAGATCACCCCACTGCACTCCAGCCTGGTGACAGAGCAAGACTCTGTCTCAAAAACAAAAAAGAAAAAAAAGCTCCTTGAAGGTTTAGAGGGAAAAAATACCCCATTTGATCAAGCCCCAAAGTCTGGCGTTCTTCATCTGAGTCTAATTAGAGCCCTTGTTACATGACCTTGGGCAGGTCAACATGAATAACCTTTGACCTTAATTTCCTTATCTTTAATGTAAAAAGGTTAAATAAGATCACTCTCAAAAAAGGGCAGGGAAGGCAAAACCCAAAGGAAGATACATGATGGATAGTAAATGAGATTTTTATGTTCTATAAAGAAACGATGAGTAAAATAAAAAATTGAGACCTCCTGCCTTGGCCCACACTCAGAATCTGCCCACAGCCCAAAGAGTGGTAGGAGTGTGTCTCCTAGGCTGGATGACTTCTAAGGTCCACACCATTTCCAACGCACACTGACGTGAAACCCTCTCTCCCTGAACAACTCTGACTTGCTAACGAAAGATGTGGGTGGTATCTAAGGCAGCAAAGTAACTGACTTTGACAAGTCTGAAAAATCCACCATGGAAACCACTTAAACAGAGAAATTAGAGAGGAAGGAAGTGGCATACCCGGCTTTCCCAAACCAGTTGCCCATAACAGCAACCACACAGGGCCAACCAGTGGACTGCAGCAGGCCGTTCACAATCCACAGGCAGCAGTACAGCCATTTGTTGTAGAAACGCAGCCATTCTGTGAGCGCACCAAAGACAAACACCTTGAAGAGGAGGAAACAAAAGGAATATGTAACAGCCACACTGACACTTTCAGTGGACGCCACTCTACCCACTTGCTTCAGAGTAGAGACCACGTGAAGGATACACTCACACAGCCAGTGCCTGTAAGTCACGTGGCCAGCATCACAAAGGTCCTGCTCAGAGCCACAGTGAGGAGGCAGCCACCCAATCACTGCCCACCAGAGAGGAGGAGATGCCAAAGACATAAAGTCATTAAGCTATCAGCCCTCCAACTGACATCTTCAAGGCTAAAAAGTGAATTCCAGGCCGGGCTCACGCCTGTAATCTCAGCACTTTGGGAGGCCGAGGAGGGCAGATCACAAGGTCAGGAAATCGAGACCATCCTGGCTAACACGGTGAAACCCCGTCTCTAATGAAATTATAAAAAATTAGCTAGGCGTGGTGGCAGGTGCCTGTAGTCCCAGCTACTCAGGAGGCTGAGGCAGGAGAATGGCATGAACCTGGGAGGTGGAGCTTGCAGTGAGCCAAGATCGTGCCACTGCACTCCAGCCTGCGCGGGAGTGCGAGACTCTGTCTCAAAAAAAAAAAAAAAAAGTAATTCCTCATTTTACATGTATTTCCATCTCCTCACCCTCAGACTGTGCATGTGGAGGGAACAGCAACCTCCAGAGGGCTGCTGTGAGGACAGAACGAGCCCAGGGAGGCCACCTTTCCCGGAGCAGTGCCAGGTGCTGCTATGGGCAGAGGCACGGGGCGCATGCCAGCCACTGTTATGGCTACAGCTCCTGAGTTAATCAACGAAAGCGAAACCTATCAAACTTGTGATCTGCTGAATCATTTAGCAGCTTTCATCAAGGGGCTGCTTTTTTCCAGGCATTTTGCTCAAGTGGACATTTTATCTACAGTCAAACTCTATTCTGAGAATACTCTGCATGATTAAAAAATAGTATGTATAATACTGTCTAGTTCCAGTTACAAGACATTCTGGAATAAGTAAAACTGTACACAGAAAAATGATCAGGGGTTGCCAGGGGCTGGAGAAAGAAGGGGCGGTCACAAAACTACTCATTTGTTGAAAAGTCTGAACAATATGCTTAAAAAGGGCAAGTTTATGTACAAACTGCAGTTTTTAAAAAATACATAAAACACAAAAAAGTCTGTACACAGGTTTTAAAATAATATGTTTATTATGTGTGGGTGAGCAACTCATAAATAAATAAAGTGCTTCCATCTCTAAAATGTCAAGGGGAAAAAAGGTTTTACTTACACTCAAATGACAAACACTGAAAAACAATAGTAGGCCAAACGCAGGGACTTGTGCCGGTAATTCCAGTGTTTGCGGAGGCAAAGGAGGGAGGATCACTTAAGGCCAGGAGTTCAAGGAACAACCTGGGCAATATAGTGAGACCCCATGACTAAAAAATTTAAAAATTAGCTAAGCATGATGGTACACACCTACAGTCCCAGCTACACGGGAGGCTAAAATGGGAGGATTGCTCGAGCTTGGGAGTTCAAGGCTGCAGGATCACACCGCTGCACTCCAGCCTGGGCAGCAAATCGAGACCTTATCTCTAAAAAAATAATAATCATAATAAATTAGGGTCTAACTAAACTCCATGGTTTCATTTAATCAACAAAAATTCCTGACTAGAAGCTAGTAAGCAATGACGATTAGTCAGATATGGAGGCTGGGCACGGTGGCTCACCCCTGTAATCCCAGCACTTTGGGAGGCTGGGGTGGGCAGATCACCTGAGGTCAGGAGTTCAAGACTAGCCTGGCCAACATGGTGAAACCCTGACTCTACTAAAAATACAAAAATTAGCCGGGAATGGTGGTGCACACCTGTAGTCCCAGCTACTCAGGAGGCTAAAACAGGAGAATGGCTTGAATCTGGGAAGTGGAGGTTGCAGTGAGCCAAGATCATGCCACTGCACTCCAGCTTGGGTGACAGAGCAAGACTCCGTTTAAAAAAAAAAAAAAAAAGATTAATCAGATATGGATCCTCCCCTACACAGCACTTGTTTCAAATGCCTCACATACAGAAACTCACAGTCCTCACTGCCACCCGGGGAGAGCTAATATGCCCATCTCCCTCTGAAGCTCACAGAAATCATAAGCTAGAAAACCACAGAAGACAGACAGAAACCCAGGCTGTCCTTGTCTAGGGAATCTGTGATTTTAACCACTGCATACCCACCCTAAGGGAAAGCAAGACTGAACCAGAAATAACCAAGCTAAGCGGCAGACTGTTTCAAGTGCCTGCAAAGAAACAGGCACTGCAGCTCAGAAGCGGGACTGACATTCTCAAAGAGGTGTCATTTGGCCAATGCTTGAAGGAGACTGTGAGTTAGACTATGGAGAGCTGAAAAGGGGACCATCCAAGGCAGGCAGAACAGGAGAAACAAAAGCACCGAGATAGAAAGGAGCAGGATAGGGCCAGGTGCGGTGGCTCACACCTGTAATCCCAGCACTTTGGGAGGCCGAGGTGGGCGGATCACCTGAGGTCGGGAGTTCGAGACCAGCCTGACCAACATGGAGAAACCCGTCTTTACTAAAAATAAAAAAGTTAGTCAGGTGTGGTGGTGCATGCTTGTAATCCCAGCTACTCAGGAGGCTGAGGCATGAGAATCGCTTGAACCTGGGAGGTGGAGGTTGTGGTGAGCCAAGATTGTGCCATTCCACTCCAGCCTGGGCAACAAGAGCAAAACTCCGGACACACAGCCTCTCCCTCCCCCTCCCCCTCCCCCTCCCCCTCCCCCTCCCCCTCCCTCTCTCCCTCTCCGTCTCCCTCTCTCTCCACGGTCTCCTTCCACGGTCTCCCTCTGATGCCGAGCCAAAGCTGGACGGTACTGCTGCCATCTCGGCTCACTGCAACCTCCCTGCCTGATTCTCCTGCCTCAGCCTGCCGAGTGCCTGCGATTGCAGGCGCGCGCCGCCACGCCTGACTGGTTTTCGTTTTTTTTTTGGTGGAGACGGGGTTTTGCTGTGTCGGCCGGGCTGGTCTCCAGCTCCTAACCGCGAGTGATCCGCCAGCCTCGGCCTCCCGAGGTGCCGGGATTGCAGACGGAGTCTCGTTCACTCAGTGCTCAATGGTGCCCAGGCTGGAGTGCAGTGGCGTGATCTCGGCTCGCTACAACCTCCACCTCCCAGCTGCCTGCCTTGGCCCCCCAAAGTGCCGAGATTGCAGCCTCTGCCCAGCCGCCACCCTGTCTGGGAAGTGAGGAGCGTCTCTGCCTGGCCCCCCATCGTCTGGGATATGAGGAGCCTCTCTGCCTGGCTGCCCAGTCTGGAAAGTGAGGAGCGTCTCTGCCCGGCCACCATCCCATCTAGGAAGTGAGGAGCGCCTCTTCCCGGCCGCCATCCCATCTAGGAAGCGAGGAGCGCCTCTTCCCCGCCGCCCATTGTCTGAGATGTGGGGAGCGCCTCTGCCCCGCCGCCCTGTCTGGGATGTGAGGAGCGCCTCTGCTGGGCCGCAACCCTGTCTGGGAGGTGAGGAGCGTCTCTGCCCGGCCGCCCCGTCTGAGAAGTGAGGAAACCCTCTGCCTGGCAACCGCCCCGTCTGAGAAGTGAGGAGCCCCTCCGTCCGGCAGCCACCCCGTCTGGGAAGTGAGGAGCGTCTCCGCCCGGCAGCCGCCCCGTCCGGGAGGGAGGTGGGGGGGGGGGTCAGCCCCCCGCCCGGCCAGCCGCCCCGTCTGGGAGGTGAGGGGCGCCTCTGCCCGGCCGCCCCTACCGGGAAGTGAGGACCCCTCTGCCCGGCCAGCCGCCCCGTCCGGGAGGGAGGTGGGGGGTCAGCCCCCCGCCCGGCCAGCCGCCCCGTCCGGGAGGTGAGGGGCGCCTCTGCCCGGCTGCCCCTACTGGGAAGTGAGGACCCCTCTGCCCGGCCAGCCGCCCCGTCCGGGAGGGAGGTGGGGGGGGGGGTCAGCCCCCTGCCCGGCCAGCCGCCCAGTCCGGGAGGGAGGTGGGGGGTCAGCCCCCCACCCGGCCAGCCGCCCCGTCCGGGAGGGAGGTGGGGGGATCAGCCCCCCGCCTGGCCAGCCGCCCCGTCCCGGAGGTGAGGGGCGCCTCTGCCCGGCCGCCCCTACTGGGAAGCGAGGAGCCCCTCTGCCCGGCCAGCCGCCCCGTCCGGGAGGGAGGCGGGGGGGGGGGTCGGCCAGCCGCCCTGTCCGGGAGGGAGGTGGCGGGGTCAGCCCCCCGCCCAGCCGGCCGCCCCGGCCGGGAGGTGAGGGGCGCCTCTGCCCGGCCGCCCCTAATGGGAAGTGAGGACCCCTCTGCCCGGCCAGCCGCCCCGTCAGGGAGGGTGGTGGGGGGGGTCAGCCCCCCGCCCGGCCAGCCGCCCCATCCGGGAGGTGAGGGGCGCTTCTGCCCGGCCGCCCCTACTGGGAAGTGAGGAGCCCCTCTGCCCGGCCACGACCCCGTCTGGGAGGTGTGCCCAGCGGCTCATTGGGGATGGGCCATGATGACAATGGCGGTTTTGTGGAATAGAAAGGCGGGAAGGGTGGGGAAAAAATTGAGAAATCGGATGGTTGCCGGGTTTGTGTGGATAGAAGTAGACATGGGAGACTTTTCATTTTGTTCTGTACTAAGAAAAATTCTTCTGCCTTGGGATCCTGTTGATCTGTGACCTTATCCCCAACCCTGTGCTCTCTGAAACATGTGCTGTGTCCACTCAGGGTTAAATGGATTAAGGGCGGTGCAAGATGTGCTTTGTTAAACAGATGCTTGAAGGCAGCAGGCTCGTTAAGAGTCATCACCACTCCCTAATCTTAAGTACCCAGGGACACAAACACTTCGGAAGGCCGCAGGGTCCTCTGCCTAGGAAAACCAGAGACCTTTGTTCACTTGTTTATCTGCTGACCTTCCCTCCACTATTGTCCTATGACCCTGCCAAATCCCCCTCTGCGAGAAACACCCAAGAATGATCAATAAAAAAAAAATAAATAAAAAAATAAAAAAAAAAGAGCAAAACTCCGCCTCAAAAAAAAAAAAAAAAAAAAAAAAAGAAAGGAGCGGGATGTTAGCGGCCTGGAAAGCAGTCCAGCTTGGCTGGAGCAAAGCGATGAAGCAGAGTGACAAATATGATGGGAAGGCAGGCTGGGGCCAGGGTGTAGTGAATGCCAGGCCATTTATTCAGACTATTAATTAACTCTGCTGGTGCCTGAGGGACAACAAAGGAACCTGATTAGAATCTTACTTTAAAAAGACTCATCTGGCCAGGCGCAGTGGCTCATGCCTGTAATCCCAGCACTTTGGGAGGCCAAGGCAGGAGGATCACCTGAGGCCAGGAGATAAGACTGGCCAACATGGTGAAACCCCGTCTCTACCAAAAATACAAAAATCACCCAGGCGTGGTGAGCTGTACCTATAGTCCCAGCTGCTCAGGAGGCTGAGGCAGCAGAATCGCTTGAACATGGGAGGCAGAGGTTGCAGTGAGCTGAGATCGCACCACTGCACTCCAGCCTGGGGTAATAGAGCAAGATTCTGTCTCGGGGGGGAAAAAAAAGACTCATCTAAGTGAAAAGGCAAATGAGGGATTCGAACAATGAGGATTAATCTTACTATTCTATTCTACAGAGAAGTAGGGAGATTACTTAGATTCTAAAATACCTGACCAAAATAATAATAATAAGACCTTTCAACTTACCACTAATGCAGAAGAGCACATGCCAAAAGACAGAACCCATCGCAAATTCAACCGATCCCCAACGATGCCACTGATGAATAGGCCCTAAAAATAAAGCATTTTCTTTTACAGCTCTAAATAATAACACAGTATGAAAAAGTAACATGCACTGCAAAGCAAATGAGACAAACACAGATATTATTTAAAATTAACTCTTATACACATGCCGAGGCTACCTGTCTACAGGAGTTTCACAAATGTTTCATGAAATGGCAGTGGGCTGGATAACATGGTCAGTAATACAGTGAAAACAAAAAAGTTATGAAAATAGAAGGAAAAAAATATTAAAAAAAAAAAGAAATGGCAGCGGGCACACTCTACCACAAACACACCAAAGTTCAGGGCAAACTTTGGTTTTACTTGATTCCCTAACTGGAAAAAAATAAATAAATAAGAATGACTCTAATAAAACAAGCACACAAATATACTTCATTTTCTAGACTAGATTAATTCCTACCCATCAGTGATAAGCTATCCCAAAGGGATTCCTCTTAGCCATCTGCACTCTGGGTTAACGTGTTACCACACGCCCTGCAGTTTCAGTTCCAACCTTGTAAAAAGTGGAATAGAAGGTTCCAGGGCACACTAGCTGCCTGTTGAATCTGACCCTTGGGTTTCATGACATCCCAAGGCAGGGAGAGTAGGAAGGCAGAGACAATAATTAGCTGGAGACAGGTTCTGCCTTCTGCTCTCCTCCCACTGAGTGGCAGGAATTAAAATGCTGAGATCATGGCAGGAAGTGAGACTGAAGACCTTAAGCGCAGCACACTTTAGGTTTCTTCCATAAATATATAAAATATCTTGACTGAAAACCTAAATTCAGTTAGGACCAGGTGTTTCTAATAAATTGACTATCTCTAAAACTTGGCTGGGCGTGGTGTCTCACGCCTGTAATCCTAGCACTTTGGGAGCGGGGAGAATTGCTTGAGGCCAATAGTTCAAGACCAAACTGGCCAACATAGCAAGAACCCATCTCTAAAAAAAAAAAAATTGGCCGAGTGCAGTAGCTCACACCTGTAATCCCAGCACTTTGGGAGGCCAAGGCAGGTGGATCACCTGAGGTGAAGAGTTCAAGACCAGCCTGACCAACATGGTGAAACCCTGTCTCTACTAAAAACAGAAAAATTAGCCAGGCATGGTGGCTTGCGCCTGTAATCCCAGAAACTTGGGAGGCTGAGGCAGGAGAATCACTTGAACCCAGGAAGCGGGGCTTGCAGTCAGCCGAGATGGCACCACTGCACTCCAGCCTGGGCGATAGAGTGGGACTCCATCTCAAAAAAAAAATGAGAAGATAAATTTAAATATGAACGTTTCTCCCTCATTATCATCAAGCTTCCTCATCTTAAGAGAAGCATGTCAGCCTTAAAGTAGATTCTATGTTGTCTAGCTGCCCCTCATATGGACTTATGCTACACAGAACAAAAGGGATGAAGAAAATCTCAATTCTGCTTCAGATGACAGAACAATACATGCTTTTTTTTTTTTTTTTTTTTTTTTTTTTTTTTTTTTGAGACAGAGTCTCACTCTGTCATCCAGGCTGGAATGCAATGATGTGATCTTGGCTCACTGCAGCCTCTGTCTCCTAGGTTCGAGCAATTCTCCTGCCGTAGCCTCCCGAGTAGCTGGGACTACAGGCCTGCCAATTTTTGTTTTTTTAGAGATGGGTTCTTGCTATGTTGGCCAGTTTGGTCTTGAAGTATTGGCCTCAAGCAATTCTCCCCACTCCCAAAGTGCTAGGATTATAGGCGTCAGACACCACGCCCAGCCAAGTTTTAGAGATAAGTCAATTTATTAGAAACACCTGGTCCTAACTGAATTTGCCTGGCTAATTTTTGTATTTTCAGTAGAGATGGGGTTCTGCCATGTTGGCCAGGCTGGTCTCAAACTCCTGACCTCAGGTGATCTGCCCTCCTTGGCCTCCCAAAGTACTGGGATTACAGGCGTGAGCCACCGTGCCCCACCAGAATCAATACATTCTGTTTTGCTGCAGAAAGCAAAATGCCCATAAGTTACAGAAGGAAGTGCAGCTCAAGATAAAAAAAAAACCATGACCATTGATTTTTCATGGCATTGATCCTTTATGTCCTAAATCTAGTCCTATAGATGACTCCATAGATGAGGAAACTAAACACCAAAAAAAGGTTAAATTCTACTTCGCAACCAAGTTTAACACAGCTAGTTAGACTACACTGCCTCTTAAACTGGTCCCTGAAAGAAATGAGTGGCTCGAAGAGAAGCGAGCACCCTGTCACCAGCTCCAGCCAAAGCCCCGTGCCTCTACATGGGGATTTTATACAGAAAATACCCAAGGTGAGGAGGTAGACTAAATGAATGACCAAAGAACTGTTCCAACTGTTTCTCTGTTTCCTCTTTGAAGAAAAGATACTCTTAATAATTAACCAAATAGGCTGGGCGCAGTGGCTCACACCTGTAATCCCAGCACTTTGGAAGGCCGAGGTGGGCGGATCATTTGAGGTCAGGAGTTTGAGACCAGTCTGACCAACACGGTGAAACCCCATCTCTACTAAAAATACAAAAAAAATTAGCAGGGCATGGTGGCACATGTCTGCAGTCCCAGCTACTCAGGAGGCTGAAGCAGCAGAATTGCTTGAACCCAGGGGGCAGAGGTTGCAGTGAGCCAAGATTGTGCCACTGCACTCCAGCCTGGGCAACACAGCAAGACTCCATCTCAAATAAAAAAAAAAATAGGCCAGGCATGGTAGCTAACGCCTGTAATCCCAGCACTTTGGAAGGCAGCGGTAAGTGGATCAACTGAGGACAGGAGTTTGAGACCAGCCTGGCCAACACGATGAAACCCCATCTCTACTAAAAATACAAACATTAGCTGGGCATGATGGTGTGCACCTGTAATCCCAGCTACCCAGGAAGCTGAGGCAGGAGAATCACTGGAACTAGGAGGCGGAGGTTGCAGTGAGCTGAGATAGCACCATTGCACTCCAGCCTGGGCAAGAGAGCAAGACTCCGTCTCAAAAAATAATAATACAATAAAATTAAATAAATAAATAAAAATAACTAACCAAATAAACATTTAGAAACTACTTCAGAACTTTTACCCAGTATTTCACATTGCCTGGACATTGAGAATTAAAAGGCGTTTTTAATAAGGCACACTTAAAGACAGAAATAAGGCATACTTAAAGACAGCATCTTATATGCTGGGGAGAAAAGGAAGGCTCCTCTCACAGTCCACGTTCCAGCTGCTGCCACCATCAGCTCCAGAACTCTAATGTGGCATCCACCACAGCTGTTCCTACAGCCAGACAGAGACGCCAGCTGCCTATCCTGACGCTGAATTACTCCTCGCCACCGTGGAATGTCTCCCAGGGTGCTACCTCTCCAGGATCCCACCTTCCTTTTTTTTTTTTTTTTTGAGATGGAGTCTCATTTTGTCATCCAGGCTGGAGTGCAGTGACGCAATCTCGGCTCACTGCAACCTCCTCCTCCCGGGTTCAAGCAATTCTTCTGCCTCAGCCTCCCAAGTAGCTGGGACTACAGGCACCCACATCTGGCTAATTTTTGTATTTTTATTGGAAATGGGGTTTCTTCATGCTGGCCAGGATGGTCTCAAACTCCTGACCCCAAGTTATCCACCTGCCTCGGTCTCCCAAAGTGCTAGGATTACAGGCGTGGGCCACCGCGCCCAGCCCCACCTTTCTTACCACTCCACCCCCGCTACCTGGCCCATTCCTCACCCACCTCTGAGGACTGGAAGCCCTAGGGCTCAGGTTTCACACCTCTTCCCCGCCCTCGCCTGTTCTCTTGATCAATTCACGCAGCCTCACAGTTTTGATCTATAAATCATCTAAAGGCCAAGGACTCCGAGCGCAGTGGCTCACGCCTGTAATCCCAGCACTTTGGGAGGCCGAGGCAAGCGGATCGTCTGAGGTTGGGTGTTCCAGATCAGCCTGACCAACATGGAGAAACTCGGTCTCTACTAAAAAAACACAAAATTAGCCGGGCGTGGTGGCGCATGCCTGCAATCCCAGCTACTCAGGAGGCTGAGGCAGGAGAATTGCTTGAACCCGAGAGGTGGAGGTTGTGGTGAGCCAAGATTGTGCCATTGCACTCCAGCCTGGGCGACAAGTGCAAAACTCTGTCTCAAAAATAAAAAATTAAAAACATAATAATAATAATAAAGGCCAAGGACTCCAAAAACATGTATCTTCAGACTGAACCTACACCTTGAACTCCACACTCAATGACCAAGTGTCTGCTCTTCATCATCTGGGCAGCAGAGGTCAAATGTAATGCATCCAAAAGCGAGTCATCAAAGCTTTCTATCTCCCCAGTCTCCCCTCTGCCATGACACTTCCACCCTGGAGGTGTTCTTGACACATTTCTCTTACATTCCACATTCAAGAGGGAAAAAATATTATTGGCTTTACCTCCAAAACACCGCTAAAATCTACTTCCCCCCAACCTCTATTACTGTTGCGCTGGACCCAAGTCACCATCATCCTTCACCTCAAAAGAACTCGGCTCCCAGAGCAAGTGCACCTATCCAAACCTAAGTCAGGTCCTGCCGCTGCTCTGCACAAAACCTTCCAGCAGCTCCCATCTCACTCAAGGTTAAAGCCAAAGCCGCCCCAAAGGTACCAAAACCCTACAGATCTGAGCCCCACCGCATCTCTGGCCTCTCTTCTTGCAGCTCTGATCCAAGCACACCGACTCGCTCACCTGCTCAGGTCTTCACTCAAATGCCCGCTGCCTCCTGAGGTCTCCCGGCTGTGCTACTTAAAATTACAACCTCACCCAGGCCCCTTTAGTCCCCCTTCTCTGCTTTATTTTCCTCCGTTGTACTTACCACCTTCAAATATACTCTATAATTTATTTGTAGCATTTGGTTACTGTCTGTCTCCCCTAACTCCAAGAATACAGGTCCATAAAGGCAGGGCATTTTGTGTTGTTCGGGATAAATTCCCATTGACATATGCTAGATGAGCAATAAATATCTGTCGAATGAATGAATAAATGAATGGGAAGAACAAACAATATAAACTTCAGAAATACTGAACTCTGCCTCAGTCAGCAAATTCAAAATCCCTTACAAATTTTGTAAGGCTCAGGGTCATTTATATTTACATTTTTCTTTAGCTTTAAGCCCTAGAGTTCCAAAACTTACCACAGCATAGGAGAAGAGGAAAATGGTATCCAGTGTGCCGAGGAAAAGAGTCGCTTTCTCTGCACTGGGGAACAAATGGTTGCTGCTCCAGATCTACAGTAAGACAGCAGGAACAGGTCAGTCCCTGTAGAATCTGCCAGGGCTTTCTGTTTCCCAAAGCCCCTTCACAAACACTTCCAAAGCACCAGTAATGCTCAAGAACAACTTTTACTTCAAATGTATTTAGAAATAACTAGTATAGCCGGGCACAGTGGCTCACGCCTGTAATCCCAACACTTTGGGAGGGCAAGGAGGGCAGATCACCTGATATCGGGAGTTCGAGACCAGCCTGACCAACATGGAGAAACCCTGTCTCTACTAAAAATACAAAATTAGCCAGGCATGGTGGCACATGCCTGTAATCCCAGCTACTCAAGAGGCTGAGGCACAAGAATTGCTTGAACCCAGGAGGCGGAGGTTGTGGTGAGCAGAGATTGCACCATTGCACTCCAGCCTGGGCAACAAGAGCGAAACTCCGTCTCAAAAAAACAAAAAAGAAAAGAAAAGAAAGAAATAACTAGTTTTTTTTTTTGCTTTTATTATTTTTAATTGACACATAGTAATTGTACATATTGAGGGAGTACAGTGTGATAGTTCAACATATATTCAACATGTCATGATCAAATAAGGGCAATTAATGTATCACCTCAAATGTGTATCATTGGAATGCTCAAATGCTAGTGACGAAGTCTTAAGTGAGAAAGTGGGGCAGTAAGTTTAAAAGCAGACATTTAGAAGAAATAAATTCTGATGATAATCTTTTTGTTTGGCAGAATCCAATATCCAATTAATTCGAAATTATGCCTACCATCTAGGGCCATACCACCCTGAAAGCACGCGATCTCATCTGATGTGGAAAGTTAAGTGGGGTCAGGCCTGGTTAGTACTTGGATGGGAGAAATTATGTCTAACTCCATCTAAGGAAACATTTTACAATACTCTTCAAAAACAATTTCCTCCAGTCAGTGGTTGCCTAGGGCTGACTAAAAAGGGGTACAAGAGAATCTGGGGGATGATGTTCTATATCTTGGAATAGTTACAACACTATATGTGTTTGTCAAAAATTGTAGAACTGAATACTAAAAAGGTAACTAAAATTCACATCTTAATTTTTAAAATGATAAAAAGTGTCCTTCATTAACCTACTTCAATTAAATCACAATGTCTTGCCAACTTTATTATCCTTCTAGTCTGGTACTCAGAAAACTTATAATCCCAACTCTAGTCCTAAGTATTTGTTGCCCTAGAGAGGCCACTCATCCTAATACTTCTCAACTTCTTCATAGGCACACATAGAAAACGATCTTTGTATAACACACTGGAGTAAACTGAAGAAGCTGTTCAAGGTCAGAGTTGATTGGCCTGGGAATATCCACCAGTCTAAAATCAGGAGGAGGCCATCCCAAGCCCCACCTAGCAACCCCAGGAGCTTAGGGAAGGGAGATTGCAGCCCAACTACAACCCATTCACGACAAAGCAGCTGAGCAGCTCTCACAGCACCTCAGTGGCCAGTCTGCAGAACCACAAAACGAATTCTTTCTATTTTTATTTATTTATTTATTTTTGAGACAGAGTCTCACTCTGTTGCCCAGGTTAGAGGGCAGTGGCACAATCTTGGCTCACTGCAACCCCCACCTCCTGGGTGCAAGTGATTCTCCTGCCTCAGCCTCCCTCAGCTGGGATTACAGGCACGTGCCACCACGCCCAGATAATTTTTGTATTTTTAGTAGAGACGGGGTTTCGCCATGTTGGCCAGGATGGTCTCAATCTCCTGACCTCGTGATCCACCTGCCTCCGCCTCCCAAAGTGCTGGGATTACAGGCGTGAGCCACCGTGCCCGACCGAGAGCTACGTTCTTTCTAACTGCAAAATGCCATGTATGATTCCGCAGGATGTTTATATTCTTCAGCTGTGTTTAAATCCAGTTTTTAAAATTCCTTTAGAATAAGAACCAAGTCTTACACATATTTATACAGGGTCTAACAGTGAAAAGAACCCATGGTTATTTTGTCAATATCTTTTGTAATGAATTAAATAATGTCCATTCATTTTCATTTTAAAGAAAGATGAGCAGGATATATGAAACCAGGCCATGAGAGGAACCACTGAAGGAAATGGAAATACAAATTTATGCTGAAAAAAAGAGACACAAGGAATCTGTGAAAAATTATCCTCAACTTTATCTAGGGCCAGCAGTGGAAAAGAGATCTGAGTTAGTTTACAGAACTTTTTTTTTTTTTGGAGACGGAGTCTCGCTCTGTTACCCAGGCTGGAGTGCAATGGCACGATCTTGGCTCACTGCAACCTCCGCCTCCTGGGTTCAAGTGATTCTCCTCCCTCAACCTCCTGAGTAGCTGGGATTACAGGCGCCCACCACAACACCCAGCTAATTTTTGTATTTTTAGTAGAGACGGGGTTTCACCATGTTGGTCAGGCTGGTCTCAAACTCCTGACCTCGTGATCCACCTGCCTCGGCCTCCCAAAGTGCTGGGATTACAGGTGTGAGCCACTGCGCCCAGCCTAGTTTACAGAACTTTCAAAAATGTAATGGGCTGCTTCACAGTGTAGTGAATTTCCCCCGCAATAGACATCCCTGAGGGAAACGGAAAGGTAATTTCTCAAAGATACAGAAAGGGTTCTTCAATAGGATGGGAGATGGACCAGATCATAGCCCTCCAACTGTGGTCCACAGAACTAGGGGAGACAGAGAGGCCTCCAGAGCCTTGCTCCAAGGGGGTCTGCAAGGTCAAAATTCTTTGCACCACATTAAAATGTGATGTCCTTTCAACTTTGCTCCCTTCTGCACTGACAATGCAAGAGCAGTGGAGAGAAACTGCTGCACCTTAGCATAAACCAAGGTAGTAATGCCAAACAGCACTAGTGATCACCATATTGCTCACTGCAGCATGCTCACAATAAAAAACCAAAACAGGATTTTAAAAAGCCAATGTCGGCTGGGAGGGGTGGCTCACACCTGTAATCCCAGCACTTTGGGAGGCCGAGGAGGGCGGATCACTTGAAGTCAAAAGTTCAAGACCAGCCTGGCCAACATGGTGAAATCCCATCTCTGCTAAAATTACAAAAATTAGCCACGTGTGGTGGTGGGCGCCTGTAATCCCAGCTACTCAGGAAGCTGAGGCAGTAGAATTGCTTGCACTTGAGAGGAGGAGGTTTCACTGAATCGAGATTGTGCCACTGCACTCCAGCCTGGGTGACAGAGTGAGACTCTATCTCAAAAAAAAAAAAGCCAGTGTCACGTAAGACTGTCCTTCATGAAGCAGTAAAAATTTTTAATTTTATAAACTGTAGGCCTTGAGTACAATAATTTTTCTTTTTCTTTTGAGACAGAGCCTCACCCTGTTGCCCAGGCTGGAGTGCAATGGCGCGATCTCGGCTCACTGCGACCTCCGCCTATCGGGTTCAAGCGATTCTCCTGCCTCAGCCTCCTGAGTAGCTGGGACTACAGGCACATGCCACCATGCCCGGCTAATTTTTGTATTTTTAGTAGACACAGGTTCCACCATGTTGGTCAGGCTGGTCTCGAACTCCTGACCTCGTGATCTGCCCCACCCCCTCCTCGGCCTCCCAAAGTGCTGGGATTACAGTAGTGAGCCACTGCATCTGGCCAATAATTTTTCATATTCTGTGTGAGTAAGTAGAAAGTCTGCAAGAATCACTTCTGATACCAAAGCAGCTGGAACATATTTCGACTTGAAAGAATGACTGAGAAACTAGTTATTCAGATTTGGGTACTTGGCATCTATTTCCTCAAAAATGAATGAAACGAGCCTGTCACTTTAAAGAACCAAAGAACAACACAAATATGTCTTAATGCAAGAGTATTCCAAAGTGCACTGATACAGTTTCAGATTCCATCACTGGAACTAACTTTTAAGAAATTATCACTTATCAAAATTTCACTGTAGTACCAAAGACAAATGAACATCCACAATTAACTGAAAAGGCTACAAAAACACTTCTCTCTTTTCTAACTTCAAACCTGTGAAAGGCCAAATTTTCTTCCTATATCTCAAAGAACTTTTTTTTTCTTTTTTTTTTTTTTTGAGATGGGGTCTCATTATGTCACCCAGGCTGCTCTTGAACTCCTGGGCTCAAGCGATCCAGCATTAGCTTCCTGAGTATTTGGGACTACAGACACACTCCACCATGCCCAGCTAAAGGATCTCTGAATAAACTCCGCAACACACTGAATTCAAAGGAGACATGAAAACCCACTATCTCCTATTAACAGACACGAAGTGATGTGCAAAAATGTAAAACAATGCCACTCATTATTTTGTTTTGAAAAAGTCATTTTTCAGAAGATGTTATTTATGTTAATACTTATTGGCTTATTTAATTCATTAAAAAGCAATCCCAAAAACTCCAATGTATTTTTTAAATTCTCAGCTTTAATTTCTAAACTAGTATCTATAGATATAAACCCATATAACCAAAAACATTTTGGGGTGCTATGACCAAAAAGCTAGAAAATCCTTGAACTAAATCATTTCTGAGGTACTTACTAATTATAATATCCTGGCATTTCTGAGATGGGTTGTTACAGAAAGAAATTTTGATTTTAGGCCAGGTACGGTGGCTCACGCCTACAATCCCAAGCACTTTGGGAGGCCAAGACAGGTCGATCGCTTGAGGTCAGGAATTTGAAACCAGCCTGGCCAACATGGCAAAACCCCATCTCTACCAAAAAATACAAAAACTAGCCGGGCGTGGTGGCATGTGCCTGTAGTGCCACTACTCATGAGACTGAGACGGGAGAATCACTTGAACCCAGGAGGCAGAGGATGCAGTAAGCTGAGATCGCGCCACTGTACTCCAGCCTGGGCGACAGAGCAAGACTCAATCTCAAAAAAAAAAAAAAAAATGAATTTAGATTTTAGAATATTAAAGAGGCCGGGTGCGGTAGCTCATGCTTATAATCCAACACTCTGGGAGGCCCAGGCAGGACGATCCCTTGAGGGCAGGAGGATCCCTTGAGACCAGGAGCTCGAGACCAGCATAGGCAACATGGTGAGACCCCCACCATCTCTACAAAAATAAAAATAAATTAGCTGGGCATGGTGGTGCACACCTGTAGTGCCAGAGTACAGTGTCTGAGTACAGGAGGCTGAGATGGGAAGATGGCTTGAGCCCAGGACTTCAAGGCTGCAGTGAGCTATGATCATGCCACTGTACTCCAGCCTGAGCAACAGAGCAAGACCCTGTCTTAAAAAACAAGGCCAGCGCGGTGGCTCACACCTGTAATCCCAACACTTTGGGAGGCCGAGGTGGGGGTATCATGAGGCCAGGAGTTTGAGACCAGCCTGGCCAATATGGTGAAACCCCATCTCTACTAAAAATACAAAAATTAGCCAGGTGTGGTGGCACGCACCTATGGTCCCAGCTACTTGGGAGGCTGAGGCAGAAGAATCGAAGAATCGCTTCAACCCAGGAGGCAGAAGTTGCAATGGGCCGAGATTGTGCCACTGCACTCCAGCCTGGGTGACAGAGCAAGATTCCGCCTCAAAAAAAAAACAAAAAACAACAAAAAAAAAACAGGCTGGGTGCAGTGGCTCCTGCTTGTAATCCTAGCACCTTGGAAGGCGGGGGCGGGTGGATTGCCTGAGCTCAGGAGTTCAAGTTCGAGACCAGCCTGGGCAACACAGTGAAACCTCATCTCTACTAAAATACAAAAAATTAGCCAGGCATGGTGATGTGCACCTGTAATCCCAGCTACTCCGTAGGCTGAGACAGGAGAATCACTTGAACCTGGGAGGCGGAGGTTGCAGTGAGCTGAGATAGCGCCATTGCACTCCAGCCTGAGCGACATAGCAAGACTCCGTCTCAAAAAAAAAAAAAAATTAAATCTAAAAGAATATTAAAGACAAAAATCACAATCAGCAATTTTAAAGAAACATCTTTATTTTTAATCCATGTCAAGTGAATAATGTGCCCACGTTGTAACAAGGTTCAAGGGTGGCACATCTCACACACGTGTGTGAATACTCAATAATCCAGCTTACGAACTACGAAAGAATCAAAGAAATGTATCTTTAACAAAAAATAAAATCCCCAAATCATAAACAAATAATAAAGTGTGATTCCAAAGCACCGGAACTAATTTCTAAGTGGCCTCTGGCACCAATCTGGTTACTTTAATGCCACTTCACACATACTGTGAAGATGCATTCTATCGAAGATGAGAAAGCAGTGCAGGCTCACACAGCTGACATCAAACAGTCTTTTCAGCAATGCCAATTTGGGGCCCTAAATGTCTTCAATTAGAGTGACATTCCCACATTTTCCCTGCAACCGCAGTGTTCCATCCTTGTGTGCCCACCAGACTCATCAGGACCCATGATTAAGCCCTGCTGGGTACATGCACCAGTGTGAGCTAGAGACAAGGAACTTAAGCAGCTGCTCAAAGTTGTAGGTTTCCTTTACTCCTCCAAGAAGTTACCAAAAACTCCCTGAAGGTGTGGCTTTCACAAGAATTAACAGATTTTAAACAGCTTTTTTCTGCTTCACTGCCAGAATTCAGTTGAAATACACTTTTTGACTGTTGACTTAAATGGAAAACAAAACGAAACCAAAAACTAAAAGAACAAAGTAGGACTAACAAACAGATTCAGGAAACAGGGTAACAGAAAAAAAGAAGAAAATTAACAATAACATTGCTCAGATCAGTATGACTATACTACTCGGTTAGAAATGTTCCAAGTATTCATAGTGAACCATCCCATGTTTAATGAAAGTCACCAACACAACTAAGTCAACATGCTAAATGTGATTCAACCTGGTCTGAGCGTACGTTTGATGTGAACTTATCAGCCTGAATGTACTGCAGGGTTTTCTTGTATTGTGCTGGGGGGACTATATAAGCTACTACACTTGCTCGATGTTGAGGTACTTCCTGTGCACACACTAAAGTTCCCTGTGTGAGTTTCCCAGGTGAGAATGTTTATAACAGAATAAGGGCTATCCAGGGGGGCAGGGGAGGCTCACAGACATGGAAGGGCTTCCTCAAAGTGGTGAGCAGAGGATGGATGACAGGCCAACTTATGCATGAAGTTCTTTGCATAAGGCGAGCAGAACACGTTTATGTGGGAATCTGCCAAGTAGCTGTGCATAAGGTTGAGATGGAATGTCCAAAGACACTTTTTGAGACAGGGTCTTGCTCTGTCACCCAGGCTGGAGTGCAGTGGCACAACCATGGCTCACTGCAGCCTTGACCTCCAGAGACCAAATGATCCTCCCACCTCAGCCTCCTAAGTAGCTGGGAGTACAGGTATGTGCCACCACACCCAGCTAATTTTTTTTTTTTTTTTTTTTTGAGACAGAGTCTCACTCTGTCACCCAAGCTGGAGTACAATGGCACGATCTCGGCTCACTGCAAACTCCACCTCCTAGGTTCAAGCCATTCTCCTGCCTCAGCCTCCCAAGAAGCTGGGACTACAGGCATGCATCACCATACCCAGCTAATTTTTGTATTTTTAGTAGAGAATGGAATGTCGCCATGTTGGCCAGGCTGGTCTCGAACTCCTGACCTCAAGTGATATGCCCGCCTCGGCCTCCCAAAGTGTTTTTTTTTTTGTTTTGTTTTTGTTTTCATTTTTGTAGAGACGGTGGTCTCTCTATGTTGCCCAGACTAGTCTCAAACTCCTGGGCTCAAGCAATCCTCCTGCCTAGGCCTCCCAAAGTGGTGGGATTACAGGCCTGAGCCATCGCACCTGGCCCAAGACACTTTAAATTCTCCTTCCTTCTCCTGGAGATAATTTTAGATTCTCTAGCACTATTCTCATGTAAGAACTGTACAAATTTTTATTATAGTTTTTAGCTGAGTTGTTCTCAAATATAAGATCTAATGATTATTATCTATAGACATAGACTTTATGTTATTATGTTTACTCACTATTTCCAATGTTTGTCGATGTCAGTGAACCCATTATAAATTCTAAAGGTAACTGTGTCTACTGAACTCTTTTTGTAAAACACCCAGAGCTATGCATAAAAATGAAAGCTATAAAAAGTACTTTTTAGGATGCTATTTAGAGCACTTAAGAAATGTTTTTCTGTTTAATTTTTTAACTTTTAAAAATATATAAGCAAAATATTTTTTTAGCTGGCCATGGTGGCATACACCTGTAGTCCCAGCTACTCAGGAGGCTGAGGCAGGAGGATCGTTTGAGCCCAAGAGTTCAAGTACGGCCTGGGCAACATAGCAAGAGCCCCGTCTCTTAAAAAATAATTTAAAAAAAATTTTTTTATTTAAAATTAATGAGAGAGGCCTCTGGGAAGCTTGGCCTGGCCTCACGCCAGGCCGGCCTCTTCCCTTTGCTGAGTTTACCTTGTATCCTCTCACTGGAATAAATGACAGCCACACGTACTCTATGTTGAGTCCTCCTAGTTAATCACCAAACTAGGGGTGGTCTTGGGAACCCCCAACCCAGTTACCTTAAAAATAAAGGCAGCCTTAGGCAGTACAACCAGAAATCTAGTGCCTAAATGAAATCCTATTTTTCTGTATATTGTTCAGGCTGTACCTGAAATCCCACAATTAGTGCTCAGTGTCACTAAACTACAGCTGAAGGAGCCAGGAATGTTTTGCCTAAACAGAAACTTAGGGAGACAGGGAGGAATTTTCTTCAAAAGTTGAATAAAAATGTAAGCATCCACCTCACACAACAGTGAGTTTCTTCTGCCTGGAACTACTGAAGCAGAAGCTGGATGATTATCTTCCAAGAATGACAAAGAAAGATTCCAATCTGGGAGGTTAGGGTACGTGATCTCTCTAAGACCACTTCCATCTTTAAGATTTATGATTCTGGGCCGGGAGCGGTGGCTCACACCTGTAATCCCAGCACTTTGGGAAGCCGAGGCAGGAGGATCACGAGGTCAAGAGATCAAGACCATCCTGGCCAACATGGTGAAACCCTGTCTCTACCTAAAAATACAAAAATTAGCTGGGCGTGGTGGCATGCGCCTGTAGTCCCAGCTACTCAGGAGGCTGAGGCAGGAGAATCGCTTGAACCCGGGAGGCGGATGTTGCAGTGAGCCGAGATCATGCCACCGCACTCCAGCCTGGCGATAGAGCAAGACTCCATCTCACAAAAAAAAAAAAAAAGATTTATGATTCTGGCCGGGCGCAGTGGCCCACGCCTGTAATACCAACACTATGGGGAGGCCGAAGCAGGCAGATCACTTGAGGTCAGGAATTAGACTAGCTTGGCCAACATGGCGAAACCCCTTCTCTACTAAAAATACAAAAATTAGCCAGGCTTGGTGGTGCATGCCTGTAATCCCAGCTACTCAGGAGGCTGAGGCAGGAGAATCGCTTGATCCCAGGAGGTGGAGGTTGCAGTGAGCCGAGATCACGCCTGACTTCAAGGCACGTAAGCAAGATACAAACAAATGAAACAGGCTGGGCACAGTGGCTCCTATCTGTAATCCTAAAACTTTGGGAAGCCAAGGAAGGAAGATTGCTTGAGCCCAGTTCAAGACCAGCCTGGGAAACACGGCAAGACCCTGTCTCTACAAAAAAATTTAAATTAAAAAAAGAAACAGGCCAGGCATGGTGGCTCATACCTGTAATCCCCACACTTGGGGAGGCCGAGGCGGGCAGATCATGAGATCAGGAGATCGAGACCATCCTGGCTAACATGGTGAAACCCCGTCTCTACTAAAAATACAAAAAAAATTAGCCAGGCGTGGTGGCGGGCACCTGTGGTCCCAGCTACTTGGGAGGCTGAGGCAGGAAAATGGTGTGAACCTGGGAGGCGGAGCTTGCAGTGAGCTGAGATCGCACCACTGCACTCCAGCCTGGGCGACACAGCGAGACTCTGTCTCAAGAAAAAAAAAAAAAAAGAAACCATTAGAAAATATTGAAATACCAAGACATTACAATATGCAAGACAGTGTACAAGAGTTTAGTGAAGGGAAAAATCAGAAGTTGGGAAAAAACTTGATTGAAAACGTGGCATTTTACCCAGGCGTGATGGCTCACATTATAATCCCAACCCTTTGGGAGGCCAAGGCGGGTGGATTGCTTGAGCTCAGGAGTTCAAGACCAGCCTGGGCAACGTGGTGAAACCCCATCTCTACAAAAAAAAAAAAAGATTAGCTGGGCATGGTGGTGCGCGACTGTAGTCCCAGCTACTCAGGGGGCTGAGGTGGGAGGATCGCTTGAGCCCAGAAGGTGGAGGTTGCAGAGATGTTTTCTGAGAGATCGTTCCACTCCAGCCTGGGCAACAGAATGATACTCTGTTTAAAAAAAAAAAAAAAAGTGATATTTTATCTTGACACAAAGAGAAAGGCAAACTTTAAATAGGTGGAAAAGGGCAAAAGAGCACATAAAAGATAATGTGCAAAATCTCAAAGACAGAAACGAGCACAGCACTAACGAAAGCCAGTGAAAAAACAGCCTTGTCAAAAGGTGTGATTTCTCAACAGTTAGAAACAAGCCGGCTGGAGAGGTAAAATGGGACTGAGTCAGAGCAGGCTTTGAAATTAGAATAGTTTGGCTCTTATGTGATAGGAAACAGTGAGCCATTTCAGAGTCTAGGCAAGTAAAAGATGCAAAAAAGAGCTTAAGAACAATCTAGGGGTGGGCACGGTCTCCTACTTCGATCCATCCCAGCACTCTGTTCTGCTTACCTCCACAGGCAGCTCAACTGACGTGTTAAAAGCACTTGGGGTCCACTGCTCAGAGATACTGACTTTGACATTGCTAAATGTTTTTCGTGAAGCATGGAGCAACGAATAACTACAAAATAGAGAGAATACAGATGAATGAATAGCAAAGAGAAACAGCATTCAATAAAATCACAGGTATAGGCCCATTTCTTTTATTCAATTTTATTTTATTTTATTTGGTGGGCAGCCACCTGAACCAAAATAGATTCAGAGAGGCTCTCTCAATTTTATTTCTTTTTATTTTTTGAGACAGGATCTCGCTCTGTCACTCAAGCTAGAGTGCAGTTATGATCATAGCTCACTAGGCTTCACCTCCTGGGCTCAAGCCAGCCTCCCAGCCCAGCCTGAGTAGCTGGGATTACAGGGGCACTCTACCACGCCCAGTGCACCTGTCATCTTAGCTACTTAGGCTACTCAGGCTACAAAAATTTCTGTATTTTTTGCAGCGACAGAGTCTTGCTATGTTGCCCAGGATGGTCTCAAACTCCTGGGCTCAAGCGATCCTCCCACCACTTGGCTTCCCAAATTGCCAGGATTATAAGCATGACACTGAACAATTTTAGAATTCTTCTTCTTCTTTTTTTTTTTTTTTTTGAGACAGAGTCTCGCTCTGTTGCCCAGGCTGGAGTGCAGTGCTGTGATCTCAGCTCACTGCAAACTCAGCCTCCTGGATTCAAGCCAATTCTCCTGCCTCAGCCTCCCGAGTAGCTGGGATCACAGGCACGTGCCATCACGCCCAGCTGATTTTTGTATTTTTAGGAGAGACGGGGTTTCACCATGTTGGCCAGGTTGGTCTCGAACTCCTGACCTCAGGTGATCCACCCACCTCGGCCTCCCAAAGTGCTGGGATTACAGGCATGAGCCACCGTGCCTGGCCAAGAATTCTTCTCTTTAAAAAAAAAAAAAGGATGAGCCAAGCACGGTGGCTCACGCCTATAGTCCCAGCACTTTGGGAGGCTGAGGTGGGAGGATTGCTTGAGCCCAGGAGTTCAAGACCAGCCTAGGCAACATAAGAAGACTTCATCTCTACAAATAATAATAATAAAAAATAATAATAAGCCAGGCATGGTGGCTCATGGTTGTGGTCCCAGCTACTCAAGAGGCTGAGGCGGGTAGATCATTTGATCCCGGGAGTTCGAGGCTGCAGTGAACCGTGATCACACCACTGCACTCCAGTCTGGGCGACAGGGTGAGATCCCATCTCAAATAAATAAATAAATAATCATTATTTCTGGCGCCTTTCATAAAGATTAATAAACAAAATCTACTCAGCAGAAATGTCAAAAAAAGCTGAGTAACAAGGTCACTTACAGCATGCCTCTAACACCCAATGGCCTGATGTATGCTATGTTACTAAGAGAACCACTTAAGATCACCTTTGTTCTCCAGCTCCTGCTTTTAACAAATAGAGGACTTCTCTCTCCAAACAGGGTGATGAAAATAAACGCCTGTAATCCCAGCACTTTGGGAGGCCGAGGTGGGCAGATTACGAAGTCAGGAGATTGAGACTATCCTGGCTAACACAGTGAAACCATCTCTATTTAGTAGCCGGGCATGGTGACACGCACCTGTAATCCCAGCTACTCGGGAGGCTGAGGCAGGAGAATAGCTTGAACCCAGGAGGCGGAGGTTGCAGTGAGCTGAGGTCATGCCACTGCACTCCAGCCTGGGCGACAAAGTGATACTCCGTCTCAAAAAAAAAAAAAAAAAGTGAGATATGTTTTTTAAAAAAAAAAAAGTACAAAATAAAAAAAAAAATAGATCAGGGCTTCTCCGCCTCCACACTGTTGACATTTGCAGATGAAACGTTCTTTGTTGTGGAGAGCTGTCCTGTGCATGGGAGGACGTTTAGTAGCATCCCTGGTCTCCACCACTAACTACAAGTAGCATTCCTCTCCCCTCATGACCACCAAAACTATCTTAGACACCGCCAAATGTCCTCTGGAGGGCAAAACAGCCCTCCAGAACTACGATATTACAGCTATCAAGACTACAACAGAAGGAATAACTAACATTATAAGTGTATGCCCATCAGTGCATTTGACACTTGCCATGCAATATCTCCCTCAAAAGAAAAAAGAAAAAAAGCAGGAGAGCAGCTTTGGCAACATGCTTACCTGAAGAAAGTGAGCAGGAACACTACAACATGATGATGGCTGAACTGGGACAGCAGAGACCCTCTTTGAAAAACATTTGGCCAGGCCATGTTCTTCCTGACCTTCCTTCTCACCTTTGACCTTAAGGTTTGGATGAGTGATTTACATCATTTCTTCCTTCTGGAAAGACAAAACACATTATGGACATTATTAAACATAGGCAGAGTATCCAAAAACTGTATTATTTAGATTTACAGTCACCATATAATCAGGCCTTGTGGGAAAAAAATCTTATGGCCTAGTTGACACCAGAAAACTGGATTAGTAATTATGTTAAAGCTATTAGGTAGTTCTTAAAAAAAAAAAAAAAATCCTGGACAAAAGATTATATCTTAATAGAAAGAGCTCATACAAACTGATAAGAAAATCACTCATTCTTATAGAAAAAATGAGCAAAGGAAATAGACAACTCAGAAGAAATGAAATGGCTATTAAACTTGAGAAATAAAAGTTCAATCCCACTAGTAATATTAGAAATGTAATTAAGGCAAGAAAGCGTTTGGATAGTTAAAGAAGATTGTGCTCAATGCAGCTCAGGGTATAATGGTTCCTGAACTCCCATATGCTACTGAAAGAAGTAAAAATTAGTATAATATCATAGGAGGACAATCTAGCCATGTTCATCAAGAGTGTTTGACACAAAAATTCAATTTCTGGGCTGCTCTCTCTATGCAGTAGCTGCCCTTTTATTCCTTTACTTTTGAATAAGCTTGCTTTCACTTAAAAAAAAAAAAAAGAATTTCCAGGGATCTATTCCTTAAAAAATACAGATGTGTTTAGGCCTATAAACAAAAGTATTTTTCACAAAGTGTTGGAGGAGATTTTTAATATTAAAAGAAAGAAGGAGCTGGGCACAATGGCTCACACCTGTAGTACCCCAGCTACTGGAGAGGCTGAGACAGGAAGATCCCTTGAGTCCAGGAGTTCGAGGTTACAGTGAGCTATGATCACGCCACTGCAGTCAACCCTGGGCAACAAAGTGAGACCCCTGACTCTAAGCAAAACAAAACAAAATGATTAAATACAATGTTCTAAATGATCTTCTATTGCCTTGAGGTGAGGTCCCACTGCAAGACTCTGGGCAAGCTGCCTAACCCCTGTCTGCCCCCCAGTATCTCCCCAAAATGAAAAAATTTGTGTCAAAGAAACAGAGAAAGAGGTCAGGCCACCCCTTGCCATCTCCTTCCACTACTTCCAGTGGCTTTTTTTTTAATTTTTGAGACAGGGTCTCACTCTGTCACCCAGGCTGGCATACAGTGGCACGATCTCGACTCACTGCAACCTCCGCTTCCCAGGCTCAAGCGATTCTCCAGCTTCAGCCTCCCAAGTAGCTGGGACTATAAGCATGAGCCGCCATGCCTGGCTAATGTTTATATTTTTTGTGGAAACATGGTTTCATCATGTTGCCCAGGCTGGTCTCGAACTCCTGAGCTCAAAGTGATCTGCCCACCTTGACCTCCAAAAGTGCTGGGATTACAGGCATAAGGCACTGTGCCTGGCCCCAATGCCTTTTCATTTGACTGTACTCTCTAAAAGCTGCACCCATGCTCTGATATCCAAGAACAATTACGCATAAAGTAAGCAGCTAAACTTAATGTCTCCAGTTATGAGTCTGCAGAACCAATCCAAATATACAACAATAGGGGAATAATTAAATAAATTATGGTATGTCTGAATGGCTGAATCATTTATAATCATTTGTCACGAAGACTTTTTAATGACATGAGAAAATGTCAAGTGAAAAAAAGTGGGAGCCGGTTATAAATCTAATTAACTGTGTTCACATAATACTTACAAATAAATAGGGAATATAGTAGTTCTCTCCGGGTAGTGAAATGATGGATAATTTTAATTTTCTTCTATATACTTTCTTAAAAAGCCTATAATAAACATCTATATAATTTTTATAATGGAAGGGAAACACCCACAGCATTAGAAAAGTACTATATTTTAGGCTGGGCATGTTGGCTCATGCCTGTAATCCCCACACTTTGGTAGGCCAAGGTGGGAGGAACACTTAAGTCCAAGAGTTTGAGAACAGCCTGGGCAACATAGTGAGACCCCATCTCTACAAAAACTAAAAAAAAAAAACAACAGCCAAGCGTGGTGGCTCATGTCTATGGTCCCAGCTACTCAGGAGGCTAAGGCAGGAGGATTGCTTGAGCCCAGGGGTTCAAGGAGGCAGGGAGCTATGATCGCACCATTGCACTCCAGCCTGTACCACAGGGTAAGACCTTGCCTGCCCCCCGCCGCACCAAAAAAAGTAATGTAATTTATCCTCATATTCAAGGGAAAAAATCCACAAAATGGCTTGTATGATAAATCTACAACAGTAGTCAAGGTAGGGAACACATTCAAGAGCTCCAATACTCAAGAAAGAATCACAGGGCTTGGCTCTCAGATCTATGTTCACTGGAACTGTTACACTACTTATTTTCACTAGCCACAGCTCAACAGATGCACCCAAACCTTAAAGACTAAGAGACCCAGCAGAAAGGCCATTCTTGCAACTTGTAGATAAAAGAAACAAAGTTGAGGTGGTTACAATTATGTACACATGACAGTTGTTTTCCTTACTAGCTGTTAGCCCCTGGGACAAGCCATGCTCTATAAATCATAAGTGGTCATCCATAAAATGGCTTATTTCATTTGAGAGTTGTAAGGCTAAAAGTAACAATGTATGTGACATATTCAGATAATTATATTAGCCACTGATCTGCCAAGGATTAATTCCAAATCAGTAGAATTTAGCTAATTTCATTTTAAAGTCATTCTTCTTGGGAAATGTTAATAAAATTACATGCAGAGTAGGACTATAAAATTCCACTCACAAAATGTAAATAAACTTCCTGTCTGTAATTCCAGGAAGTTACAAAAACAAGAACTACTAGTGTTATGACTAAATTTACTTCCATCCTGAAAATTAAACATGAAACCCAAGTGGAAAAACTCAAAACTTTAATCATTCTCTATGAATCGTAGCTCTTTGAACTGGACACCTTCCCACCTCAAAACACTGTAGTATGTACTCCAGGAAAGGGCATGGGATATGAAATTCAATGATGTATCATGTAAAATCATAATTCCAAAAATAAATGCTCCAACAGATTGAAATTACAGTACATTGGCAATAGAGCTGCATAACCTAGGGCTGTACAGTTATATTAATAGCTTTAAAAAACTACCAAGACATTTGAGGCCATTTGGATGTAGTTTCTAAATAGACCATCTTTTCCTAAGCTATAATGATTGGGGAGAAAAGGCTTAATAAGCACATTGGAAAAGTAGGCTTTATTTTCTTCTTTCTTTTATTTATTTATTTCTGAGACAGAGTCTGGCTCTGTTGCCCAGGCTGGAATGCAGTGGCACGATCTCGGCCCACTGCAACCTCCAACTCCCAGGTTCAAGAGATTCTCCTGCCTCAGCCTCTCGAGTAGCTGGCATTGCAGGCGCCCGCCATCATGCCTGGCTAATTTTTGTATTTTTAGTAGAGACGGGGTTTCACCATGTTGGCCAGGCTGGTCTCGAACTCCTAACCTCAGATGATCCACCCACCTTGGCCTCCCAAAGTGCTGGCATCACAGGTGTGAGCCACCATGCCTGGCCTTATTTATTTATTTATTTATTTATTGAGACAAGGTTTCACTTTGTCACCCAGACTGGAGTGCAGTGGCACAACCTCAGCTCACTGCAGCCTTGACCTCTCAGGCTCAAGCAATTCTTTGGGAATACAGGCGCACATGCCACCACATCCAGCTTATTTTTTGTATTTATGTTAAGTCAGGGTTTTGCCATGTTGTCCAGGCTGGTCTTGAATTCCTGGCCTCGGGGAATCCTTCCGCCTCAGCCTTCCAAAGTGCTGAGACTACAAGCGTGAGCCACCTCGCCCAGGAAAATAGTTTTAAACATTCACCTGCTGTGTGCATAATGACATTTAAGACGAATACTACGACATTTGGTCCTATGCAATTACAATAATAATAATAATAATAATAATAATACCTTGCACATGTATCCTATCTATCACAGAAGTGATTTCCAATCATCCATGAGCTCAGGGACCCTGGGGTGTACAGGAGTTTTTGTCAAGTCTGAGTCCATCAAGCACATCCTACTTTTTGAAGAATACTCTCTTTACCACTCTAAATACACACTGAACAAATGTGTAACATTTTTCAAGTATGTGTAAATGCTGTTATAATTAATAAAACCAAATTTCAAAACCAAATTTCATTTCAGTGTTTCTGAATTCACTGTAGCTTGTCATTTAGTATTTTCTCAATCGGTGAATTTTTATTTTTTAAAGCCTACAGCACCCGGTATTCCCAGGCAGTGTCCCACCCAAGCACTAACCAGACCCCACCATACCTAGCTTCCAAAGTCAGACAAGGCAGGCCATGTTCAGGGTGGTATGCAGGTATGGTTGTAGACTCTATTAATGAATACTGAATACACAATTATCAACCGATATTTGTCAGCAACAAGAATTTTAACATTATAGTATTTTTAATTGACAAATACAATTATATATATTTATCATGTACAACACATTTTAAAATATGTGCACATTGTGGAATGACTCAATCAAGCTAGTTAATAAATCCATTACCTCACTACTTATTTTTTATGGTGAGAAAACTTAAAATCTACTCTTTTAGCAATTTTCAAAATCGAGTACATTGTCATTAACTATAGTCACCGGTAGGGCACAGTGGCTCACAGTGGCTCACAGGCCTGTAATATCAGCAATTTGGGAGGCCGAGGCGGGTGGATTGCTGGAGTTCAGGAGTCTCAGACCAGCCTGGGCAACACAGCAAAACCCCATCTCTACAAAAAAATACAAAAATATTAGCCAGGTCGGGTGCAGTGACTCACACCTGTAATCCCAGCCCTTTGGGAGGCCAAGGCAGGTGGATCACTTGAGGTCAGGAGTTCGAGACCAGCCTGGCCAATGTGGCGAAACCCCATCTCTACTAAAAATACAAAAAATTAGCCGGGCGTGGTGATGCACGCCTGTAATCCCAGCTACTCGGGAGGTTGAGGCACGAAAATCACTTGAACCTAGAAGGTGGAGGCTGCGGTGAGCTGAAATCACGCCACTGCACTCCAGCCTGGGCAAAAGACTGAGACTCCATCTAAATAAATATATATATTATATAAATATAAATATATATATTATATAAATATAAATATATTATATATAAATATATTATATATATTATATAAATATAAATATACTATATATATTATATAAATATACTATATATTATATAAATATAAATATATTATATATATTATACATAAATATAAATATATTATATATATTATACATAAATATAAATATATTATATATATTATATATAAACATATATATATTAGTCGGGTGTGATGGCACAAGCCTATAGTCCCAGCCACTCCAGAGACTGAGATGGGAGGATCACCTGGGAGTTAGAGGCTCAGTGAGCCGTGATTGTGCCACTGCACTCCAGCCTGGGTGACAGAGTGAGGGCCTGTCTCAAAAAAGCAAAACCTATAGTCACCATATTGTACAATAGATCTCTTCAACTTATTCCTCCTAACTGAAATTTTGTATCCTTTGGCCAACATCTCCCCAAACCCCCATTAGAATTATTTTAAAAGACAAAAAAAAAATCCTTGTTAAAAATAAGATTCTGGACAGACATGGTGGCTCATGCCTGAAATTCCAGTAATTTGGGAGGTCGAGGTGGGAGGACTACTTGAGCCCAGGAGTTTGAGACCAGCCTGGGAAACATGGCAAAACCCCGTTTCCAGAAAAAATACAAAAAGTAGCCAGGTGTGGTGGTGCGTGCCTGTAGTCCCAGCTACTCAGGAGGCTGAGATGGGAGAATCACTTGAGCCTGGGAGGTAGCGGTTTCAGTGAGCCGAGATTGTGCCACTGCATTCCAGCCTGCACGACAGAGTGAGACCCTGTACCAAAAAAAAGAGAAAGGATTCCTTTGCTTCCATTCTCTCCAGAAAAAAAAAAAAATACTGGCAAGATTCTTGCCATCAAATAAAATCCAGAAAACCATTGGCCAGGCATGGTGGCTCACGTCTGGAATCCCAGCACTTTGGGAGGCTGAGACAGGAGGATCACGAAGTCAGGGGTTCGAGACCAGCCTGGCCAACATGGCGAAACCCCGTCTCTACCAAAAATACAAAAATTAGTTGGGCGTGGTAGCGGGCGCTTGTAATCCCAGCTACTCAGGAGGCTGAGGCAGGAGAATCGCTTGAACCTGAGAGGCAGAGGTTGCAGTGCCAAGATCATGCCACTGCACTCCAGCCTGGGCAACAAGAGCAAGACTCCATCTTTAAAAAAAAAAAATCCAGAACCATTAAGCCATCTTCTACTTTCCAAAGCAAGTTCACAATCACTAACTTGTGATTTTTATAGTGAAGTTTTTCTTAGTCCTAGAAGACTACCCATTAAAAATGGTAATTTCCAGAATGGAACACAATAGTGAAACCGCCTTTGCAAAACTATAACTGAGGAAATTATGACAGTGAAAGAAATCAGAACTAACTGGCTCTAGCTTGCTTTTAACCCTTAAGGAAGGTCCTTGTTCATTCCTGGGCATAGGCTGAACTAACTTTAGGAAGGAATTCAGTTCATGGTTTGACACTGAAACAAAACTGATAACAGACCCCCTTCTTGCCTGGGGTCCAGTCTGCCTCTGCAGGACTAACGAATTAGCTACAAGATTAGAAATTACAATTTAGGGGTCATGCAACCTCTGGGGTCTGAACCTCCCCAAATTGCTCCTGGGGATAACATCACTATTGTAAAACCTAAGATCAGTGCTGGAGATATTTTGTAGACCCTGCACTCGATAGATCAGCCGACACCACCCAGACCGGTAATCTGGCTCAACCAGCTCTGCCATCCCACCAGGGAACAGAAGACAGAGAGAAAGACTCACTTCAGCCCCCAGTGACTCCTTCTCCAACCTGACCAATCAGCACTCCCTACTTCCCAAGCCCCTACCCGCCAAATTATTTTTAAAAACTCTGATCCCCGACTGCTCGGGGAGACTGATTTGAGTAATAATAAAACTCCCATCTCCTGCAAAGCCGGCTCTGTGAGAACCACTGTTTTGCCATTGCAGTTCCCCTGTCTTGATAAATTGGCTCTGTCTAGGCAGCAGGCAAGGTGAACCCACTGGGCGGTTACAATAGTGCGCAATCACTGCTAAGTAAAAGATGACTTCGCACTGCAGCAACACGTCCAGGTGGAAGGCAACGCTGCCTTCTACAACGCTGCTTTGGGATATAAAATTTCCCCCAATTATTATTTCTAATTTCACTTTCTATAGTGGTATTTAGAGTCCTTTCCAACCCAAATTCAAAGCTGTTCTTCAGAGGCCAAGGCAAGAGGATCATTTGAGGCCAGTAGTTCAATATCAGCCTGGGCAACAGACCCCGTCTCTACAACAAATTTAAAATTTCGCCAGATGGGGTGGCATGCACTGTAGTCCTAGCTACTGGGGAGGCTGAGGCAGGAGGATCACTTGAGGCCAGGCCTTCAAGGCTACAGTGAGCTATGATGATGCCACCACAGTCCTGCCTAGGTGACAGAGGAAAATCCTGCCTCAAAAAACAAAACAAAACAAAAAAACCCAACTGTCTCGTATTAGGAACTCTCTGAAGAAAGTCTACTGCAGAGTGGGCAGGGGAGTGGTCAGCAGTAAAAGAGATGACATACATGAAGCTACCACATACCCACTCTGCCCCATTCATCTCATCTGCCCAGTCTTCCCACACACCCCACCCCCAGCCCTTTTGACCATGCTCTCTGGAAACAGAGATACACGGTTAGCAAGCCTCGTATCTTTCCTCTCTAGAAACCTAGTTACATGGTTAGCAGGCACTATATCCTCACAAGACTCCGGGTGCTCCCTATACCTTCACTTCCCCTAAGGCCTTTCAAGAGGTGCAATCTTCCCTCCCCCAACCTACATGCCTCAAGGACACAAGCGTTCCATGTTCTCTTTGTTCCCCAAGGCCGTTTCTGGGCCGCTCTCTTCTTGCCAAGACCCCAGCTTCTTTGAAACTCACACCTTGGGGCTCTATAGCCTGCTGTTCCCCATAGATGTCAGGGACTGATCTCCCTCGCACTCCCGTCCCATGGTCACCCAACCTCCATCCCCACCGCCAGGTGGATAAGCTCCCTCCTGGGCCTTTTCAGTTCCGGTTCTCTTCACCACCACCCTTCTCCTCCATCCCCCAATAAAAACCCACACAAGGCTGAAGCCTGGTAGCTGGATTTCAAATCTTCTACTTCCTTTCCTTGCAGATCACTTACCTGAATATACCACACCTCAACAGTCATCTGACCTCAACAAGGCTCCCAATTCAGTAGCCTTGTTTTTCCCTCATCCATCCCCCTCCTGTCCTCATTTCCTGCCTTACCAACTTAGAATCTACAGTGCCCTTCCTTGTCTCTGTCCTCCTCCTTCCCTGCACCAAAGCAGCTGAGTTTTGCCACAGAAAAATCACTCAAGCAGGCTGATTTCACTTTTTAGATTCAAAACCACAAACCTCAAAGGGCATGCAACACTGCCCAGCAAGCCTACCACACTTCCCAGTAATTTTGCTTTCTCAACCTGTGACAGCGATTTCACACTTCTCTTTTTAAACTTCCAACATCTTTCTCTCCTCCTTCCTCTGGTATCATACCTTTATGTCAACAATTCCCAGATTCATGGCTCTAACTTAGACCCTCCAGGATCCAAATGACCAATTAATATCCCTCCAAAATCTAAAACAGAACTCTTAGGCCAGGCACAGTGGCTCATGCCTGTAATCCCAGCACTTTGGGAGGCCAAGGCAGGAAGATCACTTGAGATCAGGAGCTCGAGGCTAGCCTGGCCAACATAGTGAAACTCTGTCTCTACTAAAAATACAAAAATTAGCCGGTTGTGGCGGCGTGTGCCTTGTAATCCCAGCTACTTGGGAGGCTGAGGCAGGAGAATCACTTAAAACCGGGAGGCAGAGGTTGCAGTGAGCCGAGATCAGGCCACTGCACTCCGGTCTGGGCGACAGAGTGAGACTCCATTTCAAAAAATTAAACAATAAGATAAAACACAACTCTTCATTTCTCCCTCCAAATCTATCCCTCCCCTGTGGAGTTCTAATTAGAGAAAAAGGAGTCAGGCTGGTGGGATCAGGGGAAACTAAAAAGAATAAGCAGATAAACTATAAGTCTGCCTTTCTTCGTGGTCCAGGACATATACCCCTCCTGAGCAAGTAACTCACAATCTTCCTGCACCCAGTAATCACCAGACACTCAGCTGATAGAAAAATGCAAGTTAGCTCAATGCAACCTTATTGTTATCTGTACTGCACAAAGCCCTCTTCAGCACACAGCACCATCCTATAAAATCTCCAGCAAGCTTTTATCTCCTTGCAGTCAGCTCCTCTCTTGCTGACCTGCCTGTTGCTTCCTTGCAAACATACTCTCAGACCTTCTCTAATAAATCTGCCTTTCTATACCTATAACTGTCTTGGTAAATTCTTCTCACTGCCTACACCACCAGCCCAGATAGTCACTGATCACCTGCAACATTTTGGTGGCCTGTATGGGGAACTCTCCTTACGGAAAACCCTCTCCCCTCCCTTTCTCTTTCCCAACTTGGAACTCTCAGTGGACAGCATCTAAGCAGGAAGATAACTGAAGGTCCTGGCTGGAGCTATACTCCAGTGGGACTGAAAGGTGTCCGTGTAACCTCCACCAGCCCAGATAGTCGCTAACCACCTGCAACAACCCTTGGTATTCCCTATCTCAGCAAAGGTACTGCCATTCCTTATAGTCAACCAAGGTAACTATGAGGTAGCCTTTACTTCTTTTCCCTTAACTTCTACATCCAACCCATTACTAAATCCAGTCCTTTTCACCTCCAAAATATATCCCAAATCCCAGCCTCCAGATGGATAAGCTCACTCCCCAGCCTCTCGGTTCTGGTCCTCTTCACCGCCACCCTCTTCTCTCCATCCTCACTGCCACCGCCCTAAGATAAACCACCAGCAGCATCTCCTACCTGCCTACCTTGACAGCTTCTGCTTAAAACCCTTTACTGCCTTCCCAAGACTGAGACAAAAAGACAGATTCTTTGCCACAGCCTTTAAAGCCTGTCTAACCTCTGCAGGTAAATAGGACGCTTAGGGCTGGGGAGGGACAGGGCTGACAGATGGGTTGGTACAGATGGAGGAGGAGCCTGCCTGAGCCAATATCTAAACTGCAGAGGTTGGGTTTTGTTTTATTTCATTACTTTTCAACTGGTATTATATGCCTAAGGTATAAATCAAAAGATATGGCTGGGTGCAGTGGCTCACACCTGTAATCTCAGCATTTTGGGAGGCTGAGGTGGGCGGATCACCTGAGGTCAGGAGTTTGAGACCAGCCGGGCCAACATGATGAAACTATGTCTCTACTAAAAATACAAAAATTATCCAGAAGCAGTGGCATGCGCCTGTAATCCCAGCTACTCAGGAGGCTGAAGCAGGAGAATCGCTTGAACCCAGGAGGTGGAGGTTGCAGTGAGCTGAGATCGCGCCACTGTACTCCAGCCTGGGTGACAGAGCAAGACTCCGTCCCAAAAAAAAAACTCAAAGGATACAACTTCCTCCTGTGTCCTCAGTCCACCCTGATCTCCTAACCAGTTTCTTTCACATCTTCTCTCTTTCCTTCAGGGGCACAATCTGTGCCTCTGCACACATACCAGGCAGAGCCCCCAAGATCACACATGCAAGCACACAGCACACACTATCTGTTGTGCATTTTCTTCACTTGCCAGAGGTTGGAGGTCCATCCATATCAGCACCTGCAGAGCTGAACACGTGCGCCGTCCTCACTGACATGAAGGAATCTTTAGATATTTAACCAGGCCCCCACTGGGCAGCTGGGTGGTTCCCAATCCTTTGCCAGGCCGCCTGGTGAGGATCTAGCTTGTCTCCTTTCTACTGTGCCCACCTACCTCCCACCCTCACCAACACCAACTCCCCACACCAAATCCCTCTCCTGTCCCTGAACCCATCAAGCCTCCTCTTGCTTCGGGCTTTGTGTTTGTTCTTCCACGAGAGGAGTGTTTTTGTCCTGCTTCTTGGCAAATGGCTTGCTCCTTCCTTTTCTTGGCTAGTCAATGAAATGTCACCCCCTAGAGTGAGCTCCCTGATAACCCTATCTAAAATGGTCTCCCCTGGTTACTACCTCTCTCATCTCTTTCGCCATTTCTTTCCTTCAGAGCATCTCTCCCAGTTATCTGGTTTAATTGTTTCCATGTCTACTGTTCATCTGTAAGCTCCATAAAAGCAGTGGCTCTCTGTGTCCTGAGTCTCACAGCCACATCCACAGGACCCAGCAGAGCACTGAGAACGATCAATAAAGATTTTTTGGGCCGGGCGCGATGGCTCACACTTGTAATCTCAACAGTTTGGGAGGCCAAGGCAGACAGACGGCTTGAGCCCACGAGTTCGGGACCAGCCTGAGCAATATGGTGAAACCCTGTCTCTACAAAAAATACAAAAATCAGCGGGGCATGCTGGTGCACACCTGTAGTCCCAGCTACTCGAGAGGTGGAGGCGGGAGGATCGCTTGAACCCGGTAGGTGGAGACTGAAGTGAGCCAAGGTTGCACCATTGCACTCCAGCCTGGGCAACAGAGTGAGACCCCATATCAAAAAAAAAAGTTTTTTTTTGAATCAATGAATTGGTTGACTGACAGCAGAACACTGAATGCTTACAAAGTACTAGGCACCATGCTAGGTACCTACCATGCATTACTGCATTTAGTTCTCTCAATGTTTTACAGATGAGAAAACAGATATTAGAAAGTAATCTCTAGGTCTGGTCCAGTGGCTCACGCCTATAATCCCAGCACTTTGGGAGGCCAAGGTGGGAGGATCACTTAAGCTCAAGAGTTTAAGACCAACCTTGGCAACATAGGGAGACCTCATTCATCTCTACAAAAAATACAAAAATCAGCCAGTTGTGGTGGCGGACACCTGTGGCCCTATCTACTTGGGAGGCTGAGGTGGGAGGATCACTTGAGCCTGGGAGGCTGAGGCAGCAGTGAGCCATGACTGCACCACTGCACTCCAGCCTGGGCGACAGAGCGAGACTCCATCTGAAAAAAAAACAGGGTCTCGCTCTGTCGCCCAGGCTGGAGGGCAGTGGCGTGATCTTGGCTTACTGCAACCTCCGCCTCCCAGGTTCATGCGATTCTTCTGCCTCAGCCTCTTGAGTAGCTGGGACTACAGGCATGCACCACCACGTCCAGCTAATTTTTGTATTTTTAGTAGAGACAGGGTTTCACCATATTGGCAAGGCTGGTCTCGAACCCCTGACCTCGTGATCCGCCTGCCTCAGCCTCCCAAAGTGCTGGGATTACAGGTGTGAGCTACTGTGCCCAGCCCTCATAAAATTTTTTAAAAAAGAAAGCAATCTCTCTCAAACGATGGAGTGCACATTCCAACTCAGATCTAATTCTAGATCCTATGTTATATCATTTAAGGGTAAAGGTTAAAATAGAAAATACTCCAAGCTGGATAAAATACAATAGTTAGAACTATCACACCCTTCATGCATTAAAAAAGAGCTATAAAGCCGGGCACAGTGGCTCATGCCTGTAACCTGAACACTTTGGGAGGCCAAGGCAGGTGGATCACGAGGTTAGGAGTTCAAGACCAGCCTGGCCAAAATGGTGAAACCCCGTCTCTACTAAAAATATAAAAATTAGCCAGGTGTGGTGGTGGGCACCTATAATCCCAGCTGCTTGGGAGGCTGAGGCAGAGAACTGCTTGAACCCGGGAGGCGGAGGCTGCAGTGAGCTGAGATGGTGCCACTGCACTCCAGCCTTGGTGACAAAGCGAGACTCCATCTCAAATTAAAAAAAAAAAAAAAAAAAAAAAAGAGCTATAAAAAAATAAAAATAGGCTGGGTGCGGTGGCTCACACCTGTAATCCCAGCACTTTGGGAGGCCAAGGCAGGTGGATCATTTGAGGTCAGGAGTTCTAGACCACCCTGGCGAATATGGCGAAACCCTGTCTCTACTAAAAACACAAAAATTGGCCAGGTGTGGTGGTGGGTGCCTGTAATCCCAGCTACTTGGGAGGCTGAAACAGGAGAATTGCTTGAACCCAGGAGGCGGAGGTTGCAGTGAACCGAGATCCCCCTACTGCTCTCCAACCTGGGCAACAGAGCAAGACTCTGTCTCAAAAAATAAATAAATAAATAAATAAAAGAACTAGCACACCTAAACTCAGAGGTATATACCAAGGATGGGGAAAAAAAACATCTTACTGGTAAGAGTGGTTCTCTTACACACTCAAAGGAGAGGGGCATTAGATGGGCAATTACTCACCTCCCAGACTTCAGTTTTTATGTCTGCACAGTAAAAAGATTATGTGTTTTCAAAGTGTAAAGAAGAATGTGGGAAATTATTAAATGTATAGTTGAGTTCACCATTTTTACAGTATTGTATATGTTGCAGTTTAGCGTCTCAATGCTCACACTCATACAACTATCTTTTTTTTTTTTTCAGAGACAGGGTCTCACTCTGTTACCCAGGCTGGAGTGCAGTGGCGTGATCATAGTTCACTGCAGCCTCAATCTCCTTCCTAGGTTTAAGCGATCCTCCTGCCTCAGCCTCCAAAGTTGCTGGGACTACAGGTGGGCACCATCACACCTGGCTAATTTTCTTAGTTTTTGTAGAAACAGGGTCTTGCTATGTTAACCAGTCTGGTCTTAAATTCCTGGCCTTAAGAGATAGATCCTCCTGCCTCAGCCTCCCAAAGCCCTAGGATTATGGGCATGAGCCACTGCACCCAGCCACAAGTATCTTTTTTATCCCACATTATCTCATACGAAGCCATTTACTTGAACCTCATAAATCCTTTTTATTCATTAATTCATCCGTCTTCCTGTAATTTTTATCTCTTCTTAAATTATCTCATTACCACAGGCATAAAATACTTGGCATTTATCTGTAAATATCTCTCATTTTATTCCAGGGTTTCCAAAACCACATTCTTCCTCCCTGTTTTTGGACATGTTCCAAAGACAACTAGTTTTCAAGATAAAAATCTTTCCCTCTTCTACCAAAGGATTTATAATCAAGTTAATGGTCACTGCAGTGACATGACATTAACACTGATGAACAGAGCACAAATCAGAACCTTAAACAATGAACAAGGCAGTTGATCCTGACAGCTAGAAAGCAGCAAGATACTGTTGACTTAACTTTTATAAAAGTATTGTTTCCGGGTCACCTTCTTAGGCAGAGACTCGAAATCAAACACTAATAGAAGAATGGTGTCATTCAAGAGACAAGCCAGGTATGGAATCTAAGACCCTCCACTTAAAAGTAGCTTCTCTGAATCTCAATTTCTGTTTTTTTTTTTGTTTTTTTTTTTTTGACAGAGTCTGAGGCCGGGCGCAGTGGCTCACGCCTGTAATTACAGCGCTTTGGGAGGCCAAGGCAGGCGGACCACGAGGTCAGGAGATCCAGATCATCATGGCCAATATGGTGAAACCCCGTCCCTACTAAAAATCCAAAAATTAGCCTGGCGTGGTGGCGGGCGCCTGTAGTCCCAGCTACTCGGGAGGCTGAGGCAGGAGAATCACTTGAACCCGGGAGGCGGAGGTTGCAGTGAGCCGAGATGGTGCCACGGCACTCCAGCCTGGGCGACAAGAACAAAAACTCAGTCTCAAAAAAAAAAAAGACAGAGTCTGGCTCTGTCACCCAGGCTGGAGTGCAGTGGTGTGATCTCGGCTCACTGCAACCTCCGCCTCCCAGGTTCAAGCGATTCTCCTGCCTCAGCCTCCCGAGTAGCTGGGATTACAGGCATGCGCCACGACGCCCAGCTAATCTTTGTATTTTTAGTAGAGACGGGGTTTCACCATGTTGGCCAGGCTGGTCTTGAACTCCTGACCTCAAGGAATCCACAGGCCTCGGCCTCCCAAAGTGCTGGGATTACAGGCATGAGACACCGCGCCCAACCCGAAGCTCAATTTCCTCATGTATTAATTAAATGAGATAATTTATATGGAGTTCTTAGTATAGAGCCTAGTATCCAAGAAACATCAAACAAACTGAAAAGAAATCATTTAAGCACCAAAGCACTGAAGACATTCCCTTCAACAACTGTTATATATATTTATGTATGTATAAATTTGTGTAAAGGTAGAAATAAACCGGTGGACAAAAAGATAACAACTGAATGATTTTGCTCACCCCAGGAACCACTCCTCCCTATAAACTATAAACTTTTCAGTAAGAGTTACCACGAGATAGCCTACCATCTTACATTTCAAAAAAACACTAAAAACTCCGGGGACACATTCCCATTATCTCCTGTCAAAACTGAGAATAAACAGAACACACCCTGCGAAGAATAAGGAGGGAATGACGAATAATTTGACCAAATTCCTTGACTGAGTTCATGCTAGTTACCAGAAAACAAAACCAGTCACTCACTGAGACCACGCTTCTTCTCTGACCTCTATACATCCTTTCCAAAGAGCTTCCTTCCCCACCTACCTGAAAAGCATCCCCTCTCCCCTGGTCCGAACGACAAGCCCTTTTCTGATCAAGTCAGAATCTCCCAGACCCACGGCCGGAGGACAGGCGGGCGAGGAGCACAAAAGCCTCTGCCGCATGGATCGGGGCCGGGCCGCAGGGTCCCCCGGGGGTCCTTCTCCTCCCCATCCACCCCATCGCAGCCTCCCCGTGACGGCCGGGACCCCAGGCCCGGGCCCAGGGAGGAGAAGGAGGGGGCGAGCGGCCGACCCTGCCTGGGCGCCCCACCCAAGGGGGGCCGCCACCTACATCTCCCCACCGCCCTCCCGACCCGGGAAGCCCCTCGGATTGGACCCGCCCCCGCCCCAGCAGGTCTTCGGCCCCACGCATCACCGCTTGCGCACCCGAGATCCGCAGTGGTCGCCGCTCTCCAGCCCCGGCTCCGCTCGCCGGGTCAGCTTGGCTCCGCTGCCCGCCTCCCCCGCCGCCAGCTCACCCCTGGCGGTGCGACCAGGGTTTCCGGACGCCCACGTGACCCTCCCGTCGCGGGGCACGCTGGGAGTTGTAGTCCCGCCACGCGGCCTCACCTGCCGGCGCGGAGGAGGGCGAGGAGGGCGGAGGCTGGGAGCCCACAGAACTCTGCTGCTGCGGACCTGGCCAGTAATGTTAGCTGCAAAAGACGAGAGGTAGAGAGAAGAAATGATATGGGGAGAACTGGTGCATCCTTTTTTTTTTTTTTTTTTTTTTTTTTTCAAAAAAGCGGTATTCGGTCTTTGTTTTTATAAAAAGTAACGTGCTGCTAAGTGTGCTACTGACCGGCCTAAATTTTAGGTGTCTAATTAAATGCAGGCCGGGCACAGTGGGCTCACGCCTGTAATCCAACACTTTAGGAGGTCGAGAAGGGAGGATCACTTGAACCCAGTAGTTCAAGACCAGCCTTAGCAACATAGCCAGACCCCATCTCTACAAAAAATGTTAAAATTAGCCAGGAGTAGTGGCATGTGCCTGTGGTCCCTGCTACTGGGGCGACCGAGGTGCGAGGATCGCTTGAGCCCAAAAGTTTGAGGCTGGCAGCTGTGATTGCTCCACTGCACCAGCCTGGGCAACAGAACGAGACCCTGCCTCCAAAAAAAAAAAATCCAACACAAGTGTCTCACACCTGTAATCCTAACACTTTGGGAGGCCGAAGTAGGAGCATCATTTGAGAACAAGAGTTTGAGACCAGCCTGGGCAAGGTAGTGAGAGCCGCCCCCCATCCACCACCACCACCGCCGCCACCGTTTCTTAAATAAAGGGAAAAAATACAGACACTTGTTCGAATTTTAAAGAAAAAAAACTTCTCTTAATCCAGAAAATCTCCACAACAACCATTACATACCTGTTCTCAAGATAAACAATCACTAGTCTTCAAATAACAGAACTTGACAACACCTTTTGTCAAACATAGTTCCTCCTTACTTAATAGTAGTAATTGGGGAGACCACTCATGTTGGCTTTATCCAGAAGCAAAACAAACTTCGCATAACTTTTTGTTGTTGTTGTTCGTTTTTTAAACTTCGCATATCTTTTTGTTTGTTTGTTTTTTGTTTTTGAGACGGAGTCTTGCTCTGTTACCCAGGCTGGAGTGCAGTGGCGTGATCTCAGCTCACTGCAAGCTCCGCCTCCCGGGTTCAAGGGATTCTCCTGCCTCAGCCTCCCGAATAGCTGGGACTACAGGCGCCCGCCACCACGCCTGGCTAATTTTTTTGTATTTTTAGTAGAGACGGGGTTTCACCGTGTTAGCCAGGATGGTCTCGATCTCCTGACCTCGTGATCTGCCCTCCTTGGCCTCCCAAAGTTCTAGCATTACAGGTGTGAGCCACCGCAGCCGGCCAAAGTTCGCATATCTTTATAGCAGGAGGTAGTTTTACAAATTGGAGCAAGGCGCCCATACCCACTAATTTAGTCTCTTACCCTCATGTAGGAACTGGAAGATACAGGCACTAACTCACGTCTGAATTTCAAAAAGATGACCCCCAAGTCCTTGAGGATACATTTCTGAGTTGTGATACTGGCAAGAGGCTCATTTCGCCGTTATAAAGATTTGTGTACATTCGAAAAGGACAGAGAAAGAAATTTTGAAGGAACAGAGAGAAGGCTGAGAAGTCTCTTTATTTTCAGCAGAGGAATTAAGCCTGTTATTTTTCATTTTTATTTGCCCTTATACAGTGGTAGTTTTGTTTCTAGCCCTTATACAGTGGTAGTTTTGTCTCTAGGCATCCAAGGAGAAATATGATGTCAGGGTGAGCAAAAATAAATGAGCCAAATATGTTACTTTTATTTTTAAAAATATATTGTGAATCGTTTATTTTTCAGCCTAAAAAAGGTAGCAAATTCTGACACATACTACAACATAGACGAACCTTCAAAAACATTATGCTAAGTGAAATAAGTCAGACATAAAAGGACCAGTACAGTACAGTTCCACTTATATGAGGTAGCCAGAGTAGTGAAATTCATAGAGTCAGAAAGTAGCATGGTGGTTGCCCATGGCTGGAGGGAAGGGGAAATGAGAAATTGTTGTTTAATGGCTATGGAGTTTCCGTTTGGGATGCCAAAAAAGTCCTGGAGATGGATGGTGATGTTGGTTGCACAACAATGTATTTAATGCCATTGAATTGTACACTTAAAAACGGTTAAAATGGTAAATATATATACATAGAGTGAAATACATAGTTTTTTGTGTTATATTTACATATGGGTGTATACATATATATGTGTGTGTGTATACTTCAAGTATATAACCTGTGTCACCACCACTCAGGGCTAGAATGCCTTCTTAGCCATGTGGTGGTGTGTATCTTTAATCCCAGCTACTAGGGAGGTTGAGGTAGGAGGATCACTTCAGCCGCACCTTTGGAGGCTGCAGTGAGCTATGATCGTACCACTGTGCTCCAGCCTGGGTGACAGAGGGAGACCCAGTCTCTTAAAAAAGAAAAAACAGTGTATATATACACACACATTTATACATATGAATGCCTTCTTTCCTGTAGCCCAAGCTATGCTCTTTGTATTTATAGTGACCTTGGTGGAGAGGGTTGGGTGGTAGACAGAGGTAAGATCTCTCTCCCCTTGACTTCCAAAACCATCAGGATATTTAAATATTTGTAACATTTGTTTTCTACCTGTAGATGTTCTCCAAGTGCTCAGTGGGTCTGAGTCAGGTGACTTTTTTTTTAAACAGTAACCACCCCAGGTGCGGTGGCTCACCCCTATAATCCCAGCACTTTGGAAGGCCGAGGCAAGTGGATCACCTGAGGTCAGGAGTTCCAGACCAGCCTGGCCAACATAGTGAAACCCCATCTCTACTAAAAATACAAAAATTAGCTGGACGTGGTGGCGGGTGCCTGTAATCCCAACTACTCGGGAGGCTGAGGCAGGAGAATCGCTTGAACCCGGGAGGTGGAGGTTGCAGTGAGCCAAGATCGCACCATTGCACTCGAGCCTGAGTGACAAAAGCTAAACCTTATCTCAGGAAAAAAAAAAAAAAAGTAACCATTACCAGAAGAAAGACAACATTTGGACACTGAACTTCATGACACTGACACCTAACAGGTTTTATTTCCTGATCACACATTTGGGGCGAATCTTTACCTACACTGGATTTCCACATTGTGCTGGTGGTTCTCACCCTGCAGCAATATTTGGCAGAGTCTTTTGTTTTCTTGCTATACCTGCCAGTGTTGAGTTTATCTCACTCAGAAGAGAGTATCCTGAAAATGGATATGTAACTGGAATTTTGGGTAAGACAAATATTTTCAAATTTATCTGAAGACATCATAGAAGTAATGTTCTTGGACAGTGAATAAATTGCCCTGTATTTCAGTGCTTCTCAAACGTTGCGGACCCCAGCCTACAGTTAAAAAGACATTTCAGGCCAGGCACGGTGGCCCACGCCTGTTATCCCAGCACCTTGGGAGGCTGATGTGGGAGGATTGCTTGATCCCAGGAGTTCGAGACCAGTCTGGGTAACAAAGTGAGGCCCTGGCTCTACAAAAAAATGAAATAAATAGCTGGGCATGATGGTGCACACCTGTAGTCCCAGATATACAGGAGGCTAAGGCAGGAAGATTGCTTGAGCCCAGGAGGTTGAGGCCGCAGTGAGCCATGACGGTGCCACTGCACTTCAGCCTGGGAGACAAAGTGAGACCCTGTCTCAAAAAAAACATTTTTTTTTTACATCACCCTGTAAAATATGCATGTGTACAACTGACCCAAACATTTTGCAAAACAGTAGTCACTGTTACTACACAAGATACATTCTGAAGTTGTTTCTTAATCCCTTCTTGTGAAAATGCTGGTTGCAACCCACAAAGGTTGATTTCATGACTCATTTATAGGTCTCAGCCCACAGTTTGGAAACAGGACACCGATGTAAATATTTTATCCAACAGGGTGTCTCTGTTTCAATTTTGCTTATTGTGTCTATAATGCCATTTAACTGCCTACATATCACATCCTATGTAGTGGAGAAAATCTGGTCCCTGTGATAGACATTGGGAGGCAGTTACTGTTCTAGACTCTGGGGAAAAAATAGTAAGGAAAATTCACCTCAGCTTTATGCTTCTACTGCCAGCATCTGGGACTGATAAACTTGAGGTTTTCTGGACGTCAACCTTTGCTCTATGGTAGAATTTTTGAGGGAGTGAGGCAGACATTTTCTTTTCAGCTTTTTCTTCTCATATACCTTCAAAGTTCTTTTAGTTTTGTTTTTGCTTCCTTCTCTTTGCATCATCTCCTTTCTCTGACTCCTCACAAAGAGATATTCAGATCTACAAAACAAAGACTTAAATTACTTACAATCTGGCCAGGTACGGTGGTTTCATGCCTTGTAATCCCAGCACTTCGGGAAGCCAAGGCAGGAGGATCACTTGAGCCCAGGAGTTTCTTCTCTTTTTTTCTTTTTTTTTTTGAGACGGAGTCTCACTCTGTCACCCAGGCTGGAGTGCAGTGGCGCGACCTTGGCTCACTGCAACCTCCACCTCGCAGGCTCAAGCGATTCTCCTGCCAGAGTAGCTGGGATTATAGGCTCACCACCAGACCCGGGTAATTTTTGTATTTTTAGTAGAGATGGGGTTTTGCCATGTTGGCCAGGCTGGTCTCGAACTCCTGACCTCAGGTGATCTGCCCACCTCAGCCTCCCAAAGTGCTGGGATCACAGGCATGAGCCACCATGCCTGGCCAAACCCAGGAGTGTCAAACCACCATGGGCAACATAGGGAGATCCCAGCTCTAAAAACAATAAATAGTGGGGCATGGTGGTGTATGACTGTAGTCCCAGCTACTTGGGAGGCTGAAGTGGGAGGCTTCCTTGAGCCTGGGATGTTGTGGCTGCAGTGAGCCATAATTATGCCTCTGCACTCCAGCCTGAGCCATAGAGCAAGACCCTGTCTCTAAAAAATATGTATATATAATAAAATAAATTACTTAAGATCTATATCCTCCTTTAGTTGGTGTTATCTCAACTAACAACCCTCAGGCCAGCTGTAGTCCCAGATATTCAGGAGGCTGAGGCAGGTGGATTGCTTGAGCCCGGGAGGTTGAGGCTGCAGTGAGCCATGAATGGTGCCACTGCACTTCAGCCTGGGTGACAGAGTGAGACCTTGTCTCCAAAAAAAAAAAAAAAATTTTTTTTTTACATCACCCAGTACAATATGCACATGTACAACTGACCCAAACATTTTGCAAAACAGTCGCTGTTACTACATGAGATACATTCTGAAATTGTTTCCTAACAAGGGACACCAGGACAAATTGAGAGCAAAGGACGCAAAAGCCCACAAGACAAGGTAAAGTAGAAGAAAGGAGCAGGGGCAGTGTCGTATGGGCCAGCACTGGTTTAATTCACTGGCTGTTCCTTCCTGTGAGGGCTTTCCGCTAGGCCGGCGAAGGCTGGTGAGAAAGCCGGCTCTGCGCCCTGCCCTGTGCTGGCCGCCCTCACCTGGCGCTTTGTACCCTGAGGCAGCTCCGGACTCAGGGCAGGTGGGAGGGATTGCACTTTCCTTTCACTTTCTCAGGACGCCAAACCCGACACCTGGGGCCAGAACTACACTTCCCACCAAGCAGCGAGGCAGGAGGAAGAAGGGGGCACTGGGGGGCTGAAAAGCAAACCCAGAAGAAAGCGAAAACATTACCTGCTGACCAGCAGAGGTGAGAGAGCGAGACAGGTAAGCGACAGGTGAACCAGGAAGGCGAAGGCTGCGGGATGCCGGCGGGAGGACATCATCGGGGTGGACGCTGCCTGTGCCTCCCAGCAAGGCTTGTAGGCTCAATGAAAGGGGGCTTTAGTGGAAACCCTGAGGACTCCTGAGGGTGGGGGGAGACATGGAAGTAAAGTCTCAGCTCAAGTTACAGTGATAAGACCAAGACACCGGAAGTGGAATGGCTGTCTTTAGTTGAAAAGTCAGACAGGAAAAAAGTGGTTTGATTGTGTCTGTTGTCTGCTGGATCATCTACCCATATGTGATTTCAGAGAGGTCCAAGAGAGGTATGGGATCCTTCTTCATCGCCTTAAAGCCCTGGGTTTTTGCATGCAGATTGGACATTTGAGTGCATTTTACCTTGTGTGATGAGACAGAGTGTCCTTGTCTATGACTTTAGAGAAAACCAAAGTAAAACGGAGAGGTGAAGAAGGATGTCACAAGGCAGGGGCAATTTGCAGCACATCAAATGTAATCATTAAGTGGGATCAGGTTTCAGTTACTTTTAGAGCAATTGGATGAGGAGTCCGAACACACTCTCAGGAAGAACAGTTAAAGAGGATGGGGATATTCTCCTTGGGGGAATATTCTTGCTGCTTCAAATATCTGATGGGCTGTCATGTGGAACAGGAATGTGATGTGTCTTGGCAGAGTAAGGATAGCACGGAGCTAGACAGATGGAAACCTCATGGAGGGAGGTGTCAATCCCACAGAAGTGAGAGCTGCCCAGTGCAAAATGGAAATTTTTCAGGAGGTAGTCAGTTCCTTGTGATCAGAGATATTTAAGCATAGGTGGACATTTAAGCCAGGGATGCTGATGGTGGGAGTAAGTTTCAGGTAGGTGACTTGGTCGATTGGTGTTTTCCAAACCTGGCTCATCATCAGAATCACCTGGGGAAGAGACAGAGCAAGAGGGGAGGGGAGGGGAGGGAAGAGAGACAGAGGTTTTTGGTTTTGTGTTTTTGTTTGTTTGTTTGTTTGTTTTTTGAAACGGAGTTTCGCTCTTGTTGCCCAGGCTGGACTGCAATGGTGCGATCTCGGCTCACTGCAACCTCTGCCCTCTGGGTTCAAGCCATTCTCCTGCCTTAGCCTCCCAAGTAGCTGGGATTACAGGTGCATGCCACCACGCCCGGCTAATTTTTTGTATTTTTAGTAGAGATGGGGTTTCACCATGTTGGCCAAGCTGATCTTGAACTCCTGACCTCAAGTGATCCGCCTGCCTCAGCCTCCCAAATTGCTTGGATTACAGGTGTGAGCCACTGCCCCTGGCCTATTTCTTATTATTTTAATAGAGATGGGCGGGGAGGGGGGGCGCAGGGCTCTCATTATATTGCCTAGACTACTTTCAACCTCCTGGCGTCAAGTGATCCTTCTGCCTCGGCCTGCCAAAGTGCTAGGATTACAGGCATGAGCGACTGCGGCCTGGCGCACTAAACATATTTTAAAGTTAAAAACACAAAACACAAAACCTGGCCCAGTGCAGTTTTGAGATCATACCACTGCACTCCAGCCTCGGTGACAGAGCGAGACTCTGTCTCAAAAAAAAAAAAAAAAAAAGAATACTAAGAAATAATTTTTAAAAGAACAAGGTAAAATATGTTTAGCAAGTCTGGGATGAGCTCCAAAAATATATTTTTTCAATGATATTCCCAGATAATTCTGATAATCAGTTAGTTTGTGAAACACTGTCATTAAAAACCTTTATTTTCCAGCCGGGCATGGTGGCTCATGCCTGTAATCCCAACACTTTGGGAGGTCAAGGCGGGCAGATCACCTGAGGTCAAGAGTTCCTAACCAGCCTGGCCAACATGGCAAAACCCTGTATCGACTAAAAATACAAAAATTAGCCAGGCGTGGTGGCAGGCACCTGTAATCCCAGCTACTTGGGAGGCTGAGGCAAGAGAATCGCTTGAACCCAGGAGGCGGAGGTTGCAGTGCAGTGAGCCAAGACCACACCATTGCATTCCAGCCTGGGCAAGAAGAGTGAAACTCTGTCTCAAAAAAAAAAAAAAAAAAAAAGGAAATATATATTTTTCAATGATACTCTCAGATAATTCTGATAATCAGTTAGTTTGTGAAACACTGTCATTAGAAACCTTAATTTTCTGGCGGCGCGTGATGGCTCAGGCCTGTAATCCCAGCACTTTGGGAGACTGAGGCAGGTAAATCACTTGAGGTCAGGCATTCGAGACCAGCCTGACCAACATGGTGAAACCCCGTCTCTACTAAAAATACAAAAATTACCTGGGTGTGGTAGTGCAGGTCTATAGTCCCAGCTACTCGGGAGGCTGAGGCAGGAGAATCGTTTGAACTGGAAGGCAGAGGTTGCAGTGAGCTGAGATCATGCCATTGCACTCCAGCCTGGGCGACACAGCGAGACTCTTTGTCTCAAAAAAAAAAGAAAAAAAAAAACCTTTGGTAAAATATGCCATAACCAGCCTTTGGTAAAATATGCCATAACATTATAGCCATGGTTTTAATTTTGAATATTCTCAAAATCCTAATTTCCTGGTCAAAAAAATTAGGCTCCAAACAGAACAAAAAGGTCATGTCACTCTTCCCCAAGCTGACTTACCAATCACCTCTTATCAGTCCTCGTTGCTAGCTACCTGGATGGTCAGTAGTTTTTTGTTTTTTGGGTGTTTTTTTTTTGAGGTGGAGTTTCGCTCTTGTTGCCCAGGCTGGAGTGCAAAGGCATGATCTCGGATCACTGCAACTTCCGCCTCCCGGATTCAAGTGATTCTCTGGCCTCAGCCTCCCGAATAGCTGAGATTATAGGCATGCGCCACCACACCCAGCTAACTTTGTATTTTTAGTAGAGATGGGGTTTCTCCACGTTGGTCAGGCTGGTCTCAAACTCCCAACCTCAGGTGATCCACCCACCTTGGCCTTCCGAAGAGCTGGGATTACAGGCATGAGCCATCGTGCACGGCCTGGATGGTCAGTCTTACAGCAGTTGGGAATCTTTCTCCCCAGGTGAAATTGACACTAGTGGGACCTCCAATGGCAGGTGAGTCACTGCTGTGGGCATTTCCTCTGCCATTCTCCTGCTCTCCGGGCACTCTGATGGAGCATGTGGCACCTCGTCTCCAGGCCTAGGATATATCACTGCTTTTATCTGATGGTGTTGACCGTCCACTGGACCCACCAGAGAATGGCAGTAGAACCTCTTTATTCCAAGAGCACCCCTAAAGTAAGATCAACACACGTAGGGCAGATGTCAGCTTATGGGGACAACTCCTCTGTGCCCGACTAGCATCATTAGCATCGTCCTCTCACAAGGATGTAGCACTGTGAAGGTAATGACCTCCCTTCGTCTTGTCTTGTACTGGATCCCCAGTTCCTGGTGCTGAATTCCATCCTTTCTTCCTAGTTCTGTTCTAGGTGGCAAGAACCATGCACTTCTCCAGCTCAGCCAGGGCAGCAGATGAGAACTTTGACTATTTGTTCAAGATTATCCTCATTGGGGATTCCAATGTGGGGAAGACGTGTGTGGTGCAGCATTTCAAGTCTGGAGTCTACACTGAGACACAGCAGAACACGATTGGAGTGGACTTTACCGTGCGTTCCCTTGATATTGACGGCAAAAAAGTGAAGGTCAGAGGGCACCGGGACGGGACTGGTTCCACCTTTTTTTTTTTTTTTTTTTTTTTTTTCCTTGAGACGGAGTCTCGCGCGATCTCGGCTCACTGCAAGCTCCGCCTCCCGGGTTCATGCCATTCTCCTGCCTCAGCCTCCAGCCTCAGCCTCCCAAGTAACAGGAACTACAGGCGCCCGCCACCACGCCCGGCAAATTTTTTTTTTTTTTATGTATTTTTAGTAGAGATGGGGTTTCATGGTGTTACCAGGATGGTTTCTATCTCCTGACCTCATGATCCACCCACCTCGGCCTCCCAGAGTGCTGGGTTACAGGTGTGAGCCACCGCGCCTGGCCAGTTCCACCTTTTTTAGCCAGAATTCCCAACAACAAAGCACATGTCTGAGCAATAAAAGATTTCAGTACAAAACATGAAATCATACAAATAGTGGAAGAAAACATGGGAGTATTTATTTTCTCATCATGGAATGGGAAAATCAGGCTTTAAATGAGACACGAACCCAGAAGCCAATAAGGAAAATACTGCTGAATCTAACTGTGAAGGTCAAATTTATACATTTCTCTAACTATATAAAGGTCAAATTTGCTTTTTTGGGGGGGTGGGGGAGTGTAGACAGGGCTTTTTGTTTTTGTTTTTGTTTTCTTGAGGCAGAGTCTCACTCCATCACCCAGGCTGGAGTGCAGGAGCACAGTTTCAGCTCACTGCAATCTCTGCCTCCTGGGCTCAAGCAATTCTCATGCCTCAGCATTCCAAGTAGCTGGATTTACAGGTGCACACCACCACACCGGGCTAAGTTTTGTATTTTTAGTAGAGATAGGGTTTCACTATGTTGGCCAGACTGGTCTCGAACTCCTGACCTCAAGTGATCCGCCCACCTCTACCTCCCAAAGTGCTGGGATTACAGATGTGAACCACCACACCCAGCCTGAGACAGGGTCTTGCTCTGTCACTCAGGCTGAAGTGCAGTGGCACAATCACAGCTCACTCCAGCCTCCATCTCCCCGACTCAAGCGATCCTCTCACCTCAGCCTCCTGAATAGCTGGGACCACAGGTGCACCCCACCATGCCCAACTCCTTTTTTAAATTTGTTGTAGAGACAGGATTTTCCTGTGTTGCTCAGGCCAGTCTCAAACTCCTGGGCTCAAACAATCCTCCCACTTCACCCTCCCAAAGTGCCGGGATTACAGGCGTGAGCCACCAAACCTGGCCTTAAAAGGTCAAATTTTCTAGTGGCCAGGCAAGGTGGCTCACACCTGTAATCCCAGCACTTCGGGAGGCCGAGGCGGGTGGATGACTTGAGGTCAGAAGTTCAAGACCAGCCTGGCCAACATGGTGAAACCCTGTCTCTACTAAAAATACAAAAATTATCCAGGCATGGTGGCGCGTGCCTGTAGTCCCAGTTACTTGGGAGGCTGAGGTACAAGAATCTCTCAAACCTGGGAGGCAGAGGTTACAGTGAGCCGAGATCATATCACTGCACTCCAGCCTAGGCGACAGAGTGAGACTCTGTCTCAAAAAAAGAAAGAGGTCAAATTTTCTGTGTACTCAAAAATGCCATAAACTGCCAGGCACGGTGGCTCATGCCTGTAATCCCAGCACTTTTGGAGGCCGAGGCAGGCGGATCACCCAAGGTCAGGAGTTCAAGACCAGCCTGGCCAACGGGGGGAAACCCCATCTCTACTAAAAATACAAAAAAATTAACCGGGCGTGGTGGCACATGCCTGTAATCCCAGCTGGTCAGGAGGCTTGAGGCATGAAAATTACTTGAACCCAGGAGGCAGAGGTTGCAGTGAGCTGAGATCACACCATTGCACTCCAGCCTGGGAGTCAGAGCAAGACTCTGTCTCAAAAAGATAAAATAGGCTGGGCGTGGTGGCTCACGCCTGTAATCCCAGCACTTTGGGAGGCCGAGGTGGGTGGATTACGAGGTCAGGAGATTGAGACCATCCTGGCTAACACGGTGAAACCCCGTCTCTACTAAAAATACAAAAAATCAGCCGGGCCTGGTGGCGGGTGCCTGTAGTCCCAGCTACTTGGGAGGCTGAGGCAGGAGAATGGCGTGAACCCGGGAGGCGGAGCTTGCACTGAGCCGAGATCATACCACTGCACTCCAGCCTGGGCAACAGAGCGAGACTCCGTCTCAAAAAAAAAAAAAAAAAAAAGATAATAAATAAAAATTTAAAAAATTAAAAAATACTTCAAAGAAATCAACAGAAAGGGCTAGATGAAGCAAGTAACAAAATCTCATTAATTATTGAATCTGGGTGATAGGTGTATGAGGTTCTTTTTTTATGTTTTTGAGACAGGGTCTCACTTTGTTGCCCAGATGGAGGGCAGTGGCGCATGATCTCAGCTCGCTATAGCCTCGACTTCCTGTGCTCAAGGAATCCTCCTGCCTCAGTCTCCCAAGTAGCTGGGACTACAGGCATGCGCCACCATGCCCAGCTAATTTTTGTATTTTTCTTTTTTTTTTTTTTTTTTTTTTTTGAGACGGAGTCTCGCCCTGTCACCCAGGCCGAACTGCGGACTGCAGTGGCGCAATCTCGGCTCACTGTAAGCTCCGCTTCCCGGGTTCACGCCATTCTCCTGCCTCAGCCTCCCGAGTAGCTGGGACTACAGGCGCCCGCCACGGCGCCCGGCTAATTTTTTGTATTTTTAGTAGAGACGGGGTTTCACCTTGTTAGCCAGGATGGTCTCGATCTCCTGACCTCATGATCCACCCGCCTCGGCCTCCCAAAGTGCTGGGATTACAGGCGTGAGCCACCGCGCCCGGCCTTTTTGTATTTTTCGTACAGATGGGGTTTCACCACATTGCCCAGGCTGGTCTCAAACCCCTGAGCTTAAGCGATCCGCCACCTCAGCCTCCCAAAGTGCTGGGATCACAGGCATGAGCCACTGCACCCAGCCTCATTTTTCTATTATCTCTAGCTTTGGTGTATGTTTGCAAACTTTCTCTAAAAAATAAATTTTATATAAATAGTATGAGAATATGAAGAAATTGCTACCCTCAGACACTGTGAGAGGCTGTGTGAATTGGTGCTGCCGCTTGGGTGGCTAATTTGGGAGGTATTATTGTGAGAACATTCCAAACATGAACAGCTTGAGTGTTCCTTTAAAATCAGAACAGTTCGGCCAGTATTATCACCTTTGCCAGTATTCAGATCCACGGGCAGACTCAAAAGATGAGCCCCCAAATCTGGACCAAGTGATGAGTCAGGAGAAAAGGCAAAGAACACAAGACCCCAGGATAAAATAGGCCCACCTCTCGGCCGGGCGCAGTGGCTCACGCCTGTAATCTCAGCACTTTGGGAGGCCGAGGCCAGCAGATCACAAGGTCAGGAGATCGAGACCATCCTGGCTAACACGGTGAAACCCCGTCTCTACTAAAAATACAAAAAAATTAGCTGGGCATGGTGGCGGGCGCCTGTAGTCCCAGCCACTCGGGAGGCTGAGGCAGGAGAATGGTGTGAACCTGGGAGGCGGAGCTTGCAGTAAGCTGAGATGGCGCCACTGCACGCCAGCCTGGGCGACAGAGCGAGACTCCATCTCAAAAAAAATAGGTCCATCTCTCTGACAGCAGCATCCCTTAAATCGGCTGTCCAAGCTTCTGGTTTCCCTGGGCCATGTTGGAAGAAGAATTGTCTTGGGCCACACAAATTACACTAACACTAATGATACCTGATGAGCTAAAAAAAAAAAAAATGCAGAAAAACTCATAATATTTTAAGAAAGTTTGAAAATTTGTGTTGGGCTGCATTCAAAGTTGTCCTGGGCCAAATGTGTCCCGTGGGTTGCGGGTTGGACAAGCTTGTCTTAGATGGTCGTTCCCCAACCAAGGAGGATATCCAAGTCATCCAGGGAGCAACTGAAAGAATAGATCCCTGGGTCCCACCCCAGATCTACTGGGTCTGAATATCTAGAAGTGAGACCCAGAAAACTGTGTTTTTAAGAAGATGTAGGTGAAGGAGTTCCCATTACCTGTGGGAACCCCTGATTTGGACTCTCCTTCCTGTCCTTCTCCAGATGCAGGTGTGGGACACAGCTGGCCAGGAGCGCTTCCGCACCATCACCCAAAGCTACTACCGCAGTGCCCACGCAGCCATCATCGCCTATGACCTCACCCGGCGGTCCACGTTCGAGTCCATCCCTCACTGGATTCATGAGATAGAGAAATATGGAGCTGCAAATGTGGTCATTATGCTGATTGGTATGGCATTTTTGAAGTTTTTAACTTTTGTTTACTCTCCTCTGAGGATGCTCAGCTTTCTGCATGTTTCTAATGACAGTGGAAAATGAAATCTTAAAAGTGTAAGTGATGCAGCCGGGCACAGTGGCTCACACCTGTAATCCCAGCACTTTGGGAGGCTGGGGCGGGCGGATCACGAGGTCAGGAGATCCAGACCATCCTGGCTGACACGGTGAAACCCCGTCTCTACTAAAAATACAAAAAAATTAGACAGGCGTAGTGGTGGGCGCCTGTAGTCCCAGCTACTCGGGAGGCTGAGGCAGGAGAATCGCTTGAACCCAGGAGGCAGAGGTTGCAGTGAGCCGAGATTGTGCCATTGCACTCCAGCCCGGGTGACAGAGCAACACTCCGTCGGGGGGAAAAAAAATGTGTAAGTGATGGATAGGGCCTCAGAAAGTGCCTTTAAGCTGGATGCCACCATGCCCAGCCCATTTTTTTTTTTTTAATTTTTTGTAAAGACGGGGTTTTGCCATGTTGCCCAGGCTGGTCTCGAACTCCTGGGCTGAAGTGATCCCCCTGCCTGGCCCTCCCAAAGTGCTGGGATTACAGGCATGAGCCATTGTGCCTGGCCCTTTATTTTTATTTTTGACATCTCTACTGCAGAGTGAACAGGTGAGTTTTGTTTTTTAATTTTTTATGGGTATCTAGTAGGTATATCTATTTATTGGGTACAGTGGGTTCTTAAAAAGAAAGAAGAGGCAATTTCTAAGTGTTTACCAATAATTTACATTAAAATACATAAACATAGATGGGGCGTGGTGGTTCATGCCTGTAATCCCAGCACTTTGGAGGGCGAGGCAGGTAAATTGCTTGAGCCCAGGGTTTCAAGACCAGCCTAAGCAACATGGCAAAACCTCATCTCTACAAAAAATAAAAAAAATTAGCTGAGCGTGGTGGTGCACACCTGCAGTCCCAGCTACTCAGGAGGCTGAGGTGGGAGGATTGCTTGAGCCCAGCAGGCAGAGGTTACAGTAAGCTGAGACTATACCATTGCACTCCATATGGGTATCCAGTTTTCCCAGCACCACTTATTGAAGAGACTGTCCTTTCGCCAACATATGTTCTTAGCACCTTTGTCGAAAATGACTTTACTGTAGATGTATAGATTTATTTCTGGATTCTGGATTCTGTTCCATTGGTCTATGTGTCTGTTTTTATCAGTACCACACTGTTTTGGTTACCATAGTTCTGTAGTATAATTTGAAGTCAGGCAATGTGATTCCTCTAGGTTGGTTCTTTTTGCTCAGGGTAGCTTTGACTATTCTGAGTCTTTCATGGTTCCATATAAATTTTAGGATAATCTTTTCTATTTCTGTGATGAATGTCTTTGGGCCAGGCACGGTGGTTCATGCCTGTAATCCCAGCACTTTGGGAAGCTGAGGCGGGAGGATAGCTTGAGACCATCCTGGTCAACATAGTGAGACTTCATCTCTACAAAAACTAAAACAAAACAAAATAGTGAGATGTGGTGGCACAGGCCTATAGTCCCAGCTACTTGAGAGGTTGGGGTGGGGGGAATCACTTGAGCCTGGGAATTTGAGGCTGCAGTGAGCTGTGATCATACCACTGCATTCCAGCCTGGGTGAGAAAGCAAAACCTGGTCTCTTAAAAAATAAATAAATAAATAATAAAAGGCAACTGTTATGTCCTAGTAGAGCAAAGATGGGAGAGCTGTGCCATGGCATACAAACGGCCGGGGTGGACAGGTAGATGCAGCCCATGCCCTCCAGGGACAAAAGGAAACCCAGCAATGGTGGCTCCCAGAGAAAGGCGGAATGCACGCATCTCACTTGGGAATGAAGCAGTTCTAAGCTACATGCGGTTTCCCCAGGAATGTGGACCAGATCCACCTTTGTATTAAGGTCATGCATCTCGAGGACACAGTGGAGGCAGTTCTTCCTCAGGGCTGAGTGGGAAGCTGCCCAACCTCAGATGCCTCCCTCTGTGCTACCTTCTCTCTTTTTTTGAGACGGAGTCTTACTCTGTTGCCTAGGCTGGAGTGCAGTGGCATGACCTCGACTCACTGCAATCTCTGCCTCTCGGGTTCAAGCAATTCTCCTGCCTCAGCCTCCCAAGTAGCTGGGATTACAGGCTCCCGCCACCACACTCAGCTAATTTTTATTTTAGTAGAGACAGGATTTCACCATGTTGGCCAGGCTGATCTCGAACTCCCGACCTCAGATGATCTGCCTACCTCAGCCTCCCAAAGTGCTGGGATTACAGGCATGAGCCACCACCCCCGGCCCCTCTGTGCTATCTCTGAAGGCAGCGACCTGTCTCCAGCCCACAGGATCCCAGCTGCCTCTCCCCCAGCCAGCTCCGTCTTTAATCACTCTGTGAAACAGATGCATCAGAGAAGGGTGACAGATGCCAGGATGTTGCAGGATTTCCAGGAATCTCAGAATGTTTGCTTGGTATTTATACCCTAGTCTGTCTTTCATAACAAGCATCTCTGCCTCACTTCTTCCTTGGTTCTAGAAATGCCCCCAAAGATGATTTGGAGTGTCCTAGTCTCCCAGTTTATAAGGTGTCCATGCCAGAGGGCTGACACAGCAGCCTTCCTGTTTTCTGTTCGTGGCCTCCCTGCCTGAATCCAGAAAAATTCGTGTTGTCCCTCACGGAAGTGTCCCGGCACACATTGCCTCATACACGTGCTTCTTTCTGTCTCAGAAGTTTATCCCCAGCTCCTTGAAGCCACTTTATCAGCACAGGAATGACCCCGGTGTCAGGGGTTGATTGCATGTTGATTTATACAGCTGTTCCTCCTCTAGCTGGCTACAGGGGGCCCAGCTCCTCCTAATGTCCCCATGTAAAACCCTCAGAGGCCCCCATTTCCCTTAGAATGATGTACATATTCCTGAACATGGTTCACAAGGTACTTCAGGTCCCAGCCCTGCTTTCTTCTGGGGGTGTCTGGCTTCCCATCTTTCTCCTACCCTCACTCCATCAGACCTGACCTCTTTTTTTTTCTTTTCTTTTCTTTTCTTTTTTTTTTTGAGACAGGGTCTTGCTCTGTCGCCCAGGCTGGAGTGCAGTAGTGCAATCTCGGCTCACTGCAACCTCCACCACCCGGGTTCAAGTGATTCTCCTGTCTCAGCCTCCCAAGCAGCTGGGATTACAGGCACCTGCCATCACGCCCAGCTAATTTTTGTGTTTTTAGTAGAGACAGGGTTTCACCATGTTGGCCAGACTGGTCTCAAACTCCTGACCTCAAGTGATCCACACACCTCGCCTCCCAAAGTGCTGGGATTGCAGGGAGCCAACCTTTTTTGTAGGTTATCCTGGATGCTCTGTCTCATAACTTTCTTCAACATCTGATATTTGTCCCTCTAAAGATCTCAGCCAAACTTTCCACTTAAAGTCCTGTTATATTACAGGTCCACAATCACTCAACAAAAACCCTCAGGGCCAAATATTTCAGAGTTCAGAATTTGTCAGATTTTAGAAAAATGTACTCTGTGTTACATAACACCCTCAGCAGGGTCTGGGCCAATGCCGCATGGCCAAATACATTACTATTTATGCAGTCAGATGTGTAAATAGTCATACAGAGCAGGTTGAATAAAATCTTCAATGCTGGGCATGGTGGCTCATGACTGTAATCTCAGCACTTTGGGAGGCCAAGGCGGGCGGATTATTTTGTAATAAAAATACAAAAATTAGCCAGATGTGGTGGTGCACGCCTGGAGTCCCAGCTACTCAGGAGGCTGAGGCAGGAGACTTGCTTGAACCCGGGAGGCGGAGGTTGCAGTGAGCTGAGATCACACCAGTGCACTCCAACCTGGGTGACAGAGCAAGACTCTGTCTCAAAAAAAAAAAATTATTCAAGCCAGGTGTGGTGGCTCACGTCAGTAATCCCAGTAGTTTGGGAGGCTGAGGTGGGGGGTTGCTTAAGGCCAGGAGTTCAACATCAGCCTGGGCAACATAGCAAGACCCCATCTTTATTTTTATTTTTAAAACAAACAGCCGGGTGCAGTGGCTCACGTCTGTAATCCTAGCACTTTGGGAGGCCAAGGCGGGCAGATCACCTGAGGTCGGGAATTCGAGACCAGCCTGACCAACATGGAGAAACCCCGTCTCTACTAGCTGGGCTTTGTGGTGGGCACCTGTAATCCCAGCTACTCAGAAGGCTGAGGCGGGAGAGTCGCTTGAACCCAGGAGGTGGATGTTGCAGTGAGCCAAGATCACACCATTGCACTCCAGCCTGAGCAACAAGAACAAAACTCTGTCTAAAAAATCAATCAATCAATCAAACAAAAAAAAACTTCAAATAGCTAGTTTAGCTCAGATTTTACTGTCAAATGAATTATCAAGAAATGCACTGGTTACAGCTGCCCAGGAGTGGAGTTTCAGAGTTTAGGGGATTTGGGGGTTGTATACCAGTACTACAAACAACTCATGCAGCTCACCGGGTCCATAGCATATGTTATTTTATTGCTGTCTTGGATTGGTACATTCTTGTCTGGCCATTTAATGTTCTGTGTGTCTGTCTTGCCTCCCTAACAAAATGAAGAAGCCCTTCCTTGGGGCAGGGCCGTCTGTCACTGTGCACTTAGCAAACTTCAGATCCTTTCCCTTCCTCCAGGCACCTGGCTCACCCCAGAGTGTGCAGCCCTGGCTGTTGGCGGGTGGACCCGTGGACATCAGCACTGTTGATCTAGTTGTGGTGGAGGAGCAGGTGGAAGGAGCAGGTCATAAAAGTTAGAATCCAGCTGGGCGCCGTGGCTCACACCTATAAATCCCAGCACTTTGGGAAGTTGAGGTGGGAAGATTGCTTGATGCCAGGAGCTTGAGATCAGCCCAGGCAACATAGTGAGACCTCCGTCTCTACAAAAAATAAAAAATTAAGCCGGGTGCGGTGACTCACACCTGTAATCCCAGCACTTTGGGAGGCCGAGGCAGGTGGATCACTTGAGGTCAGGAGTTTGAGACCAGCCTGGCCAACATGGTGAAACCCCATCTCTACTAAAAATACAAAAAAAAAAAAAAATCAGCCAGGTGTGGTGGTGAGTGCCTATAGTCCCAGCTACTTGGGAGGCTGAGGCACAAGAATCACTTGAACCTAGGAGGCAGAGGCTGCAGTGAGCCGAGATCGCACCACTGCACTCCAGCCTGGGTGACAGAGCGAGACTCTGTCTCAAAAAAAAAAAAAAAAATTAGCTGGACTCAGTGGTGTACGCCTATAGTCTCAGCTACTCTGGAGACTGAGGTGGGCACATTGCTTGAGGCTAGGAGTTCAAGGCTGCAGTGAGCTATGACTGAGCCACTGTGCTCCAGCCTAGGTAACAGATGGAGACCCTATCTCTTAAAAAAAAAAAAAAAATCAAATCCACAGATGGAGTGGGATGCAGGGAGTAGATCAGATTCCTGGCTGCAGGGGTTCCTTTTCCCACCACATCCCTTCTTCCACCAGGGACTGTCATTCCTTTCTTCTAGAAGCAGAGCTCAGCCCAGAGCTTCAGGCTCACCAGCTAAAAACACACGCATGGTTCTCTTGAAGGTGCATGCTATACGAGCTTCCTGTGGCTGCTGTAACCAACTGCCACGAGCTGGGGGCTGAAAACAACAGATGTGTTCACCCACTGTTCTGGAGGCCACAAGTCTGAAATCAGTCCTGCGGGGCTGAAATGGAGGTGTCAGCAGGGCCGTGCCCCTCTGGACGCTGTAGGGGAGACTGTCCCTCGCCTCCTCTGGCTTCTGGTGCCATCTTTGGCTCTGTGTGCCTCACCTTTTCCTGCCTGTGTGGGATCAAGTCTCCCTCTACCTCCCCCTTGTAAGGTTACTTGTGATTGCATTCAGGGCCTGCCCAGCTAGTCCAGAATAATCTCCCCATCTCAAGATCCTCAAATTAATCACACCTGCAAAGACCCTGTTAGCATTGACAGCTGCCTGAGGCCAGAGCCTGGTCTCCATGGGCCCCCGTTCCTAGCCTATTGTAGCACTCAAATGTGCTAATGTCTGCTGAAAATGGTCTTGGATTTAAACTTCTTTGGGGATCATTATGATCTAAGTCCAGCTTTGACACTGGGCAGGTTGGTGACAGTGACTATGGGAAAAGATTTTCAAAATATTTTTTATTGGGACATATTAATGTATATAAAGAAAAGTACACATTAATTTATCTCAAAGGGAACAGCTGAGCAAACACCAGCTGGGTCAAGACAGAGAATATTGGCCAGGTGCAGTGGTTCACACCTGTAGTCCTAGCACTTTGGGAGGCTGAGGCGGGTGGATTGCCTGAGCTCAGGAGTTGGAGACCAGCCTGGGCAACATGGTGAAACCCCGTCTCTGCTAAAATACAAAAAAAAAAAAAAAAAAAAAAAAAATTAGCCGGGCGTGGCAGTATGCACCTGTATGTAGTCCCAGCTACTCGGGAGGCTGAGGCAGGAGAATTGCTTGAACCCGGGAGGCAGAGGTTGCGGTGAGCCGAGATTGCGCCACTGCACTCCAGCCTGGGTGACAGAGACAGACTCTGTCTCTTAAAAAAAAAAAAAAAGAAGAATATTGACTGGGTGTGGGCTCACACCTGTAATCCCAACAGGGATTTGGGAGGCAGAGGTCGGACCAGCCTGAACAACATAGGGAGACCCGATCTCTACAAAAAAATTACAAATTAGCTGGGTATGATGGCATGCGCCTGTAGTCCCAGCTACGCAGGAGGCTGAATTGGGAGGATTGCTTTAGCCCAGGAGGTAGAGTCTGCAGTGAGCTGTGATCACACCACTGCACCACAGCCTGGGTGACACAGTGAAACCCTGTCTCAAAAAAAAAAAAAAAGAATATTGCCAGCCCACTCTTCTCCCCCACCAGCTTTCACTTTATTACTCCACACTCCTTCTGCCCCAAAGGCAAGTGCTTTTATGATAAACACTTCTTTGCTTTTTTCTTTTTTAATCATTTTACTACCTAAGCCCACATCCCTAAATACTGCAGTTTTGTTTTGGTGGGTTTTTTGTTTGTTTGTTTTGTGGTTTGTTTTTTTTTTTTTTTTGAGATGGAGTCTCACTCTGTTGCCCAGGCTGGAGTGCAGTGGCGTGATCTCAGCTCACTGCAAACTCCACCTCCCAGGTTCAAGTGATTCTCATGCCTCAGCCTCCCAAGTAGCTGGGATTACAGGCATGTGCCACCACGCCCAGCTAATTTTTGTATTTTTAGTACAGATGCGTTTTACTATGTTGGCCAGGCTGGTCTTGAACTCCCCACCTCAAGTGATCCACCCACCTCAGCCTCCCAAAGTGCTGAGATTACAGGTGTGAGCCACTGTGCCTCGTCTTGTTTTGCTATTGTTTTGTACGTTATATATAAACAAAATCATACCTTTTTGCCTAAGTTTCTTTCCCTCAATATTGTTTAACAGTTTCATCCATCGTTGCATGTGGCTGTAATCTATTCTTTTGTATAATTCGTATACTATTCCTTTGCAAGAACACCCTACAGAGTATTTCTCTGTTCTCTTGGCAATGGACATTTGAGTTGCTTCTATTTTGGGGCAACTAGGAAAATTGCTGCTCCGAACATTCTGGTATATGTTTATTGATGCCGATGGGCACACATCTCTGTTGAGTAATACCCAGGAGCAAAATTGCATGGTCATGCAGCTCTAGATAATCTCAAACCACTTGCCAGAGTGGTCGTTCTAGTGTGTACTCCCATCAGCAGTGTGTGTGGGTTTCAGTTGTTCTACATCCTCACCAACATCTGGTGCTATTAGTCCTTTTACTTCCATGCATCCTGAGAAGTGTGTCATGAGATCACTAGTGTTTTTCATTTGCATTTCCCTGTTTATTAATGAGATTGAACACCTTTTCAGGTGTTTGTTAGCTATTCGGATATCCTCTGTTGTGAAATACTTTTCAAGTCCAAGGCCTATTTTTCTGTTTGTTATCTTTTTCTTGTCAATTCCTAACAGTAGCTTATATCTTCTGAAAATGAGTCTGTGTCAGTGTGGGTCCTCCAGGAAGCAGATGTTGGGACAGGATGAGATAGACATGCAAGAGATTTACTGGGAGAAACAGCTGTGAGGGATAAAGAAGAAGGAGCAGGGCTGGGCACAGTGGCTCATGCCTGTAATCCCAGCACTTTGGGAGGCCGAGGCAGGTGGATCACCTGAGGTCAGGAGTTCGAGACCAGCCTGGCCAACATGGCGAAACCCCGTCTCTACTAAAGATACAAAAAATAGCTGGGCGTGGTGGTGGGCGCCTGTAATCCCAGCTACTCAAGAGGCTGAGCCAGGAGAATCGCTTGAACCCAGGAGGCAGAGGTTGCAGTGAGCTGAGATCGCACCATTGCACTCCAGCCTGGGCAACAGAGTGAGACTCCATATCAAAAAAAAAAAAAAAAAAAGAAGAAGAAGAAGGAGCAGAAGGAGGCAGGGAGTCTTCTATGAGATGTAGACCTGCCCCTGGGAAGGAGAGAACGGAGGAAGGATGGCTTAGTAGGTAGGAAGAGTCTTAGACTAAGCACAATTCAAAGAAAGTTTATTTTTCAGGCAGTGGGGTGCTCAAAAGCCAAGGTTGCCTGATAGAGGAATCGAATCCTGCATCCTGCAGCATGGATGTGCATGAGTGCCCTCATGGTATGGGGGATGGGGTGCTGTCCCCACTAGGGCGCTGCACTAGGGTCCTGTTGGGCTGTCTGTGACCTGCATTCTGGGCACTAGGTTCTCTTGAAGGAGGCCCCAGCCCTTTGTCAGTTACATATGTTGCAAACATCATCTTCCACCCTGTGGAGTAACTTTTCCCTCTCTCTTCTTAAAAATACCTGAAGGAAGGAATATTTTGGTTTTCTTATTTTTTATTTTATTTTTATTTTTTTGAGACTGAGTCTTGCTCTGTCGCCCAGGTTGGAGTGCAGTGGCGCGATATTGACTCACTGCAACCTCCACCTCCCGGGTTCAAGCAATTCTCCTGCCTCAGCCTCCTGAGTAGCTGGGATTATAGGCGCCCACCACCACACCCAGCTAATTTTCGTATTTTTAATAGAGACGGGGTTTCACCATGTTGGTCAGGCTGGTCTTGAACCCCTGACCTCATGATCCACCCGCCTTGGCCTCCCAAAGTGCTGGGGTTACAGGCATGAGCCACCACGCCTGGCCTTTTATGTTTTATTTTTTATAGATAGGGTCCAACTCTGTCACCCAGGCTGGAGTGCAATAGTGCCATCCTAGCTTACAGCAGCTTCGAACTCCTGGGCTGAAGCAATCCTCCTGCCTCAATCTTCCAAGTAGCTGGGACGACAGGCACATTCCAACATGTCCAGTTAGGTTGTTTTGTTTTGTTTTTTGAGACAGAGTCTTGATCTGTGACCCAGGCTGGGGTACAGTGGCCCAATCTTGCTTCACTGCAACCTCCACCTCCTAGGTTCAACGATTCTCATGCCTCAGCCTCCCAAGTAGCTGGGATTACAGGCACGTGCCACTACGCCCAGCTAATTTTTATATTATGAGTAAAGATGAAGTTTCACTATGTTGGCCAAGCTGGTCTGAACCTGGCCTCAAGTGATCCACCAACCTCAGCCTCCCAAAGTGCTGAGATTACAGGTGTGAGCCACCATGCCCAGCCCCAGCTAGTTTTTTATTATGTTTTGTAGAGATGGGGTCTTGCTGTATTGCCCAGGCTGGTCTTGAATTCCTGGGCTCAAGTGATCCTCTTGCCTCGGCTTCCCAAACCACTGGGTTTACAGGCATGAACCACTATACCCAGCCTTTTCGTCTCTTGATGGTGTATTGTGATGAACAGACACTCTTAATTTTAATATATTTCAATCTATTGATCTTTTCTTTAATAATGATTGCTTCCTGTGTCCTATTTAGGAAATTTTTTCTTAATTGAAATCATCAAGATTATATTACCTTTTAAAGTTTAATTGATTGATTATTATCATTACTCTGCCTTTTACATTTAGATCTACCTGTAATTGATTTTTTGTGTATGGTGAAAGGTATGGGTCCAAAATTTTTCTGTATAAAGATCTAATTGTCTCAGTACCATTTACTAAAAAGGCAACCTTAGCCAGGCACAGTGGCTCACGCCTGTAATCCCAACACTTTGGGAGGCTGAGGTGGGCTGATCACCTAAAGTCAGGAGTTCAAGACCAGCCTGGCCAACATGGTAAAACCCCATCTCTACTAGAAAAATACAAAAATTAGCTGGGCGTCGTGGTGGGTGCCTGTAATCCCAGCTACTCGGGAGGCGGAGGCAGGAGAATCACTTGAACCTGGGAAGTGGGGGTTGCAGTGAGCCAAGATCATGCCACTGTACTCCAGCCTGGGCAACAGAGTGAGACGCTGTCTCAAAAAAAAAAGGCAACATTTTCCACTGCTCTGTGGCACCATCTTTTTGTAGAGTACACATTTATACATGAGTTTGTTTCTGAGCTGTTTTTCCTCTCCATTGATCTAGTCCATTCATGCTCTTGGGAGTGAAAATATCCTCAATATTACAATGGTTTATGGCCCTCCAAAGGGCCATACACAGTACATCTGTGGTATTACATTTTCATAGGCCAAGATCACTCCACTGCACTCCAGCCTGGGCAACAAAGTGAGACCCCATCACCAAATAAAAAAAAATTAGCCATGGGTGGCGGTGCATGTCTGTAGTCCTAGTGATTTGAGAGGCTGACTGCTTGAGCCTAGAACGTTAACGCTGCAGTGAGCTATGATCATGCTACTGCACTCCAGCCCAGGTGGCAGGACAAGACCCTGTCTCAAAAAAAATGAATAAATAAAGGCCAGGCACCGTGGCTCACACCTGTAATCCCAGCACTTTGGGAGGCCAAGGCGGGTGGATCACTTGAGGTCAGGAGTTCAAGACCAGCCTGGCTAACATGGTGAAACTCTGTCTCTACTAAAAATACAAAAATTAGCCAGGCATGGTGGTGTATGCCTGTAATCCCAGTTATTCGAGAAGCTGAAGCGGGAGAATCTCTTGAAACTGGGAGGCGGAGGTTGCAGTGAGCCAAGATAGCACCACTGCACTCCAGCCTGGGCGACAGAGCAAGGCTCTGCTCAAATAAACAAATAAATAAATAAGGTAGATGGTTAAACAAATATTGGTCCTTGGCTGGGCGTGGTGGCTCACGCCTGTAATCCCAACATTTTGGGAAGCCAAGGTGGGCAGATCATCTGAGGTCGGGAGTTCAAGGCCAGCCTGGCCAACATGGTGAAGCTCTGTCTCTACTAAAAATACAAAAATTAGCTGGGCATGGTGGCATGCGCCTGGAGTCCCAGCTACTCAGGAGACTGAGGCAGGAGAATTGCTTGAACCTGGGAGGCAGAGGTTGCAGTGAGCCAAGATGGTGCCACTGTACTCCAGCCTGGGTAACAGAGAGAGACTACATTTCAAAAAAAAAAAAAACACAAATGTTGGTCCATGCATACTATGGAATACTACTCAGCAATAAAAACTACTAGTGGTATACAGAAAACAAACTACTGATTTATACAACAACTTGAATGGATCTCAGAGGAATTATGCTGAGTGAAAAAAGACAATCTCAAAAGGTTACATATATGAATCCATTTATATAATATTCTGGAACTAGAATAGATTGGTGGTTAGCAGGGGCGGAGGACCGGGGGTGGTGAGAGTTATAAAGGAATAGCATGAAAGAGAGCTTTGTGAGAATAGAACTGTTCAGTGCTTTGACTGTGGTGGTGATTGAAGGAATCTACGCATGTGATCAAATTGTGTATAATTACAAACATACACACAAATAAGTGCTTGGGACATTTATTCATTTCATGACAAGAAACTTTTTTTTCCTTTTTTTTTAAGACAGAATTTTACTCTTGTTACCCAGGCTGGAGTGCAGTGGCACAATCTTAGTTCACTGCAACCTCCGCCTCCCGGGTTCAAGTGATTCTCCTGCCTCAGCCTCCTGAGTAGCTGGGATTACAGGCGCGTGCCACCATACCCAGCTAATTTTTTGTGTTTTTAGTAGAGACGGGGTTTCACCATGTTGGCTGGGATGGTCTCAAATTCCTGACCTCAGGTGATCCACCCGCCTCGGCTTCCCACAGTGCAGGGATTGCAGGCGTGAGCCACTGTGCCTGGCTGATAATTTTTTTTTTTTTTTGACATGCCGTTTCGCTGTTGTCACCCAGGCTGGAGTGCAATAGTGCGATCTCAGCTCACTGCAACCTCTGCCTCCTGGGTTCAGGTGATTCTCCTGCTTCAGCCTCCCAAGTAGCTGGGACTACAGGCATGCACCACCACACCCAGCTAATTTTGTATTTTTAGTAGAAATGGGGTTTCGCCATGTTGGCCAGGCTGGTCTCGAACTCCTGACCTCAGGTTATCCACCCACCTCGGCTTCCCAAAGTGCAGGGATTACAGGCATGAGCCACCAAGCCTGGCCTCATGACAGGAAATCTGATTAAAGTCTGTGGATAGCACCAATGTCAATTTCCTGGTATTGATAATGTGCTATAGTTATACAAGATATTACCATTGGGGGAAACAGGGTGAAGGGTAAACTGGACCTCTCCCTCTCTCTCTCTCTCTCTCTCTCTCTCTCTCTCTATATATATATATATATATATGTGTGTGTGTATATATGTGTGTGTATATATATATATATATATACACATATCTATATATACATATATAATGACTTCCCATATATCTATAATTGTTTCAAAATAAAAGGTTTAAACATGTTTTATGGAAGAAGGGGGAATTATGGAAAAAAATATCTACAGAGGCTCTTGTGGGGACAGGAATGAAAACCAGGTTGAGAAACAATAGTCTAGCTTGTCTTAATTACTACAGTTTTGTAATAAATCTTGATGTCTGGTAGAAGAAATCCTGTGGGAAAGTAATTTTATCTTTAGATTCCTGCCTCAGGGAAATCAAAGGCAAACTTTTATTGTATGTAAATTATAGCTTTCTCAGAAAGTCCTTTAGGCCAGGTGTGGTGGTTCATGCTTACAATCCCAGCACTTTGGGAGGCCAAGGTGGGCAGATCACTGGAGGCCAGGAGTTCAAGACCAGCCTGGTCAACATGGTGAAACCCTGTCTCTACTAAAAATACAAAAATTAGCCAGGCGTGGTGGCATTGGCCTGTAATCTCAGCTACTCGGGAGTCTGAGGCACGAGAATCGTTTGAACCTGGGAGGCAAAGGTTGCAGTGAGCTAAGACTGCACCACTGCACTCCAGCCTGGGTGACAGAGTGAGACTCCATCTCAAACAAAACAAAACAAAACAAAACAAAGTCTTCCCTTATGCACCTCCAATCCAGCAAATCCTGATCACAGTCTACTCAGCTAAATGAGCTCCATCTCACACAGCATCCAACACTCTGCTGTTTGAGGGGGAGAAAAAGAGAGTAAAAAGAGGAGCAAGGGCCGGGTGCAGTGGCTCATGCCTATAATCCCAGCACTTTCGGAGGCCGAAGCAGGCGATCACCTGAGGTCAGGAGTACAAGACCAGCCTGGTCAATATGGCAAAACACCTTCTCTACTAAAAATACAAAACTAGCCGGGCGTGGTGGCAGGTGCCTGTAATTCCAGCTACTTGGGAGGCTGAGGCAGGAGAATCGCTTGAACCTGGGAGACGGAGGTTGCAATGAGCCAAGATTGCGCCATTGCACTCCAGCCTGGGCGACAAGAGTGAAACTCCATCTCAAAAAAAAAAAGAAACAAAAAAATGTGCCCTCAATGACCATTTGTGAATGAATGCATGCATGCCTATTGAAGAACTAAAATGTTACTTGTAAAGTTCATTTTGAAAGAAACCAGATTAAGTTACTCAATGGAATATCGGCTTATCTTTTCCTTCCAGGAAATAAATGTGACCTCTGGGAAAAGCGGCACGTCCTGTTCGAGGATGCCTGCACACTGGCTGAGAAGTACGGCCTCCTGGCCGTTTTGGAGACATCTGCCAAGGAGTCAAAGAACATAGAAGAAGTCTTCGTGCTCATGGCCAAGGAGCTGATCGCGCGCAACAGCCTGCACCTATATGGGGAGAGTGCCCTGAACGGCCTCCCCCTGGACTCCAGCCCCGTTCTTATGGCCCAGGGTCCAAGTGAAAAGACCCACTGCACTTGCTAAGATGTTTGCAAAGCCAGTTGCACCCACCAAAGAGGCCGCCTCTGAAACCAAAGGTAGCCAGGATACCGTAGTGTTGCCCCAGTGGCGCTTTAGACCCCAGCGTGGACTTGCCGCTCACCCCTAATCCTCCCAGTCTGGATGGGCCACACTTCTCCCTTGACTCACACCACAGGTCATAGCTGCTGACTCTCAGGAAAACCAGCACCATTGTTTTCACTGACTCTTGACTCCTGGAGAAGGCAGGACTTCAGGCTAGGAGAGGGAGGACGAAGTGTACTCTTCTCCCCTTTCACTTTTCTGTCTCCCTAGAGCTTCTGCTGCTTTCTACTGAATTTTGTTTCTTGCTTGAAGAAGAGGGTAGTGAAGGAAAGGAGGAAGGCAAAACAGCAAGAGAGAGAAGAGGCTGTTTGGAACATTCTGGAACAGTTTGAAACAGCTCAGGCAGGGAGAATGGAACGAAAGCCTGCAATGAGAAACCAGAATGCTGCTATCATTTTGTTCCTGACATTCACACCTCAGGTCTTCACTTTGGGGAGCGAAGCCTTTTAGCAGAAATACCAGAAGTACCATCTTGCCAAATGGTCAGGAACTGTCTGATAGAGATGGAACTGGAATTCACTCTATTCTAGCAGGGCTGACTTGGCCACCCTCTTGGGATAGGGGAAGACACCTGCAATTTTTTTTCTTTCTTTTTTTTTTTTTTTTTTTTGAGACAGGGTCATACTCTGTCACCCAAGCTGGAGTATAGTGGTGGGATCTTGGCTCACTGCAACCTCTACCTCCTGGGTTCAAGAGGTTCTCCCACCTCAGTCTCCCAAGTGGCTGGGACTACAGACACACGCCACCACTCCTGGCTAATTTTTGTATTTTTTGTAGAGACAAGGTTTCACCATGTTGCTCAGGCTGATCTTGAACTCCTGAGCTCAGGTGATCTGCCCACCTTGGCTTCCCAAAGTGCTGGGATTACAGGCATGAGCCACCATGCCTGTTCTTTTTTTTTTTTTTTTTTTTTGAGACTGAGTCTCACTCTGTCACTCAGGCTGGAATGCAGTGGCATGATCTCGGCTCACTGCAACCTCAACCTCCACCTCCTGGGTTCAAGCAATTCTCCTGCCTCAGCCTCCCAAGTAGCTGGGACTACTGGCACTCACTACCACGCCCAGCTCATTTTTTTTGTATATTTAGTAGAGACTGGGTTTCACTACGTTGGTCAGGCTGGTCTTGAACTCCTGACCTCATGATCCACCCGTCTCGGCCTCCTAAAGTGCTGGGATTACAGGCATGAGCCACCATGCCCGGCCCTTTTTTTTTTTTTTTTGAGACAGAGTTTCGCTCTTGTTGCCCAGGCTGGAGTGCAATGGTGTGACCTCGGCTCACTGCAACTTCTGCCTTCCAGATTCAAGTGATTCTCCTGCCTCAACCTCCCTAGTAGCTGGGATTACAGCCTCCCGCCACCACGCCTAGCTAATTTTTGTGTTTTTAGTAGAGGCAGGGTTTCACCACGTTGGCCAGGCTGGTCTCGAACTCCTGACCTCATGATCCACCTGTCTCGTGGCCTCCCAAAGTGCTGGGATTACAGGTGTGAACCACCGCACCTGGCCTTTTTTTATTATTATTATTGTAGAAATGAAGTCTTGCTACGTTGCCCAGGCTGGTCTCCAATTCCTGAGCTCACAGGTTTCTCCCACCTCAGCCTCCCAAAGTGCTGGGATTACAGGCATGAGCCACCATGCCTGGCACAATTTCTTTCTAGAACCCAAATCATCTGCCAGATCAGAAGTCATTTTTAAATTAAAATTAAATTGGTTCATAGATGAATATCAAGCCAGTGTTGTACTGCCCCTTCTGTAAGATATGGCCAGAGAGCAGCTGGTGCCTTCTGGGATGGAGTAACTGCGGCTTTCAGAACTAAACACGTAAGAGGAGGCTGGAAGTCACCAGGCACCCCTCGTTTCCAGGACTGTGTTAGGGGACATCAGGGCAGGCAGCAGGAGCAGGCCACGGAGCCCCTCCAGGGTCCCAGGGAACTGTGGACACTCACCTGGGGCTTCCGGAGGACAAACACCACTTATGATTGCAGCTGACATTTACTGAGCTGCTTCTCATGGCCAGAAGTTGTGTGAGGTCTGGGGAAAGCAAATGGTCCCTTTGGTTTGTGATGCCAGTGGAGGGGAAAAGAGGTACCAGCCGCATTCTGCTGCTCCTCTTTTTTTTTGAGACGGAGTCTCGCTCTGTCACCCAGGCTGGAGTGCAATGGTGTGATCTTGGCTCACTGCAACCTCCACCTCCCAGGTTCAAGTGATTCTCCTGCCTCAGCCTCCCGAGTAGCTGGGATTACGGGGGTATACCACCACACCTGGATAATTTTTGTATTTTTAGTAGAGACAGGGTTTCACCATGTTGGTCAGGCTGGTCTTGAACTCCTGACCTCAGGTGATCCACCTGCCTCAGCCTCCCAAAGTGCTGGAATTACAGGCTTGAGCCACTGCACCTGGCCTGCTGCTCCTCTTAACACCCTTGGACTTCCTGGCATCCTCTCATCCAGCAGTAGCTCTCAGTTCCCCCTTTCCCTGCGCCACATTTTTTTTTTTTTTTTTTGAGGCAGCGTCTCACTCTGTTGCCCAAGTTAGAGTGCAGTGGTGTCATCTCAGCTCACTGCAACCTCCACCTCCCAGGTTCAAGCGATTCTCCTGCCTCAGCCTCCTGAGTAGCTGGGACTACAGGCGCATGCCACCACACCCAGCTAATTTTCTGTATTTTTAATAGAGACGGGGTTTCACCGTGTTAGCCAGGATGGTCTCGATCTCCTGACTTTGTGATCCTCCCCCCTTGGCTTCCCAAAGTGCTGGGATTACAGGCGTGAGCCACCGTGCCCAGCCCTTTTTTTTTTTTTGAGACAGAGTTTCGTTCTTGTTGCCCAGGCTGGAGTGCAATGGTGCGATCGTGGCTCACCACAACCTCCACCTCCTGGGTTCAAGCGATTCTCCTGCCTCAGTCTCCTGAGTAGCTGGGATTACAGGCATGTGCCAACACGCCTGGCCAATTTTGTATTTTTAGTAGAGACAGGGTTTCTCCATGTTGGTCAGGCTGGTCCCGAACTCCCGACCTCAGGTGATCCGCCCGCCTCGGCCTCCCAAAGTGCTGGGATTACAGGTGTGAGCCACCGCGCCCAGCCCCCTGCTCCACTCTTAGCATCTGGGTATCAGGGCCCCAATCACAGCCTATCTGCCTTTCAGTGAGAGGAAGGCAGTCTTTAGGGCTCTTTCCCTGGACTGGTCTTCTCCTTGGCCTTAAGTTATTCTCCTGCTCCTTTATACATTTCTTGGTCTGCAAGGAGTCCTTAGGTAGGAGCCAGAATTTAAATTCTGACCTTCGGAATATATCCATAAACTAAGCCAACCACAGAGAAGAAGAGCAAAGCTAGGAGACCTACGAAGCACAAGCCTCCTCCCGGTTCTCCACCATCATCAGGAAGCACTCTTAATTTTTCTCAGTTAAGGTGCCTTTTAGAAATTTCTTGTCTTGCGACAGAGTTTTCATTCTTTGTTGATTAGTCTATTCTTGAGGAATGGATCCATCAATCTGTTCAGTGTGTGTCCCAGAGCCGACTCAGGGCGGGCACCGATCAAGATGAACAGCCTGCCGAGCCTCCTGTGGGGGCTAGCCCTCTCCTGTTCTGAGGAGCAGCCACGCAGCCTCCCCTGAAAGCAAACCTCGCCCTCTTTCCCCTCCTCCTTCACCCCCAGGAGGAGATCTCAGGTCAGAGACCAATGGCAGCCTGGAGTACTAGTGTTCCCTGACACATCCGTATTTTGATGGGAATCAAACACACAAACCTAGAGATAAAGCTGTAAGGTTGGAACTGTAGCCAGGACTTCAGCTCGCAGGATCACAGGAAAAGAAAGGCATCTAGAGAGAAGGTGGCCTTCTGGGAACCCCTAAGATCACCGCTGGGACAGCCATCGTCCTGGTGTGGGACATCCCCACTGGGAGATTGTTTTTCTATTCACAAGTATCCTCCACTCCAGGCCTCCCAGACAGGTGTTGAAGGGATGGAGATGGCTGCTTGGTGCCGGGTGGAGGGAGGGCTCTAAGGCTGGCTTTGGGAGGAGAGAGCTCCACACAAAGACACCAGCTGCCTGAGCAGCTCCCCTAAACAAGCTGCACCCCAGAGGAGTCATGTGAGTCCCTCATTTTTGCTGGAGTGTCTGCCCTTCCTCACAGAACCCTCCTCTCCTCACTTTGTTCACAAAGGGCAAGCTCTGAGACCAGCTGCCAAACCCTGGCTTCCACAGTCCAGTTAAGAATTTGCATTAGGCCGGGTTACCTGAGGTCAAGAGTTTGAGACCAGCCTGGCCAACATGGTGAAACCCCATCTCTACCAAAAATACAAAAATTCGCCGGGTGTGTTGGCGTATGCCTGTAATCCCAGCTACTCAGGAGGCTGAGGCAAGAGAATCACTTGAACCTGGGAGGCAGAGGTTGCAGTGAGCCGAGATGGTGCCACTGCACTCCAGCCTGGGTGACAGAGTGAGACTCCGTCTCAAAAATAAATAAATAAATAAACAAATAAGAATTTGCACTAAAGTTCCGAGAGGTACGGCAGCCATATCCACAGGTCCTTCCTCACTCAATCAACTGTCTCTACCAGGACACCTTCTACCAGAAAGTGTCCAACTTCTGCCAGTTTCCTAGGTCTGTCACCAATATAGTGGCCTCCTGTGTTTGGGGGCAGGTACTTGGCAGCGTGTGTGCATGTGCCCAGCCCCACTCAGTCAACAAGCCAAGAGCGACAAGAGTGTGCCATTGTCCCTCTCCCTCTCCCTCTCCCCACAGTCTCCCTCTCCCTCTCTTGCCACGGTCTCCCTCTGATGCCGAGCCGAAGCTGGACTGTGCTGCTGCCATCTCGGCTCACTGCAACCTCCCTGCCTGATTCTCCTGCCTCAGCCTGCCGAGTGCCTGCGATTGCAGGCGCGCACCGCCACGCCTGACTGGTTTTCGTATTTTTTTGGTGGAGACGGGGTTTCGCTGTGTTGGCTGGGCTGGTCTCCAGCTCCTAACCGCGAGTGATCCGCCAGCCTCGGCCTCCCGAGGTGCCGGGATGGCAGACGGAGTTGCGTTCACTCAGTGCTCAATGGTGCCCAGGCTGGAGTGCAGTGGCGTGATCTCGGCTCGCTACAACCTCCACCTCCCAGCTGCCTGCCTTGGCCTCCCAAAGTGCCGAGATTGCAGCCTCTGCCCGGCCGCCACCCCGTCTGGGAAGTGAGGAGCGTCTCTGCCTGGCCGCCCATCGTCTGGGATGTGAGGAGCCTCTCTGCCTGGCTGCCCAGTCTGGAAAGTGAGGAGCGTCTCTGCCCGGCCGCCATCCCATCTAGGAAGTGAGGAGCGTCTCTGCCCGGCCGCCCATCATCTGAGATGTGGGGAGCACCTCTGCCCTGCCGCCCCATCTGGGATGTGAGGAGCGTCTCTGCCTGGCCGCCCCGTCTGAGAAGTGAGGAGACCCTCTGCCTGGCAACCGCCCCATCTGAGAAGTGAGAAGCCCCTCCGCCCGGCAGCCACCCCGTCTGAGAAGTGAGGAGCCCCTCCGCCCGGCAGCCACCCCGTCCGGGAGGGAGGTGGGGGTCAGCCCCCCGCCCGGCCAGCTGCCCCGTCCGGGAGGTGAGGGGCGCCTCTGCCCGGCCGCCCCTACTGGGAAGTGAGGAGCCCCTCTGCCCGGCCACCACCCCGTCTGGGAGGTGTACTCAACAGCTCATTGAGAACAGGCCATGATGACAATGGCGGTTTTGTGGAATAGAAAGGGGGGAAAGGTGGGGAAAAGATTGAGAAATCGGATGGTTGCCGTGTCTGTGTAGAAAGAAGTAGACATGGGAGACTTTTCATTTTGTTCTGTACTAAGAAAAATTCTTCTGCCTTGGGATCCTGTTGATCTGTGACCTTACCCCCAACCCTGTGCTCTCTGAAACATGTGCTGTGTCCACTCAGGGTTGAATGGATTAAGGGTGGTGCAAGATGTGCTTTGTTAAACAGATGCTTGAAGGCAGCATGCTCCTTAAGAGTCATCGCCACTCCCTAATCTCAAGTACCCAGGGACACAAACACTTCGGAAGGCCGCAGGGTCCTCTGCCTAGGAAAACCAGAGACCTTTGTTCACTTGTTTATCTGCTGACCTTCCCTCCACTATTGTCCTATGACCCTGCCAAATCCCCCTCTGCGAGAAACACCCAAGAATGATCAATTAAAAAAAAAAAACAAAAAAAAAAACAAGCCAAGGCAGGGGCCCACAGCTCTCTGTGACCCACCTGGGCAGACCTGGCCCGTGATAGAAGGAGAGGGTGATGGTATGAGACTCAAACCCCTGGGCTTGGGCACTACGTATCCTTGGACAAGTCACACACCTCTATGAATTCCCTTTGCTCAAGCATATGATGCAGTTGCTTAATTAAACTCTTGTGAGGACCAAGAGAGGGAATGGCTGTGAAAATGCTTTGAAAATATAAAACCAGGCCAGTCAATATGGCTCACGCCTGTAATCCCAGCAGTTTGGGAGGCTGAGGCGGGAGGATCGCCTGAGGTCAGGAGTTCAAGACCGGCCTGGCCAACATGGCGAAACCCCATCGATCCTAAAAATACAAAAACTTAGCTGGACATGGTGGCGTGGGCCTGTAATCCCACCTACCCAGGAGGCTGAGGCAGGAGAATCGCTGGAACCCGGGAGGCAGAGGCTGTAGTGAGCCGAGATTGTGCCACTGCACTCCAGCCTGAGTGACAGAGCAAGACTCCATCTCAAAAAAAAAAAAAAAGAAAAGAAAATATAAAAGCAAGACAAAGGCAATAGGGAATCATGGTCATGTTGTTCAGCAGCCATCAGGGAACTGAAGCTCAGTTTCTGGACACTTGGTTTGGTATTTAAGGCCTTGTCACCTGGGAAGAGGTGGAAAGGGGTGCATTTTCCCTGTGGCCTACTAGTTCCTTGAGAATAAAGCCCTTCTCTACTCCATGTGTTGGCACAAATACTCTTGATGACATAAGGAAATTCTTGAAAAACTCACATTACCTGAAAATGCACATGTCAAAGCACTGTCCTCACAAGAAGCGATGGTAAAGGACTTCATTGTCCATCCATGGAGCAAACAGCCCTGAACTACCAACACCCAGCCTCACAGAGCCCCTGTGGCTGGTGCCTGCCCCTCAGCCTGCCCAGGGAAGAGTTATGGTGGGGGATGTGAAGTTCTGGGGTGGTGTCTCTTCAGAAAGACGGTTTGCAAAACCCTTCCTGCCACTATTCCAAGCCCTGTGCCCTTCAGCTCCAGAAAGAACCTTTTTACAGCTTCTTGGTGCCAGCATGTTCTGACAAACGCCATTTCTAGAATAATTTCCTAACAGGTTCCAAGATCAAATCACACATGGGTAATGCAGCAAAATTTCCAGGGCATAGGAACAGAGAGATCAGGGAGATATGAAATTGACTGGGTGTTGGAGGGAGGCTGTGTGTCACTCATGATGAGGAATCCTGGAGAGGCCTCGGGTTGCCTGGCCCACAGCAGAGGCCAAGGTAGTGCTCCTTAGGTTCTCTGGACTATCTTTTTTCTTCCTTCCTTTCTTTCTTTCTTTTTTTAGAGATATGGTCTCACTCTGCCACCCAATCTGGAGTGCAGTGACACAATCACAGCTCCCTGTAGCCTTGACCTCCCAGGCTCAAGTGATCCTCCCACCTCAGCCCCCTGAATAGCTAGCTGAGACTACAGGCTTGCACTACCATACCCGGCTCATTTTTGTATTGTTTGTAAAGATGGGGTCTTGTGGCTGGGCGTGGTGGCTCACGCCCATAATCCCAGCACTTTGGGAGGCCGAGGTGGGCAGATCACGAGGTCAGGAGTTAGAGACCAGCCTGGCCAACATAGGGAAACCCTGTCTCTATTAAAAATACAAAAATTAGCCGGGCATGGTGGTGCACACCTACAGCTACTCAGGAGGCTGAGGCAGGAGAATTGCTTGAACCTGGGAGGAGGAGGTTGTGGTGAGCTGAGATTGAGCCACTGCACTCCAGCCTGGGCAACTGAGTGAGATTCCATCTCAAAAAAAAAAAAAAAAAAAGATGGAGTCTTGCTATGTTGCCCAGGCTGGTCTCAAACTTCTAGGCTCAAGCAATTCTCCCGCCTCAGCCTTCCAAAGTTCTGGGATTACAGGTGTGAGCCACCACACTGGGCCCCTGGACTATCTTCTCACTTGGTCATGGGTGAAGCCTCTGGGGAAAGTGGTCTCCATTATGAACCCCAGGAAAGTGAGAAGAGTAAGATGACATTTGCCCGCCCAGCTCAGACCTACTAAAACCTGCAGAAGGGTTGGGGTGAAGAGCAGGGTTCAAACAACTTCAGTACAGAAAACCCTCCTACATTTCTTGATGAATCCACTGACCAAGATGTAATCTTCAAAGAAAACTCCCTCTTTGGAGAGACTCCTACCTTATTCCATTTAAAAATTCTAGGCCGGGCGCGGTGGCTCACGCCTGTAATCCCAGCACTTTGGGAGGCCGAGGCGGGTGGATCATGAGGTCAGGAGATCGAGACCATCCTGGCTAACACAGTGAAACCCCGTCTCTACTAAAAATACAAAAAATTAGCTGGGCGAGGTAGCGGGCGCCTGTAGTCCCAGCTACTCGGGAGGCTGAGGCAGGAGAATGGCGTGAACCCCGGGGGGCGGAGCCTGCAGTGAGCCGAGATCGCGCCACTGCACTCCAGCCTGGGCGACAGGGAGACTCCGTCTCAAAAAAAATAAAAAAATAAATAAAAATAAAAATTCTAGGGGCCAGGTGCAGTGGCTCATGTCTGTAATCCTGGCACTTTGGGAGGCCAAGGCAGACGGATCACTTGAGGAGTTCAAGACCAGCCTGGCCAACATGGTGAAACCCCATCTCTACTAAAAATACAAAAATTACCCAGGCGTGGTGGTGCATTGCCCAGGCTAGTCTTGAACTCCTGGACTCAAGGGATCCTCCTGCCTCAGCCTCCTGCGTAGCTGAGATTACAGGTACTAAAGTTGGTGGCTCAAACTCCTCTGGGCTGGGGGTGGGCAGAGGTGAACAGGAAAGCGGTTTGGGAGAGGCAGATATGGGTGTGGGCCTGGGTTCTTGCTGACCGAGGGAGTTGGGAGGGCGGCCTGGGCCTCAGGCTGGGTGGCTGCGGCTGTGCTGGCGCCGTGCCCAGCTCACCAGGTCCCTGCTCGGGAGCCACAGCGGGATCCATCTCCGAGCCCCTTCCACGGAGTTGCTTGCCTGGAAGAAGTTCCTGCTGATGTGGGCGCTGAAATCTCCCTGTATGGTCCCGGGGCGCGGGACCACACTGGACCCTTCGCAGGCCTTGGGTAGCAGGGCTTCCCCCGCGGGCCCTCGCGGGCCCTCGCGGTGCCCGGCAAGGACGCGCTGTGCGCCTGCGTCCTTCCCCACCAGCGTGAAGCCACCTCTCAAAGCGCTGGATCCCGTCCCCCACGAGCCGCCGCTGTGCCCCATCTGGCTTCACCACGATGAGGGTCCGCTCCAGGGTCCAGGAGGGCCCTCCTGAGCTAGGGCGCACGAAGGCTTGGCCTGGGGCCCACAGGCCGCAGCGAAACCCGCAGCGCAACGCGCCCGGAGGAGCCGCCTGTGACGCCCGGTCCGCGGGCCGCCGGCTGAGCGCTATTATCAGTTAATTCTACAACATCACAACATGCAGCTTGGAGCAGCCAGCCACCCTGTAGTCCCATTTCTCGCAGGCTCGTGCAGCAGCGTGTCATTGGCATTCTTCTCTTTGGGGTCTATGTGTGTGTGCGTGTGTGTGTGTTAACAGTGCCTCAGGCCAGGCGCGATGGCTCATGCCAGTAATCCCACTTTGGGAGGCCGAGGCGGGAGGATCGCTTGAGCTCATCAGCCTGGGCAATATAGAGAGAAAACCCCCATCTCTACAGAAAAGTTTTTTTAATTAGTCAGGCCTGGTTGTGGGAGTCTGTGGTCCTAGCTAATTGGAAGGCTGAGGTGGGAGGATCGCTTTAGCCTGGGAGGCGAAGGTTGCAGTGAGCCCAGATCTGCAACTGCACTCCAGCCTGGGTGACTGAGCCAGACCCTGTCTTAAATAAATAAATAAATAAATAAAAATAAATAACAGGATCTTGCTAGGTTGCCCAGGCTCAACTAGGTTGCTCAAACTCCTGGGCTCAATCAATCCTCCAGCCTCAGCCTCACGAGTAGCAGTAGCTGGGATCGCAGGTGGCACCAGGGCACCCGGCTTTAGCACCACAATGTACTCCTATGCTTCTCAGGCTGTTGGAATGAGGTGGTTTAAGACGAGGTTCTTCTTCAGCAGGATGAGGTTCTTTATGTAGTCACACAAGAAACTTGTGATGAAAGAGCTGGGAACCTGGGTGGCCATCATTAATTCTCTTTGATCACTATTTATAATATAATGCCAACTTGGCTTATATTAGCCAGCACTTCATCTTTGGATTTCTTCATTTCCCTGGCTTTTATGCAGCAACTCCCCGACCCCCACCCATGCACGCAAACATCCTTCTAGTTCCCCAGCCCCTCAGTGCCTTCTGCTGCCATGGACTGCAGAGTTTCCAAGCTTTTTCCCTTCCTGACTGTATTCTAGATACCTAGTGAGATGTGAAAAAATAACATTTCTCTTCTTTTTTTTTTTTTAATTTTTGAGACAGAGTCTTGCTTTGTTGCCCAGGCTGGAATGCAGTGGTGCGATCTCAGCTCACTGCAGCCTCCGCCTCCTGGGTTCAAGCAATTCTCCTGCCACAGCCTTCTGAGTAGCTGGGATTACAGGTGCCCACCACCATTCCTGGCTAATTTTTGTATTTTTACTAGAGACGGGGTTTCACCTGAGCTCTGTCGGGAGTTCACCAGACGGGGTCTTGAACTCCTGACCTCAAGTGATCCACTCACCTTAGCCTCCCAAAGTGCTGGGATTATAGGCATGAGCCACCACACCCGACGTCTCCTAACTTTTTATTATGAAAAACTTCAAACACAGAAAGAAGTTGAAATAATAGAACAATGAATGTCTACCCATCACCCACATACCTAGATTTGAATTTTGTTATAATTTTCCCATATTTGATATATAGTAGATATCACACTTCAGCCCCCCAAATTTTAACATGCATTTCCTACAAATAAGAACATTCTCCTACTAGCTGGGCATGATGGCCCACGCTTGCAATCCCATCTACTTGGGAGGCAGAGGCAGGAGGATCGCTTGAACCCAGGAGGTGGAGGTTGCGGTGAGCCAAGATGGTGCCACTGCACTCCAGCCTGGGCAACAGACTGAGACCCTGTCTCAAAAAAAACAATTTTTTTTAAAAAAGAATATTCTCCTAAATACAATGATCACATCCAAGGAAATTTACAGTGATTCACTAATACCATCTAATATTCAGTCCAAAATGTCTTTGGTAATTTTACTTTTTTTTTCTTTTTTGAGGTGGTTTTGCCCTTGTTACCCAGGCTTGAGTGCAATGATACGATCTCAGCTCACTGCAACCTTCGCCTCCCAGGTTCAAGCAATTTTCCTGCCTCAGCCTCCCGAGTAGCTGGGATTACAGGCATGCACCAACACGCCCGGCTAATTTTGTATTTTTAGTAGGGATGGGTTTTCTCTATGTTGGTCAGGCTGGTCTCGAACTCCTGACCTTGTGATCCACCCACCTTGGCCTCCCAAAGTGCTGGGATTATAGGAGTGAGCCACTGTGTCCGGCTTACATTTTTGTATTAAAACAAAAACAAAAACAAAAAAAAAACAACAGAATTCCAGCACCTGTAATTCCAGCTACTCAGGAGGCTGAGGCACAAGAATTGCTTGAACCCAGGAGGCAGAGGTTGCAGTGAGCCAAGATCATGCCACTGCACTCCAGCCTGGGTGCTGGAGCAAGACTCTGTCTCAAAAAAGGGAAAAAAGGCCGGGCACAGTGGCTCACACCTGTAATCCCAGCACTTTGGGAGGCTGAGGTGGGCGGATCATGAGGTCAGGAAATCGAGACCATCCTGGCTAACACGGTGAAACCCCGTCTCTACTGAAAATACAAAAAATTAGCCGGATGTGGTGGCACACGCCTGTAATCCCAGCTACTCAGGAGGCTGAGCAAGGAGAATCGCTTGAACCCAAGGAGGCAGAGGTTGCAGTGACCCAAGATCACGCCACTGCACTCCAGCCTGGGCAAGAGAGCAAAACTCTGTCGCAAAAAAAAAAAAAAAAAGGAGGCCGGGCGCGGTGGCTCACGCCTGTAATCCCAGCATTTTGGGAGGCCGAGGCGGGTGGATCACGAGGTCAGGAGAGCGAGACCATCCTGGCTAACACGGTGAAACCCCGTCTCTACTAAAAATACGAAAAAAAAAAAATAGCCGGGCGTGGTGGCGGGCGCCTGTAGTCCCAGCTACTTGGGAGGCTGAGGCAGGAGAATGGCGTGAACCCAGGAGGCGGAGCTTGCAGTGAGCCGAGATCGCGCCACTGCACTCCAGCCTGGGTGACTGTGCAAGACTCCGTCTCAAAAAAATAAAAAAAAGGAAAGTAAAATAATATATATTTCAAAATAGCTAAGAGTAAATTTCAAATGACTCACCAGTAAAGAAAGGGAGATGGTTGTTAATTAACTTGATTTAATCATTCCATGGTATATACAATACATTGTATCCTATAAATGTATATAATTATGATTTTTCAATTAAAAATAATATTAATAAAAATAACCAGGATCCAGTCACGTGTTTTCATCTTACATTTAGTTGTCGTCTTTCTCCAGACTCCTCACTTTTTCCCATAACGCTGGCTGTTTGAAGATAAAGGAATTGTCTTTTAGAATTCTGAATTTGTTTCTTCAAGGTTAATTTCTTTTTTTTTCTTTCTTTTTTTTTTTTTTTTTGAGACAGGATCTCACTCTGTTGCCCAGGCTGGAGTGCAGTGGCACGATCACAGCTCATTATGGCCTCAATTTCCTGGGCTCAAGTGATCCTCCCACTTCAGCCTCCCAAGTAGCTCGGACCACGGGCTGCTCTGGAACTCCTGAGCTCAAGGGATCCTTCTGCCTCAGCCTCCCAAAGTGCTGGGATTACAGGCGTGAGCCACTGGGCCGGCCAAGGTTAATTTCTTATACCCACTATTTTCTCCATCTGCTGGAAGTCAGGTCTAGAGGCTTGTTATTAGGGCTAAACATTTTGGGCAAGACCATGACCTGGGGTGATGCTCCACGCTTGCTGCTGTATCAGGCCTGAAGGTCATCTCTTCTTGCAAATACTGGGTTCACTCACTTGTTGGAAGTGGAGACTGAAGATCTCTCTGTGAAAAAGCACATTTCCTCCTTTGCAGTAAGATGTCCTTATTGAGCTGATACTTTGGACTATGCAAATACTGACATTTCACTAACTGGTTTCACCACCCACTGATGATACCTGTCTGAATCAGTTTCATCAAGGGTTATAAAATGGTGCTTTTCAAATTCTATCGTTTCTGCTACATTTGTTAACTGTCACTCTTGGTAAAAAAGAGCTTTCCCTCATCAACTGGGAATGAACCACAGAGGCAGTAACATGTCATATTTGCGTGCCTAGTAGAGGTAAAGCTCTTTTTCATTTTCAAAACTGTCACTTGAGATAGCTACTATTCACATTTTACAAAGAGATTAAGGTTAAATAACTTGCCCAAGGTAACATTCCAATAAGTGACAGGAGACACTTGGCTCCAGGATTTTGCTGATTAGGTAACCTGAAATCTTCTTACTATATATACCTGAAAACACTGGATAAAATATTTATAAATGGGCCAGGCGCGGTGGCTCACGCCTGTAATGCCAGCACTTTGGGAGGCTGAGGCGGGCGGATCACAAGGTCAGGAGTTCAAGACCAGCCTGGCCAACATGGTGAAGCCCCATCTATACTAAAAATACAAAAAGTAGCTGGGCATGGTGGCACACGTCTGTAATCCCAGCTACTCGGGAGGCTGAGGTAGGAGAATCTCTTGAACCCAGGAGGCGGAGGTTACAGTGAGCCAAGATCACGCCACTGCACTCCAGCCTGGGCAACAGAGCAAGACTTCATCTCAAAAAAGAAAAAAAAATTTATAAATGGTTGTAAATTCATAGTCAAACTCACAAAATAATTAAGGCAATCCCGAGGAGCTGAGAATGAATTGGTAAGGCCCAGCATGGTGGCCCACATCTGTAGTCCCAGCATTTTGGGAGGGTGAGGTGGGAGGATGGCTTGAGCCAAGGAGTTTGAGACCAGCCTGGGCAACATGGCAAAATCCTGTCTCTACCAAAATACAAATTAGCTGGGTGTGATGGTGCATGCCTGTAGTCTGAGCTACTCGGGAGGCTGAGGCAGGAGGATCACTTGAGTCTGGGAGGTCAAGGCTGCAGTGAGCCAAGATCATGCTACTGCACTCCAGCCTGGGCAACAGAGTGAGACCTTCTCTCAAAAAAAAAAAAAAAAAAAAAAAAAAAGCAAAGCTCTTTATGCACTGCCTTGTCAGGGGCTGGATGATTTGCTCCTGGAGGAAAAGTAAGGCTTTGAACTATATGGCCCACCTGGAGACAAAAGAGGTCTTCAGCTTCTATGAGGAGGCAGCTGAAACTGAGCTCCCTCTCTTAACAATGAACTTCAGATGACTCAACAATCTGAGACACTAAAATGTTTATTTTTTTGAGACACAGTCTTGCTCTGTCACCCAGGCTGGAGTGCAAATGGCATGATCTTGGCTCACTGGAACCTCTGCCTCCCAGGTTCAAGCGATTCTTCTGCCTCAGCCTCCCGAGTAGCTGGGATTCCAGGTGCGTGCCAATATGCCTGGCTAAAGTTTGTATTTTTTGTAGAGACAGGGTTTCACCATGTTGGCAAGGTTGGTATCGAACTCCTGACCTCAAGTGATCCGCCTGCCTTGGCCTCCCAAGGTGCTGGGATTTGGCCACCATGCCCAGACAAAAATGTATGTTTCAATTACACACACAAGGCGGGACGCAGTGGCTCACGCCTATAATCAGCACTTTGGGAGACCAAGGCGGGCAGATCACCTGAGGTCAGGAGTTCAAGACCAGCCTGGCCATCATGGTGAAACCCCGTCTCTACTAAAACTACAAAAATTAGCCGGGCGTGGTGGTGGGTGCCTGAAATCCCAGCTACTCGAGAAGCTGAGGCAGGAGAATCGCTTGAACCTGGGAGGCAGAGGTTGCAGTGAGCCGAGATCACACCATTGCACTCCAGCCTGGGCAACAGAGTGAGACTCTGTCTCAAAAAAAAAAAAAAAAAAAATTACACAAAAGAAGGAACACAAAACTTGAGGAACAAATACAACCCTAATGGCACACATCAATCCACCTGCATTTATCTGCACATGAATCCCAATAAATATTTTGAAAATCTCATCAATTTCTGGGATCGTGTACTTTATGGGATTATTTACCACTGAAATTGTCCTACCAACAAGTTACACAACAGGAGAACATGGTCACCTGAAAACCATCGACCTGTAATTAACCAGCCTTTGCTTCTGTTGAAATTATAGTGTGCACTTGAAAGGGACCCATAAAATCTACCAATTTCCCTGAATTAGAGGCCACAGGGTCTTGTCTGCTGTAAAAACAGGGACAACTTCTCTGAAGTTTACCACAGTCCCATAACTGGCACTGTGAAACTGCCTCAGGCAGGCTTTGCTTTATAGATATGGTACTGTGTGTTAATTAATTCTAGCATTTTTTTCACATCCTCAAAATTGTATAATTGGTAACAAGTAAATGATATGAAATTAAGTGAGGGCCAAGCATGGTGGCTCACGCCTGTAATCACAACATTTTAGGAGGCTGAGGTGGGAGTATTGCTTGAGCCCAGGTTTTTGAGACCAGCCTGGGCAACATGGTGAGACCCCATCTCTATAAAAAATTTAAAAATAAAAAATTAGCCGGGCATGATGGCATGAACCTGTAGTCCCAGCTACTTGGGGTGGGGGGGAAGCCTAAGGCAAGAGTATGCCCAGGAGATCGAAGCTGCAGTGAGCCATGATCGAGGCACTGAACTCCAGCTTGAGCAACAGAGCAAGACCCTGTCTCAAAAAAAAGAAAGAATAAACAAAAGTTCCAAGAGGAAATTTGGGTTTTTTGGTGTGTGCATGTTTGTGTGCTTTGTTTTTTACTTTTTTTTTTTTTTTTTTTGAGATGGAGTCTTGCTTTGTCACCAGGCTGGAATGCAGTGGCTCGATCTCAGCTCACTGCAACCTCCGCCTCCTGCGTTCAAGCGATTCTCCTGCCTCAGCCTCCCGAGTAGCTGGGACTGCAAGTGCCTGCCACCACGCCCAGCTAATTTTTGTATTGTTAGTAGAGATGGGGTTTCACCATATTGGCCAGGCTGGTCTCTAACTCCTGACCTCGTGATCTGCCCACCTCAGCCTCCCAAAGTGCTAGGATTACAGGCGTGAGCCACCATGCCTGGCCGCTTGTTTTTTACTTTTTAACCCAACATAAATATTTCTGAACAAAATGTACATTTTGGAAGAATACAAAAATTACATTATAAAACGTCTTAATATTTTATCTTGTCTGCTGGTGTCAAATGCACTTTCACATGTGAGGGAATCTTTCAGTTAATATACCTATGTTCATAAATTTTTTCTGAATCTCCCCCACTTTCTTACTTTTAAGACCTATTGGCTGGGGAGGTGGCTCACGCCTGTAATCCCAGCATTCTGGTAGGCCAAGGCAAGCGGATCACCTGAGGTCAGGAGTTCAAGACCAGCCTGGCCAACATGATGAAACCCCGTCTCTACTAAAAATACAAAAAAATTAGCTGGGCGTGGTGGTGGGCGCCTGTAATCACAGCTACTTGAGAGGCTGAGGCAAGAGAATCACTTGAACTCGGGAGGCGGAGGTTTCGATGAACTGAGATCTCGCCATTGCACTCCAGCATGGACCACAAGAGCAAAACTCCATCTCAAAAAAAAAAAATCTATTAGTATTAATAGTAATATTAGTACAATAGTAATAATAGTGACAAACACATATAGCAGTTACTATGTCCCAGCACTGTAGCAAATACTTAATTTATCAACTATATTTTGGAGTGTGTACTGTTTATCATTCCTATTTTTTAAAATGAAGCTATGAGACACAGAGACATTAAGGTCACACAGCTAGTGAATGGCACAGCCAGGACTCAAACCCCACCAATCTGATTCCAGAGTCCACTTTTAACAATTATGCTAGACTGGAGGTGGTGGCTCACACCTGTAATCCCAGCACTTTGGGAGGCTAAGACGAGAAGATCACTTGAGGACAGGAGTTTGAAACTAGCCTGGCCAACGTGGTGAAACCCCGCCTCTACTAAAAATACAAAAATTAGCCAGGCATGGTGGTGCCTGCCTGCAACTTCAGCTGCTGGGTAGGCTGAGGCAGGAGAATCACTTGAATCCAGGAGGCGGAGGTTGCAGTGAGCCGAGATCGCACTACTGCACTCCAGCCTGGGTGAAAAAGCCAGACTCTGTCTCAAAACAAAACAAGCAAATAAAGAAACAAAAACAATTATGCTAAACTCCCTCTCAGATAATGGCCAGCACCAGATTTGGGCTCCATCATATTAACCCCTCATCATTCTCAACACACACACACACACACACACACACACACACACACACACACACACACGACAGAGAGAGAAATGTATCCATTCCAAGATATACCTCTCATACATGTATTTCAGTGTCTTCCAAAGTAAAATTGTGCAGCTGTCTGTAAAAGAAGCTAAATAGGGAGGAGGAGGTGGGGTGGAGAAGGGCTAGATGGCTGGGTGGAGTAGCCCAAACCCATCTAACTGCAGGAAAATCAGGGGGAAGCTGTGCTTGAAATGTGCTAGGCCCGGCCTGTGTACACTTTCTCTTAGATCATGAGGAAACTCCAGTTCACTCAGTGCAAGGTTATTTGGGTGAGCCAGGGCAAATCAGGTTGAGCTCCACCCTATCATCCGAGTCCAGGGGTTGGAATAGACACTGGAAGGGAACGAGAGGTGGGGAAGGATGCAGCAAGGCAAGCACAGATCAGCGCCCCCTGCAGGTGGTTAGCAAAACTCCGGGTCATTGAGACGAGTTTCTGAGGATTCATTATCGTCAAAGGCAATAATAGAATTGGTTTGGCTGGGCTCCGTGGCTCACACCTGTAATCCCAGCACTCTGGGAGGCCGAGGCGGGCGGATCACGAGGTCAGGAATTCGAGACCAGCCTGGCCAAGATGGTGAAACCCCCTCTCTACTAAAAATACAAAACTTAGCCAGGCGCGGTGGCCAGCGCCTGTAATCCCAGCTACTCGGGAGGCTGAGGCAGGAGAATCGCTTGGACCCGGGAGGCAGAGGTTGTAGTGGGTCAAGATCGCGCCACTGCACTCTAGCCTGGGCGACAGAGCAAGACTCCATCTCAAAAACAAAACAAAACAAAAATTAGTCAGGTGTGGTGGCGGGCGCCTGCAGTCCCAACTACTCAGGAGGCTGAGGCAGGAGAATCGCTTGACCCGGGAGGTGGTGATTGCAGTGAGCCCACATTGCATCACTGCACTCCAGCCCGGGCAACAGAGCAAGACTCTGTCTCAAAATAATAATAATAATAATAATAATGATAAAGATAATAATAGAATCTGCTTCAATTTTTCATTTTCAAATATCAATATCCAGGCTGGGCGGGGGGCTCATGCCTGTAATCCCAGCACTTTGGGAGGCTGAGGTGGGCGGATCATCTGAGGTCGGGAGTTCGAAGCCAGCCTAACCAACATGGAGAAACCCCGTCTCTACTAAAAATACAAAATTAGCCAGGCATGGTGGCGCATGCCTGTAACCCAGCTACTCGGGAGGCTGAGGAAGGAGAATTGCTTGAAACCGGGAGGCAGAGGTTGCGGTGAACCGAGATTGCGCCACTGCACTCCAGCCTGGGGAACAAGAGCGAAACTCTGTCTCAAAAAAAAAAAAAAAAAAAAAAAAAAATCAATATCCAGGCCAGTGGTTCGTACCTGTAATCCCAACACTTTGGGACACCAAGGTGGGAGAATCACTTGAGCTCAGGAATTCAAGATCAACCTGGGTAACACAGCAAGACTCCATCTCAAAAATTCAAAAAGTAGCTGGGTGTGATGTCACATGCCTGTAGTTCTAGCTACTTGGGAGGCTGGGGCAGGAGGATCACTTGAACCACTGTGTTTGAAGCTGCAGTGAGCTATGACTGTGCCACTGCACTCCAGCCTGGGCAACAGAGCAAGACTCCATCTCAAAAAAAAAACCCAAATAGAACAAATCAGCAGCCCCCCACCACCGCCCCCAGTATTTTTCAAGAGACAGGGTCTCACTATGTTGCCAAGGCTGAAGTGTAGTGGCTATTCACAGGCGTAATCATAGGACACTGTGGGCCTCAAACTCCTGGACTCAAGTGATCCTTCCACCTCAGCCTCCCATGTAGCTGGGATTACAGGTCACCGTGCCTGCCCATCCCCTGAAATCTTGAGGTTTAGGACTCCACAGGGTCAAAAGAAAACAGATAAGCCATAGACAATTGATAACAGGCATAGTACAGCGAGGAAGAATGTAAATCTACTAACATCACCCAGAAACGTGAGATAGGTCCACAAAGGCAGCCAACAGTAGCTGATCTATGTAAAGAAACATAGATTTGGAGTCCAAAGCTGTAGCACTTACACACTAGCTGTTAGACAGGGTTAGTTGTTTAACTTCTAAACCTTAGTTTTTTCATTTGCAAAATAAGACTAATAAGGGCTTAACTTCTTTACAGAAATGTGAGGATCAAATAAGACAGCCATGAAAATGGTTTATAAAGCATCACACAAGTTCTCATTTGAAGACAGTGGTATAAGACCGGGCCCTGTGGCTCACGCCTGTAATCCCAGCATTTTGGGAGGCTGAGGCAGGAGAATCTCTTGAACCTGGGAGGCAGAGGTTGCAGTGAGCTGAGATGGCACCACTGCCCTCCAGCCTGGGCAACAAGAGCGAAATTCTATCTCCAAAAAAAACAAAAAAAAAAAGTGGAGAAATTAGAACTCTCACTCATTGTTGACAGGCATGAAAAGTGGTACAGCCACTTTGGAAAACAGTTTGGCAGTTCCTCAAAACGTTAAACAGTTACCATATGACCCAGCAATTCTACTCCTAGGTATACACCCCAAAGAATCTGAAAACATATCTTTACACAAAAACCTGTACACAAATGTTCATAGCAGCATTATTCATAATAGCCAAAAGGTGGAAATGACTTCAGTGTCCATCAAGTCATGAATCAATAAACAAAATGTGGTATATCCATACAATAAAACAGCAGTCCCCAAACTTTTTGGCACCAGGGACTGGTTCCCTGGAAGACAATTTTTTCCATGGACAGGGGGTGGCAGGGATGGTTTCAGGAAGAAACCATCTCAGATCATTAGGCATGAGATTCTCATAAGCAGCATGCAACCGAGATCCCTTGTACGCACAGTTCACAACAGCGGCGGAACCCTGGTCTGACTGAAGGTGGAGCTCTGGGAGTAATGCTTGCTTGCCGCTCACATACTACTGTGCGGCCCGGTTCCTAACAGGCCACGGATTGGTACTCGTACTGGTACTTGTACACGGTCCGAGGGTTGAGGACCCCTGCAATAAAACACTGTCCATCCATTGAAAGAAATGAAGTACTGATAAATGCTACAGCATGGATGAAACAAAAACATTATGCTAAGTCAAAGAAACCAGTCACAAAAAGCCGCAGATTATACAGCTCCATTTATATGAAGTGTCCAGAACAGGCAGATCCATAGACAGAAATCCTGTCTCTATGGAGTAGTAGCATGGGTTAGTGGTTGCCAGGGGATAGGGAAACAGAGAAATAGGGACTGACTGCTCATGGGTGTAGGGGTTTTCAGGGGGGTGGTGATGAAAATGTTCTCAACTTAGTGGTGAGTATTGCACACTCTTTTTCTTTTGTTTTGTTTTGTTTTTGAAACGGAGTTCAGAGTTTTGCTCTTGTTGCCCAGGCTGGAGTGCAATGGTGCGATCTCGGCTTACCGCAACCTCCACCTCCTGGGTTCAAGAGATTCTCCTGCCTCAGCCTCCCAAGAGCTGGGATTACAGGCATGCGCTACCACGCCCAGCTGATTTTGTATATTTTAGTAGAGATGGGGTTTCTCCATGTTGGTCAGGCTGGTCTCGAACTCCTGACCTCAGGTGATCCACCCACCTCAGCCTCCCAAGGTACTGGGATTACAGGCGTGAGCCACTGCACCCGGCCTGTTGTTTTTTTTTTTGAGACTAAGTCTCACTCTATCATCCAGGCTGGAGTGCAGTGGTGCGATCTCGGTTCACCACAGCCTCCGCCTACCGGGTTCAAGCAATTATCCTGCCTTAGCCTCCTGAGTAGCTGGAACTATAGGTGCGTGCCACCATGCCCGGCTAATTTTTGTATAGTTTTAGTAGAGTTGGGATTTCACCATGTTGACCAGGCTGGTCTCAAACTCTTGAACTCAGGTGATTTGCCTGCCTTGGCCTCCCAAAGTGCTGGGATTACAGGCATGAGCCACTGCGCCCAGCCAACATTGTATTTTTAAAACCACTAAATTGTACCCTCTAAAAGGGTGAATTTTAGGGTATGTAAATTAGATCTCCATAAAAAAGAGAAGTGCTGGCATGAGAAATAGATCAAGACTAAAGTTTAGCTCATAGATGGTCTCTAGGGTGTGATGGAAGGAGGCAGTCAACAAGCCTTGATGGGGAGAAGAACAAAGGGATTGAAGGGGGACATATGCGGCACCCAGCAGTATGCATAGTGGTGAAAGATAATGGGGCTGCGATTAGGAGCAAAAAGTTCTACATTCAATGCTTTTGAAATCGCATGTTTCCTCTCAAACTCAACCACTTCCCTGACGCCACCCATCACACCAGAAATATGTTTACTGAAGACTTACTGGCTTAAGTAATAGAATAACAGCTGTTATTATTAGAATACTTCAAAAATCAGACTAAAGAAAGGACTGGGCCTTTCAACGTCGCATCCATGATGGTTTATTGACCACTACCTTGCTAGATTGTACTGGTTACTGAACGCCAGCAGGATAAAAGGGTGTCTGTAGTTCTTTTACCAGTACCCTTGCTACACCTCCTTACCTCTTAATACAGTCTGCACTTCCATATGGTCGTTTACAGTTGTAAATTATTTCAAATCTTAAATCAAAATTCCTCTACATGCATTTGCCTGCAGGATTTGCTCTTACTGGTTTTGGCCTATGGAACCAAGTTTGAATTTTTTTTTTTAATTGGCTGGGTGCGGTGGCTCATGCCTGTAATCCCAACACTTTGGAGACCGAGGCGGGCGGATCACGAGGTCAGGAGATCAAGACCATCCTGGCCAACACGATGAAACCCGTCTCTAATAAAAATACAAAAATTAGTTGGGTGTGGTGATGCACGCCTGTAGTCCCGGGTACTTAGGAGGCTGAGACAGGAGAATCGCTTGAACCCGGGAAGCGGAGGTTGCAGTGAGCCAAGATCGTGCCACTATACTCCAGCCTGGCGACAAGAGTGAGACTCCGTCTCAAAATAAATAAATAAATAAATAAATAAATAATTTAATTAGCTGAGCATGGTGGCATGTGCCTGTGGTCCCAGCTACTCAGGAGGCTGGGGCAGAAGAATCCCCTGAGCCCAGGGGGTCAAGGCTACAGCAAGCCACAATGGCACCACTACACTCCAGCCCGTGACAGAGTAACCCAGTCTCAAAAAATACAAATAAGTGTCTTGTGCCTATTCCAGACCCACTGAATCAGAATCTGCATTTTAACAAGAACCTCCTCCTCTCATTCATTTGCACGTTAAAGGCTGAGAAGCCCTGCTGTGGAGACTGGTTCCAACTGCAGCAGGTCATGATCAGGTGAGTGTGTTGCAGTTTAGTAAAGCATTAAATTGTAGGAAGAATGTTTTTGGTATTTTAAGGCAATCCAACATTATTCCTATAAATGTTAGACATTGTTATAATGTTACTGACTTGCATGTATACTTTTCTGAAAGTAAAAGCTATACCTAACACAGGAAATTCAATGTGTCCTGTAGGCCATCGAGTGTCCTTAATGGTGATGTCAAGGAAAAGCTGTTGGATGTCTTGCCTTTGCCTGCCTCAGGCTTTAACACAGGATGTCTTGTCTGCAGGGCACTTTTTCTGCCATTCAGATCTCAATTCAAATGACCTTTCCATGGCCACACTAGCCCAGGCCCCCTATCGAAAGCAGTCACCAGTTTTATGAAGGGCCACAACTGCCTTATTAGGATATTTCATATTAGGCTACTGGCAAAACAAAACAAAATCTCCCAAATCTCAATTTATCTCTTGTTTATACAAAATCTGATTTTGGGGGTGGGAGCTCTCCCTCTATCCATGACACAGAGATCCAGGATCCCTCCTGTCTTGTGACTCTGCCACTTTAACACATGGCTTCCAATACCTCCATGAAACAGAGACGATGACAAGGAGGGCACACGGCACATGACGTGAGTTAGCCATGCAGCACCAACCAAACTGCAAAGGGCCTGGGAAGTGGAAGGGACCAAGTGGGCTAGTTTGATGAGCACTTCTGCAAACTGTGTTCTGCTCACAGCATCTCTAGCACTAGTACAGTGCCTGTATGCACAAGGACTCAAATATCTGTAAAATATGTGGATACCTTCATTTTACTAAAAAGGTCATCCATTAACAGTTTTAGGCCGAGCGTGGTGGTGCCTGTAATCTCAGCACTTTGGAAGGCAAATCACCTGAGGTCAGGAGTTCCAGGCTGAGGTCAGGAGTTCCAGACTGGCCTGGCCAACATGGCGATATCCCGCTTCTTCTAAAAATACAAAAATTAGCCAGGCGTCATGGTTGGCGCCTGTAATCTGAGCTACTTGACAAGCTGAGGCAGAATAGCTTGAACCCAGGAGGCATAGGTTGCAGTGAGCCGAGATTGTGCCACGGCACTCCAGCCTGGGTGACAGAGCAAGACTCTGTCTCAGGAAAAAAAAAAAAAAATGGGGAAACCCCGTCTCTACTAAAAATACAAAAATTAGCCAGGCGTGGTGGCGTGCGCTTGTAGTCCCAGCTACTTAGGAGGCTAAGGCAGGAGAATCGCTTGAACCCAGGAAGCAGAGGTTGCAGTGAGTCGAAACTGCGCCACTGCACTCCAGCTGGGGTGATTGGAGCAAAATCCCACAAAAAAAGCTCATCACTAGAACCTAAAAAATGCTTTTATTTGCTCAGGTACTGTGTGGTGTTATTTCTTCTATACACTGATGAGGGGCTGAGATAAAGACCTAGTGAACTAAACAAAGTGCCCAGGCTAGTTCTGGGGAAGTAAGATCTGAGGCATATTCTATTATCAGCAATGGATCTCTTCCTGTCATTCAATACAAAGGAATAAGCGCTGTCTTAAGACAATTTGCAACAGAGCACTTCCTTTATCAACACTGTAAACTTGTTTAAAGGTTTGTGAAATAAGTCCTGGACACTGAAAAGTAATAAAATACGGCCACTGCATGAGAGTGAGTTTGTATTAACCACTTCAGATGAACAAGTATGTTTTTAAAAATTATTTCTCAGCCGGGCGAGGTGGCTCATGCCTGTAATCACAGCACTTTGGGAGGCTGAGGCAGGCGGATCATGAGGTCAGGAGATGGAGACCACCCTGGCCAACATGGTGAAACCCCATCTCTACTAAAAATACAAAAAAAGTAGCTAGGCATGGTGGCATGCACTTGTAGCCCAGCTACTCAGGAGGCTGAGGCAGGAGAATCACTTGAATCCGGGAGGCAGAGGTTGCAGTGAGCCAAGATCGCGCCACTGCACTCCAGCCTGTTGACAGAGCAAGACTCCGTCTCCAAAAAAAAAACAAAACACAAAACAAAAAAAAGGATTTTGCTTAATTTTCCTTATAAAATGACAGCTTAAACAAGATTTCAAGACAGGGCAGGCTGTTTGGCTCAGTGGCTTCTCACCCCAAAGGTTTATGGGTTGCTCATATTCCATGTCCCTCATGGGTTAACTAAGTGTACCAGCATGGTGACCCAGGCTGGTAGAACAGCCACTTTGCAAAATTTACCAATTGCCTGGAAAGAGGATCACGTATGGGATCTTAAACTTTCATCTGGCAATGACACTTCTCACATTTCAGCCTAGGTAAGTCAGCTGGGCCTTGCAATTGAACCACGAAGCCACAAAGCAGGGTTGGAAATCTGTTGCCAGTACTATGACTACCATTTCAATATCTACCTTTATCAATATCAAGCCTCTTTCTCCTCCTTTATCAACTACCTTTATTAATATCAAGCCCCTTCTCTCCCCCAAATCACTGGCATGATGTGAAATCACTTATTGTGTACAGTGGCAGGGAAGAGGCTGAAATTGTAGTTTTGTGCAAATGAGAAGGTGAGACGTTCCACCCATCAATGTTTACACCTCAGCTTCTTTTGCAACAGGCAATTAACACTTGGGGAAAGAAGAGAACTCGCTCTCAATGCAGCCATTGAGGGTAGCAATCCACATTACAGACTACTCGGACTAGTACAGAAGCTTCCACTGCCTTTTCCAAGATACAAAAGAGTTGCTCTAAACATACACTTCTCTCCATCCCAGAAGTGACCAACTGCCACTCCCTGGACCTTGCTATCCCCCTCTCCCTGTTGCAGATTCAGATATGCAAACGATGCTTCTTCCTACTTTCCAGAATTGCTCAAGGCTCTCTCCACCTCCTAGCTCCAGCACTCCCAACCCATTCTCAGGCTCTTCCCCATCCCTCTGCATGTCCCCAGCATAGCCTGACTGGTACACCTGAGGGTGGACTTAACTCCCCTGGGAGTTAGCTGCTGGGCTACAAGCTTACAGAAACAGACCAGACTACTCAGTGGATCCCCAGTTGTTATCATGACCACAGTATAAGCCCACTCAGAAATGATTCCTAGATGTTTAAACATTTTCCGATAGCATTTTTTGAGTTGGAGTCTTGCTCTTTCGCCCAGGCTAGAGTGCAGTGGCGAGATCTTGGCTCACGCCACTCTCCTGCCTCAGCCTCCCGAGTAGCTGGGACTGCAGGGGCCCGCCACCATGCCCAGCTAATTTTTTGTATTTTTGGTAGAGACAGGGTTTCACCATGTTAGCCAGGATGGTCTCGATCTCCTGACCTCGTGATCCGCCCGCCTCGGCCTCCCAAAGTGCTGGGATTACAGGCGTGAGCCACCGTGCCCGGCCCCCATAGCACAAATTCTTTATTTTTTTCACTCTATTGCCCAGGCTGGAGTGCAATGGCATGATCTCAGCTCACTGCAACTTCCACCTCCCACGTTCAAGTGATTTTCCTGCCTCTGTAATCCCAAAGTGCTGGGATTACAGGCGTGAGCCACCGCACCCAGCCATAAATTCTTAACATAAATACTAAAATCGAGGAGCAGTTATTTTTACAAGTGTGGAAAAAAGGTCACCTGAAGGTCTTCCATGGGAGTAGCAGAATGGTTCTTACTCACAAAAAATTCACAATAATGAAAACTCCTTAAAAATTCACGAAATAATTATGCAGAACAATAAGCTTTCAAAATACAATTATATTATGACCTTCCCCCGTTATCTAAGGGCATGAAGCAAGTTCAACCGCAAGTGCATGGTAGCAGAAAACTGCCAGTGCCTTTTGCTCAACAGGTGGCCCAGCGTTAGTCTTGAACATTTTCAAGTATAGGATTGTTTGATGACCCCGGCTAGTTAAGGTTTCCCTTTCTCTCTCACACACATTTCTCAAAGTACCTATCCTCCCGAATATCCGACAAGGGACCGATCGAAGAGTCAGTGAAAGAAAAACATCATTATTCTTTGACATCGGCACATTTCAAAAACAGCTCATTACACAGAACAGCCAACTTTTTTTTTAATTGTTTTATTTGGGAAAAGTGCTTCTTACAAAAGGGCAGCTGCAAAATACAGAGACCTCTGCAACAATTATTTGTTTTTTCTTAAAGTGAAAGAATGGGTGGGATCCAAGGAATCAAAGCAGTAGATGGACAAACCAGGAGCATCCCCGAGTTATTTTCAGGAAACAGAGCAACAAAACACAAAGGTACAATTTCCAATCAAGGAATTCTTCCAACAACTTAACTTTAGCTAATCTCAGGGATTCCCAAGCCCTCCCTTTCGGTGGAAAAGTATGACTTATCACTGCAAACCCATTACTCCACTACAATAAACACCTTAGAACAGAGTTTTGAATCACGTCTGTCTACCTGAAAGCTCAGGGGTGGAATGAGGCAAATACCCACAAAAACAAACACAAAAACCCGACAACAAAATGCCTCAAGTGAGGACAAAGGTTTCTCAGAAAGTGCCTGTACTGGAAAGGCTAGATCGTAAAACATTAAATACAACTGTGTATCCAAGACCCAGTTTGTGTTATTATATGGGATAACCAGGTAGTTTTAACCTCTATGGCTAACCCCATTTCTCTATTTATATAGACAGAGCTAGCACTGCTATATTGACAACTACCAATATACTGCTTTGCCCTTTAAGATCTATCTGCCACACAAGGCTTAAACCACTAAACCAGGTTTTTCTACTAAGGCTAAGAATACTGCATCTATGCAGGGATGAGAAGCTTATCACACACCCACACACTCACACCATGTCAGCCCTTGGGAGCCAACTTCCAACTCTGCATTGATGTTATGCCTCTCTATCTTTTATACGTATTCTTTCTCAATTTTCCTATCATGCAAAACAGTAAAAAATCTCAACACATTCACACCTGATTCTGGTTACCCAGTAGTATTACTTGTGTGCAATTAAACAAGAGACCAAAACCACAGAACAAGTGCACGTGGTAGGGATTACAGGGTAGGGAACAGATATAAAAACACAGATGTGCAGATTTCACCAGAAACCTCAAGGATCCACATCCCATGTCTGGGGCAGAGGGCTATTGGCCAGCTTAGGTCCCTTCACCCATCACTCCTATTCTTGGACCCCAAAGCAGGGCCACTGCTTTTACTTTTGAACCTGGGGTCCTCAAAATGAGTGTGTGAAAAGTCCATAAATGCAATCTGGTTGAAAACAGATGACGCAACACACCTACACTAACTGTCTGACAGTTAAATTCGTGTTACAAAAAACTAACTTTAAGATTTATTTTTGTAACTTTTTTCAACAGGGAAAACAACACACTCCTCAGGGAAAGGTGAGGGGTTGAGAAGACAGGCCCTGGGTAAAAATTCTTAGGACAGCACCTGGAGTTGAGAGGCCTGCCTAGGAGAGAACACAGGCACTGCCACACCACCACAGGGGACAGCTGCTGTCTGAGGTCAGCAGACCAGTTCACACGCCACGCAAGGTTGCTATAGATCCAAGTCATAAAAATCTTCCAGCTCATCATGAAACAAGTCCCACTCATCTTCAGAGTCTGTTAGTTCGTCGTCCCCACCTGCAGCCAAAAGCATAAGCAACATCTCGCCCAGCTCAAAGGTGACAACCTCTTCTTCATCGTTGTCAAAGGGGTTGCTGTTCTCTCTTTCCTCAATGAGTTCCCAGAAGTGGTTCCTTCGTTGGGCCTGTAAAAAACAAGGCCATGATAGGGATGGCACTGTCGAGCAGTATCTTCTATCCTGTTGTTTATAAGGCAAAACGTCCAGCACACCAGAGGGCATGACGAACCAGACTTCTTAGTTAGGGTTTCCATTTACCACTTCCTCCCCTCTGGTTACTTCATGGAAATCGTTTAGGCTAGAGCTTTAACACACATTTTTTCTTCCTTTCCTATCCCTCCCAGTTTTCTGAGGTTTGTTTCCTCCTTTAATACTCTACACTTTCGCTCCCAGACCTGAGCGTTAACCTTCTCCTTCCCCTACCCCAATATGTGCAGGACTCAACTGATACCTTGGAATTTCCCCTCCTTTAAAAAAACAGTGAGAGTTACCCGGTATCTGCTTGATGTTCCCACTTTCTGTCTCTGTGGCTCCTCTCTACGGCCATCAGGGTACGCATGCTTGTAAAAACAGTTCCCTCCAAATGGGCAGCTCCCACGTCCTTCATCAAAATACCTGCACGCCTTGTTGCTGGAAAGGAAAATATCGCAACCCTTATTCACAGTGGATTTCAGGTCTGTATTTGACTATCATCCGGGGTTTCTTTAAACAGGTAGGGATAGAACCAGTATGTCAGCTTACAGCCCTCCCCAAGATGTGTTCTTATAAACATGTGTGTGCCAATGCAAGAAACACTAACTAGAAACCGGTAACTCTGTTCAAGTCTATGCTGGTTAATAGCTCTAGTACAAGCAGATGCCATAGAGAGAAAATCTTCTAGAAAGCCAACACATGAGAACATAGGACAGCTATGACACGGATTCAGAATAAGGTAGAACCCCACTCATGGGGCCTTACTTGTCAACAGTAGAGACCTCTTTATAACACAGTCCCTTGGCATGGACCCCAAGGACTGTGTTATAGCAAGATATATACTGGATGTTATCAGGGTGACAAAATAAACTGTCCTGGGAAGTCAAAGAAGGGTAGGAAGGAGGTAGGAGTGTATAATGCAGCACCATTCTTTTCAAAGTGAACCCAAGCTCTGTTGGGCTCTTCGCTTGAGAAAAGGCTGCAGTGCTCATACCTCATTGCCTCCTTGTATTTCAGAATGAGTTTCTGCTTCTCTTCTTTCTCCTCCACCCAGTACTCACTTGGAATGACAAAGTTAGATGTGATCCGGCATTCTGGGCAGGACCTGGGAAACAATGAACAGGCTGCAATGCAAATTCCCCTTTTACAGGCCCACTCTTCAAGGACACACCCTGGTGTGTCGCCTCCAGACTTAAAGACTTAACTGAAAGGCACGTGGGCATTTCCTGAAAGGGTTCCACATACTGTCACACAACTGACCATTTCTTTCAAGCAAGGCAACCTCCTTTATAAATCCAACTCAAGGGCTAGCCAGTTCTTTTTTTTTTTTTTTGAAAAATATAACTTAGGTAAAAAACAAAAACAAAAGAAGACATTTCACACAGACTCCTTTTTCTTTCGTTTAAATAAATTTATTTCTTGTAGCTTTGCTCTGTTTAGATTATGTGGTTTTTGTTCAGTTATGAGAACAATCTTTAAAGGATGGTGGATTGTTGGCTAGCTTAATGAATGGAATAGGAAAGTGGAAATGTAAAACGTCAGGAAACATACATTCAGAGCTAGATCAGTTTGTTCACTGAGCCTAAACTGGCTAATAATCCATTAAACACAATCTCCTCAGAAAAAGCACGAAGATTCTAACTGATACACAGGGTTTCCTCATTCAAATAAAAGTAGATAGACCAACTAACCTAGAAGCTAGCTGAAATACAAAGAAGAAATCCCCATTAGAATATCCCAGTTTCAAGATAAAATGCATGCATTTAAATGCGGTCCATCTGGTTGAAAGTTGGCACAAGTTACTAAATTCTTCCCCAAAAGAGAAAGCACAAATGAAGACTGGGGAGGAGTCTCACTTTATGATCTTGCTCTCAAATTGCTTAGCACTCCTCCACTTGCGAATGCACTTGAGACAGTAGGTGTGGTTGCAGTTGGAGAGGATCCCGAAGCGGCGCTCACTGGGGTTGGCTTTCTCATAGACCACCTCCATGCAGATCCCACACACCATGTCCTTGCTGCGCTGCACGGCAAATGAGAGCTCCATGTCCTTCTCATGGGCCTCAATGCACGACTAGAGAAGGTGGAGAGAGAACAAGTGGAATCCAGTCATTGAACCCTGAAAAACTTGAGCAACAGTTAATGATTCACAGTCAAAGAATCAAATAGTCAACTGAAAAAACAATGTTCCCAAGCTGACACGAAAATTAGCTTTGCTGACAAGTAAACACAGGTGTGGTGTTTTTTTTTTGTTTGTTTGTTTTTGCGGTGGTACTTAACAATACTAGAAAATCAAACTATGAGGACTCAACTTCGGGAACTGAAAAATTACCCAATTTTCTCTACCCCAAACCTGGAGCTCAACTACATTAAAGACGGTTTTCCATACTGTTTGTTATTTCTGGTTTCTACATGAGGTTAAGACCCTAGTTAAAACCTGTCGGAAAATAAGGGTGACAGGCACGTAAACTCTCTTATGCCTTTAAAGAAAAACAACTTCATCGAGATTTTTCAACTACTCAGCTTGATAGACTGATGCACACTTAGGTTAGGTTAGATTAGCCCACTTTGGGGCTATTATAAATAATGCTGCCAAGAACATTCATGTACCAATTTTTGTGTGGACATCATATTTTAACTTATAAAAAACATGATTATAGGAAACATAAAAATGCAGAAAACTCCCAGCACTTTGGAAGGCCAAGGTTGGGTGGATCACATGAGGCCTGGAGTTCGAGACCAGCCTGGTCAACATGGCGAAACCCCATCTCTACTAAAAATACAAAACTGAGGCAGGCGTGGTGGTGCATGCCTGTAGTCCCAGCTATTCGGGAGGCAGAGGCTGCAGTGAGCCGAGACTGCACTGCTACACTCCAGCCTGGGGGACAAAGCAAGACTCTGTCTCAAAAAAAAATAAAAATAAAAAAAATAACACTGCAGAAGAGCAATGTCATCCATAATCTCACATCATCACTAAACATGTCTTTTCCTAAACCTTTAAAAGAAAAAACATATATACATATATTCAGAGGTAGGTTCTACTACCTCAATATATAGATATAACGTATAGAGATTTATCCTGCCTAAATTCACAAAAGTACGCTGAAGATAGGGATCAAATTATGTCTACCTTATAACATGCCTCACACCCTAAAACCACATTTAAAAAGATGGAAATTTAAAAGAGATGGAAATGATTAGAAGCAAACTTTGCTCCAATAAAGTTAAAGTTTCTAACACAATGTCTTCTGAACCTACCCTGGCTCCCATACACTGCTGCTGGAAATGTAAAATCCTGCAGCCACTGTGGAAAAGTATGGCAGTTCATCAAAACGTAAAGCAGAGTTCCTATGTAACCCAGCAATTCCACTCCTAGGTAACGGAAAACATATCTTCACAGAAAAACCTATATACAAATGTTCCTAGCAGCCTTATTCATAATAGCCAAAAACTGGAAATGATCTAAGTGTCCATCAACTCATGAATGGAAAAACAAATGTGGTCTAGCCATACAAAGACAATAATTCAGCCATCAAAACTAAGAACGGCTACACGCAACCACACAAAGAACCTTGAAAACACTATGTTAAGTGAAAGAAGTGAAGTCAATCACAAAGGACCACATTACAGGATTCCATTTACATGAAATGTCCACAATAGGCCAATCCAGAGACAAAGCAGATTCGTTATTGCCAGGAGCTGGAGGAAGGCTGGAATAAAGAGTGACTGCTAATGGGTGTAGGATGATCAAATTATCCTAAAATTAGTAAAATGGTAATGGTTGCACATCTCTGTAAATATACTAAAAACCAATGAAATGTGCATTTTCAAAAGATTAAACATATTCAATGTGAATCTCAGAAACATTATTTTTTAAAAGAGGAAAAAAATGTTAGAAGTCTATAGTCTGAGTTTCTGGAAGTAGGACTTCTTTTTTTCTTTTGCCTCAACCTCCTGGGCTTGAGCGATCCTCTTGCCTCAGCCTAACAAGTAGCTGGGACTATAGACACATGCCTCCATGCCCAGTTAATTTTGTTCACTGGAAATATGACTTCTTGATAAAGCATCCAAGAAGCCCAAGAAAGGAAAACTTCCCTACTCACTGATAACCATTCAATTCATCAAATGTTTCTCTGAAATAAACCCACAATGCTGTGAAAGGGCAAATAATGATTCTCACATCTAATAACACACACATCTCCCTAAAGACTTACTTTGATATGCTGCGATCTCTGGGCAGCATCCATTGGATGCAGGACCTGCAGCCCACACATGTCACAAGAATCTCCGTGGAGATACACACAGTTCTCCCCGTATCGGCACTCTCCCACTGCAGCATAGGGGCACAGCTGCTTCTTTGTCTCCACGGCGGTTTGCTCTTTCTCTGATTCTTCCTTGGTCACTGAGCCCTGCAGGGGTGCTTCAGTGCAGGAAGGCGCAGCTGAAAATGTGTAAGAGGGTGGTAAAGGTCCAAATAGATAAGGCATGAACTATAAGAGAACTGAGAATCTAACCGCAAAAAATGAAAATAAAACTGCAATGAAATACCAAAACAGTCTACTGAACTAACTTCTTCACTTGAAAGAAAGGAATTTTTTCTACCGCTGTTATTTCCAAGATTAGACTTGTAAAAAAAAAAAATTGCTTCTTTATCTATGTCTTGGGTAACTGAAATTTAATTTCAAAAAGTACTCGAAAGGATTCAGTTTTTCAAAACATTCTGAATTCATTTCACTGGGATTAAAAATTTCCTTCACTCTATCTGTAAATCTTAGGTAATCCAAATTAAAGTACTGTACTAAGATTAAACTAAAAAAGGAATAGAAGCAGAAAGGGGAAAGTTGTCAAAACTAAGCAAATGGATGAACTGCTATCCAGCCCTCTAACTCTTATTTTCTTCTTCAGAATACTTACTACGGCCACAGTAGGGTTGCCCAGGAACAAACTCAATAGCATTCACCCAGTCCTCTGAACCTGCTCCTACAGTTGCAAAGTTTGAATTTCTTGACTCAGCTTCGCCTGTATTCATTTCAACAAGTGGTCCAACTATCGATGAGAGACTTGAGGAAGCAGCAAGGGATGACTTTGTAGTTAGCTCTGTAGCAGTTGCTTCTTCCTGTTTCAATGGTTTGCTATGTTCATATCTAAGAAAAAATTCAAAAGTAAGCAGTCGGCCAGTCGTGGTGGCTCAAGCCTGTAATCCCAACAGTTTGGGAAGCTGAGGTGGGTGGATCACCAGAGAGGTTGGGAGTTCGAGACCAGCCTGGCCAATGTGGTGAAAACCCGTCACTACCAAAAACGCAAAAATTAGCTGGGCATGGTGGCGCACCTGTAATCCCAACTACTCGGGAGGCTGAGGTAGGAGAATCACTTGAACCCAGGAGACAGAGGTTGTGGTGAGCCGAGATCATGCCACTGTACTCCAGCCTGGGCGACAGAGTGAGACTCCGTCTCAAAAAAAAAAAAAAAAAAAAAGTAAGCACTCACTGCCTAACTTCATATATACCTTTTTCTTTTCTTTTTTTTTTTTTTTTTGAGATGGAGTCTTGCTCTGTCATCCAGGCTGGAGTGCAGTGGCGTGATCTCAGCTCACTGCAAACTCTGCCTCCTGGGTTCATGGGATTCTCCTGCCTCAGCCTCCCAAGTAGCTGGGATTACAGGCGCCAGCCACCAAGGCTGGCTAAGTTTTGTATCTTTAGTGGAGATGCCGTTTGGCCAGGCTGATCTCGAACTCCTGACCTCAGATGATCCACCCACCTCAGCCTCCCAAAGTGCTGGGGTTACAGGTGTGAGCCACCACGTACGGCCATATATTCCTAATACATTCCTTGGATTCTCTTTGAGCATCAATGTGCCTGTATTTGTGAGTGCAGAGAGAAGCCTATGATTCTGCATATTTAGTTATACCATGTGTGATGCCAAGACTGCTGGTCCAGAGACCATACTTTTGAGTAGGAAGGCAATAGACTGGGGGTCACCAAAGTTTAAAGCATCAAATACACAAATATTTTAGGCTTTGTAGGTCATACAATCAACATCACAACTACAAGTATTCAACTCTGAAACTGCAGTGCAAAAGCAGGTGTAGGCACTATTTAAAGGAATGTGTAACTGTTCCGATCAAACTTGATTTATGAAAACGGCCTTTGGCCAGATTTGGCCTGTAGGCCCATACCCCTGGCTATATACCACTTATTACTTCAAATTCCACTCTAATTAGGAGTTTCAGATAGTTGACAGTCTATAGTTCCCATGGTAACTCTGCCAGAAACCCTGCAGGCAAAACTGACTGATTTCAAAGCAAGGCTGACACAAGGTCAATAAGCAGACATGTGGAACATTTTACCAACACATCAAATAAAATGCTGTCACTATTAAAAGGTAGAGACAATATTTATACAATACACAATATGTACATTCTTTTTCTAAGAAAATCCATCCATTCACCATTTCCCCTTCCAAATTTTGCCCCTATGCATTCTCTCCTTTTCATCTGTAAACATTAAACCACCACCATCTCCAAATACGTGGGGAAAATACATCTATTTCCTTCAAGAACCTTCTTTCTGGCCTGGTGCGGTGGCTCACACCTGTCATCCCAACACTTTGGAAGTCCAAGGAGGCCAGATCACTTAAGGCCAGGAGTGTAAGACCAGCCTGGCGAAACCTGGTCTCTACTAAAAATAAAAAATTATCCGGGCATGGTGGCGCACACCTGTAATACCAGCTACTCAGGAGAGGCTGAGGCATAACAGTTGTTTAAACATGGGAGGTGGAGGGTGCAGTGAGCCAAGATCAGGCCACTGCATTCCAGCCTGGGCAACAGAGTGAGACTCTGTTTCAAAAAATAATAAAAAAAAAGCAAAGCATAGCAAGCATCTTTCTGCCTGAGAAAATTCTCACAGTTCCTGCTGGACGTGGTGGCTCAGGCCTGTAATCCCAGCACTTTGGGAGGGTGAGGCGGGTGGATCACCTGAGGTTGGGAGTTCGAGACCAGCCTGACCACCATGGAGAAACCCCGTCTCTACTAAAAATACAAAATTAGCCAGGCATGGTGGCGCATGCTTGTAATCCCAGCTACTTGGGAGGCAGAGGCAGGAGAATCACTTGAACCTGGGAGGCGGAGGTTGCAGTGAGCCTAGATGGTGCCATTGCACTCCAGCCTGGGCAACAAGAGCAAAACTCCATCTCGAAAGAAAAGAAAAGACAATTATCACAATTCTTTTAGCATTTTACACTAAGAAATTGACTGATTTTCAGAGACTCACTCTATCTCCTAGGCTGGAGTGCAGTAGCGTGACCTTAGCTCACTGCAGCCTCGACCTCCTGGGCTCAAGCAATCCGTCTGCCTTAGCCTCCTGAGTAGCTGGGACGACAGGTGTGTGCCACAATGCTGGTCTAACTTTTTTTATTTTTTGTAGAGACAAGGTTTCCCTATGTTGTCCAGGCTGGTCTCCAACTCCTGGGCTCAAGCAAGCCTCCTGCCTTAGCCTCCCAAAGTGATAGGCATGAGCCACCGTGCTCGGCACACCGAGTTTTATTCAGATGCTATGTATTAATTATGCATATAGTAAATTTAACTGTGCTACATAATTTATAGTTTGTTATCAAGTGGTTCTTATAATGAAACATTACTAACTTTGGGTCATCTGTGTTATAGGTGCCTATGTTTATACGCAAAAATAAAGTAAAATCTAACTAAAGGCTCTACTCCAGCTTATGGCAAACATTTTACTGAGCTGGTCTTTAATCATTGTTATTATTACCTCAAACATTCATATTCTAGCACTCTGGGAGGCTGAGGTGTGGGTGGATTGCCTGAGCTCAGGGGTTAGAGACAAGCCTGGGCAACATGGCAAAACTCCGTCTCTACTAAAAATAAAAAAATTAGGCAGGGCGCAGTGGCTCACGCCTGTAATCCCAGCATTTTGGGAGGCTGAGGTGGGTGGATCACGAGGTCAGGAGATCGAGACCATCCTGGCTAACACGGTGAAACCCCGTCTCTACTAAAAAATACAAAAAAATTAGCCGGGTGTGGTGGTGTGCGTCTGTAATCCCACCTACTTGGGAGGCTGAGGCACAAGAATCACTTGAACCCAGGAAGCGGATGTTGCGGTGAGCCAAGAACGCACCACTGCACTCCACTCTGGGTGACAGAGCTAGACTCCAACTCAGAACCAATAAAGACTATGCGCGGTGGCTCATGCCTGTAATCCCAGCACTCTGGGAGGCCAAGGCAGGTGGATCACTTGAGGTCAGGAGTTCGAGACCAGCCTGGCCAACATGGTGAAACCACCATCTCCAAAGACATTCATATTCCTCCTCTTAAGCCTTAGGTAAACTACCTCGCCTTGCAGCAAAAGTAAGCTGAGTATCCTGCTATCATCCACAAAAACCCAATGCATTGTTCTATAGAGTGGAATCCTATAAGCTGAAGGATAAGGGAAGAAACTATCATGAATATGCTCTTTCACTTTCACTCATGAACTGTGGGGAAGTATTCTATCATTTTAGAGATGACCTCACTGTCCTACTAAGTGATGGGGTTCTAGGTCTAATGGGACTCTAAAGCTGCTCTATACAGTACAGCCAACCACTGCCCACATCTAACTCTTCAGACTTACATACAATTTTAAACTCAGTTCTTCAGTCCTTCCTCTAGCTATACCTGCAAGTGTTCAAAAGCTACATGGAGCTAGAAGCTACCGTTAGATAGCAACATGAAGAACATTTCCAGTACTGCATGAAGTTCTACTGGATGGCAGTATTCTGAAATGTTAGAGCAGCAAGTATCCTTAGAAATCCAGCCCAGGCTGGACGCGGTGGCTCACGCCTGTAATCCCAGCACTTTGGGAGGCCAAGGTGGGCGGATCACAAGGTCAGGAGATGGAGACCATCCTGGCTAACACGGTGAAACCTCGTCTCTACTAAAAATACAAAAAATTAGCCGGGCGTGGTGGCAGGCGCCTGTAGTCCCAGCTACTCGGGAGGCTGAGGGAGGAGAATGGCGTGAACCTGGGAGGCGGAGCTTCCAGTGAGAGAGCTGAGATCGCGCCACTGCACTCCAGCCTGGGCGACAGAGCAAGACTCCATCTCAAAAAAAAAATAAAAAGAAATCCAGCCCAAAGCCTCACTTTTCATTTTACTTTTGTTTTGTTTTTTGAGACAGTCTCACTCTGTCACCTGGCTAGAGTGCAGTGGTGCAATCTCAGCTCACCGGCTTCAAGTGATTCTCCTGCCTCAGCCTCCCAAGTAGCTGGGATTGCAGATGCGGCACCACCAAGCCCAGCTAATTTTTGTATTTTTAGTAGAGACGGGGTTTCACCATGTTGGCCAGGCTAGTCTTTGAACTCCTAACCTCAAGCAATTCACTGGCCTCAGCCTCCCAAAGTGCTGGGATTATAGGCGTGAGCCACCGCGCCCAGGCCCAAAGCCTTACTTTTCAGATTAAGTAACTCCCTTGGAGCCAAGCTTCATGGCTCCAGCCTATAATTCCAGCTAGTTGGGAGGCTGAGGTGGGAGGATTACTTGAGCCCAGGAATTTGAGGCTATAGTGAGTCACGATCACACCACTGCACTCCAGCCTGGATGACAGAGCAAGACTATCCTGTCCCTTAAAAAACAAAATAAGCCAGGCACGGTGGCTCACACCTGTAATCCCAGCACTTTGGGAGGCCGAGGTGGGCGATCACCTGAGGTCAGGAGTTCCAGACCAGCCTGATCAACATGGAGAAACCCCGTGTCTACTAAAAACGCAAAAGAATTAGCTGGGCATGGTGGTGCATGCCTGTAATCTCAGCTACTCGGGAGACTGAGGCAGAAGAATCGCTTGAACCTGGGAGGCGGAGGTTGCAGTGAGCCAAGATCGTGCCATTGCACTCCAGCCTGGGCAACAAGAGTGAAACTCAGTCTCAAAAAAACAAACAAACAAAACAAAACTCCCTGGTTTAAAAGATAATTTCCAAAAAAAAAAAAATTAGTTATTTTTACAAGCTTTATATTTTTTGTTTTCTTTGAGACAGGGTCTCACTCTGTCTCCCAGACTGGAGAGCAGTGGCACAATCACAATTCACTGCGCCCTTAACCTCCCTGGGCTCAGGTGATCCTCCCACCTCAGTCTCCCCAGTAGCTGGGACTACAGGTACACACCACCACACCCAGCTAATTTTTATTTTGTAGGTACGTAGTTTTGCCATGTTGCCTAAGTTGGTCTCCTGGGCTCAAGCCATCTTCCCCGCCCAGCCTAGTACAAATGTCTAAGGAAGTTTAATCAATTTTTCTGTCTCTGTAAGAGAAAATAACCCTTTCCCTGGTTGGTTTACAACTCCCACCCCATTGCTTCTGTGGCCTTTAGTATTTTAAAGTATTGGATTCTTCAGTTGGTCCAAAAACCAAAACTCCAAACAAGAAGTCAACCAAACCAGGCCAGGCACGGTAGTTCACACCTGTAATCCCCAGCACTTTGGGAGGCCGAGGCAGGTGGATTACTTGAGGGCAGGAGTTCAAGACCAGCCTGGCTGACATGGTGAAACCCTGTCTCTACTAAAAATAACAAAATTTAGCCAGGCATGGTGGCACATGCCTGCAATCCCACCTACTCGGGAGGCTGAGGTGGGAGGTGGAGGTTGTGACATTGCACCACTGCACTCTAGTCTGGGCGACAGAGCACGACTCCATCTAAAAAAAAAGAAAGAAGTCAACCAAGCCAATATTGCCCCTTTCCCCAGAGGGTGTCCAGAAACAAAGACTGGGAGTTCTAATGGCATTCTGGGAAAATACTAGACTAGATATCTGCAATATGCAAAACAGTCCCGAGCAACAAAGAACTGGCCTCACTAAACAAAAGCACCACCATTACGAAACACTGATGCAGAAAATCCTCTCAACTGTTGGGGCTATGATGCTATCCTTCATTATCAATGATCTACTCCCTCTGTGAAGAGGGAAATCCCTGGGCTTTGAGCAAGTTACATAAAGAGATCCCAACACTAAGAGTAAGAGGTAGGTGGCCGGGTGTGGTGGCTCACGCCTGTAATCCCAGCCCTTTGGGAGGCCGAGGTGGGCGGATCAGGAGGTCAGAAGATCGAGACCATCCTGGCCAACATGGTGAAACCCTGTCTTTACTAAAATACAAAAAAATTAGCTGGGCATGGTGGTGCGCGCCTGTAGTCCCAGCTACTCAGGAGGCTGAGGCACCGGAATCGCTTGAACCCAGGAGGCGGACATTGCATTGAGCCGAGATCACGCCACTGCACTCCAGCCTGGTGACAGAGCGAGACTCCATCTCAAAAAAAACAAAAAAAGATAAGGTTGAAGTTCCTAGATATCATTCTAACAGGAAAACAAGCAGTCATAGAGCAAGCCTCTCTTTAAGATTCTTTCTTTAGCTAGTCCACAATCAACCTTTTAATAATCACCTATATCAGCCTGTACTCAACAATTATCACCAAACTTTCAAGTAGACTACTATAGTTTCTCTACTTCCTTTCACTTTATGCTAAGAGATCTAAACCCAGCTCAATTCTGGCTCATCCTCTAAAGAGTTCTAGAAAAGAGGCAGCTACATCCTTATTAAAAGGAAAATTAAGAGGCCAGGCCCAGTAGGCTCACACCTATGATCCCAGCATATTGGGAGGCAAAGGTGGGAGCATCAGTTGAGGCTGGGAGTTTGAGACCAACCTCGGTGAGATAGGGAGACCCCGTCTCTACAAACAGAATAAAAAAACTTAAGGCCGGGCGCGGTGGCTCACGCCTGTAATCCCAGCACTTTGGGAGGCCGAGGCGGGTGGATCATGAGGTCAGGAGATCGAGACCATCCTGGCTAACAAGGTGAAACCCCGTCTCTACTAAAAATACAAAAAATTAGCCGGGCGCGGTGGCGGGCGCCTGTAGTCCCAGCTACTCGGGAGGCTGAGGCAGGAGAATGGCGTGAACGTGGGAAGCGGAGCTTGCAGTAAGCCGAGATTGCGCCACTGCAGTCCGCCGTCCGGCCTGGGCGACAGAGCGAGACTCCGTCTCAAAAAAAAAAAAAAAAAAAAAAAGAATAAAAAAACTTAGCTGGAGGTGGTGGTTGCAGTGAGTCGTGTTCACACCACTGCACTCTAACCTGGGCAAGAGGGCAAGACCAGATCTCAAAACAAAGAAAGAAACAAACAACAAACCAATTAAGGTTCCTTTCAACTTTTTCTTTTTTTTTTTTTTTGAGACAGAGTTTCGCTCTTGTTGCCCAGGCTGGACTGCAATGGTACGATCTTGGCTCACCACAACATCCACCTCCCGGGTTCAAGTGATTCTCCTGCCTCAGCTTCCAGAGTAGCTAGGATTACAGGCATGCGCCACCATGCTTGGGTAATTTTGTATTTTTGGTAGAGACGGGGTTTTCCACAGGTCAGGCTGATATCAAATTCCCGACCTCAGGTGATCCTCCTGTCTCAGCCTCCCAAAGTGCTGGGATTACAGGCATGAGCCACCAAGCCCAGCCGCCCCCTCCCCCACTTTCTTTTAAGACGAAGTCTCACTCTTTGCCCAGGCTGGAGTACAGTGGCACAATCAAGGTTCACTGCAAACTCTACCTTCCCAGGTTCAAGTGATTCTCCCACCTCAGCCTCCCAAGTAGCTGGGATTACTGACACGTGCCACCATGCCCAGCTAATTTTTGTATTTTCAGTAGAGACGAGGTTTAACCATGTTGGCCAGGCTGGTCTTGAAATCCTGACCTCAAGTGATCCGCCCACCTCAGCCTCCCAAAAGCGCGGGGATGACAGGTATGAGCCACTGTGCCCAGTCCCTTTCAACTTGGAGCCATCTGCATCTGCCTCAACGTCAGAGGCTCACCAAAATAGGGAACCTACCTAATTTCCTCTGGTCTCAAACTATTTGGGGCGGGCAAAGTTGCCTGAAAAATAAGATGGTTAATACACAGAGCCCAGGCAGGGGGCTGTGGCTCACGCCTGTAATCCCAGCACTCTGGGAGGCTGAGGCGGGCGGATCACCTGAAGCCAGGAGTTCAAGACCAGCCTGACCAACACGGAGAAACCCCGCCTCTACTAAAAATACAAAATTAGCTGGGCATGGTGGCACATGCCTGTAATCCCAGCTACTTGGGAGGCTGAGGCAGGACAATCACTTGAACCCGGGAGGTGGAGGTTGCGGTGAGCCGAGATCATGCCATTGCACTCCAGCCTGGGCAACAAGAGCGAAATTCTGTCTCAAAAAAAAAAAAAAAAAAATGCAGAGGCTTAGCACAGATTTCTTCAATTTAACCTTCATTTTTTTCATTCACTCCATCTACACAGTCCATTCAGATGAGCACTTCTTCTGAAATAAGGACCAACTGCTAATTATCTATAGCTTTCTGATTCTATCTCACAGTCTATTCTCATCCCTCTGCTTGGGAGGTTGGATTCTTCACTCTCATCAATATTCAACTCCTCCTGCCCCAGTCACAGTTGGCAGTAACTCTCAAAAGACTAGAACCCAGTTCAAGGAACACAGCTCCCTTACAATTAGCCTCAATACCTGCAGAGACTATACCACTACAAAGATTCGTCCATTCACCATTGCAGTGTGAAGTTCTCATGACTCTGCCTTTTATATTGGGACTGCAAAAGACATGCCTGGTGGAGAGGCCAGGTGCGGTGGCTCACGCCTGTAATCCCAGCACTTTGGGAGGCCGAGGCAGGTGGATCACCTGAGGTCAGGAGTTTGAGACCAGCCTGGCCAACATGGTGAAACCCTAACTCTACTAAAAATGCAAAAATTAGCTGGGTGTGGTGGCACATGCCTGTAATCCCAGCTACTCCGGAGGTTGAGGCAGGAGAATTGCTTGAACCAGGGAGTCGGAGGTTGCAGTGAGTTGAGATCATGCCACAGCACTCCAACCTGGCGACAGACTGAGACTCTGTCTCACAAAAAAAAAAAAAAAAAAAAAAAAGACATGCCTGGTGGAGAGTTTGAGAATAATGTCATTGTGTCATTTTCCCCCTTTTTCAGCAATAATGCAATGACAAATTAGCAAAGGGCAAAATGAGTAGCAACTAAACAAAGTTTCTATGAGATCAACTTCTGAACTTCTACACAGTCATTTGAAAAAGATCTTCTCTTTCCCCTCATCCTTACTGGACTCTTAATAAACAGATGTGGGATGACTTAACATTAATATCCCACACCATCAATAATGTCAGGTTCTGAACTCTATTTGAACCCAGTGGCTCACACTACATTTTCTGATAATGACATTAAAATTGACTATGACTATGGCACAGTGGCTCACGCCTGTAATCTCAGCACTTTGGGAGGCTGAGGCTGGCGGATCACGAGGTCAGGAGATCAAGACCACCCTGGCTAACACAGTGAAACCCCGTCTATACTAAAAATACAAAAAATTAGCCAGGCGTGGTGGCGGGCGCCTGTAGTCCCAGCTACTCAGGAGGCTGAGGCAGGAGAATGGCGTGAACCCGGGAGGCGGAGCTTGCAGTGAGCTGAGATCCCACCACCGCACTCCAGCCTGGGTGACAGCGAGACTCCATCTCAAAAAAAAAAAAAAATTTACTATGACACTGTCAAAAGTCTTACCGAGGGTAGTGGTTTAAAGTACATACAAAACTCTTTGATATGCCTTCCTTCAAAAGGTAGAGCCCAATCCTCTCCCTTTACATGTGGGCTGGACTTAGTAACTTAGTCCAGAATCAGTGGAAATAACAGTATATGACTTCTGACACTAGGTCATAAAAGGCATTGTGGCTTTTCCTTGCCTCCTCTGTTAAATTGTTTGCTCTGGGGAAAGCTAGCTGCCAAGCTGCAAGGATACTAAAGTATCCCTATGAAAAGGCCCATGTGGGCCAGGCGGGGTGGCTCACGCCTGTAATCCCAGCGCTTTGGGAGGCAAAGGCAGGTGGACTGCCTGAGCTCAGGAATTTGAGACCAGCCTGGCCAACATAGTGAAACCCCGTCTCTACTAAAAATACAAAAGTTAGTGGGGTGTGGGCCGGGCGCGGTGGCTCATGCCTACAATCCCAGCACTTTGGGAGGCTGGTGTGGGCTGGTCAGGAGATCAAGACCATCCTTTCAACAAGGTGAAACCCCATCTCTACTAAAAATACAAAAATTAGCTGAGTGTGGCGGTGCATGCCTGTAATCCCAGCTACTCGGGAGGCTGAGGCAGGAGAATCACTTGAACCTGGGAGGTGGAGGTTGCAGTGAGCTGAGGCTGTGCCACTGAACTCCAGCCTGGCGACAGAGCTAGGCTCTGTCTCAAAAAAAAAAAAAAAAAAAAAAAAATTAGCCAGGTGTGGTGGTGCATGCTTGTAATCCTAGCTACTCTGGAGGCCAAGGCAGGAGAATCTCTCGAACGCGGGAGGCAGAGGTTGCAGTGAGCTGAGATCATGCCATTGCACTCCAGCCTGGGTGACCAGCAAAACTCCGTCTTGAAAAAAAAAAAAGGCCAAGTGGTGAGAAACCAAAGTCTCCTGCCAACAGTCATGAGAGTAAGACCTCTTAAAAACAATACTGGGCTAGGCACCATGGCTCACGGCTGTAATCTCAGCACTTTGGGAAGCCGAACCGCGTGGATCACCTGAGGTCAGGAGTTCGAGACCAGCCTGGCCAACATGGTGAAACTCCGTCTCTACTAAAAATACAAAAATTAGCTAGGTGTGGTGGCGGGCGCCTGTAATCCCAGCTACTCCGGAAGATGAGGCAGGAGAATCGCTTGAACCCAGGAGGCGGAGGTTGCAGTGAGCCGAAATTGCGCCACTGCACTCCAGCCTGGGCGACAAGAGCAAGACTCCATCCTAAACAAAACAAACAAAAAAACCCAAACAAACAAACAAAAAACAATGCTGGCTGGGCACTGTGTCTCACACCTGTAATCCCAGCACTCTGGGAGGCCGAGGTGGGCAGATCACTTGAGGTCAGGAGTTCGAGACTAGCCTGGCCAACATGATGAAACCCTGTCTCTGCCAAAAATATAAAAAATTAGCCGGGCATAGTGGCACGCAGATGTAATCCCATCTACTTGGGAAACTGAGGCAGGAGAATTGCTTGAATCTGGGAGGCAGAGGTTGCAGTGAGCCGAGATCTTGCCACTGCACTCCAGCCTGGGCAACAGAGGGACAAGACTCGGTCTCACACACACAAAAAATATCCTGGAGTCCCCATCAAGTCTTCAGATGACTTGCTAAAATTTTGACTGCCATCTCATAAGTGTCTCTGAGATAGAACCATCCAGCTAAGGCACTCACAGAATCCGGAACCCCAGAAACTGAGATAATAAATGTTCACTGTTTTAACCTACTAAATTTGGGGATGGGCCAGTTTCTGGGGCTCATGCTTGTAATCCCAACACTTTTCGGAGGCCAAGGCAGGAAGATTGCTTGAGCCCAGGAATCTGAGACCAGCCTACGCAACATATTAAGACCCCCATCTCTACAAAAAACTAAATAAATGAGGTGGTGCATCCCTGTGGTCCCAGCTACTTGGGAGGCTGAGGTGAGAGGATCATTTCAGCCTGGTAAGTTGAGGCTGCAGTGAGAAGTGACCACACCACTGCACTCCAGCCTGGGCAACACAGTAAGACCCTGTCTCAAAAAAATAAATAAAAAATAAATTTGAGGGTTACTTGTTTAACATCCACAGATAATACACCTAGTCATTTCTGAACTAGGAGGATAGAAAAGCCCTACCCAATTTTTTTTTAAGGTGGAGTCTCGCTCTGTTGCCCAGGCTGGAGCGCAGTGGCGGGCTCTTGGCTCAGTGCAACATCCACCTCCCGGGTTCATGCAATTCTCCTGCTTCAGCCTCCGAAGTAGCTGGGATTACAGACGCACACCACCATGCCCAGCTAATTTTTCTATATTTTGTAGACATGAGGTCTCACTAGGTTACCCAGGCTGGTCTCAAACTTCCAAGATCAAGCAATCCTCCTACCTAAGCATCCCAAAGTGCTGGGATTATAGGCATGAGCCACTGCCCAGCCAAGAGTCATTTTCAAAGCATTATTTTTAATCAGTGACATATAAAGCTATCAGAAGTATGTCTTTTACCTTTTTCCTCCAACCCACCCCTGAACAAATTTATAAACAAATTCTTACCTGCAGCGGTCTCCATAAATACAGTACCCTCGCTGAAAATACTTGCACACTACACTATACGGACTGTCAGAGAGGTCATGCGAGTAGCGACAGTTGTCTCCTTCCTTACAAACCCCATGCATAAAATACCTGTGAGACGAAAGACCACAAAACTGGATTAAAACCAATCCTTGAAAATATTAAAACTAATTAGTATTCATGACTAATATATTCAACCAGTAAATACACAAACATACGAAATAAACACAAAGAAAGGGCCAGGCATGGTGGCTCATGCCTGTAATCCCAGTACCTTTGGGAGGCTGAGGTGAGTGGCTCACCTGAGGTCAGGGGTCTAAGACCAGCGGTTCGAGACCAGCCTGGGCAACATGGTGAAACCCCGTCTCTACTAAAAATACAAAAATTGGCTGGTGTGGTGGCACACATGTTAATCCCAGCTACTCAGGAGGCTGAGGCAGGAGAACTGCTTACACGTGGGAGGCTGAGGTTTCAATGAGCCGAGATCGCGCCATTGCACTCCAGCCTGGGAGACAGAGCAAGACTCCATTTCAAAAAAAAAAAATAAAAAGAAGGTGATAAGAAAACAGGAGTAAAGCAAGTGTATTAGTCCGTTTTTGCATTGTGTTTTTGCTTTGTAGCTGGGACTACAGGCGCCGCCACCACGCCCGGCTAATTTCTTGTATTTTTAGTAGAGACAGGGTTTCACCATGTTAGCCAGGATGGTCTCGATCTCCTGACCTTGTGATCTGCCCACCTCGGCCTCCCAAAGTGCTGAGATTACAAGCGTGAGCCACTGCGCCTGGCCCTTGTTTTTGCATTGTTACAACGAACTATTTTGACATTCCAGCCTGGGTGATGGAGCACGACTATGACTCTGTCTCAAAAAAATGTAATAATAATACGCCTTAGATTATGAAAACTGTTTAACTTACATAACAAAAAGAAAAAAAAAGGGCCAGGCGTGGTGGCCCACACCTGTAATCCCAGCACTTTGGGAGGCCAAGGCGGATGGATCACGAGGTCAGGAGATCAAGACCATCCTGGCTAATATGGTGAAACCCCATCTCTACTAAAAGTACAAAAAATTAGCCGGGCATGGTGGCAGGCACCTGTAATCCCAACTACTCGGGAGGCTGAGGCAGGGATTGCAGTGAGCCGAGATCGTGCCATTGAGCCACTGCGCTCCAGCCTGGACAACAGAGAGACTCCATCTCAAAAAGAAAAAGAAAAAGAAAAAGAAAAAAAGATATAGTCTACGTCAAAGAATTTCTCCTCCAAACAAAAACCAATGAATATAAGTATATGTCTTGTTTTTAAATGATACCACCAAAAAAAAAAAAAAAAACATCATCCAGATTCACCCCAAGTTGAGTTTGCCTTCGGTGAAAACCTGGGCCATATATTATTTCTGAAGTTCCTTCCACTGTGCAGACTCTGTCTCCATGAGACACTGTGCAGTAAAAGACAAAATTTACTAGAATCCCCCTACTGCTGTGCCTCTTAGAAACCTAATAGTGGCCCCCAACATAGAGAACAAGAAACTGCCAAGTTACCCTGTAAGGGTACAAGAGAACCAAACAGCACCCTCAGAGTATCTCTAGGCATCTTAACAACCTCTTTAGGAATTTCTACAAATTATAGAATAGATAAGGCATTTAATCAATTCATCTGCAGTGACACTTCTTACTTTGATATTTAACTTTTAATGAGTGAGTATACCATTTATCAAACTAGATTATAAATTCCTGATGGGTAAAGACTGGTTTATTCCCCTTTTTATCTCCAACTATCTGTGCACATAATATATACTTGTTAGAAAAAGGTAGAAAGCCGGGTTCGGTGGCTCATGCCTGTAATCCCAGCACTTTGGGAGGCCAAGGCGGGTGGATTACCTGAGGTTGGGAGTTTGAGACCAGCCTGACCAACATGGTGAAAGCGGTACCTACTAAAAATACAAAAATTAGCCGAGTGTGATGGTACAAGCCTGTAATCCCAGCTACTCTGGAGGCTGAGAGAGGAAAATCGCTGGAACCCAGGAGATGGCGATTGCACCGAGCCAAGATTGTATCACTGCACTCTAGCCTGGGCAACAACAGCGAAACTCCGTCTCAAAAAAAAAAAAAAAAGAAAGAAAGAAAGAAAGAAAGAAAGAAAGAAAGAAAGAAAGAAAGAAAGAAAGAAAGAATAAAAGACTGTAGGGTGGGCCCGGTGGCTCACACCTACAATCCCAGCACTTTGGGAGGCAGAGGCAGGTGGATCACCTGAGGTCAGGTGTTCAAAACCAGCATGGCCAACATGGTGAAACCCACTATCTACCAAAAATACAAAAATTAGGCCAGGTGCGGTGGCTCACACCTGTAATCCCAGCACTTTGGGAGGCTGAGGCAGGTGGATCATGAGGTCAGGAGCTCAAGACCATCCTGGCTAACACAGTGAAACCCTGTTTCTACTAAAAATACAAAAAAAACAAACAATTAGCCAGGCATGGTGGCACACACCTGTAGTCCCAGCTACTTGGGAGGCTGAGGCAGAATTGCTTGAACTCGCAGTGGGTTGGGGGGGGCCCAGAGGTTGCAGTGAACCAGGATCACGCCACTGAGACTCCGTCTCAAAAAAAAAATAAATAAATAAAAGGCTGTAGAAGACAGCTAGATGTGATGGTGAATCATGGTAGCGATAGCAAATTAATTTTTCTTTCCCAGTTGCATAATCTTTTTAATACCATTTAATATTTATTACTTATTTCCTCTCACAACCACTATGTAGTTTCCAAGTAATAAATTTCACTATGGACGTCACAGCACTCAGATAAAGAATTTCTGAAGGATTTCCTTCTTTCTTTTTTTTTTTTTTTGAGACGAAATCTCACTCTGTCACCCAGGCTGGAGTGCAGTGGTGCAATCTTGGCTCACTGCAGCCTCTGCCTCTTGGGATCAAGTGATTCTCCCACCTCAGCCTCCAGAGTGGCTGGGATTACAGGTGCCCGCCACCACGCCCAGCTAATTTTTGTATTTTTAGTAGAGAACGGGTTTCGTCATGTTGGCCAGGCTGGTCTCGAACTCCTGACCTCAAGTGATCCACCTGCCTTGGCCTCCCAAAGTACTAGAATTACAGGGGTGAGACACCACGCCCAGCTGATCTTTAAGTTACGTTAACCACATTTTTAAAAACTTTTGAGGCCAGGTACGGGGGCTCATGCCTGTAATCCCAGGACTTCGGGAGGCCAAGGTGGGTGGATCACCTGAGGTCAGGAGTTCAAGACCAGCCTGGGCAACATGGTGAAACCCCATCTCTACTAAACGTACAAATAATTAGCCGAGTGTGATGGCACGTGCCTGTAATCCCAGCTTCTCGGAAGGCTGAGGCACCAGAATTCCTTGAACCCAGGAGGCAGAGGTTGTAGTGAGCCGAGATCGTGCCACTGCACTCCAGCTTGGGCGACACAGACTCCATCTCAGAAAACAAACAAACAAACAAACAAAACACAACTTTCAAGGCCAAGCATGGTGGCTCACACCTGTAATCCCAGCACTTTAGGAGGCCGAGGCGGGTGAAACACTTGAGCTTAGGAGTTCAAGACCAGCCTAGGCAACAGGGTGAAACCCTGTCTCTATCAAAAATGCAAAAAAAAATTAGCCTGGGGTGGTGGCACGTGCCTGTAATTCCAGCTACTGGGGAGGTTCAAGCAGGAGGATTGCTTGAGCCTGGGAGGTGGAGGCTGCAATGAGCCAAGACACTGCCACTGCATTCCAGCCTAGGGGACAGAGCGAGACCCTATCTCAAAAAATACAAATAAATACAAATAAAAATCAAGAAAAGAGTTTTTTGAAAAATTAAAAATTAAACACTTGTTTTTTTGTGTATTATTTCAACTACCAGAACACTTATCTGCCATTATAGAAGCACTCTAATAAAGAGGGGTCTAAATTCAAATTACAACTTCTCTTTAAGTATTAACTGTTCTAACCTCACACACTCAAGGTAACTCAAGGTAGCAGATGCAATGAGCATTTCTGTTTCTTAGTATTGCTCTAATAAAAGATATGAAAAACAGCCTGGTGGTGGCAGCATAACACAGTTTCTGAGGAAAGGTATAAAACACAATGAAAACCCCAGGAGAAACATTAGAAAAAATGTAACCAGTAGGAAAATACAGGTGATTCCGAGCAATTAAAAACATTCTAATCAAAACTTCTAAGTGAAGAAAATAGCTTTAGTCAAATTCCTAGATACAGGAGTGATGTGCTATAGGGAGAAATGAGCACAAACACTAAAACACACCTCTACCTGATTCTTTAGGTGATGTTTACCTAGCAAACATATTGAAAATGTTTATTTATAATACAGTACATACATCTGCACTCTCTTGAACACCTAATATTGTGTCTCCCATTGCTGGCGTGCAATGTTTACTTACTGAATGATTGAATAAGGTAGTTCCAGAAAAAATATACATGTGGCCGGGCGTAATCCCACCTACTCAGGAGGCTGAGGCAGGAGAATCGCTTGAACCCAGGAGGCAGAGGTTGCAGTGAGCTGAGATCTCGCCACTGCACTCCAGCCTGGGCGACAGAGCGACACTCCATCTCAAAAAAAAAAAAAAAAAAGGAAGATACACATGTGTTCTGTTAAGTACTTTGTCTTTGGTAATTTACAAGTTTTGTTTTTTTTTTTTTTAATGAAAGCAGAGGAATCTTACAAAGTTCCTGTTAAAGTGGGTAATTCTAGGTATATGACTTTATCAACATCACTCAAGCATTTACTCAGTATCTGCTCAGGATACTCAGTAACTGAGTATCCTGTTCATGATACTGGAACTGAGGAAAGAAACTGAGGAACTGAGGAAAGAAAGCCCTGCAGATAAAATAGGGCCCTACTCTTCTCAGAGAGCTCAAAGTGAACGATAAGGATCATAGACCGGGTGCGGTGGCTCACGCCTCTAATCCCAGCACTTTGGGAGGCTGAGGCCGGCAGATCACCTGAGGTCGGGAGTTCAAGACCAGCCTGACCAACACGGAGAAAGCCCGTCTCTACTAAAAATACAAAATTAGTCAGGTGGGCATGGTGGTGCACGCCTGTAATCCCAGCTACTAAGGCATCTGTAATGCCAGAGACTGAGGCAGGAGAATCAATTAAACCTGGGAGGCGGGGGTTGTGGTAAGTAGAGATCACACCATTGCACTCCAACCTGGGAAACAAGAGGGAAACTCTGTCTCAAAAAAAAAAAAAAAAAAATGATAGTTGACATTCCTCTATCTAAAGGAGAAAATAGTTTTAAGTAAGAGATCATGTTGGTACCTAGAACAACCGAAAACAATGTCAAACACTAAAACCCCAGACCTATCAAGGAATCTGCACAACAATAAAAAACTGTCTCAAGCAAAAGCTATACAAAAAACCCCCAAAAACTAGTAAATCTAAGCTCTTTCTTTTCTTTCTTTTTCTTTTTTGTTTTTCTTCTGACAGAGTTTCACTTTCGCCCAGGCTGGAGTGAAGTGGTGTGATATTGGCTCACCGCAACCTCTGCCTCCTGGGTTCAAGCAACTCCCTGCCTCAGCCTCCGGAGTAGCTGAGATTACAAGCGCCTGTCACCACGCCCGGCTAATGTTTTTTGTATTTTCAGTAGAGACGGGGTTTCACCATCTTGGCCAGGCTGGTCTTGAGCTCCTGACCTCGTGATCCACCTGCCTTGGCCTCCCAAAGTGCTGGGATTACAGGTGTGAGCCACTGTGCCCGGCCTAATTTTTGTATTCTTAGTAGAGACAGGGTTTCACCATGTTGGCCAGGCTGGTCTCGAACTCCTTACCTCAGGCGATCCGCCCGCCTCAGCCTCCCAAAATGCTGGGATTACAGGCGTGAGCCACCACGCCGACCTAGCCACCCCGACAGGCCGGTTTCAATCTTTTAAAAGATGTAACTAGCACATATAGATCAACTGTAGCATTGTAAAAGGGAAACAGATATTCAAATAATTTGCTCCATGAGTAGAAACTTTAAAATCATCATTCCTGGCAATATTCCACTTTTACAATCCACCGATGAATAAGACAAGTGACCTGAAATTGCGTTTATGCTTTCTACATCCCATTATGTAAAATAATTAAGCTTATCCTTCACACCTTAAATGTATCATATCAAAGGCTGAGAGACCTTCGAAGGTCGCCAGGATAAATGTATCACATCAAAGACTGGGAAGGTTTCAAATTTCACCCTTAATACTACAAGTTCTAATTAGGAATCATTTTTACATACTTGCATATAAATTATACCACCCAGGTGAAAACCGGCATTTCAGTTGATTTATTCAACTGATAGAAAAAGAAAAGCTTACAGTCGCTACTGATCACTATTTAAAAACCGGAAAATAAAAAACGTACAATTAAATGCCCTCTTCTGCGTAGAGCTAGGTAGTTTTTTACAACCATACACATCCATACAACCGCCATCCCTTAATTTTTCTAATATTTTCGTCTCGCATATCAAACCAAAACCAAACCTCTCTCTCTTCCGGGAGCGAAGAGCCCTTTCACTCCCTTCGGAAGATGCGTAAATTTCAAAAGAGGAACATAGCGCTGGGGGAGGGTAATAATCTGCAGCTCAAAAAAACCGCGGGTGGAGAAGACGACCCCGGCCCCCGAACGCCTGCTTCTAAGACAAAGCTCAGCACCGCCAACCTCGACAAACATACAAAGAAGAAATACAAAAGCTTCTTCTCACAGTTGGGCGGAGGATGGGGGGCGGAGGGACGGAGGGACGTGAAAAGACGTTACAAACGGATGGCACGGAGAGAGGAGAGGGCCGGGAGCCAGGCAAGCTCGCTGGGGCCCTCGGCGGGGTGTCTAGGCCCGGAGAGGATCGCTGGGAGACCGGCCTCAAGTGACCACCTCCCGAGCCCCGGGAGCCGGAGGCAGCGGCGGGGGCATCCTTCCAGCGGCAGGGGAGGAGCCAGCCCACCTCTCCCCGATGCGCTCGCAGCCAGCTCAGGCAGCGCTCAGGGAAGTGTAAGCGGCGGTGCAGCCCCGCGGCTCCGCAGTAATCGCGCACCGCCAGGCCTCCGCGGACAGCGCTGAGGGCTCCGCGGCCCAGCGGGGGTTGACGCAGTGACTGGGGGAACGCGGCGGCAGCGGGGGCCGCGAGGGCTGCAGAGATCGAGACAACGCCGGTCCCCGCCCTCCCGCGCCTCTAGCCGCAGGCCGGCCGCCCTCCTCCCTCCCGCGCCGCAGGCTTGGCCCGCGGCCCCCTCCCCGCGCCCGGCGCTCCGCCGCGCAACGTCCTACCTGCAGGTGACCTGTTTAGTCCAGCCGCCGCCGCTGCCGTCGCTGCCGCCGCCCCCTCCGCCCGCCCCCAGGGACGGGGCGGTGACTGTGGGGATCGGGGTGGGGGAGGCTGCTGCCGCCGTCGCCGCTGCCGCTCCTGCTCCTGATGTTGTGGCTGTTGTTCCGGGAGTTGCAGCCTCCGCCATTACTGTTTATCCCACACAGCAAAGGCCCCGGAACTTCCGGGATCACATAGTTCCGGTCCGGCTGCGGGGAGAGGACGGCGAGGCCAGGCGAGGGGAGGGGAAGGACACTGAGGCACCCGTTCGGTCCCCGCCTGCTACGCGTCGCGTATCTGAGCGCTCTCGCCACTTCAACTGCGGGCCCAGAGCATGCGCGCCCGCGGCCCGCCCACGGCGCCGCTCATTGGTGGAGGGGACGTCTCCTCCGGAAAGGGGCGGGGCAAACGGGGGTCTGTACAGGTGTGTCCTAGGCTCGAAACCCCGGCGACGAAAGTCCATAGTTAGCGGCTTTCTTCCTAGCAGAGGCTGATATAGTGGAGCTGGGGCTGGGGACTAGGGACTTGCAGTCGGAAGACCTGGGTTTGAATCTGCACTTTCCCATTTCTCTAGTAATATTTGAGCTAGGTACTTGTTCTATCTGAGCCTCCGTTTCAGCCTCTCTCGAATAAGGATGACAGCAGACCCACATATGGTTGCTGTGAGGATTATATGATGTCCTTAGAAATCACTGAGCTTAGTGCCTGGTACATGGTAAACACTTAATAAAGGTTATCTCATTCCTGGTATCAGAGATGTGATCTTGGCCAAGTATTTTGGCTGAGCAATGCTCTAGAGGGCTGGTCCCCTTATCTCCAGGCTTCCCTTTCTAAGCCATGGGTCTTCTAGCAAATTATCCTACCTCTTGGTGCTCCTGCTTTCTCCTCTGTAAAAACGACAATAATAATAATAATAGGCCAGGCGCGGTGGCTCACGCCTGTAATCCCAGCACTTTGGGAGGCTGAGGTAGGCGAATCACCTGAGGTCATGAGTTCGAGATCAGCCTGGCCAACGTGGTGAAACCCCGTCTTTACTAAAAATACAAAAATTAGCCGGGTGTAGTGGCTAGTCCCAGTTACTCAGGAGGCTGAGGCAGGAGAATTCCTTGAACCCGGGAGGCGGAGGTTGCAGTGAGCCGAGATCGCGCCACTGCACTCCAGCTTGGGCGACAGAATGAAATTCCGTCTCAAAATAATAATAATAGTAATAGATAATAGTACCTACTTCAGAGATGGCTGTGAAAGTTAAATGAGAATCTGTTTAAAAACCTTTGTACTGGCCGGGCGCGGTGGCTCACGCCTGTAATCCCAGCACTTTGGGAGGCCGAGGGGGGCGGATCACCAGGTCAGGAGATTGAGACCATCCTGGCTAACACGGTGAAACCCCGTCTCTACTAAAAAATACAAAAAAATTAGCCGGTCATGATGGCGGGCGCCTGTAGTCCCAGCTACTCCGAGGCTGAGGCAGGAGAATGGAGTGAACCCGGGAGGCGAAGCTTGCAGTGAGCCGAGATCGCGCCACCGCACTCTAGCCACTGCACTGCAGCCTGGGCGACAAAGCTAGACTCCATCTCAAAAAAAAAAAACAAAAAGCAAAAAAAAAAAAAAAAAAACCCCTTTGCATTGTGCTTTTCACACTGCAGTGAATACATAATGAGTAACAAAATATGTCTGGAATATCCTAGCTTTTTTTTTAATGCGTCTTTAAAATTGTATGTATTTAAGGTGTAAAACATTGTTTTAATATACATGTACCTAGTGAAGTGATTACTACAGTCAAGCAGATTTAGCATATCACCTCACATGAATATTTTGTGTATGTGTTTGTGGTAAAAACCCAAGCTCTACTCTTAGCAATTTTCCAGTATACAATACAATATTATCTATTAACATTAATCATAGTCTTCCGCCGGGCACGGTGGCTCACACCTGTAATCCCAGCACTTTGGGGGCCGAGGCGGGCGGATCACAAGGTCAGGAGATCGAGACCATCCTAGCTAACACGGTGAAAGCCCGTCTCTACTCAAAAAACACAAAAAATTAGCTGGGCATAGTGGTGGGTGCCTGTTGTCCCAGCAACTCGGGAGGCTGAGGCAGGAGAATGGCGTGAACCCGGCAGGTGAGGCTTGCAGTGAGCTGAGATCACGCCACTGCCCTCCAGCCTGGGCAAGAGCGAGAGTCCGTCTCAAAAAAAAAAAAAAATCATAGTCTTCATGTGGTACATTAGATCTCTAGACTTATTCATCCTACACAGCTGCAACTTTGTCCCCTTTGACCTGATGTCCCCATTCCCCACTCCACTCCTGGTAAACCACTGTTCTACTCTGTTGCTATGTATTCAACTTTTTCACATCTTCACGTATAAGTGAGATAATGTAGTATTGTTCTTTGTGTCTGGCTTATTTCATTTAGCATAATGTCCTGCAGGTTTATCCATATTGTGGCAAATAAAGGCTACCACACAGGTAGTAACCTTTAGAGACACAATAGGTGGTAAATGTTTCTTTCAGACTTTTCAAGTTGTCAGACTCTCAGTTAATCTCTCTCAGGTCTGGGGAAGGGAGAGCCCGAAAGAAGGCTCTTGTAAATAGAGCCTTCTATTTTAAGGCTGAGAAATAAGGAATATCCTAGCTTCTGAGGATTACTTTTTTTTTTTTTTTTGAGACCGTCTTGCTCTGTCACCAGGCTGGAGTGCAATGGCGCGATCTCGGCTCACTGCAACCTCTGCCTCCCGGGTTTAAGCAATTCTCCTGCCTCAGCCTCCCAAGTAGCTGGGACTACAGACGTGCGCCACCATACCCAGCTAATTTTTGTATTTTTAGTAGAGACAGGCTTTCACCATGTTGGCCAGGCTGGTCTCAATCTCTTGACTTCGTGATCCGCCCGCCTAGGCCTCTCAAAGTGCTAGGATTACAGGTGTGAGCCACCACGCCCGGCCTGGATTACTTCTAAAACTATGAAAAGTAAAGTGTAGTTAATTTTTAATTTTGTTTAGGGATGAGGTCTCACTATATTGGCCAGGCTGGTCTCCAGCACCTGGGCTCAAGTGATGCTCCTGTCTTGGCCTCCCTAAGTGCTGGGATTATAGGCATAAACTACCATGCCGGGCCTCAGAGTGTATTTAATTATTTTTCCCCATAAGGCCTACTGTCCACTCAGATGCAACATATTAAACTCTGAGTTTCCATAGGCAGTTTTTCATAAGCCCTTAAGTTCGACTTTTCTGTAGTCTCTACGTTGAAAGTGAAAATCAGCCTATTAATCATCAGACCCCGATGTGCCCAACACAGGCAAACAAGGAAGGTGGCAAAAACAACAGAAAAGAATGCATCTCCTAAGGCCACACCACAGCAAGATAACTAACAATCCCCTCGAAGGAAACCAAAATATTTCACTTCACCTCAAAATATACACTTCTGGCCAGGCGTGGTGGCTGACGCCTGTAATCCCAGCACTTTGGGAGGCAGAGTTGGGCGGATTGCATGAGGTCAGGAGTTCGAGACCAGCCTAGGCAACATAGAAAAACCCCCGTGTCTACTAAAAATACAAAAATTAGCTGGGCTTGGTGGCGTGTGTCTGTAATCCCAGCCTGGCCAATATAGTGAGACCTTATCTCTAAACAAAATTAAAAATTAACTACACTTTACTTTTCATAGTTTTAGAAGTAATCCAGGCCGGGTGTGGTGGCTCACACCTGTAATCCCAGCACTTTGAGAGGCCTAGGCGGGCGGATCACGAAGTCAAGAGATCGAGACCAGCCTGGCCAACATGGTGAAAACCTGTCTCTACTAAAAATTCAAAAATTAGCTGGGTGTGGTGGCGCACGTCTGTAGTCCCAGCTACTTGGGAGGCTGAGGTAGGAGAATCTCTTGAACCCGGGAGGTGGAGGTTGCAGTGAGCCAAGATCAAGCCACTGCACTCCAACCTGGACACCAGAGTGAGACTCTGTCTCAAAAATAAATAAATTAATTAATTAAACTTCTTTGACGTATTTTAAGATACCACTTCATAATAAAAAAGAAAAAAAACAAATAAGATACCTCTTTGGAAGGGTTGGAAATACAAGAATAGAAGGAAAGCTGTCTTTTGTGGGAAAGATTTGCATCTGCAGAGAAAATCTACACTGAGGCAGCCCGGCTTTCTTTGGAGCCCTCCCTTCCCCAGATCTAGGAAACATTAGCTGAGAGTCTGACAACGTTTGAAGCCTGAAGGAAACATTTACTACCTATTGTGTCTCTGAAGGCTGCTACCTGCATGGTTTCAATGACCTAACAAGACCACTGTGGCTAGCCAGGCTTCTGCTTCTCTCCATCCCATAACTGCTGGCCACCATATGATTTACCCTTATATCCTGTTTTGGGATATGTTCCCCATTCTTTCAGTAACCTCAAGATGGAATATGAGCTTGCCCTCCCCGTTGAGGGGTTGGGATCATCACTCTCTTGTTCTCCCTGTGCACATTAATAAATGTGTATGCCTTTTCATCAATAATCTGCCAGGGTTTTTGTTTGTTTCTTTGTTTGTTTTGTTTGTTTTGAGACAGGGTCTCGCTCTGTTGTGTAGGATTAAGTGCAGTGGTGCAATCTCAGCTCACTGCAATCCCCACCTCTCGGGCTCATGCGATCCTCCTTCCTCAGTCTTCCATGTAGCTGAGACCACAGGCACACACCCTTACGTCCAGCCAATTATTGTATTTTTGGTAGAGACAGGGTTTCGCCATGATGTCCTAGCTGGTCTCGAACTCCTGGGCTCAAGCAATCCTCTTGTCTTGGCCTCCCAAAGTGCTAGGATTACAGGCTCTTGGAGGACTGGGATCTTTGCAGAGATGTATCCCAAGTACCTAGAATAGTGTCTGGCATATAGTAGGTGCTCAATCTCTGACGTTATCAAAATTACCCAGCAATACTATGCCTTGGCTCACCATCCATACCAAACAAAAATAACAACATGTTGTATTAAAAGGAAACAAAAGCCATCTCTCCTTTAGTGTGCTGGGGTAAACATGCAGCAAAAGGGCAATTCGTTCATTTCTTTCCTACCAAACTATTTATTAGGGACCCTACTGTGCCAGCACTACACAGCCAGGTGATTTTTGTTGCTATTGTTGTTGTGTATGTGTATGTGTTTGTGGGATGGAATCTCGCTCTGTCGCCCAGACTGGGGTGCAGGTGCGATCTCGGCTCACTGCAATCTTTGCCTCCTGGGTTCAAGTGGTTCTTCTGCCTCAGCCTCCCGAGTAGCTGGGACTACAGGCGCCCACCACCATGCCCAGCTAATTTTTGTATTTTTAGTAGAGATGGGGTTTCACCACGTTGGCAAAGATGGTCTCGAACTCCTGACCTCAAGTGATTGGTCCACCTCAGCCTCCCAAAGTGCTGGGATTACAGGCATGGGCCCTGCCCATGTTTTTGTTTGTTTTTTTAATAGAAATCAGGCTGGTCTTATCTCCCCTTCCCTCCCCAGGCCTTGGCCTCCCAAGGTGCTGGGATTATAGCCTTGAGCCACCATGCCTGGCCCAGGTTCTTAATTGTAGGCAGAGTAAAGGCTTGGTGTGACGTGAGGGTACCCAGAACTTTCTCCAATTACTAATGCCTTCTCAGATGCCAGAGTCCAGAGGGGGGTGCCTGTATGCTGGGAAGGACTCCAGTAGGAGCAGAAGATCTTTGCCTCATCCATCTCTACTGACTGGGGTTAAGGCCAGTGAAGGAACACAGGAAACTTCACCCCAAAATGTGACTCCCTGGTATAATGAGTGTTTTGAATAAAATGCCCTAGAGATCAACAGGGTTAGAAGAGGCTTCCTCAATCTACATAAAGACCCAAGGACCCTCCAAGAACAATTGTTCTTCCTCCCCCTGTCTATTATCTTATGATCTTTTGCAGGAAGGAAGACCAAGAATGTAATCACATCAGAACAAATTCTTTTACAAGACAATGTGTGTCTTTCAGGCTCATTCAGTTTCCAAAGAGAACCATTTACAAGTTAGTCTCTGTTCCCTTATCCGTTCATTCTGCCTTGTAATCATTTATTGCCCCTTAACAGAACTACTGTTTTTCTGATCTCTCCCTCCCCTCTGAAATAAGGCTATACAACTATCTGGGCCCCACTGGGATATTGGGTAATTACTGTGTCATTCGCCCCACCCATACCCCGTGCATGTTAATAAATGTGTGTGCCTTTTCTCTATTAATCTGCCTTTGTCAGTTGATTTTTCAGCAGGGACACTTGGTAGAGAAAGGAGGAATAACGAGGCGGTGGTGGGTATCTGCTTCACAACTTTGCATGAAACTATAGTCATTTTCAGAGTGTGGTGATCATACTTAGAACAAAAGTTGCATGGCTTGGCAAGGAGTGTTCAATAGAACTAGTCAGGATAACAGAAAAGTTAAAATCATGACTATGCAGGAAATCTGAGCTATATAGGAGTCACATGGGCACTTTTGTTCCTGCACATAGTGGCTGTGTGGCATTGGGCAAATTACCACCTCAGTTTCCTTGTTGATGAAATAAAGCCAAAACACACCGGGCGTGGTGGCTCACGCCTGAAATCCCAGCGCTTTGGGAAGCCTAGCCAGTCGTGTAACCACCCAAGGAATTCACCTTGCCCGCTGCCTAGACAGAGCCAATTCATGAAGACGGGAATTACAACAGAGAAAGAGTAATTCATGCAGAGCCAGCTGTCCGGAAGACCAGAGTTTTATTATTACTCAACTCAGACTCCTGGAGCATTCAGAGAGCAGAGTTTTTAAGGATAACCTGGTGGGGCGGGGGAAGGGGGAAGCCAGTGAGCCAGGAGTGCTGATTGGTTGGTCAGAGATGAAATCCTAGGAATCAGAGCTGTCTTCTTTTGCTGAGTCAGTTCCTGGGTGGGGGCCACAAGATCAGATGAGCCAGTTTATTGATCTGGGTGGTGCCAGGTGATCCATCAAGTGCAGGGTCTGCAAAATATCTCAAGCAATGATCTTTTTTTTCTTTTTTTCACCAAGGCTGGAGCGCAATGGCGCTATCTCAGCTCACTGCAACCTCCGCCTCCCGGGTTAAAGCAATTCTCATGCCTCAGCCTCCCGAGTAGCTGGGACTACAGGTGCCCGCCACCACGCCTGGCTAATTTTTGTATTAGTTTTTTCCAAGACGGAGTCCCACTCTGTTGCCCAGGCTGGAGTGCAGTGGCACAATCTCGGCTCACTGCAACCTCTGCCTCCCAGGTTCAAGCGATTCTTTTGCCTGGGATTCTCTTTCCTGGGAGCAGCTGGGATTACAGGCACCCGCCACCACGCTGGGCTAATTTTTTTGTATTTTCAGTAGAGACGGGGTTTCGCCATGTTGGCCAGGCTGGTCTTGAACTCCAGACCTCAGGTGATCAGCTCACCTGGGCCTCTCAAAGTGCTGGGCACCAATCTTAGGAGAAGTTTAGGGAGGGTCAGAATCTTGCAGCCTCTAGCTGCACGACTCCTAAACCATAACTTCTAATCTTGTGGCTAATGTTAGTCCTACAAAGGCAATCTAGTCCCCAGCCAAGAAGGAGGTCTGCTTTCGGAAAGGGCTGTTATGGTCTTTGTTTAAACTATAAAGTATAAACTAAGTTTCTCCCAAAGTTAGTTCAGCCTACACCCAGGAATGAAAAAGGACAGCTTGGAGGTTAGAAGCAAGATGGAGTCAGTTAAGTTAGATCTCTCTCTGTTTCAGTCATAATTTTGCAAAGGTGGTTTCAGTTGGATCACTTGAGGTCAGGAGTTCAAGATCAGTCTGGCCAACATGGTGAAACCCTGTCTCTACCAAAAATACAAAAATGAGCCAGACATGGTGGTGTGTGTCTGTAGTCCCAGCTACTCAGGAGGCTGAGGCAGGAGAATCACTTGAACCTGGGAGGCAGAAGTTGCAGTGAGGCAAGATAACGCCACTGCACTCCAGCCTGAAGGACAGAGCAAGACTCCATCTCACACACACAAAAAAGAAAAGAAATAAAGCCAAAAGCAAAAAACAAACAAACAAACAAAAAGCCACACACAAAAAAACCTTCCTTGTAAATATTAAAGGAGTTAATGGATGCAAAACTCAAAGGACATTCACTTCATTTAATAACTGCTAGATATAGGCTGGGCGCGGTGGCTCATGCCTATAATCCCAGCACTTTGGGAGGCCAAGGCGGGCAGATCACAAGGTCAGGAGATCGAGACCATCCTGGCTAACATGGTGAAACCCTGTCTCTACTAAAAATACAAAAAATTAACTGGGCATGGTGGCATGCGCCTATAGTCCCAGTTACTCAGGAGGCTGAGGCAGGAGAATCGTTTGAACCTGGGAGGCAGAGGTTGCAGTGAGCCAAGATCATGCCACTGCACTCCAGCCTGGCGACAGAACAAGACTCTGTCTCAAAACAAAACAAAACCTATTAGATATGTGTTTGCTATTGTTTTAATTGCTGTTGTTACATGACATTAGAATAGGGTTGTCAAACTTAGCAAATAAAGATGTAGAATAGCAGGTGACCCTGGCTCATGTCTGTAATCCCAGCCCTTTGGCAGGCTGAGGCAGGAGGATCACTTGAGGCCAGGAGTTCTAGACCAGCCTGGGCAACATAGTGAGACCTCTATCTCTACAAAATAAAAATTAAATTTAAAAATTAAAAGAAAATCTGGATGCCAAGTTAAGTTTGAATTTCAGCTAAATAATCAGTACTTAGTATAAATATATTCCAAATATGACATGAGATATACTTAAAAATTATTCATTGTTTATCTGAAATTAAAATATAACTAGTGTGTTGGCTTTGCACAGTGGCTCATGCCTGTAATCCCAGCACTTTGGGAGGCCAAGGTGGGTGGAACACTTGAGGTCAGGAGTTTGAGACCAGCACGGCCAACATGGTGAAACCCCCATCTCTACTAAAAATACAAAAAAATTTAGCTGGTCATGGTGGTGATGCATGCTGTAATCCCAGCTACTCAGGAGGCTGAGGCACCAGAATCACTTGAACCCTGGAGGCAGAGGTTGCAGTGAGCCAAGATCACGCCACTGCACTCCAGCCTAGGCCACACAGCAAGACTCCGTCTCAAAAAAAAAAATACACGTAGTGTTAAAGGAAAATAAATGTTGGGGCCTGTAAATTACTAAGCTAAAGGGAAAAGTCAAGCTGGAAACTTCTCAGGGCCAAACTGTCTCCCATTCTATTCAAAGTCACCCCTCTGGTGACTGAGATAAACGCATATCTGATTGCCTCCTTTGGAGAGGCCAATCAGAAACTCAAAAGAATGCAACCATTTGCCTGTTATCTACCTATGACCTGGAAAACTCCTCCCGGCTTGGAATCTTCCCTTTTTTGGCTTCAAGTTGTCCTGCCTTTCCAGACTGAACCAATGTTCATCGTGCATATGTTGATTGACGGCTCATGTCTCCTTAGAATGTATAAAAGCAAGCTGTGATCTGACCACCTTGGGCACATGTAATCAAGAACCTCCTGAGGCTGAGTACAGTGGCTTATGCCTGTAATCCCAGCACACTGGGAGGCCGTGGTGGGCAGATTACTTGAGGTCAGGAGTTCCAAACCACTCAGGCCAACATGGTGAAACTCCATCTCTACTAAAAATACAAAAATTAGCCGGGCATGGTTGTGTACACCTGTAATCCCAGCTGCTTGGGAGGCTGAGGCAGGAGAATCACTTGAACCCTGGAGGTGGAGGTTGCAGTGAGCTAAGATCATGCCATTGCACTACTGCCTGGGGGACAGAGTGAGACTCTGTCTCAAAAAAATTAGCTGGGCGTGGTGGGGCACACCTGTAATCCCAGCTTCTCCACCACACTCCAGCTTGGTCAGCAGAGCGAGACTCCATCTCAAAAAAACAAAAACAAAAACAAAAACTAAAAACACCTCCTGAGGTTATGTCACAGATGCACATCCTTATATAAGAACCACACTTGATTTTCAAAGGCCTTACATCTACATTATCTAGTTTGGGTCCCACAATGGCCTTTAGAAGTAGGAGAAGTACAGAGTACTTTGCCATTTTAAGGCCCGGAAAATGAGGTTGTCGAGTCATGCACAAATGTTGCCTGTAATCACATAGCCCATAAGTGAGCTTGGAGCTTGAGGAATTTAAACTTCTGCTTTATTGCTTCCCTGAGCTGGTGCTGGAGGTTAGGCCTTGCCCTAAAGGAGTTTTTCCTTTGAAAGAAAAGGCTACGGCCAGGCGCGGTGGCTCACGCCTGTAATCCCAGCACTTTGGGAGGCCAAGGCGGGCGTATCACGAGGCTAGGAGATCGAGACCATCCTGGCTAACACGGTGAAACCCCATCTCTACTAAAAATACAAAAACAAAATTAGCTGGGTGTGGTGGTGGGGGCCTGTAGTCCCAGCTACTCAGAAGGCTGAGGTGGGAGAATGGCATGAACCCAGGAGGCAGAGCTTGCAGTGAGCCGAGATCGCGCCACTGCACTCCAGCCTGGACGACAGAGCAAGACTCTGTCTCAAAAAAATAAAAAAAAAAGAGAAGACTACAAATAAGACACAATCACTTTAAGTGCTGCAAAGTTAAAGGATAAGAGATTTGTCTGGCATCTTCCCAAGCCAGTGTGGAATATTTTATTGTCAGCAGATGTAGTTTGTACTATGTTACACAAGTTTTGACAACCTTAATCTGGAAACTGTAGTCTACACAATAAACATAATGTTGATCTATGTGTTATTTTCTTTCCAAAGGGAGTTTAATTAATGATTTGTTCCCTGTAAAAACAGTCTATATTCTCTTATAGACCAGTGGTTCCCTGCCTTTTAAATCCTCCTCAATCAATGCTCCTGACTGGGCCTCCCTTTGTAATCCCATAATGCTAAGATTGCAGGTGTGAGCCATCAGCCCCAGCTATGAGTTATTTTATTTTATTTTTATTGTTATCTTATTTATTTTATTTTATTTTATTTTTGAGATGGAGTTTCGCTCTGCTGCCCAGGCTGGAGTGTAGTGGCATGATCTAGGCTCACTGCAAGCTCTGCCTCCCAGGTTCACGCCATTCTCCTGCCTCAGCCTCCCAACTAGCTGGGACTACAGGAGCCCGCCACCACGCCCAGCTAATTTTTTGTATTTTTAATAGAAACGGGGTTTCACCGTGTTAGTCAGGACAGTCTCAATCTCCTGACCTCATGATCTGCCCGCCTCGTCCTCCCAAAGTGCTGGGATTACAGGCGTGAGCCACCGTGCCGGGCCTATTTTATTTTTATTTTTAGAGATGGAGACTTGCTCTGTCACCCAGGCTGGAGTGCAGTGGTATGATCTCAGCTAACTTCAACCTCTGCCTCCTGGGTTCAAGCGATTCTCCTGCCTCAGCCTCCTGAGTAGCTGGGATTACAGGCATGCACCACCATGCCCAGCTAATTTTTGTGTTTTTAGTAGAGACAGGGTTTCGCCATGTTGGCCAGGCTGGTCTCAAACTCCTGACCTCAGGCAATCCACCCCCCCACCCCCCTTCAGTCTCCCAAAGTGCTGGGATTACAGGCATGAACCACCACACCCAGCCCATGAGTTATTTTATTTTTATTGTATTTATTTATTTTTGAGTCGGAGTCTTGCTGTATTGTCCATACTGCAGTGCAATGACGCGATCTCGGCTCACCGCAACCTCTGCTTCCCAGGTTCAAGTGATTCTCCTGCCTCAGCCTCCCAAGTAGCTGGGATTACAGGCGCGCCACCACACCCAGCTAATTTTTGAAATTTCAGTAGAGACAGGATTTCACCATGTTGGCCAGGCTGGTCTCCAACTCCTGACCTCAAATGATCCGCCCACCTCAGCTTCCCAAAGTGCTGGGATTACAGGCATGAGCCACCACGCCTGGCCGAGTTATTTTTAATATTAAATACTGTGTTAATTTTTGGTACATTTATATATATATATATATATATATATATATATTTTTTTTTTTTTTTTTTTTTTTAATAAGCAATCCAGTTTGGCCAGGTGCAGTGGCTCATGCCTGTACTTCCAGCACTTTGGGAGGCTGAGGTGGGAAGATCGCTTGAAGCCAGGAGCTCAAGACCAGCCTGGGCAATATAGCAAGACTCCATTTCTAGAAAAACATTAGAAAATTAACTGGAACCAGGAGAGGTGTCTTATGCCTTGTAATCCCAGCACTTTGGGAGGCCAAGGTGGGATGATTGCTTGAGGCCAGGGGTTCAAGACCAGCCTGGGAAACATGGCAAAACCCTGTCTCATTCCTTCAATCCTAGCACTTTGGGAGGCTGAAGCAGGTGGGTCACTTGAGGTCAGTTCAAGACCAGCCTGGCCAACATAGTGAAACCCCCGTCTCTACCAAAAATACAAAAATGAGCTCTTGGCCTTGGTGCCATCTTCTTGGAAACCTTTGTGCTACAAGAGCCAAGTGGAGGAAGAAGCACATGAGGAGGCTGAAGCCCAAAAGAAAGATGAGGCAGAGGTCCAAGTAAACCACTAGCTTGTTGCACCCGTGGAGGCCACAGAAGCAGAAACATGGAATGCCAGAGGCTGGGAATGCTGGTACAAGTTGTTGGACTGCATGCTACTGTCTAGAGCTTTCTCAATGGACCTGGAACTTTATCGCCAACTGATCGCCAAGACCACCTCTGAGACCCACCTTGGTAATAACCAAAACTGTCCATGTTGGTCCTTTGTCCTGGATCTGTGACATTCTGAACTATTTATTTATTTATTTTTTGAGACAGAATCTTGCTCTGTCACCCAGGCTGGAGTGCAGTGGTGCGATCTCGGCTCACTGCAATCTCCGCCTCCTGGGTTCACGCGATTGTCCTGCCTCAGCCTCTTAAATAGCTGGGATTACAGGTGTGCGCCACCATGCCCAGCTAATTTTTTTGTATTTTTGGTAGAGATGGGATTTCACCAAGTTGGTCAGGCTGGTCTCGAACTCCTGACTTCATGATCCGCCCGCCTCGGCCTCCCAAAGTGCTGGGACTACAGGCATAAGCCACCGCACCCGGCCATTCTGGACTATTTCTGTGTCCACTTGTGGCTGAGTATAGCAACCATACAATAAAACCCCTCTTCCACTGTCTTAGCTGAAGAACTAAAAAAAAAAAAAAAAAAAAATGAGTGGTGCATGCCTGTAGTCCCAGCTACTTGGGAGGCTGAGGCAGGAGAATCGCTTGAACCTGGGAGACGGAAGGTGCAGTGAGCTGAAATCACGCCACTGGTGCCACTGCGAGCCCAGCGGGGGCAGAGCGAGATTACAGCCCCAGGGGACAGAGCGAGACTCCATCTGAAAAGAAAGTTTGTCAAGTAAACAAATGAATGAGTCCAGGTGCAGTGGCTCACGCCTCTAATTCCAGTACCTCGGCAGGCTCATTTGAGGCCAGGTGTTCACAATCAGCCTGGACAAAATAGCAAGACTCCATCTTTATGAAATAAAAAATAAAAAGCCGCCGGGCGTGGTGGCTCATGCCTGTAATCCCAGCACTTTGGGAGGCCGAGGCGGGCAGATCACGAGGTCAGGAGATCAAGACCATCCTGATTAACACAGTGAAACCCCCTCTCTACTAAAAATACAAAAATTATCTGGGCGTGGTGGCGGGCGCATGTAGTCCCAGCTACTCGGGAGGCTGAGGCAGGATAATGGCATGAACCTAGGAGGCGGCGCTTGCAGTGAGCTGAAATTGCACCACTGCACTCCAGCCTGGGTGACAGAGCGAGACTCCGTCTCAAAATAAATAAATAAATAAATAAAAATAAATAAAAAGCCAAATGAATGGATGACACATGAATCAATGAATGCAAATATGAATTTGTGGGGCCTTACCCTATCTCTAAGCTCCCCTTCTCCCTCAAAAGGGTTAGGAACAAAAGGATTTTAGGAAAAGAACAGGAAAACTTAGAGCAGTTCCTCTCTAGAAATGGCAAGATATCTCAGCTCTCCCACCCCAGCCCTCACCCCTGGAGGGGATTATGCTGACCAAATAGTTTATGCTGCTGGAGGGCTCTCTTTAGGGAGGGGCAAAAATGCCAATAAGGTTATCTTCCTCTGTTCTGTACCCTGCTACCAAATCTGATCTGAAATCAGCCCATAGGTGTCCTAAAGTATGGAAATGTGCTAGGGCCACCTGCCGGTGGGAAAAAGATAAATTAGATTTCAGAAAAGGGCTGATAGTAAGCATTTAAAATACAATACCTTCCAGCGCAGTGGCTCATGCCTGTAATCCCAGCACTTTGGGAGGCCGAAGCGGGCGAATCACCTGAGGTCAGGGGTTCAAGACCAGCCTGACCAACATGGAGAAACCCCGTCTCTACTAAAAATACAAAAAAATTAGCCAGGCGTGCTGGCGCAGGCCTGTAATCCCAGCTACTCTCGAGCCTGAGGCGGGAGAATCACTTGAACCTGGGAGGCGGAGGTTGTGGTGAGCCGAGATCTCGCCATTGCACTCCAGCCTGGGCAACAAGAGCGAAACTGTCTAAAAAAGTAAATAAAATAAAATACCAAGAAGCTATATTTAGAAAACTCTTACATGCTTGAACCTTTACTTCCTTGACTTTTTTGTTTTGTTTTTGGTTTAAAATCCATTTACAGGCCGGGAGTAATGGCTCATGCCTGTAATCCCAGCCCTTTGGGAGGCCGAGGTGGACAAATCATTTGAGGTCAGGAGTTTAAGACCAGCCTAGCCAACATGGAAAACCCCATCTCTATTAAAAATACAAAAATTAGCCGGGTGTGGTGGTGTGCCTGTAATCCCAGCTACTGGAGAGGCTGAGGCAGGAGAATCCCTTGAACCTGAGAGGCAGAGATCACAGCACTGCACTCCAGCCTGGGCAATAGAGTGACACTCAGTCTCAAAAAAAAAAAAAAACGGGTGCAGTGTCTCATCCCAGCACATTGGGAGGCCAAGGCAGGTAGATCGCCTGACGTCAGGAGTTTGAGATTACCTTGGCCAACATGGTGGAACCCCATCTCTACTAAAAATACAAAAATTAGCTGGCTGTGGTGGCAGGCACCTGTAATCCCAGCTCCTCGGGAGGCTGAGGCTGGAGAATCGCTTGAACCCAGGAGGCGGAGGTTGCAGTGAGCTGAGAGCACGCCACTGCACCCCAGCCTGGGCAACAGAGTGAGACTCCGTCTTGAAAAAAAAAAAAGATAAATAAATAAAATCCGTTTATTACTGAGGAGTTCTTGATTTTGTGTGTGTGTGTGATTTAAAAGTTATAAATGGGCCGGGTGCGATGGCTCACGCCTGTAATCCCAGCACTTTGGGAGGCCAAGGCAGGCGGATCACGAGGTCAGGAGATCGAGACCATCCTGGCTAACACGGTAAAACCCCATCTCTACTAAAAATATAAAAAATTAGCTGAGCGTGGTGGTGGGCGCCTGTCTACTTGGGAGGCTGAGGCAGGAGAACGGCATGAACCTGTGAGGCGGAGCTTGCACTGAGCTGAGATCACACCACTGCACTCCAGCCTGGGGGACAGAGAGAGACTCCGTCTCAAAAAAGAAAAAAAAAAGTTATAAATGGAGGCCGGGCGCGGTGGCTCACCCCTGTAATCCCAGCACTTTGGGAGGCAGAGTTGGGCAGATCGCATGAGGTCAGGAGTTCAAGACCAGCCTGACCAACATGGAGAAACCCTGTCTCTACTAAAAAATATAAAATTAGCTGGGCATAGGGGTGCCTGCCTGTAATCCCAGCTACTTGGGAGGCTGAGGCAGGAGAATCGCTTGAACCCAGAGGCGGAGGTTGTGGCTAGCCGAGATTGCGCCATTGCACTCCAGCCTGGGCAACAAGAGCGAAACTCTGTCTCAAAAAAAAAAAGAAGTTATAAATGGAACTACGTGTATTCACGTGCACGAGTTTGCACTGCAGTTTGATAGAAAGCCTGACTGCATTGTGTGGTAAGCTTGTGTGAGTGATGTGTGTGCTCTTTGAACTAATGCTGCTTCAGCTCTCCTCTGCCATAGCGGAACCCAGCCTTCCAGGAAAGAAAAGCCAGGAAGGGCAGCCTAATCTCTGCAAAAACTAGGAAGTGAATGCTGAGAATGAATTGATGAACTTCCTAGGCTTATTTGGTGAAAATATAGCTTGCTTTATAAAGAAAGGCCTCAGGCCAGGCACGGTGGCTCACGCCTGTAATCCCAGCACTTTGGGAGGCTGAGGCGGGTGGATCACCTGAGGTCGGGAGTTCAAGACCAGCCTGAGCAACATGGTGAAACCCCGTCTCTACCAAAAATACAAAAATTAGCCAGGCGTGGTGGCGCATGCCTGTAATCCCAGCTACTCAGGAGGCTGAGGCAGGAGAATCACTTGAACCCAGGAGGCGGAGGTTGCAGTGAGCCAAGATTGCACCATTGCACTCCAGCCTGGACGACAGAGCAAGACTCCATCTCAAAAAAAAAAAGAAAAGAAAAGAAAAGAAAGAAAATGTCTCTTCCAGGTGCAGCCTAAATGAGCCACAGTCTTAGGGGATAATAGCATCAGCGGATTCCTTCATTCCTTCATTCAGGTACGGTGGTCAGGGAAGGCCCTTCTAAGACAATATTTGAAAGTAGTCCTAAAGGATTGGAAAGAATGAGCCATGTGAAGACATGAGGGAAGAGCGCACAGGCCAGAGGGAACAGCAGGTATGGCCCGGAGGCTGGGCCCTGCTTGGTGTGATCCAGGACCTGCTGACGCCACTGTGGCTGGACCCAGGGAGCCAGGCCAAGGTTGGTCAGAGATAAGGCCGACTGGAGAGCGAAGGGGAGATGGAATCACCTGATGGGTTCTTCCTGCCTGCTGCACAGACAAAATCAATCCTCTGAGACCATGGCACAGCAGTAAAGAACAGTAAAGAACGCTGAATTGACAGAAGCTGGCTACAAATCAATCTCCTTGAAGGCTCTGAGGTTAAGGATTTTCTTTTGTTTTCTTTTTTTTGTTTTTGTTTTTGCCATATCAATACCTGGTTTAATTTTTTTTTTTTTTTTTTTTTTGAGACGGAGTCTCACTCTGTCTCCCAGGCTGGAGTACAATGGCGCCATCTTGGCTCACTGCAACCTCCGCCTCCTGAGTTCAAGCGATTCTCCTACCTCAGCCTCCCAAGTAGCTGGGACTACAGGCGCCCGCCACCAAGCCCGGCTAATTTTTTGTATTTTTAGTAGAGATGGGATTTCACCGTGTTAGCCAGGATGGTCTCGATCTCCTGACCTCGTGATCTACCTGCCTTGGCCTCCCAAAGTGCTGGGATTACAGGTGTGAGCCACTGTGCCTGGCCAGTTTTAATTTTTTTTAGAGGAAATACTATAATCTTTTTTTTTTTTTTTTTTAGATAGAGTTTCACTCTGTCACCCAGGCTGAAGTGCAGTGGCATGATCTCAGCTCACCATAACCTCCACCTCCCATGTTCAAGCAATTCTCCTGCCTCAGCCTCCTGAGTAGCTGGGATTACAGGCGCCAGCCACCACACCTGGCTAATTTTTGTATATTTTTTTTTTAGTAGAGACGGGGTTTCACCATGTTGATCAGGCTGGTCTCGAACTCCTGACCTTGTGATCCACCCGCTTCAGCCTCCCAAAGTGCTGGGATTACAGGCATGAGCCACTGTGCCCAGCCGGAAATACTATAATCTTAAAAAAGAGTTCCAAAAAACTTAACAGCATTTCCAGCCATGACTATTTCTGAAATGTAAAGATTTGAAACCTAATTTATACAAAACTAAAAACCAGAAAGATTCATTCTTGCTTTTTCTTTTTTAAAAAATCCAGATAGTTTGTCACAAGAAAGTTCGGCAAATTGCCAGGCACAGTAGCTCACGTCTGTAATCCCAGCACTTTGGGAGGCGGAGGTGGGTGGATCACCTGAAGTCAGGAGTTCAAAACCAGCCTGGCCAACATAGTGAAACCCCATCTCTACTAAAAATACAAAAATTTGCTAGGCGTGGTGGCATGCCTGTAATCTCAGCTTACTCGGGAAGCTGAGGCAGGAGAATCACTTGAACCAGGAGGTTGAGGTTGCAGTAAACCAAGATCACGCCATTGCACTCCAGCCTGGGCGACAAGAGCGAAACTCCATCTCAAAAAAAAAAAAAAAAAATTCATTCTACTCAGTGTCTGCGTTGGGGGTTCTACATCTTATTTCCAATCGCTCAAGCCAGTTGCGCCACCTGAGGTTAGGGGTTTTCAAGGATAGTTTGGTGGGCAGTGGACTAGGGGTTGGGGAGTGAATGTTGGGGATGCAGTCATAGGGCTGTGGAAAATGGAGCTTGTATGCTGAGTTCCCCTCTGGGTGGGTCCACAGGACTGGGTGAGTCATGAGTCACAAGTGCAGGTGGAGCCATCAGGTAGCCAGAAATGTAAAAGTGTGAAAGGACATCTCAGAAGGCCAATCTTAGCTTCTACAATAGTGATGTTATCTGCAGGAGTAATTGGGGAAGTCACAAATCTTGTGACCTCCAGAACAATGGCTGGTTACCCTTTAACGATGCCTATATCTCAGCAAAATTCAGGCTCCTCTCATAATCCTAAACTTATGGCTTTTCATTAGTTTTACAAAGGCAGTTTGGTTTTGGGAAGGGCCATTATCATCCTCACTTTAAGGTTAAATTATTTATTTATTTTTTTTGAGATGGAGTCGGGCTCTGTCACCCAGACTGGAGTGCAGTGGCATGGTCTTGGCTCACTGCAACCTCCACCTCCTGGGTTCAAGCAATTCTCCTGTCTCAGCCTCCCAAGTAGCTGGGATTACAGGCACATGCCAGCATGCCAGGCTAATTTTTGGTATTTTTAGTAGACACAGGGGTTTCACCATGTTGGCCAGGCTAGTCTTGAATTCCTGGCCTCAGGTGATTCACCCGCCTCGGCCTCCCAAGGTGCTGGGTTTACAGGTGTGAGCCACCGCGCCCGGCCTAAGGTTAAACTATAAACTAAATTTCTCTCAAAGTTAGTTTGACCTACTCCCAGGAATGACCCAGGACAGCTTGGAGATTAGAAGCAAGTTGGAGGCGGCAACAATGTCAGGTTTCTCTTACTGTCTTAATTTTGCAAAGGCGCTTTTAGAGACACAGTGAGAGCTAGTGTTCCTGCTGAGCAGATTCCTCCTCCCCAGTTCACAGCGCACTTTAGTGTATCTTTGGGTGGTACTCTACCAGCCATGCAGAAATTATCAGACCCAGTGAGACTGCAGCAGACTCAGGCGGCCAGGATGAGAGTGTCCTGAGCGGTGGGGTAGAGGGAGAACAGATTCCTTTTCCACACTTGGATAATCCCAGGTGCATAGTGTCTCTTTGGCTTCATGGCTGCTGCTGGTCCTGGCCTCACATTTGTCTGGGGGCTTCAGTCTGAGGGACTGCAGCAGTGCATTCTGGATTCGGTAGTTAGCTAACATAGAGCTCAGTGTTGTGTGCCTACTGTCCAAAAAATAAAATTGCATGTGTATTGATGGCTGAAACCTGTTGATAAAAAGAGCCAAACTCTAGGGGTTGGGCTCAGCTGCTCACGTCTGTAACTGAGCACTTTGGGAAGCTGAGGAGGGAGGATCACTTGAGCCCAGGAGTTCAAGACCAGCCTGGGCAACATTGTAAAAATTAAAAAAAATTAGCTGGGTGTGGTGGCACGTGCTCATAGTGCCAGTTCTTGCTCTTTGTTTTTTCATTAAAAAAAAAAATCTTAGGCCTGGCGCAGTGGCTCACGCCTGTAATCCCAACACTTTGGGAGGCCAAGGAGGGCGGGTCACGAGGTCAGGAGATCAAGACCATCCTGGCTAACATGGTGAAAACCTGTCTCTACTAAAAATACAAAAAAATTAGCCGGGCGTGGTGGCGGGCACCTGTAGTCCCAGCTACCCAGCTACTCAGGAAGCTAAGGCAGCAGAATGGCGTGAACCCCGGGAGGCAGAGTTTGTAGTGAGCCAAGATCGCACCACTGCACTCCAGCCTGGGCAACAGAGCGAGACCACCTTTTTTTTTTTTTTTGGTGCAATCTCAGCTCACTGAAACCTCTATTTCCATGGCTCAAGCAATCCTCCCACTTGAGCCTCCTGAGTAGCTGGGACCACAGGCATGCTCCACCACACCTGGCTAAAGTCCCAGCAACTTGGGAAGCTGAGGCAGGAGGATCCCTTGAGCCCAGGAGTTCAAGACCAGCCTGGGAAACATAGCAAGACCCTGTCTCTATTGATTTATTTATTTGCTTTTTAAAAAAATTATTTATTTATTCATTTTTGAGATGGAGTTTTGCTTTTGTCACCCACGCTATAGTGCAATTGTGCAATCTTGGCTCACTGCAACCTCTGCCTCCCGGGTTGAAGTGATTCTCCTGCCTCAGCCTCCCGAGTAGCTGGGATTACAAGTGACTGCCACCATGCCTAGCTAATTTTTTGTATTTGTAGTAGGGATGGGGTTTCACCATGTTGGTCAAGGCTGGTCTTGAACTCTTAACCTCAGGTGATCCACGTGCCTCGGCCTCCCAAAGTGCTGAGATTACAGGTGTGAGCCACCACGCCTGGCCAATTTTTAAATTTTAATTAAAAAAATTTTTTTTTTGAGACAGAGTTTCGCTCTTGTTCCCCAGGCTGGAGTGCAGTGGCGGGATCTCGGCTCACTGCAACCTCCACCTCCTGGGCTCAAGCAATTCCCCTGCCTCAGCCTCCTGAGTAGCTGGGATTACAAGCATGTGCCACCACGCCCAGCTAATTTTTTTTTTTAATTTTATTATTATTATACTTTAAGTTTTAGGATACATGTGCACAACATGCAGGTTTGTTACATATGTATACATGTGCCATGTTGGTGTGCTGCACCCATTAACTCCTCATTTAGCATTAGGTATATCTCCTAATGCTATCCCTCCCCCCTCCCCCGACCCCACAGCTAATTTTTGTATTATTAGTAGAGATGGGGTTTCACCATGTTGGCCAGGCTGGTTTCGAACTCCTGACGTCAGGTGATCTGCCTGCCTTGGCCTCCCAAAGGGGTGGGATTACAGGCGTGAGTCACCATGCCTGGCCTTCTATTTAAATATGCCAGGCACAGAGCAAAGTGGCCAACTTTGAGATAGATCTCATGAGTAAAAATGCCAGGACTTGGGCAGGTTTCTTGCTGGGTTGTTAGAGTGGCCTCCTAACTGGTCTGTCAACATCCACTCTGACCCCTTCCATTCTATTGTCTGCATTGCAGTCTGTGATTTTCTAAATCCGAAGGTACTTATGACATTCTCCTGCATACAATTTTTTTTTTTAAATTTTTTGAGATGGAGTTTCGCTCTTGTTACCCAGGCTGGAGTGCAATGGCACGATATTGGCTCACTGCAACCTCTGCCTTCCGGTTTCAAGCGATTCTCCTGCCTCAGCCTCCCGAGTAGTTGGGACTACAGGTGCCCGCCACCACGTCCGGCTAAATTTTGTAATTTTTTTTTTTTCTGAGATGGAGTCTCACTCCCTTGCCTAGGCTGGAGTACAGTGGTGCAATCTCAGCTCACTGCAAGCTCCACCTCCTGGGTTCAAGTAATTCTCCTGCCTCAGCCTCCTGAGAAGCTAGGATTACAGACGTGCACCACCACACTCAGCTAATTTTTTTGTATTTAGTAGAGACAGGGTTTCACCACATTGACCAGGCTGATCTTGAACTCCTGACCTCGTGATCTGCCCACCTCGGCCTCCCAAAGTGCTGAGTGAGCCACTGGGCGCTTCCAATTTTTGTTTTTTTAGTAGAGATGGGCTTTCACTATGTTGGCCAGGCTGGTCTCGAACTCCTGACCTCACCTCGTCCTCCCAAAATGCTGGGATTACAGGAATGAGCCACCACGCCCAGCGTGTGAGCCACCGCGCCCAGCAAAATTTTTTCATAGTTTCAGATTCCTTTCATCTTATTTTTAAATTTTTATTTATTTATTTATTTTTTGAGATGGAGTCTCATTCTGTTGCCCAGGCTGGAGTGCAGTGGCGCAATCTCAGCTCACTGCAACCTCTGTCTCCTGGGTTCAAGCAATTCTCTTGCCTCAGCCTCCCGAGCAGCTGGGACTATGCCATGTGCCACCATGCCTGGCAAATTTTTTTTTTTTTTTTTTTTTGGTAGAGACAAGGTCTCTTTATGTTGGCCAGGTTGGTCTTGAACTTCTGGGTTCAAGTGATCCTCCTGCCTCAGCCGCCTAAAGTGTTGTGATTAGAGACTTGAGCCACCACGTCCAGCTTCTGATTAATTTTAAAGTTAAAATTAAAATCCTTAACATGATCTACAGAGCCTTACGAAATTTGACCCTGTTATGGGCTAAATTGTATCCCGCACCCCTAAATTCATGTGGAGTCCTAACCCCCTTTACCTCAGAATGTAACTGTATTTGGAGACAGGGTCTTTAAAGAGGTAATTGAATTAAAATGAGCTCATTAAGATGGGCCATAATCCAACATGATTCCTTAGAAGAAGAAGAGATTAGGACATAGACACCCATAAAGACCCATAAAGGGATGGCCTTGTGAGGACACAGAAGACTCCTCTGCAAGCCAAGGAGAGAGATGTTAGGGGACACTTGCCCTGCCAATAAAACCACCTTTGCCAAAATTATAACTGACAGAATTATTACAGTGAAAGAGATCTGACTTAACTGACTCCATCCTGCTTCTTTTTTTTTTTTTTTTTTTTTTTTTAAGACCAAGTCTTGCTCTGTCACCCAGGCTGCAGTGCAGCTCAATCTCAGCTCATTGCAACCTCCGCCTCCCGGGTTCAAGAGATTCTCCTGCCTCAGCCTCCCGAGTAGCTGGGATTACAGGTGCCTACCACCACGCCTGGCTAATTTTTGTATTTTAGTAGAGATGGGGTTTCACCATGTTGGCCAGGTTGGTCTTGAACTCTTGACCTCAGGTGATCCGCCCACCTCAACTTCCCAAAGTGCTGAGATTACAGGCATGAGCCACCGCACCTGGCCCGACCTGTGCATTTATTGTTGGAGCATAAAGGCCTAGGCAGCCAGGGCAGCTTGCAGCCAGCTGGTGGCTGGACTTAGTCCTGCAGGCCATGGGGAGCCCCTGGGTGGTTTCAGGCAGAGGACTGGCATGGTCAGATTACATTCTAGCTGTGGAAGAAAGGCAGCTCTGGGCCCTGCAGCTGCCGGTTTTGCTGGTGTTATCTACCCTTCTAACTGGGATGTTTCCAAGTTCTACTCAAGGTTTCTACACACAAGCTGTTCTGAAAAACAAATCAACCCTGTTAATTGAGTCAAGTAAACAAGTCCTGACCATTTATCGGAGACCTTAGCGCCTGCCTTGCAGTCTGTCTATGCCAAGCCATATCAAAATTCTGGACAGCTTTAAAATCCACATGTGGGCTGGGTGCGGTGGCTCATACCTGTAATTCCAACACTTTATGAGGCCGAGGTGGGAGAATCGTTTGAGCCCAGCAGTTCGAGACCAGCCAGGGCAACATAGTGAGACTTGGTCTCTACAAAAAACAAAAAATTAGGCCGGGCGGGGTGGCTCACGCCTGTAATCCAAGCACTTTGGGAGGCTGAGGTGGGTGGATCACCTGAGGTCAGGAGTTCTAGACCAGCCTGGCCAACATGGTAAAACCCCGTCTCTACTAAAAATGCAAAAATTAACCGGGCCTGGTGGCAAGCACCTGTAATCCCAGCTACTCGGGCAGGGGGGCCGAGGCAGGAGAATCGCTTGAACCCGGGAGGCGGAAATTGCAACGAGCCGAGATCACGCCATCGCACTCCAGCCTGGGGGACAAGAGTGAGACTTTGTCTCAAAAAAAAAAAAAAATTAGCCAGTCTGGTGGCGCACACTTGTAGTCCCAGCTACTTGGGAGGCTGAAATGGGAGGATCACCTGAGCCCAGGAGGTTGACACTGGAGGAAACTATGAGCTCACCAATACACTCCATGCGTGACAGTGAGACCCTGTCTCAAAATAAAATAAGAAAAATATGTCAAATTAATAGAGACAAAAAGTAGAATGGTGGTTGCCAGGAGTTGGAAAAAGGGGGAATGGGGGTTGTTTAATGGGTATAGAATTTTGGAAGATAAAAAAAATTCTGGAGATGGATGATGGTAATTGTTGTATTAGGTTGGCACAAAAGTAGTTGCGGTTTTTGCCATCACTTTCTTTTTTCTTTTTTTTTTTTTTTTTTGAGATGAGATGGAGTTTCGCTCTTGTTGCCCAAGCTGGAGCGCAATGACATGATTTCGGTTCACTGAAACCTCTGCCTCCTGGGTTCAAGCGATTCTCCTGCCTCAGCCTCCCTAGTAGCTGGGATTACAAGCGCCCGCCACCACGCCCAGCTAATTTTTTGTATTTTTAGTAGAGATGGGGTTTCACTATGTTGGCCAGGCTGGTCTCGAACTCCGGACCTCAGGCGATCCACTCACCTCAGCCTCCCAAAGTGCTGGGATTACAGGCATGAGCCACCACACCCAGCTTTGCCATCACTTTCAATGGCAAAAACCGCAATTACTTTTGCGCCAACCTAATACAATACTTAATGCCACTGAACTGTTTACTTTAAATTGATTAAATGGTAAATGTTACATTACATATATTTTACCACATTTAAAAAAAAGATGTATAGTGTAAGCCGGGCCCAGTGGCGCATCTCTATAGTCCCAGCTATTTTCCAGACTGGACAACATAATTAAAAAAAAAAAAAAAAAAGGACGGTGTGTGGTAAAATGTTCCCTTCAATGGTGGGCCTTCACCACCTGGAACCAGGGAAGACCAGCTTGTTTTATCTGAGTTTCTTCCTCAGGAAAGACTTTCAGCCTCTCAAAAAAAAAAAAAAAAAAAGAAAAGAAAGAAAGAAAAAGAAAAATAAAGAAAAAAAAAGAACAAAAAGAAAGAAAGTATCAGGTCAGGCATGGTGGCTCACACCTGTAATCCCAGCACTTTGGGAGGCTGAGGTGAGTGGATCACTTGAGGCCAGGAGTTTGAGACCAGCGTGACCAACATGGTGAAAACCCGTCTCTACTAAAAATACAAAAATTAGCTGGCCGTGGTGGTACATGCCTGTAATCCCAGCTACTCGGGAGGCTGAGGTAGGAGAATCGCTTGAACCTGGGAGGCAGACATTGCAGTGAGTGGAGATCACCCCATTGCACTCCAGCCTGGGCGACAAAGCAAGACTCTGTCTCAAAAAAAAAAAAGTATCAAAAAACTGAAATTCACCAGATCACTATGTCCAGACAATATGATGTGTGATCCCTCATTCATCATGATTGCTTCTTTACCCCTCCATAGTTCCTGTTTTTTTTAACACATGGTTACATTTCTTCCCTGCTATATAAATCCCTGCCTTTAGTCCATCAGGGAGACGGATTTGAGACTGAGCTCCCATCTCCTGGGCTGCAGCACCCCTTGTACCCCCCACTCCAACACCAATTAAAACCTTCTTCTTGGCAATACTTGTAGTCTCAGTTATCGTCTTACTGTGTAGTTAGCAGCAGAACTTAGAACCAGCTTGTCCAAGCCATGGCCCAGCCTGGCCAACATGGCGAACCCCATCTCTACTAAAAATACAAAAATTAGCCGGGCGTGGTGGCATACGCCTGTATTCCCAGCTACTCGGGAGGCTGAGGCGGGAGAATCACTTGAACCTGGGAGGCGGAGGTTGCAGTGAGCCGAGATCGCGCCACTGCACTCCAGCCTGGGCGACAGAGTGAGAGCAAGATTCTGTTTAAAATAAATAAATAAATAAAATAAAATCGGCTGGGCGCAGTGGCTCACGCCTGTAATCCCAGCACTTTGGGAGGCTGAGGCGGGCAGATCACCTGATGTTAGGAGTTTGAGACCAGGCTGGCTAACATAGTGAAACCCTGTTTCTATTAAAAATACAAAAAATTAGCCAGGCATGGTGGCACGTGCTTGTAATCCCAGATACTCGGGAGCCTGGGGCAGGAGAATCGCTTGAACCTGGGAGGTGGAGGTGGCAGTGAGCTGAGATCGTGGCATTGCACTCCAGCTTGGGCAACAAGAGCAAAAGTCTGTCTCAAAAAAAAAAAAAAAAAATCTTCCCCACTAGGTGGGATGTCTCCTGAGGACAAGGAATGGGTCATTTTTCTTGTGCCATTGCTTGCTGGAGTCTCCGGCCCATAGACGATACTAAAGGAACATGTGTTGAGTGGAATCTCAATGGATAATTCTTTTAGGGGTGGACTGTGATCTGGGGAGGGGTGGAAGGACTCAGGCCTGTGAAGCATGGTGTCTTGATTCATGGTCTATGCTAAATGTGTTTACATAGACATGTGTCTATGTGAAATGCTGCCTCACTGGCCACAGCCTCTACTGGGGAAATCCTCATGGCTAAAATGAGGCCTGGGATGCTTGGTTTGAGGTGGGACCCGTGTGAGGTGGGCAAGTTGGAAGGCCGTCAGAGCTAGGAAAGGGTAGCGGTGACATTGGCTCCTCGAGAAAGCAGCAGGGGCCTGTGGGAAGAGGTGTCTGTCCAGAGGTCCCGGGAATCCAGGAGTGTCTGTGCTGTGGAGGATTGAGGAGGGTGAGCCTCAAAAGCCCAGCCAATGCGTTGCCACTTGAACCTCTCTTTGCCCGAAAAATCAAATTTGAGGAGGAATCCAGCTCAGGATATTCTTTGTAAAATCAGAGAACAGAGGAGGGGAGTCGTAAGAGTCAGCTAGGGCTGCCATTACCAAGTTTCACAAATGTGGCTTAACTAAGAGAAACTCATCTTCCCCCAGTTCTGGAAGCTGGAAGTCTGCGATCAAGGTGTTGATTGGCAGGGTTGGTTTCTTCTGAGGTCTCTCTCCTTGGCTTGTAGATGGCCACCTTCTCCCCATATCCTCACACAGTTTTCTCTCTAAGTGTGTCTGTGTCCACATTTCTTTCTTTCTTTTTTTTGAGACGGAGTCTGGGTCTGTCACCCGGACTGGAGTGCAGTGGCATAATCTCGGCTCACTTCAACCTCAGCCTCCCAGGTTCAAGTGATTCTCTTGCCTCAACCTCCCAAGTAGCTGGGATTACAGGCGCGCACCACCACGCCCATCTATTTTTTTTTTTTTTTTTTTTTGTATTTTACGTAGAGATGGGGGTTTGTCATCTTGGCCAGGCTGGTCTCAAACTCCTGACCTCACGTGATCCTCTTGCCTCAGCATCCCAAAGTGCTGGGATTACAGGCATGAGCCACTACACCTGGCCCCAATTTTCTTTCTTTTAAGGACACTAGTCATGTTGGGTTAGAGGCCACCCATAGGCCCTCATTTTAACTTAATTACCTCCTCCAGACCCTATCTCCAAATATGGTTACATTCTGAGGTGCTGGAAGTTGAGACTTCAGCATATGAATTTTGGGATGGACACAGTTCAGCCCATAACGGGTGGGAGAGGAGAGACGGGTACCCATTGTGCCCCCAAATGCATCACAGGGTGGAAAGACTGGTCCTTTAAAGATTCTGGGGGTTAGCAGGTGTCTTGGATTGGTGAGAGTAAATAGGCTAGAGTGATCACCTCCAAACCCCTGGCCAGTCACAGAGGGCACCCTCAACCCCATTATCTTCTTTTTTTTTAAGTATAGATGGGGGTCTTGCTATGTTGCCAAGGCTGGTGTCAAACTCCTGGCCCCTCAAATGATCCTCTGGCCGCCTTGACCTCCCAAAGTGCTGGGATTATGTTATGTGTATTTTAACACAATAAAACATGTAACGGCTATGTAAATGGCTTTAAAGGGCATTTGGAATAGGTAAGGCTCACACAGAGCTCACACAGATGTGAGCCTGTTCTGCGTAAAGCCTGTAGGAGACAGAACTGCATCAGGAGCCTGGGCTGCTTGTCAGGAAGGCAGGCATCCCTGTGGAGAGAGGCCACAGACTGCAGTGCAGTCAGCTACCAAATAAGGAGGCACCCGAGCTATAAATAGCTGTTAAGACAAGCTGAAGCATGCCCTGACTTTAAGGTCAGCTCAGCTGTTAGCTGCCTGGCAGACATGGGGGCAACAGCTAACTCTCGTCTCCTCCCTCCTCAGGCACCCCCTTGTTTTGCACAGGGCTCCACCTCCCCCCTGTCTCCTGAATCTGACAATGTCAACATCAGCTGAAGGCCCTGGACCAGGCTTCCAGGTCACCCATCCTGGGTATAGCCACAGGTGTGCCAGGTGTCAGACAAGGCTGGAGACAGGAGGGATCTTTTCTGTTGTACAGATGGGGGAACAGGAGGCCGGTAGGAGAGGAGTCATGTTCCAAGTTCCACAGTAAACAGGTGGCAGTGCTGATGCAGCTGCTCCATGCCTCACTCTCTCCTGTGCCTCTCGGCCCCTTTGGTGCCCTGGCCCCCAGCAGGGAAGATAAGAGTCTGGAGTAATGGCTGGCATAAGTCTCCTCCCCTCCCCCAGGAAAGGCCAAGACAATCAGTTTGCCATTGAGATGCCAGTTGGGGCCCGGTGCTGTGGCTCACACCTGTAATCCCAGCACTTTGGGAGGCCGAGGAAGGCGGATCACCTGAGGTCAGGAGTTCCAGACCAGCCTGGTCAACATGGTAAAACCCTGTTTCTACTAAAAATACAAAAAAATTAACCTGACGTGGTGGCACGCACCTGTAATCCCAGCTACTCGGGAGGCTGAGGCATGAGAATCGCTTTAACCCGGGAGGCAGAGGCTGCAGTGAGCTGAGATCCTGCTGCTGCATGCCAGCCTGAGTGACAGAGCAAGACTCCATCTCAAAAAAAAAAAAAAAAAAAAAAAGATGCCAGTTGGCTGGGCTTGACATAACATGAAAGGGGGATGATGACTTTTTTTTTTTTTTTTTTTTGAAGATTATGGCTTTTTCTAAGCAATGCGCACAGTTCAAATGAAAGGGGATCAGGTTGTGCCACCCCCAAGAGATGCACTTTGGCATAGGATTATTTTCAGCTGAAAGCAATTGAGGATCAACAGATACAAGAAGGTTCTCTGCCCTTCTCTTAGCCAACTAAGAACAGAGCAGAAATTTCCCTCAGTGAAGGTGGCGTGAATTTCCCTTGTGAAGGCAACTCCCTTCTTGTACCAGAAAGAGGAGAGCCGCTCTTATCACCAGAGACAGAGAGCTGGCAGCAGGGTGAGTCTGCATAAACAAGCCTGACGAAAATAACCCTTGTCTGCCGTTAGTTTCTCCTGTATTCCTAGTCGCTTTCCCACAAGTAATCAATCAACCCTTGAAGCCCAAACCCCTTTCTTTTGTTAAAATGGTATATAAGCCCCAGATTCTAAGAGACCTTCTTTGAGTTTCAATTTTCTATGAACTCCTGTGCACATAAATATTAATTAAAAATTTATGCTTTGGGGGACCCGGTGAGGTGGCTCATGCCTGCTACCCCAGCACTTTGGGAGGCCAAGGCGGGTAGATCACTTGAGGTCAGGAATTTGAAGCCAGCCTGGCCAACATGGCAAAACCCCCTCTCCACTAAAAATGCAAAAAAATTAGTTGGGCATAGTGTGCACGCCTGTAGTCTCAGCTACTCAGGAGGTTAAGGCAGAGAATTGCCTGAACTCGGGAGGCAGAGGTTGCAGTGGGCCGAGATCGCGCCACTGCACTCCAGCCTGGGCAACAGTGTGAGACTCCGTCTCAAAAAAAAAAAAAAAAAAAAAGGGAAAAGGAAAATACATAACCATGGTGGTGTGTGCTTGTAACTACTTGGGAGGCTGAAGTGGGGTTGGGCCCAGGAGGTCCAAGCTGCAGTGAGCTGTGATGGTGCCATTGCACTCCAGCCTGGGCAACAGAGCCAGATCCTGTCTTAAGGAAAAAAAAAAAGATACTAATCTTTTGTTGGCTATATGTGTTACAAATATTGTTCCCCAGTGTATGACATATCTTTTCACTCTCCTAATGATATTTTTTGATGAGGTGACTTTCTTCCCCCAGTATTTTTTTCAATTACATTTCTCAAATTGAGAAATAATTTACATTTCCAGCCAATGTATCTGCAGAAAAAAACCAAACAAACAGGGGGATGGGGCTCAGTAAGTCATGCCTGTAATCCCAGAACTTTGGAAGGCTGAGGCGGGCAGATCACTTGAGGTCAGGAGTTCAAGACCAGCCTGGTCAATATGGTGAAACCCCATCTCTACTAAAAGTACACAAATTAGCTGGGCATGGTGGCCCCCACCTGTAATCCCAGCTACTCAGGAGGCTGAGGCAGGAAAATCACTTGAACCCAGGAGGCGGAGGTTGCAGTGAGCCAAGATTGTGGCACTGCACTCCAGCCTGGGCGACAGTGAGACTCTGTCTCAAAAAAAGAGAAATAATTTACATGCAAAAACATGCACAGATCTTACATATTCAGTGATTTGTTTTCTCTCTCTCTCTCTTTCTTTTTTTCAGAAGGAGTCTCGCTCTGTCACCAGGCTGGAGTGCAGTGGCGCGATCTCGGCTCACTGCAAGCTCCGCCTGCCGGGTTCACGCCATTCTCCTGCCTCAGCCTCCCGAGCAGCTGGGACTACAGGCGCCCGCTACCACACCTGGCTAATTTTTTGTATTTTTAGTAGAGACAGGGTTTCACCGTGTTTACCAAGATGGTCTCCATCTCCTGACCTCGTGATCCGCCCACCTCAGCCTCCCAAAGTGTTCAGATTACAGGCGTGAGCCACCGTGCCCGGCCTTTTTATTTTTATTTTTATTTTTTAGACAGGGTCTCGCTCCTGTTACACAGGCTGGAATGCAGTGGTGCACTTAAGGCTCACTGCAGCCTTGACCTCCCAGGCTCAAGCCATCCTCCCACCTCACCCTCGAAGTAGCTGGGATTACAGGTGTGTGCTACGATGCCAAGCTAATTTTTGTATTTTTTGTAAAGACAGGGTTTCACCATGGCCAGGCTTGTCTGAAGCTTCTGAGCTCTAGCAATCCACCTGCCTCGGCCTCCCAAACTGTTGGGATTACAGGTGTGAGCCACCCTGCCCAACCTGTTCAGTGAGTTTTGACAATCATGTACAACCACGAGGTAACCATAAACCAAGATAAAGACTTCCATCATCATAGAATGTTCCTTCCTGCTTCTTTCTAGTTCATTTTCTCATCCCAGTGCACAATCACTTTCTGAATTCTATTACCGTAGATTGGTGTTTCTTTTTTTTTTTTTGAGATGGAGTCTCACTCTGTCGCCCAGGCTGGAGTGCAGTGGCACAATCTCAGCTCACTGCAACCTCTGCCTCCCGGGTTCAAGTGATTCTCCTGGCTCAGCCTCCTGATTACAGGGATTATAGGCACATGCCACCAGGCCCTGGTAATTTTTGTATTTTCAGTAGAGACGAGGGTTCACCATGTTGGTCAGGCTGGTCTTGAATTCCTGACCTCACGATCTGCCCACCTCTGCCTCCCAAAGTGCTGGGATTACAGGTGTGAGCCACCGTACCTGGCCAGTGTTTTCTTTTTTAAAAAAATGTTTGTGGCTGGGCACAGGGCTCATGCCTTTAATCCCAGCACTTTGGGAGGCTGAGGCTGGCAGATTGCTTGAGGTCAGGAGATTAAGACAAGCCTGGCCAAGACAGTGAAACCTAGTGTCTAGTAAAAATACAAAAATTAGCTGTGTGTAGTGGCGCACGCCTGTAATCCCAGTTACCTGGGAGGCTAAGGCAGGAGAATCACTTGGACCTGGAAGGTGGAGGTTGCAATGAGCTGAGATCATGCCACTGCACTCCAGCCTGGGCAACACAGTGAGACTCCATCTCAAAAAGTAAAATAGTAGCCAGGCACAGTGGCTCACACCTATAATCCCAGCACTTTGGGAGGCCGAGGTGGGTGGATCATCTGAAGTTGGGAGTTCGAGACCAACTTGACTAACGTGGAGAAACCCCATCTCTACTAAAAATACAAAATTAGCCTGGCGTGGTGGTGCATGCCTGTAATCCCAGCTATTTGGGAGGCTGAGGCAGGAGAATCACTTGAACCCGGGAGGCGGAGGTTGTGGTGAGCCGAGATCGCGCCATTGCACTCCAGCCTAGGCAACAACAGCGAAACTCTGACTCAAAAATAAATAAATAAATAAATAAAATAAAATAAAACCTTTTAAATTTGAACTTTTTTTTTTTTGAGATGGAGTCTCACTCTGTCACCCAGGCTGGAGTGCAGTGGCACGATCTCGACTCACTGCAATCTCCGCCTCCCGGTTTCATGCCATTCTCCTGCCTCAGCCTCCTGAGTAGCTGAGACTACAGGCGCACTCCACCACGCCTGGCTAAGTTTTTGTATTTTTAGTAGAGACGGGGTTTCACCGTGTTAGCCAGGATGGTCTGGATCTCCTGACCTCGTGGTCTGCCCACCTCGGCCTCCCAAAGTGCTGGGATTACAGGCGTGAGCCATGGCGCCCGGCCCTTTTCCTTTTTTTTTTTTAAGATGGAGTATCCTTCTGTTGCCCAGCCCAGAGTGCAGTGGCAGGATCTCAGCTCACTGCATCCTCCACCTCCTGGGTTCGAGCAATTCTCCTGTCTCAGTCTCCTGATTAGCTGGGACTACAGGCGTGCGCCACCACACCCAGCTAATTTTTTTTTTTTTTTTTTTGAGACGGAGTCTCACTCTGTAGCTTAGGCTGGAGTGCGGTGGTGCAATCTCGGCTCACTGCAACCTCTGCCTCCCGGGTTTAAGTGATTCTCCTGCCTCAGCCTCCTGAGTAGCTAGGATTACAGGTGCACACCACCACGCTGGGCTAATTTTTGTATTTTTAGCAGAGACGGGGTTTCACCATGTTGGTCAGGCTGGTCTTGAACTCCTGACCTGGTGATCCGCCTGCCTCGGCCTCCCAAAGTCCTGGGATTACAGGCATGAGTCACCATGCCTGGCTAATTTTTGTATTTTTATTAGAGATGGGATTTCACCATGTTGGCCAGGCTGGTCTCGAACATCTGACCTCAAGGGATCTGTCTGCCTCAGCCTCCCAAAATGCTGGGATTACAGGCGTGAGCCACTACACCTGGCCTTTTTTTTTAGACTTGATGTTGTTTTTTTGCCCATGCTGGTCTCGAACTTCTGGCTTCAAATGATTCACCTGCCTGGGCCTCCCAAAATGGTAGGATTACATGCATGAGCCACCGAGCTCAGCTCGCTTTTTGCTTTTAATTTTGGTAAGGCCAGGAAACACAGTCGATGACACCTCTGCTTGATGTGGCAGGCCCTCATTTGGCCTTCGTCCTCGGTGAACGGCCTCCATCTCCAGATATGGGGCATCTGTGGCTTTACCCTTGGCTCTCATAGCCCCATCTCTTTAAAAAAAATTTTTTTTTAACTTTTTTTGTTGTTTTGTTTTTGAGACAAAGCCTGTTGCCCAGGCTGGAGTGCAATGGCACAATCAGGGCTCACTGCAGCCTCAACCTGTGGGTAGTCCTCCTCAATCACCCACAGCCCTGTTGAATAGCTCTTTCACTCCTGTCCATGGGGCTGGTGAGAGAGAAGGGCAGGTCCGTGTGAATCTGGAGTTCTCTGACAGAAAAACAACCCAGTCCACATTTCCCCAGGGCAGGGGTGGGGGATGGTGGCAGGGTGAGGGGCACTGGAATCAGCTCTATAGCGGGAGGGACAACCTGTTGTGAGGTTCCGGTTTCAGATCTTAAGTGTGTGGTCTTTTAGGATTATACTGGGGCAGGAAGGGGTGATGGGCAGAGGACGAGGAGAGCAAGAGGGACCGGTAAGGAGCCCAGGGCTGATCAAACGTCAGACAGTTTGCTCCCTGGCCTGCTGCCAGCATCTGTTCATGCCAGAAAGAAGTCAGAGGTTGGGCTGCTGAACTCCAGCTAGGTGCTGGGTGAGGGCCGGGTGTGGTCACTGTACAAGCCGTGGACTGAAGTTAATTGGCCTTCACAGGTGCCAGCAGGTACATGGCCCTGCTCACTTGCCTTTTGCTTTGCTTTTTTTTTTTTTTTTAATTTTGATTTTAGGTTCAAGGGTACATGTGCAGGTTTGTTATATAAGTAAACTCGTGGCCGGGCGTGGTGGCTCATGCCTGTAATCCCAGCACTTTGGGAGGCTGAGGTGGGCGGATCACCTGAGGTCAGGAGTTCGAGACCAGCCTGGCCAACATGGTGAAACCCCGTCTCTATTAAAAATACAGAAATTAGCCGGGCGTGGTGGCAGGCACCTGTGGTCCCAGCTACTCAGGAGGCTGAGGCAGGAGAATTGCTTGAACCCAGGAGGCAGAGGTTGCAGTGAGCCAAGATTGCTCCACTGCACTCCAGCCTGGGCAACAGAGTGAGACTCCATCTCAAAAAAAAAAAATATGTAGCTGGGCGCAGTGGCTCACGCCTGTAATCCCAGCATTTTGGGAGGTGGAGGCGGGCAGATCACGAGGTCAGGAGATCGAGACCATCCTGGCTAACATGGTAAAACCCTGTCTCTACTAAAAATACAAAAAAATTAGCCAGGTGTGGTGGCGGGCACCTGTAGTCCCAGCTACTTGGGAGGTTGAGGCAGGAGAATGGTGTGGAGGCAGGAGAATGGTGTGAACCCAGGAGGCAGAGCTTACAGTGAGCCGAGATCATGCCACTGCACTCCAGCCTGGGCGACGAAGCGAGACTCTGTCTCAAAAAAAAAAAAGTAAATGCATGTCACTGGGATTTGTTGTACAGATCATTTCATCTCCCAGGTACTAAGCTTTTTTTTTTTTTTTTTTTTTTTTTTGAGATGAATCCTCACTCTGTCGCCAGGCTGGAGTGTAATGGCACAATCTCAACCCACCACAATCTCAGCCTCCTGGGTTCAAGTGATTCTTGTGCCTCAGCCTCCCGAGTAGCTGGGAATGCAGGTGTGCGTCACCACCCCTGGCTAATTTTTGTATTTATTTTTTCAGTTTTAGTAGACATGGGTTTCATCATGTTGGCCAGGCCAGGCTGGTCTCTAACTTCTGACCTCAAGTGATCCACCTTCCTTGGCCTCCCAAAGTGCTGGGATTACAGGTGTGAGCCACCACACCCAGCCCTCAAAATGTTTGAAGAAAGTTTAGGAATTTGTGTTGGGCCACATTCAAAGCCGTCCTGGGTTGCATGTGGCCCATGGGCTGTGGGTTGGATAAGCTTGGTTTAAGCGTTTTTCTCCGCAATCTCTCCAGCATCTGTTATTTTTTGACTTTTTTTTTTTTTTTTTCAATTGAGATGAGGTCTCGCTCCTCTGCCCAGGCTGGTGTTGAGCTCCTGGCCTCAAGTATTCCACCTGCCATGCATGGCCTCCGAAAGTTCTGGGATTACAGGCATGAGCCATCATGATTGGCCGACTTTTTAATAATAGCTATTCTGAGAGGTGCGAGATGGTATCTCATTGTGGTTTTGATGTGTGTTTCTGTAATGTTCAGTGATACTGAACTTTTTCTCATATGCTTGTTGGCCGCATGTGTAACTTTTGCTTTTCTTATGAACCTTTGCACAGGTCTCCGGCTTCCACTCATCTTGTCCTTCCCAAAGCCCACTCCCACAGCTTGCTTGGCTCCTCAGGGTCTTTGGGGCCTGCCGTGTACCGCTTTGGATTTGCTTTTCAAGCCTATGCAAGGTATCCAGAGCAATGGGACTTAAAAGAAAAAAGACCAGGTCAGGCGTGGTGGCTCATGCCTTTAATCTCAACACTTTGGGAGGCTGAGGCAGGAGGATTTTTTGAACCTAGGAGTTCAAGAACAGCCCTGGTGGTTGGTGGCTTACGCCTGTAATCCCAGCACTTTGAAGGCTGAGGTGGGTGGATCACGAGGTCAGGAGCTCAAGACCAGCCTGGCCAAGATGGTGAAACCCTGTCTCTACTAAAAATAAAATTAGCTGGGCATGGTGGCAGGCGCCTGTAATCCTGGCTACTCGGGAGGCTGAGGCAGGAGAATCGCTTGAACCCGGGAGGCAGAGGTTGCAGTGAGCCGAGATAGCGCCACTGCACTCTAGCCTGGGCGACAGACTGAGACTCTGTCTCAAAAAAAAAAAAAAAAAAAAGAACAGCCCTGGCAACATAGTGAGATCCCATCTCTACCAAAAAAAAAAAAAAAAAATTCTATTTACCAGCTTTGATATGCCTGAGGGTGTGACCCCTGTGGCCCTGGATGCTGTCACTCGTTTCATTGATATTCCTTTTTTTTTTTTTTTTTTTGAGACAGTGTCTCACTCTGTTGCCCGGGCTGGAGTGCACTGGCGTGATCTCAGCTCATTGCAACCTCTGCCTCCTGAGTTCAAGTGATCCTCCCACGTCAGCCTCCTGAGTGGCTGAGATTACAGGTGCCCGCCACCACACCTGGCTAATTTTTGTATTTTTAGTAGAGATGGGGGTTTGCCATGTTGGCCATGCTGGTCTCGAGCTCCTGACCTTAAGTGATCCACCCACCTCAGCCTCCCAGAATGCTGGGATTACAGGCGTGATGTTTTGTTTTGTTTTGAAAGTCACTCAGGTTGCTCTGTCACTCAGGTTGGAGTGCAGTGGTGCAATCTCGGTTCACTGCAACCTCTGCTTCCCGGGTTCAAGCAATTCTCCTGCCTCAGCCTCCTGAGTAGCTGGGACTACAGGAGTGCGCCACCACGCCAGGCTAATTTTAAAATTTTCTGTAGAGATGGGCGGACCCACTATGTTGCCCAGGCTGGTCTTGAACTCCTGGTCTTAAGTGATCCTCCCACCTCAGCCTCCCAAAGTGTTAGGATTATAAGCATGGACCTCTGTGCCCACCTTCTTTTTTTTTCCTAAAAGAAAACCATGTTTATTTGAGAATAGCCATTGCAATGGTAATACACAGGACATAGTAAAAACTATGTGCTGCATATTCAAGGAGGTAAAGGAAGACAGGGTTTTTAAAGGAAAAGTAGGGAGGATCACATTGTTTTGAGATCATTATCCTTGGCTACAAGGATCCATAACAAGGCTGGCGCCAGTCTGAGGCTGGACAGGCAGTTGCTGGGCAGATGTCCTCACACAAGTATTTTGTGTGTCTGTGTGGCTCCATTTTGATTCTGGCAACTTTCACATGGTCATTTGTGAACGTTTGTTAGGCTGTACACTAATATCTGTATGTGTATTTTTAAAGTATGTATATTTTGGCAGGGCGTGGTGGCTCACACCTGTAATCCCAGCACTTTGGGAGCCAAGGCGGGCGGATCACCTGAGGTCAGGAGTTTGAGACCAGCCTGGTCAACATGGTGAAACACCGTCTCTGCTAAAAATACAAAAATTAGCCAGGTGTGGTGGCGCCCGCCTGTAATCCCAGCTACTCAGGAGGCTGAAGGGGGAGAATCGCTTGAACTCGGGAGGTGGAGGTTGCAGTGAGCCAAGATCGTGCCGCTGCACTCCAGCCTGGGGGACAGAGCGAGACTCCATCTCAAAAAAAAAAAAAGTAAATAAATTTAAAAAAAAGTATGTATATTTTACTTTAAGCAAAAATGAAAATTAAGATGGGGCAAGTGTGCTAAGATACTTGTACAAAGATGCTGTTTTCGATGTTATGATGTTAAAAACTGGAAACGTCCTGCATGTATAAAGAGCCAAAGGCTGATGAACTAATAGCTTTTAGTATCCCCACAGAATGGAATATTATGCAGTCATTGGGAATGTTGATAAAGATGTACATTTATTTGCTTGGAGTTATTAAGTAAACAATATAATGCGAAATAAGTTAAAAAAAGAAAGTATATTCCAAAAAGTGTCCCTTTCTGGGCAATATACAAATATGCAGACTATTAAGAAAGTTGACTAGTCTGAGGAGCTTGCTAGATACATATATTCCTGAGCCCACACACAAACTTGACTAATCCAAGGAGCTTGTTAGATACATATTCCTGAACCCCCACACTCAAGGATTCAGGGATTCTCATTCAGGCATCCCCCTAGTCCCCACCCACACACACCCAGCCAGAGTTTTTTTGAGAAGGAGTCTTGCTCTGTTGTCCAGGCTGGAGTGCAGTGGCATGATCTCGGCTCACTGCAACCTTCTCCTCCCCAGTTCAAGCGATTCTTCTGCCTCAGCCTTCCAGGTAGTTGGGATTACAGGCACGCACCACGATGCCCGGCTAAGTTTTTCTTGTATTTTTAGTACAGATGGGGTTTTGCCATGTTGGCCAGGCTGATCTTGAACTCCTGACCTCAGGTGATCCACCTGCCTGCCTTGGCCTCTCAAAGTGCTGGGATTATAGGCATGAGCCATTGCGCCCGGCCAGGCAGGTTAATTTTTATGCACAGCCTGGTTTCTACCATTCTGGGAGCATCTTTGAGAATTTGATGTAAACTGTGGATCTTCACCTCTGAAAAAGTAATGGACACACCAAAGCCTGGGTAGAACTTGGAGGGGCGAGGGGGTCCATAACTCCAGCTAAGAGGAAGGATGAGAGGTCACCTCCCCTCATTTTCCTCATTTCTATTTATCCTCGGAAGGCCCCTTGCTCCCGCTCCCTAAAGGTTGAGAACCCCTGCCAGGCAGTATGGCCCCTCTGGGCCATTGTTGAGGTCGGCGCCCCTCCCTTTTGTGTTTCTGTGAGGGTCGCTGGTGAGAGCTGAGGGCAGGGGTCACCTGGTAGTGGCCCTGAGGCTTGCTCTGAGAACCTGCCTCAGCTGTGTTCGGGGCTTTTCCTGCCTCCCCGCTGTCCCTGCTGTCCCCACTGTCCCCGCTGCAGGACAGCTCTTAGGTCGCCCTGAGGTTTTTGGCCTTCTCCACACCCTCCCTGCTTCTGGTCCAGAAAACGCAAGCTGCCTCTCTGGCTGCACACGGCTCATGACGCCGCCCCAGCGTTCTCACCCTCCATCTTGTTACCATCAGCCGCAAAAGGTCCCCCCGCCCCCCACCGTGTACAGGCAGTGCACATCCACTATTGCATTAATGCTGCTCTGGGCCCCTGGAATGAGATGGGAACGGGGTCAAAGTTGTGGCTATGTGTTGGAAGGTGGGCCGTGAGCAGTGTCGTAAACTTGAAGACCCCTAGAACAGTTTACTGACCTCTTTTTGTGTGTGTGCCTCTAAAAGCCAGGGACTACTCAGGCAGTGGACAGTTCCATGGCTTCTTCTAAGAGAACAAGGCAGTCAAGAAGAGTCAGGTCCATTTGGGAAGAGAGACGTCCATGGCCTCGGCCACCAGGTGGCATCACTGTCCCTTCTGGAAGAGCAGCGTGTCTGGGAAGCCACATCCGTCTACAGCTCCCGTTCCTCCCTAGCCTCCACTCTAGGGCAAGGGCCCAGCCTTTCACTAGGAGGCCTCACTCCCTGAACCCGAGGCACCGGCTCCGCCTCCTCCCCTCACAGTCCTCATGTGTCGTCAGTCCCGCTCCGAGGAGCACCTCATTTCTGTTGCCCATCACCACTCCTCTTAGCTCCATTGCTGAGCGGCCGGATGGGACGAACGAGGGGAACGTGTAGGGCAGGACAGGCTCCTCTTGGCCTTGGCATAATAAACAGAAAACCCACACATTTTTCTTACTTTTAATATCTAAGATAAAAAAAAAAACCCAACCACCAAAACAACCCATTTGCATGTCGGCGACACGCCTGGTCTCGGGCTCCCTTTCTGGGGCTGTCCTCCCAGGCGGCTCCCAGGTCCTCATCCAGGGAAGAGCCCAGCCTCGGCCAGAAGCCACCGCGGCCTCCAGTTCCGCACCGTGACAACCTGGGACCCAGCCTTTCAGAAAGGCCACCAGGAACTGTTTTTAAAGCATAGGGCTGCACTAGGAGGAAGTTTTCCCTTGAGGCTGAGAGTTATTTCTTGTGGAGAAATTTCATTTTATTGCCTAAAAAAAAGGAAAATGAGAACATTTCACAAGGCAGACAAAGGAGGGTGAGATAAATCTTGCCCTTTCCACCCAGAAGTGGTGCGGGTAACGGGGCCCCCACGCCACCCCAGGGAGCCTCATCCCTTGCTCTGGAGAAGCCAAAGGGGCTTTGTTCTTTCCAGAGATCCCCGTGGGGTCTTCCTCAGACTTGAGGGGGTTTGAAAGGAAGACCATCAGAGCTGTCTAGGAGGGCTGGCTGCTTCTGTGGTAATAAAGGAAGCACCGAATTAACACATCCCTCAGGAGCCAGGGGAGGAGAAAGTGCCCAGCAATGCTGTGTGTATTTAAAACACTCTGCTTCCAGGTAGCCCTCCGTCCTGCAGGAGGCACAGATATGGCGCCCTTCACAGGCCCTCTGGGAGGGCCTCACTGCTGCAGACACCTCCCTACTGGGGCCTCCGTCCTCTTTTTTGGCTGTCTTCATTCTCCCTTTCCCTTTAAGGGCCTTTTCACTGATTAAACTACAGTCCTTGTAAGTGTCACGTTTCTACTTTCCAGAGGAATTTGGACACCAGTGCGAGTCTTTCTTGCCAGACGTCCTTGTCTGGTTCCCGCCATGCTCCCTCAGCTCAGTTCCTCTGAGATTTAACAGTGCAGGAGATCATAGAGAAAGAAGACAGCAAGAAAGCCCGGGGACCCAGAAAAGGAGGTGCTGGGGGCAGCGTTTCCTTTGTTTTCTCTTTGGGGACAGATTAGAACAGGAGGTTAAAATGCCAGTAGCATCTGCCCAGCGCAGGCCGTAGAGCTCTGCATTATTCAGGGCGCTGGCTCCAGTGGAGGGAACCGGCTGGGACTCCGAGACAGACAGCTCAGAGGCACACAGGCTGGGCACCCAGAGCCCGGGGCCTTACCTAGTCCCTTCAGGAACTTATTGACACCGCTGTGCTCTCCACTGGGGAGTGTTTCCAGATACTCTTGGGCTCGGACCTCAAACAGACCTGTTAACAAGAGAAATCCCAGCCATTTGAGTTCTTGGTCTTTGCACTTCTAAATGTGTCCATTTCCTCCCTACCAGAGAAAAGAGAAACCTTGTTTCTGAGACTAAGCTGCTCCTATAAACATGCTCTGAATCAGGAGGTTTTATAAGGATTTTATTGCTCTTATAATTGCCCCACCTGTGCAGTAACTCCCTTTGGAAAGCTATAAAGCCACCTCATAGATGAAATCCTATTTTTATTCAACAAACGCCTTCCGAGCGTCTACACTGTGCCAGGCGGGCAGTTTTAAAGATGAACCGGAGTGGCCAGTCATGGTGGTTCACGCCTGTAATCCCAGCACTTTGGGAGGCTGAGGTGGGCAGATCACCTGAGATCAGGAGTTCGAGGCCAGCCTGGCTAACATGGTGAAACCCTCTTTCTACTGAAAATACAAAAAAATTAGCCAGGTGTGGTGGTGCACGCCTATAATCCCAGCTACTCGGGAGGCTGAGGCAGGAAAATCGCTTGAACCCGGGAGGCGGAGGTTGCAGTGAGCCAAGGTCACGCCTTTGCACTCCAGCTTGGGCAACAAGAGTGAAACTCCGTCGCAAAAAAAAAAAAAAAAGTTGAACCGGACTGTCCTGGCTTGGGAGGGGTGTCTGTGCTCTCCCATTTCCCTGCATTCTCCTGTACGAGGGCCCTGGCCAAGTGGCTTAGTTTTCCAGGAGTCCCTCTGTGGAGGTGTGGAGGGAGGATGGCTGGATAGGCCATCTCTTAAGCCGCTTCTCAGACCCCTGGGGTCTGAGCTTCAGGCACTCTGTCTTCATTGCTGACTGATCTTTCATGGACAGAGGGTTCTTTCCAGGGTTTTTTTTTTTTGAGATAGAGTTTCGCTGTGTCACCCAGGCTGGAGTGTAATGGTGCCACTGTGGCTCACTGCAAGCTCTGCCTCCTGGGTTCAAGCGCTTCTCCTGCCTCAGCCTCCTGAGTAGCTGGGATTACAGGCGCCTGCCACCATGCCCAGCTAATTTTTGTATTTTTAGTAGAGACAGGGTTTCACCAAGTTGGCCAGGTTGGTCTCGAACTCCTGACCTCAGGTGATCTGCCCGCCTCGGCCTCTCAAAGTGCTGGGATTACAGGCGCGCGCCACAGCGCCCGGCTTTTTCCAGGTAGTTTTTTTTTTTCTTTTTTTCTGAGACAGAGTTTCATTCTTGTTGCCCAGGCTGGAGTGCAATGGTGCAATCTCGGCTCACTGCAACCTCTGCCTCCTGGGTTCAAGCGATTCTCCTGCCTCAGTCTCCTGAGTAGCTGGGATTACAGGCGCACACCACCACGCCTGGCTAATTTTCTTTATTTTTAGTAGAGACAGGGTTTCACCACGTTGGCCAGGTTGATTTCCAACTCCTGACCTCAGGTGATCCGCCTGCCTTGGCCTCCGAAAGTGCTGGGATTACAGGCGTGAGCCACCATGCCCGGCTTCCAGTAGCTTTTAAGCTTGTGTGTCTCACACCTCTCTTACCAAGTGATCTGTAAAGAGAGATTTAAATGTAACTCATACTCTCCAATCAGTTTTCTTTTTCTTTCTTTTTTTTTTGTGACGGAGTCTCACTCTCTCAACCAGGCTGGAGTGCAGTGACATGATCTCGGCTTATTGCAACTTCCACCTCCCAGGCTCAAGTGATCCTCCCACCTCAGTCTCCTGAGGAGCTGGGACCACAGGCACACACCATCACACCGATCTAATTTTTTAAAACATTTTTGTAGAAAAGGGGTTGCACCATGTTGTCCAGGCTGGTCTTGAACTCCTGACCTCAAGTGATCTGCATGCCTTGGCCTCCCAAAGTGCTGGGATTATAGGCGTGAGTCACCCACTGTGCCCAGCCTGAGAATTTCATCAATTTGGAAAGAATGGGATAGAAGGAGACCCTGCCACAGACACTGGAATGTGGTTCTGGGAGAGGCTGGCAGAGGGAACAGAGAAGCCAGGAGAGGGGGCCTTCCTACCAGCTCAGTCAGGGCATAACTGCAAGCTCTCTGGGGGAGATGGACACAGTCCTGTCTGTGCCCCTGCCCTGTGATCTTTCTCCCTACTCATCAGCCGCCTGGAATATAGGGAGCTCTAGCTGACTCGGCCCCAACAGAGAAGATGCCCCTCACCTTTGGCATCCTGCCGGCGCAGCTCCCGCTCCTGGATGAAGCCCCGAAACATCTGAGTCTCCATGAAGACCTCCAGGAAGTGGCGGAGGCTCTTGGAGGAGACAGCTTTGCGGAAGGCCTCCCGCTGCAGGGTTCTCTCCTCACGCTCGCCCGACGTCAGGAACAAAGAGTAGTGTCCCACAATCTCCACGAAGAAGCGGACAAAGGCTTCAGACACCACCTCGTTCAAGGGGCTGGACTCTGGACCTGAGTAAGGGGAGGAAAGGCCAGGAACGGTGAGGGCAGACAGGCTGGGCCAGAGCCCTTGAGACAAGCCAATTGGTAATCAAAGAACAGTAACTGCTAGTTCCCTTGATGGAAACTGCGATTATCCAGGAGGAGGGTTACCCAGGTTATTAAGACATTTCTTTCCATGCTTAATTTTTTAAATTTTAAATTGTTAAAAAAGTTTTTATTTTTATTTTGTTTTTATTTTTTGAGATGGAGTCTCACTCCATTGCCCAGGCTGGAGTGCAGTGGCATAATCCTGACTCACTGCAACCTCTGCCTCCTGGATTAAAGCAATCCCTCTGCCTCAGCCTCCCGAGTAGCTGGGATTATGGGCATGCGCCACCACGCCCAGCTAATTTTTGTATTTTTAGTAGAGATGGGGTTTCACCATGTTGGCCAAGCTGGTCTCGAACTTCTGAACTCAAGTGATCTGCCCACCTCGGCCTCCCAAAGTGCTGGGATTACAGGGATGAGCCTCTGTGCCCAGCCTTTTATTTTTTTTGAGATAGAGTCTTGCTCTGTCTCCCAGGCTGGAGTGCAGTGGTGTGATCTCGGTCCACTGCAACCTCTGCCTCCTAGATCAAGCGATTCTCCTGCCTCAGACTCCCGAGTAGCTGGGATTACAGGCGCTTGCCACTATGGCCAGCTAATTTTTGTATTTTCAGTAGAGACGTGTTTTCACCATATTGGCCAGGCTGGTTTCGAACTCTTGACTTCAGGTGATCCACCTGCCTCGGCCTCCCAAAGTGCTGGGATTACAGGTGTGAGCTGCTGTGCCTGGCCACAGTTTTTAATTTTTGATTTTTTGAGATGGGATCTCACTCTGTTGCCCAGGCTGGAGTGCAGTGGTGTGGCTCACTGCAGCCTCAACCTCCAGGGCTCAAGGGATCCTCCTGCCTCAGCCTCCCGGGTAGCTGGGACCACAGGCATGTGCCACCATGCCCAGATAATTTCCACGCCCCCCTTTTAAACAGGTACTTTAAGGCCAAAATGGGGGAGGTGGGAAAATCTTTCCCACAATTCACTGTGGGAATGAAATCCAGATAAACAGAATGAGGCCCTGGTTTCTCTCCTTATGTCTCCCTTGCCCATATTCCTACTTGGCCCTTGGCCACTGCCCATTTGTTCCCTGACCCTCAGAGTGGAAGGGAGAGACCCACTGGGAGGTGGCTGAACACTTACCGTGCCTGCCGTCTAGGGGCCCTTCGTCCTGCTCACAAGCCAGCTCGTTCCTCTGTTCCAGAATGTGTTCCAGGGCCACCTGAAGCTTCCGGGGCAGGATGGAGTCCTCATCGTCCATCTGGAAAGCAGAGGTAGCAGGTGGGCTTATGGGCACGGTGGCTGCGTCTTGGCCATAGGACACACTGGAGCCACTGCAGGGCAGGCCTGGCTCAGTCTCCAGTTTCATGGAAGGAATACAACTGAAAGCCAGAGGTCTGAGGTTTCAATCTTGAGCCTACTTTTTTTTTTGAGACAGAGTTTCACTCTTGTCGCATAGTCTGGAGTGCAATGCCATGATCTTGGCTCACTGCAACCTCTGCCTCCCGGATTCAAGCAATTCTGCCTCAGCCTCCCAAGTAGCTGGAACTACAGGCGCGTGCCACCGCTCCTGGCTAATGTTTTGTATTTTTAGTAGTTTAGTTTCACCATGTTAGCCAGGCTGGTCTCGAACTCCTGACCTCAGGTGATCCGCCCACCTTGGTCTCCCAAAGTGCTGGGATTACAGGCGTGAGCCACTGCACCTGGCCGAGCCTACTTTTTACAAGCAACGGGAGCCTCGTTTTCCCCACTTGTAAAATGGACTACCAATCAATCTGTACCTTGTTGTGAAGCTACAATGGACTACAATTACCCTGTGAAAGGGCTTGGCACTGAGAGGATACTCAATAGATGATTTCCACTGCTCCATCCTGTAGGGTAGCTAGTGGATTCTGGTAACCAGGGGATTCTGGCCAGGGCAGATGGCCTGTGTGATCTAAGGCTGGCTTTGGGATCAGGGCCTCAGAGCAGGAGGGTCTTGGGAAGGGCCTACCCTGTGGGCCTTGAGGAAGTGAAAGTAATGATAAAAAACAGCATTAATGCTACTGAACTTTTCAGCAATGTGGCAACACTTGGAAGTAATCCATCAGAATGCCCAGAGAAATTTTCTGTAATTACTATAATTACTTCTTGCAAAATCTGATAGAAGTTAGGCCTCTCTAGCAAATGATAAAAAGAAAATACATGTGTGTTACCTTCTCTGCTAGTGAAAGTAACTGATGATCATTATAAAAATATATGAATGTACTAAAACAATTTAAAATCACTCATAATCTGTCTCCTTTCAGTTTCCCTCCCCAAGACAACAAGCGTTAATGTTTTAGTGGGTTTTCCTTTCAGTCCTTTTAAAGTGCACGTGCGTGCGCGCACACACGCACACACGTATATACATATTTTTTTTCCTGTCTCTTCTCTCTTTTTTTTTTCTTCAGGAAAGGGTTTCACACTGTCTCTCGGGCTGGAGTACAGTGGCACGATCTCAGCTCACTGCAGCCTTGACCTCCCAGGCTTAAGTGATCCTCCTGCCTCAGCCTCCTGCGTAGCTGCTGGGACTACAGGTGCATACCAGCAGGCCTGGGTAATTTTTTAATTTTTTTATAGACACAAGGGTCTCACCATGTTGTCCCAGGCTGGTCTTTAACTCCTGGGCTCAAGTGATCCTCCTGCCTCAGCCTCTGGAGGTGCTGGGATTGTAAGTGTGCCCCGGCCAGGGCAAATATTCTTTTTTTTTTTTTTTTTTGAAACGGAGTCTCGCTCTGTCGCCCAGGTTGGAGTGCAGTGGCGTGATCTCGGCTCATTGCAAGCTCCACCTCCTGGGTTCACACTATTCTCCTGCCTCAGCCTCCCAAGTAGCTGGGACTACAGGCGTAAATGCATATTGAAGCTGGGCATGGTGGTGCATGCCTCCAGCTACTGAGGAGACTGAGGTGGGAAGATCACTTGAGGCCAGGAGTTTGAGACCGGCCTGGGCAACATAGTGAGACCCTGTCTTTTTTTTTTTTTTTTTTGGAGATGGGATCTCACTCTGTCACCCAGGCTGGAGTGCAGTGGCGCAATCTCCACTCACTGCAACCTCCACCTCCTGGGTTCAAGCAATTCTCCTGTCTAAGCCTCCCAAGTAGCTGGGATTACAGGTGCCTGCCACCATGCCTGGCTAATTTTTGTATTTTTAATAGAGATGGGGTTTCACCATATTAGTCAGGCTGGTCTCGAACTCCTGACCTCAGGTGATCCACCTGTCTCAGCCTCCCAAAGTGCTGGGATTACAGGTGTAAGCCACTGCACCCAGCTATTTTTAAAAATGAAAAATCTAGGTGCCTATAGTTATAAGATTACAAAGAATCTTTTTCTAATTGTTAGAAAACCATTTTGTGTCAGAACACGTAGAAAGCAATCCTTTGCCCAAACCCTTCCTTTTTGCCCCTTGCCTTCTGGCTTGTCCTCAGCCCAGCCCCGTCCTGGGGTCACACAGCTCTGCCACCCTGCTCTGCAATCCCAAAGAGCCTTTCCAAGGCTGGAGAGCTGAGCCCCAAACAACAAATAGGTAAAGACAAAGGGAGCAGGAGGCCGTCGCTGGCCTCACTCACCTGTCTGAGGAACCGGCTGTTGACGAGGTCAACCACAAGGACCTATGAGATGAGACGAAAGGGACTGTTACTGTCACCAGGGCTTCTGGGATAGGGATGGACTCATAGCCTTCTTCCTTCTTGGCATGCAGAGAGGCAGCTGGGGCGGGGCTGGAGGTGAGCCATTTGTGGTTTCCTGACATTGCCACGGTAGCCACAGGTAATGAAGAGCAGGGCTGGGGAGGGTCCTTCCTGAGCTGCATGCTTTCAACACCGACACCGCAGGCTGGGATGCATGTGTGCTGTGGCTGGACTCACCGCCTGGCTTTCACACTGGCTGAGGCAGAGCTTCTCACGCTGCCTTTTAGGGTGTGGGCTACTGAGGTAGGCAAAAGACGCTGCAGGCCTCCCTGGCTCCCACCCTAGGGCCCCTGCCTTGTCCTTCCCCCAGCTGCCCACTTAACCGTATCATTTCCCTCCAGGGGAGAGGAGGAGAGAAACCCACCTGCAGACTCGGTTAGGCTTTGGGCTTTCACTGCTGAAGGCTTTCAGGATAAAGCACTTCCTCCCTCATCCTCAGAGTGAGAATGAGACCTGGGACAGGACCAGGGTGGGGCAAGTGAGGTGCCTGAGGCGCAAAGGTCCCACAAGTGCTGCTGCTCCTGAGAGCGCGACCCTCACTCAGACCCCAGCCAAGGCCACTGGCCGTGACGGAGGAGGAGCCAGGGGCCTGGATGGTCACCATAACAACAGCTGGAAACATGTGAGTTCTCCCATATCCCAGAGACCTGCCCAGGAGCGGAGGGCCACCTCTCCTTCCTTCCCACTCACACCCTCCGGGGTTGAACTGAGCCACCTGCAGGAGCACAGGGCACCCAGACGAACTCCTGGCTGCCCTCAAGCCTGCACTGAAAGCCCTAAGGCCGGTGGGTGATGTTTAATGGGGCGTTAGGACTATCTGGGCAATTAGAGGAGCAGCTTCTAGGGACCCAGACACAAATGCAGGACAGAGGGACAGGCGTTCCTCCTGGAGCTTCAGGGCTGAGCAACATTATTTAAGCTTCCTTCTCTGACTGCTGGAAGTCCCCAGTCCTCCGGGTCAAAACCATTTAGAGGAAGGGGCTGGGGCTAAGTAACTCCAGAAGTGCCAAGCAGGACTTTCCCCGCTTCGATGCTAAACTGGACACCCAGAACTTGGGGATTAAAAACATTTGTAACGGATATGACAACGGACCAGATCTTGCTAGCTCCTCAATGTGGGGGAGTGGGCGAGAGGGCAGGGGAGAGGAGAGGGCTATTAATGACTTAAGAGTTTTGACATCTGGCTAAATTGTTCATTGCTGACCTTCTCAAGAGGTGCTCATACCAGGCATTTCATTTGGAAGGGAAAACAGTGTTTGCAGTCACTGAGGGTCTGACTGAGTCAGCCTCTGGGCAGGACCCATGCCAGACAAAGCCCTGGTGCCCCCACGCCCTGCTCCCCAACACTGCTGGCTCTGAGAACCGCTCCATGATGCCTGCAGAGCCAGCGCCCCGCTCTGTTCTCCGCACCCTGCAGGGAGGGGGACAGGGCTGAGTGGGAGCTCACCTCTTCCAGCGGCAGCTCCCTGAGCAGTGGCAGCGAGCTGGAGAGCAGCCCGATGAGGAAGGGCGTCGGCGAGCACACGATGTCGACCATGGCGGGTGGCAGCACCGGGATGTAGGTGTGCTGCCAGGCGAAGGGGTAGATCAGCGCCACCATCGCGTGGCAGCACTTGGACAGGATGCTGCAGCCGGGGAGAGAACAGGGAGAGAGGCCGACTCAGCGAGGGCCCGAGGAAGCCTCCAGGGGAGAAGGCTCCTCCCAGAGACAGGATGACTAGGAAAGGACACACGTGGATGTGGATCCGGTGGAGCACATGATGGTCTCAGCACAGGCCACACCAGGCACTTAGAGCCTATGCGAGAGGCTTGCAGGCACAGCTACAGGGATGAGTTTAACGTCCTGGATAATTTTTACAAGTGCGTTTCCACATGTGAGCTGCACGCCCTGCACTCTCCCGCCCTGACCTTTTTTTGTGATCTATACTCTTGTAAGGTTTTTATTTATTATTTATTTATTTATTTATATTTTTAATTTTTTTGAGACGGAGTCTCACTCTGTTGCCCAGGCTGGGGTGCAGTGGCGTGATTTGGGCTTACTGCAACCTCTGCCTCCCAGGTTCAGGTTCAAGCAATTCTCCCACCTCGGCCTCCTGAGTAGCTGGGACTGCAGGCACGCGCCACCACACCTGGCTAATTTTTGCATTTTTAGTAGCGATGGGGTTTCACCATGTTGGTCAGGCTGGTCTTGAACTCCTGACTTCAAGTGATCCGCCCACCTCAGCCCCTCAAAGTGCTGGGATTACAGGCGTGAGCCACCATGCCTGGACTCTTGTAAGGTTTTAATTTATATTCATTTCCACCCTTACTCCCTGCCCCCTACACAAACAAAACAAAAACACAAACGGTGAAAGCCTATTTTCTCATGAATGCTCCTTCTCTTACTGAAGATCTGAAGATGCTTTCTATTGAAACACTGTAGCTTTTGCTTTGTTCTGTTCCAAGCATTCTTTCAGCTGAGCATGAACACCTAGGAAATCCGGGAAAAGGACAGAAAACTCCTTTGGTACTCACATGCCAGCAGTCAGCTCCAAATGGGTTCCAAGTGAAGCTCATATACAGTTGAGCCTTACCCAGAATTCTGGTCAAAGATGATATGCTAGAGATGACTGAGGGCTGCCGGGCACGGTGGCTCACGCCTGTAATCCCAGCACTTTGGGAGGCCGAGGTGAGTGGATCACCTGAGGTCAGGAGTTCGAGACCAGCCTGGCTAACATGGTGAAATTCCGTCTCCACTAAAAATACAAAAAATTAGCCAGGCATGGTGTACGCCCAGCTACTCAGGAGGCTGAGGCAGGAGAATCGGTTGAACCCAGGAGGTGAAGGTTGCAGTGAACTGAGATTACACCATTGCACTCCAGCCTGGGCAACAAGAATGAAACTCCATCTCAAAAAAAAAAAAAAGAGATGACTGAGGGTTAACCATTTTATGCATTGAAATTTTTAAAAATAATAACATTGGGAGAGGCCAGGCACAGTGACTGATGCCTGTAATCCCAGCACTTTGGGAGGCTGAGGTGGTCAGAAGTTCAAGACCAGGCTGGCCAACATGGTGATACCTCATCTCTATCAAAAAATACAAAAATTAGCTGGGCATGGTGATGCACGCCTGTAATCCCAGCTACTTAGGAGGTTGAGGTGGGAGAACTGCTTGAACCTGGGAGGCGGAGGTTGCAGTGAGCCGAGATTGCGCCATTGCACTCCAGCCTGGGTGACAGAGTGAGGCACTGCCTCAAAAACAGAAACAAAACACCAAAAAAAACACTGGGAGAAATATTGGGAGTTTCTCTTCAAGAAAAATGGTCAGGCTGGGTGCGGTGGCTGACGCCTATAATCATAGCATTTTGGGAGGCCGAGGTGAGTGGATCACCTGAGGTCAGCAGTTCGAGACCAGTCTGGCCAACATGTTGAAACCCCATCTCTACTAAAAATAGGAGAGGATGTGGAGAAATAGGAACACTTTTACACTGTTGGTAGGACTGTAAACTAGTTCAACCATTGTGGAAGACAGTGTGGCGATTCCTCAAGGATCTAGAACTAGAAATACCATTTGACCCAGCCATCCCATTACTGGGTATATACCCAAAGGATTGTAAATCATGCTGCTATAAAGGCCTGTGCCCACGTATGTTTATTGCACCACTATTCACAATAACAAAGACTTGGAACCAGCCCAAATGTCCATCAATGATAGACTGGATTAAGAAAATGTGGCACATATACACCATGGAATACTATGCAGCCATAAAAAAGGATGAGTTCATCCTTTGTAGGGACATGGATGAAGCTGGAAACCATCATTCTCAGCAAACTATCGCAAGAACAAAAAACCAAACACCACATGTTCTCACTCATAGGTGGGAATTGAACAAGGAGAACACTTGGACACAGGAAGGGGAACATCACACACCGGGGCCTGTTGTGGGGTAGGGGGACGGGGGAGGGATAGCATTAGGAGATATACCCAATGTAAATGACGAGTTAATGGGTGCAGCACACCAACATGGCACATGTATACGTATGTAACAGACCTGCACGCTGTGCACATGTACCCTAAAACTTAAAAGTATAATAAAACAAAACAAAACAACAACAACAACAAGATATATGTGTGTATTAAAATATTATGTTCCAGTTGAGCCCAAGAGATTGAGACCAACCTGGGCAACATGGTGGGGCCCTGTTTCTCAAAAAAAAAAAAAAAATAGCCTTTGGTGGTGACATGTGCCTGTGGTCCCAGCTACTCAGGAAGCTGAAGTGTGAAGATTACTTGAACCTGGAAGGTTGAGGCTGCAGTGAGCCGTGATCGTGTCACTGCACTCCAGCATGGATGACAGAGGGAGACCCTGTCTCAACAACAACAAAATCATCATTGTTGTACATGATAAATATATGCCATCTTTATATGACAATTAAAAATAATTAAAATTAAAAAATATATGTACACATAGCCTTCTTTTCCATTCCCCAATTTGGGGGCCCCTGGACTAATAATGGTACTATTGAATCTTGTTCATTTATCCCACTGTCTCTTAACCTTCCTGTTCTCTGTCTTTGCAAATAATCGTTCTCCTGATACTCACTGGAGTCAGGAAATAGCAGCATGGCATCCATGCATCGCACTGATATTCGGTCCTTATCTTTTCTTTCAAATGATCACCCCCAAGATGAGAAAAACGCTACCCCAAGATTTCATTCTTATCCCTACACTGTCTTCTTTATTAGCTGGGTAAGAGTAACACATTGCATTTGGAAGATACCAAGAAAAAAAAAAGAGTGAGAGAATAATGAAGTTAGGACTTATATTAAGGAGAATACTATCCAGAATCCAGCCAGAGCTTAGGGTGAAGTGACTTCTGTGTCTTTCTTTTTTTTTTTGAGACAGAATTTCACTCTGTCTCCCAGGCTGGAGTACAGTGGCATGATCTCAGCTCACTGCAACCTCCACCTCCCGTGTTCAAGTGATTCTCCTGCCTCAGCCTCCAGTGTAGCTGAGATTAACAGGCATGCGCCACCATGCCTGGCTAATTTTTGTATTTTTGGTAGACACAGGGTTTCACCACGTTGGTCAGGCTGGTCTCGAACTCCTGACCTCAGGTGATCTGTTCACCTTGGCCTCCCAAAGTGCTGGGATTACAGGCGTGAGCCACCACATCCGGCCGACTTCTATGACTTTCGAAGGATCTAGATCTACATCTTCTGTCAAAGCAGAGATACCTTTCCCTAAGGCATCACTTCCTCTCAAATATTCAAGAATGTTAATGCTTTAGTTAATTCCTCACCATTTATGTTTTAGTTCCTTGATCTATAAACCACTGAATGTACTGAATTCACTTTGTTCTAAATTGTTTATTTTTTTATTTTAGGACTAATCTATGTTGATGCGTGGAGCCAGGCTACAAAGTTGCTATGCTCGTGTGCTATGGTTGTAAAGTCAGGACTTAGAAAATCAGAACATTCACATACAAGTGAGGATAGTTGTTTCTAGAGCAAGATTTTTCAGACTATAGTTTGCAGCCCATTAGTGGGTCTTGAAATCATTTTAGAGGGTTGCGATCAGCATTAAAAACAAGAACAAAAAGAACAGAATAGAAAATAAGAGAGTGTGCTGCACGTTTCCCAGCTGTAAATAACTATCTGTGTGTGAGCCGGGTGCGGTGGCTCGTGCCTGTAATCCTAGCACTTTGGGAGGCTGAGGCGGGTGGATCACCTGAGGTCAGGAGTTCAAGGCTATACTGACCAACATGGAGAAACCCCGTCTCTACTAAAAATACAAAAAATACAAAAACAAAAAACGAGTCGGGCATGGTGGCGTGTGCCTGTAATCCCAGCTACTCAGGAGGCTGAGGCAGGAGAATCGCTTGAACCCAGGAGACGGAGGTTGCAGTGAGCCGAGAATACGCCATTGCACCCCAGGCTGGGCAACAAACGCGAAACTCTGTCTCAAAGGAAAACAACAACAACAACAACAACAAAACAACTATCTGTGTGTGTGGTGGGGGCGGGTGGGAAGGCATACCCTGGGTCTGATTGTAAGATGTGCTTCTCATTGTGGGCTGCAATGAAAAGGGCTTGAAGCCAGTGATTTGGACTAGAAGACTGGGAGTGGGTGCTGGGCACGGTGGCTCACTCCTGCAATCCCAGCACTTTGGGAAGCTGAGGCAGGTAGATCACCTGAGGTCAGGAGTTCGAGATCAGCCTGGCCAACATGGTGAAACCCTGTCTCTACTGAAAATACAAAAAAATTAGCCAGATGTGGTGGCGGGTGCCTGTAGTCCCAGCTACTCGGGAGGGAGGCTGAGGCAGGAGAATCGCTTGAATCCGAGAGGCAGAAGTTGTTGTGAGTCAAGATCACGCTGCTGCACTCCAGTCTGGGCAACAGAGTGAGACTCCGTCTCAAAAAAATAAAAGAGACCTTAAGAAGGAAATCCCTGCATGAAGGTATTTTGCATGAAACCAGTCTCTTTTTATAGCACGTTTGCCAAAGTGCCTAAATGTGACTTGGAAACGAAGTGGTTCATGAGAAGATCCATGGTCCATTTCCCTAGTCTTTGAAACTCTGACTTTAGTCCGTTAAAGGAGAAGAAAAAATGCAGTATTTGTGTTTAAGATTCCTTCTACGCGTCAGACTTGTGGTTCAAGCACTTTTGACTTCACAGTTACAGAATGACAGAATTTAGACCTGGAAGAGTTCTTGGGGATTGAGTTCAGTTTCTTTTGGATTTTTAAGGTAGGAAGAGTGAGGCTAAATGAGGCTAAAGTAACTCTGAATGTAGGATGGGGCAGAGTAGGGAGAGAAGGGTCCTGCAGACTGGAGAAGGCAGGATTGCTGCTCAGAGGAATGCAGGCATGAGGAGGCACCCTACGATCCAGGCACAGTGGCATGTGCCTGTAGTCCCAGCTACTGAATCCCAGAGGCTGAGGTGGGAGGATCTCTTGATCTCTGGAGTTCAAGTCCAGCCTGGGCAACATAGTTAGATCCTCATCTCTAAAACAAAAAATTAAATGTATATAAAAAGGAGGATAGCCTATGTGTGTTTTTTTTCCCAATCATTGCAATAGAAAAACAAAACAAAAACATGTTTAACTTTTTTTCCCAACTCAAAGAAAAGGCTACCTGCTTTTTTTTTTTTTTTTTTTGAGACAGTGTCTCACTCTGTTGCCAGGCTGGAGTGCGGTGGCACGATCTCTGCCCATTGCAACCTCTGCCTCCCAGGTTCAAGCAATTCTTCTGCCTCAGCCTCCCAAGCAGCTGGGACTACAGGTGTGCACCACCATGCCTGGCTAATTTTTTGTATTTTTGGTAGAGACGGGATTTCACCATGTTGGCCAGGATGGTCTCGATTTCTTGACCTCATGATCCACCCGATTCAGCCTCCCAAAGTGCTGGGATTACAGGCGTGAGCCACTGCACCTGGCTGGCTACCTCCATTTTTACTTCCTTGTGGTCTCATTCCTAGAAGGAGGAAGTACAAGGGGCTGCTCCCTTCTCCTTGCTGTACAGCCCCTTGGGGCTCCTTGCTGTACAGCCCTTTGTGACTCCTAAAGCCCTATGTTGCCTTCAGTGACAGAGAGGCCCCCAGGGCCTGGGACACCCGGAGGCCCTGGTTCAGCTGCAGTGAGTGTGAACCATCTGGAGGAGAAGGTCGTGGGAGCAAGGTCAGGAAAGATGACCAGCAATGCCGGTGCTAGATGCAGAGGCTGGTGGAGAAACGTGACAGAAAGGAAGCCAAAGTTCACTCAGTGAACTGGATGCATGGGGCTCCAGGACAGCAGTGTTCAGGCTTGATGCGAGAAATGATGACGACTCGGCTGGGGAACCAGCTGGCCGCGTGGGAGGAGCTGCCCGTTTGTTGACTATCTCCTGTGGTAAGTTTGTTTTGAGTAGTCTGATCCCACTGTTGTGGCTGCAACAAACGTTTCTGTACCTGGTTATCATGAATACCTCGTTAGCTGGAGCCCATGGAGCACAGGGTGCTGGAGACAATACGGCAACAAGCAGGCAGGTGAAGGGTCTTATTCCTCTTGCTCTGTAGCCCTCGTCAACGTTTTTTCTTTTTTTAGATGGAGTCTCACTCTGTCGCCCAGACTGGAGTGCAGTGGCACGATCTTGGCTCATTGCAACCTCCACCTCCTGGGTTCAAGCGATTCTCCTGCCTCAGTCTCCCAAGTAGCTGGGATCACAGGCACGTGCCACCAATGCCTGGTTAATTTTTTTTTTTTTTTTTTTTTGAGATGGAGTCTTGCTCTGGCACCCAGGCTGGAGTGCAATGGTGCGATCTTGGCTCACTGCAACCTCTGCCTCCAGGGTTCAAGTGATTCTCCTGCCTCAGCCTCCCGAGTTGCTGGGATTACAGGCACGTGCCACCACGCCCAGCTAATTTTTGTATTCTTAGTAGAGACGGGGTTTCACCATGTTGGCCTGGCTTATCTCTAACTCTTGACCTCATGATCTGCCCACCTTGGCCTCCCAAAGTGCTGGGATTACAGGCATGAGCCACCACGCCCAGCCCACATCAATGTTCTAAAAACAATTCTGCCCCTAAACACTAAAAGGAAAGGTCAAATTTTGTGAATAATTCCATGAGTGGCAGCCCTTTCCTCAAAATAAATGATAGAGCAGGAAAGGATTATTTTGGATGGAGCTTGTTTCTCTCAATCCCTGATGCAAGTGGTAATAAAATTTTATTCCCTGACTTGTGAAGGCCCGAGGAGCCCTCAAGGAGGGGGATGGGAGGTGGGCACTCCTGGGACTGGTGGTCCCTTAGGAACATGCCAATAGTCAGTGGTTCTGGGGATGCTAGGGATGACTGGTCAAGAGGGCTTGCTGCAGAGTGTGGAGGTGGAGGGGCTAGAGAAGAGGCAGTGTTTTTGAAGGAAGACATAGAAAGAGAGTCCTCACTCGCAGCTGGCTTGCATTACAGTGGTGTGGAGGAAAGAAACGCCAGCACTCACAGCTGTGATCAATTGTACAAAAGTGGGGCAGGGAAGAGAAGGCCCCAGTGGGAGGTTGGCTGGGCCTCAGGGTTAAAAGTTGGGCATGGGTGAGAAGGGTTGGGTCCAAGGATGTTTTGCTGTTGGGTGGTGGTTCCTGAGTGTTGGAGCAGTATTCCAGAACATCAGGACGCACTTGTAAGGAATGCCAAAGTTTTCCTGGAGCCAACTTTTTAGTTCTGGTTGCTACCAAGCCTCTGCTCCATACTTGGTGTTCCTATGCTCAGCTGGCTTCCAACTCTCTATGAAGCAGTAAGGATCCAGCACAGAGCTTCCTCTAAGATGCTACCAGAAAAGTAAATGAAGAGTTTCCCGAATTAGAGGAACACCCCAGGAACTGGAAGGCTGATTCAGTGAATGCCCTTTAGTATCCCAAGCAAAGTAGCTCTCCTATTGGTGCTCCACTCCCGAAAACATGAGTGAAAGGTAAATTCACGTGTGGTCTGGTGCCTGGTGAAACCTACTAGGAGGTGGGAGTCACCATGCAGTGGCTCCTGGTTTCCATCACTGTACTTGCAAACCCTGAGGCCGTGTGCCACACAGTTGAAAACGAACACAGGCTGGGCTTCAAGACAACTAGTTCTGTTACTCTCTGCGTGATCTCAGGTAAAGCCCTGAACTGCTCCAGGCCTCAGATTCTCACCTGTGAAATAACTAAAGTAGACTAGATCATCGCTAGATCGTTGCTGATGTCCTTCCAGCTTCTTTTTTTTTTTTTTAATTTTTTACTTTTTGAGATGGAGTTTCGCTCTTGTTGCCCAGGCTGGAGTGCAATGGCGTCGTCTCAGCTCACGGCAACCTCTGCCTCACAGGTTCAAGCGATTCTCCTATCTCAGCCTCCTGAGGAGCTGGGATTACAGGCATGTGCCACCATGCCCAGCTAATTTTTGTATTTTTAGTACAGATGTGGTTTCACCATGTTGGTCAGGCTGGTCTCAAACTCCTGACTTCAGATGATCCACCTGCCTCGGCCTCCCAAAGTGCTGGGATTACAGGCTTGAGCCACTGCACCTGGCCGTCCTTCCAACTTTAACATCTACAAACGATGAACCCAGAAGAGAGAGCAAAGGCCAGGAGCTGGAAACAGGAGCTTTTGTTGAGGCCATCAAAAGAACGAAGGGTGTCACAGGAAGGTAATTCTAGCGCTCCTTAGCCAAGACAGAACAAAAGAATGATGGTGACACTCACTAAGAAATTCATAGAGAAGGCCGGGCATGGTGGTTCACGCCTATAATCCCAACATTGTGGGAGGCTGAGGCGAGCAGATCACTTGAGGTCAGGAGTTTGAGACCAGCCTGGCCAACATAGTGAAACCCCGTCTCTACTAAAAATGCAGAAAAATTAGCCAGCCGTGGTGGCACATGCCTATAGTCCCAGCTGCTTGGGAGGCTGAGGCAGGAGAATCACTTGAAACTGGGAGGTGGAGGTTGCAGTGAGCCGAGATCATGCCACTGCACTCCAGCCTGGGCAACAGAGCAAGCCTCCATCTCAGGAAAAAAAAAAAAAGAATCTCAGAGAAACGTGTCTGAGAGGTTTCCAGTGGCTGCAGTGCATCCAAAAGGTGAAGATGACAGTGTTTCAAAGCCAGTGTAGTCTGGGAGGGATTCGACTCCAAGAGAAGAACTGGAATAAGCTTCCAGCCCCAGGATATGTCAGTGATGGGTCTGGATTAGAAGACAACAGCATTTGTGGCTATGCCAAACTCTAAATCTTGCTCTAATTGGTATCTTGTTGGTGTTCATATGCAAAAATAGGTGGTTAATACTTAACATTTAATCAGGCTGTACAATTATACTATTAAAATTGTATTTTTTTTTTGAAATGGAGTCTTGCTCTGTTGCCCAAGCTGCAGTATAGTCGTGCCATCTTGGCTTACTGCAGCCTCCCTCCTGGGTTCAAGTGATTCTCCTGCCTCAGCCTTCTGAGTAGCTGGGATTACAGGCGCCTGCCATCATGCCCAGCTAATTTTTGTATTTTTAGTACAGACGGGGTTTCACCATGTTGGCCAGGCTGGTCTCGAATTCCTGACCTCAGGTGATCAATCTGTCTCAGCCTCCCAAAGTGCTGGGGTTACAGGCGTGAGCCACTGCACCTGCCTAAAATTGTGTTTTTCATAGGACTTTGCTGAACTAAATGTACTTATCTCTAAGACTCTGTCAACCATGCTGAGGACTAGCTAGACCTCTGAAGTATCTTATGGATGCCAGAGCAGCAAGGTGGCAGCTTTAAACACTTTCGGCTAGGCCTTGGGCAAACTCATCTCCCTAGAGAGGTGTGGTGAGAAGCCCAACCTCCTGGGATGGCAAATGTTGCTGGGTGCAACCAATTCTAAAAAGGACATGGGATTCTCATTTAAGCTTGTGTAAACTTATTAAAAATGAACCAAACCGAACAAATAAGAGGATGAAAGTGCACAGCTACATATGAACTTATTTGTGTAGTTACCTATATGTCAAAGACAAGGTTCAAACTCCTGTATGTGTCAAGATTTGCCCACCTAATCCTACTTATCACTAGCCAGTAGTCTATCATTTAGCTTATGGTTTAACGCACTACAAACATATAAGTCAATTTCTTATTTGTTTTATTTTTTAATTTGCTTTTTAAAGACAAGGTCCACCCCAGCTGGAGAGCAGTGGTGCAGTCATAGCTCACTAGCCTCAAACTCCTGGGCTCACGTGATCCTTCCACCTCAGCCTCCTGAGTAGCTGGAACTACAGGCATGTGCCAGCATGCCCAGCTCATAAATTCCTTGAATATTAAAAACTTTGTCCCCTATTAAGGTGTTTTTCATTTGTTTGTTTGTTTGTTTGTTTGTTTTAAGAGATGGGGTCTTGCTATGTTGCCCAAGCTGGTCTCAAACTCCTGGGCTCAAGCAATCCTCCTGCTTTGGCCTCCTAAAGTGCTAAGATTATGGGCGTGAGCCACCATGCCCGACCTCCCTCTAAAACTTTTTGCACATATTTGTTTACGTGCAGCTCTGACTTTATCATTCAGCCTGGTCTGTAGGTTTAGCCAAAACTTTGGGGAACTGAAATTAGTAAAGTAAAAAACAAAATGTTCATCATCAGGAAAATGAAGGCGAGGGTGTAGAGAAGTATTTATCTGTTGTCATGACCACAGAACAAGCCATCACAACAGCATTCTTTCCTTTCCATCTGTCAAACTCTTGCTTGACAGAGCCACTAGAACACTCAATGTCCAGCCTAAAGATAAAACAGAGCAAAAATGTTATTCTAAACTTGATAGATTTTTGGCTCAACTTAAAACCCTTTTATAACTCATACAATCTTTGCCATAACTCCCTGAAGCTTCCTCTTGCAGTGGGAGACTCACAGCGATGATGAGAGAATAAATTGTGTTTGTGGGGGAGAGTGCTGCGGGGGTGGCTACCGACCTAGAGTGGGCGAAGGTCCTCTCTGGGATGTCACCGGGCCACGCACTGAGTCTGTGACATGTCCTGTTCTCATGCCCTGTTCCATGCCCTCATTAAGTTAGGGGCTACAGCTGGAAATCAGGAGAATAAGGAGGCTTTCTGCCACGTGAGCGGAGCAGGGTTGGGCATGAGTGCATGTGCAGCCCCAGGAGTACTGGGGATGAGGGTACCAGCTGTAATTTAACCTGAAGACTTTCTTTTTTCTTTTTTTAATTTTTTTAATTGAGATAGAGTCTCACTCTGTTGCCCAGGCTGGAGTGTAGCGGTGTGATCTCAGCTCACTGCAACCTCCACCTCCCAGGTTTAAGTGATTCTCCTGCCTCAGCCTCCTAAGTAGCTGGGATTACAGGCGCCCGCCACCATGCCCGCTAATTTTTGTATTTTTAATGGAGACGGGGTTTCACCATGTTGGCCAGGCTGGTCTTGAACTCCCAACCTCAGGCGATCCACCTGCCTTGGCCTCCCAAAGTGCTGGGATTACAGGGATGAGCAATTGCACCTGGCCCTTTTTTAAAAAATTTTTTCTTTCTTTATTTTTTTTGAGACAGAGTCTCGCTCTGTTGCCCAGGTTGGAGTGCAGTGGCTCAATCTCAGCTTACTGTAACCTCTGCCTCCTAGGTTCAAGTGATTCTCCTGCCTCAGCCTCCTGAGTAGCTGGGATTATAGGCGTGTGCCACCACGCCCAGCTAATTTTTGTCTTTTTGGTAGAGACAGGGTTTCACCATGTTGGCCAGGCTGGTCTCGAACTCCTGGCCTCAAGCAATCCACCGGCCTCAGCCTCCCAAAATACTGGGATGACAGGCGTGAGCAACTGCGCTTGGCCTAAAGACTTTCCAGAATTTTCCAGGTCAGGCAACTTGCAGCCAACCATTGGTCCCCAAACCCTTGTTTGTCATGGCCTGGCCAAAGAACACTTCAATTCCCTATGGCTACTTTCCCATAAATCAGACAGATCGAGGTGGATACGGATTCTTCCACCTGGCCCATGGAGTCAGAGAGTTTCAAAGCTGGGGGAGGCCTTGGGGGTGACCTGATCATACCTGTCTCACTGGGACCCTGCTGGAAGGCCAAAGGCTGTAAGGGAGGCGGGGAGGGCCCTGAGGAGAAAAGCACAGACTTCCCCATGACCTGTTAGCCTGACTGCTGAGCACAAAGCGGGTCCTGAGGGCCTGTGCTAGGGAGACTTTCCTTATACATTTCTGTAAACGGACAGGGCCCCAGACCCTGCCCTTCACCCAACCCTGGAGTCTGCAGCCCAGCTGCTTTCCCTCCGTCCTCTCCAAAGCCCGGCAGCTCTCCCACTCCCTGCTTCTTTGAGCAGAATGACGGATCCTCTGCACGCCTGTTAGTTACCCATGTGACAGGGCCGTAGGGGGCATGAAATGACGCAGGTCAGACCCTCAGAAGGCGCCCGGCACAGAGGCCGCTCAGAGGCCACTCCACGCCCCGTCGCTGCCGTCATCCTCATCAGCTTTGCTCACGCGTTGTTTACCCTCTTCCTGTCTCAGAGCTCTTCGGGCCTTTCTTTACGCAGATTTCCATCTCTTCAGGTCTGCATGGAACCCGTGTAGGATGGAAGGACGATTTATTGGGCAGCGGGGAGAGCATGTGGAGCCATTTGTAACAGGAAAAGCGAGGGCTGCTTTCAGAGAAAACAAGACAGCGGAGTCCCGGAAAGTCAGAGCCATGCGGGGCCGCGTCTTATGAACGAGGAGACCCAGGGCCAACGGCTAAGGATGCTCAGGGGTCCCCCCTACTCTGGGAAACCTCCCTGAGTGATGGCGGAGGGATGTGTACCTCTGAAAGCTGTAAAGGGTCTAAAAACCCAATGACGGTCTTTCTCACACTCGCACACCATTACTGTACCATGGCCTGGCTCTCGCTCCAAGGAGGGCACCACAATTATCCACGTTCCTGCTGCCTTCTCTTCTCCCACAGAAATCCCATCCTCACAGCGCCTGACATTTGGCAGCTGCTGCAGAAGAAAACCCCTGATGGGCACAACGTGCCCGTGGGGAGACCTGCTTGTGGCAGCCACAGCTGGCATCTGACCCACTCACGGCATGAGCCGTTTGAAAAGACGAAACCTCCAAGGGCAGAATGCCAGGCACTATGGAAGGTTGGAGAGAAACACCAGTGCCTTTCCTATGGACTGCACTGGTGACTGTCTCCTCTGTTGAGGGGTCCCAGAGCAGGGCAGGGAGGGTGGCTGGGGAACAGCCAAGGCCCAGGAATCCAGGCAGGGTCCACTCTCGGCCACTGGACTTTGCTCATTTTTGTCTGTCTCTGGTGACAGCAGCTCTGTGGGAGGGGCTGGCCCAGCGTCCAACCTGTCCACCCGGAAATCTGTCCAGCAAAAAGGCGGAGGCGTCAAGTCCTCTCTCAGACGTCACTGGGGCAGGCATTTCCAGGTTTCTTTCTTTCTTTTTTTTTTTTAGACAGGGTCTCGCTCTGTCGCCCAGGCAGGAGTGCGATGGCATGATCTCGGCTCTCCACAACCTCTGCCTCCCAGGTTCAAATGATTCTTCTGCCTCAGCCTCCCGAGTAGCTGGGATTACAGGTGCACGCCACCACGACCAGCTAATTTTTGTATTTTTAGTAGAGACGGGATTTCACCATGTTGGCCAGGCTAGTCTTGAACTCCTGATCTCAGGTGATCCACTCGCCTCGGCCTCCCAAAGTGCTGGGATTACAGGCGTGAGCCACTGAGCCTGGCTGGCATTTCCAGGTTTCTTTGTGCCCTGAGCCTTCTGACATGTCCTCCTGCATTGCCCTTTGGAGATGTGTTTGTCTCTGACAAGGCCCCTTCCCTTTTCTGTTCCCACCTTTTCTCTCCCTGCACTTAATGTTTTTAAGTTTTTTTTCTTCTCCTTAATTTTTAGAGACAGAGTCTCTCTCTGTCACCAGTGAGACTGGTGTCTCACTGTACTTTTACCAGAAAAATGGATGATACTTTGTTTTCTTCCCCCTGGAGGGAGTCTGGGGGAGGCTGGGGTGTGTGAGGGGGCCCACGGCTCCTCTCCAGCTGTGCCCTTCCCAGACATCTTCTCAGGGTGGGTCCTCCCCAAGTCTAGCATCTTCACCCCGCAGGCACGTTCCCGGGGGACTCTGTCCCCACCACCACTCCTGGGGGGTGCTGGGTTTCCTTGGCTGGCTTTCCACTTCTAGCCCAGGCCTTTCTGAAATCCATCATTTTCCCCTCCCCCACATCCAAGCCTGAGAATTCCACCTCTAGCGGATGGAGGGAGTGGGGGATGGAGAAGATAAAGACAGTTACTATGGTGCTGATGAAATCCGATCCTGGCCACTGAAGGGTTATTACTCATCCTGGCTTCCAGGGCTCCAACCTTGAGAACTCCCTGGGCTGAATTCCCCAGTGCCCGGGAGCTTGGAGAGCTCCTCAGCGCCCAGCACCAGCTGCAAGGCTTACAGAGAGGGCCTGCTTCCTGAGCTGACAAAAGTGCACCGGGAGTACGATCACGCTGACATTTAAAAGTGCATAGCGAACTAAAACACAGGGTGGGAGCAGGCTGGGAACAGCCAGATGGCTGCTGTCCAAAGAGGTGCATCAGAAAGGTGACCAGATGCGGCGCATGAGGGGAGAGGGTGGGGCCGCTTCCCGCCCCGCCTCCTGAGGAATTCCACATCTACGGAGTTTGTCCCTTCCATTCTTCTATGCCTTTTTTTTTCCTTCCCTTTTGTTTTCCATAGTTCAGAGTCAGATTTCCTCTCCAAACCACAGTGCTTCAGGTTTTTTTTTGTTTTTGGCACTGCTTCTTTCCAGATGGACTTCTCAGGTGGCCTCATCTGCACCACCCGGTTGGCTGGCCCCGCATCTCAGCCCTTCCTGGGGCTGCAGCCACACCCCTCACGCTTCTGTGCCCCCAGTTCCAAAGCAAAGAAGGCTCTGATTCAGTATTTCAAAAATGAGCTTCTTTTTAGAAGCTCAGAACGAACCCAAGTCCTTGTCTGCATTTCCTTCCGGATCTTCTTTGTTTTGTGACGTGGCCTTAGCAAATTATTGAATGTGCCCACTGGGACGGGGGTGGCCTCCTATGGGGCACTGAGTTTGTGTGTGTGATGGGAGGGGATTTGCTTTAACGGTGAGGAGGGATGCCCTCACGATGGTCTGTCCTCTTGAGCATGGCCCTGCAGCCTTCTGTGAGCTGGCCTCTGTCCACCACTGCCGGCTCATCTCTCCCTCCCCCATCTTCCTCTCTCTGGGCCAGCCCTAGTGAACTACTTTGCAGTTCTTTTTCTCTCTCTTTTTTTTTTTTTTTTTTTTTTGAGTTTCACTCTTGTTGCCCAGGCTGGAGTGCAATGGCGCAATCTCAGCTCACTGTAACCTCCGCCTCCCGGGTTCAAACGATTCTTCTTCAAGCCTCCCAGGTAGCTGGGATTACAGGCGTGGACCACCACGCCCAACTAAATTCTTTTGTATTTTTAGTAGAGACGGGGTTTCACCATGTTGTTCAGGCTGGTCTTGACCTTCTGACCTCAAGTGATCCACCTGCCTCGGCCTCCCAAAGTGCTGGGATTACAGTCATGAGCCACCGCGCCTGGCCTACTTTACAGTCCTGAAGGTGACAGCTAGGCCTCACCTGTCCCCATATCTATGTAGGATGGCTCCTTTTGCCTGCAATGTGCTGACTACTTGTTCTGAGTGTTGGCCCTCAGAACTCGCCTCCCTGGGAGTGAGTGCCCTCCCTCGGTCTCCAGAACTCACTGCCTCTACCTGCCTCTAATGTGGTCCTGGAGAGTCGGCTTATGTCTCTGTTACCCCACTGCACTGAGACAAGTCTGTGTTTTTCTTTTCTTTTCTTTTTTTTTTTTTTTTGAGACAAGGTCTTGTTCTGTTGCCCAGGTGGAGTGCAGTGGCATGATCATAGCTCACTGCAACCTTGAACTTCTGGGCTCAAGTGATCTTCCTACCTCAGCTTCCCTAGTAGCAGGGACTGTAGGCTCGAGCCACCATACCTGGCTAATTTTTTTTTTTTTTTTTTTTACGTTTTTTGTAGAGATGGGGGTCTTACTGTGTTGCCCAGGCTGGTCTCAAACTACTTCCCTCAAGCAGTCCTTCCACGTCAGCCTCCTAAAGTGCGGTGATTACAGGCGTGAGCCACCATGCCAGCTGTGTCTTTTCTCTGTTTTCCTACCACATAGCAGAGTGTATGACACATGGCAGAATGAGTGGAAAGCCCACCAATGCCAGGGAAGTCGCACACAGCAGTGCAAAACAGTGTGCCCCCCAGATCTCCAGTCTGAGCTGCCGACTGATTCCATCCTTTATTTTATTTTATTTTTTATTTTTTGAGATGGAGTCTCGCTCTGTCACCAGGCTGGAGTGCAGTGGCATGATCTCGGCTCACTGCAACCTCTGCCTCCTGGGTTCAAGCAATTCTCCTGCCTCAGCCTCTTGAGTAGCTGGGACTACAGGCACACGCCACCATGCCCAGCTAATTTTTGTATTTTTAGCAGAGACGGAGTTTCACCATGTTGGCCAGGATGGTCTCAATCTCTTGACCTTGTGATCCACCCGCCTCGGCCTCCCAAAGTGCTGGGATTACAAGTGTGAGCCACTGCGCCTGGCCTATTTTATTTTTATTTTTGAGATGGAATGTCATTCTGTTGCTCAGGCTGGAGTGCAATGGTGCGATCTCAGCTCACTGCAGCCTCTGCCTCCTGGGTTCAAGCGATTCTTGTACCTCAGCCTCTCAAGTAGCTGGTGTTACAAGCACGAGCCACCATGACTGGCTGATTTTTGTATCTTTAGTAGAGACTGAGTTTCATCATGTTGGCCAGGCTGGTCTTGAACTCCTGACCTCAGGTGATCCGCCTGCCTCGGCCTCCCGAAGTGCTAGGATTACAGGCATGAGCCACCGTGCCTGGCCATCCTTTATTTGTGGGGGCAGGAGGGAAGGTCTCCCTCTGTTGCCCAAGCTGGAGTGCAGTGGTGAGATCTCAGCTCACTGCAATGTCCACCTCCCAGGTTCAATCGATTCCCGTGCCTCAGCCTCCCAAGTAGCTGGGATAACAAGCGTGGGCCACCATGGCTGGCTAATTTTTCTATTTTTAGTAGAGACGGAGTTTCACCATGTTGCACAGGCTGGCCTCGAACTCCTGGTCTCAAGTGATCCACCCACCTCAGCCTCTCAAAGTGCTGAGATTACAGGTGTGAGTCACCGCGCCCAGCCTATTCCATCCTTATCTCAGAAGGGCTTACTCTTCAATGCTAGGCGGTCACCTGCTCTACAGACTAGAGGGTCCAAGAGCGACTGTCATTCAAACGCTTTAGCAGAAGTAGCCAAGGCGGGTACCTGAGCTTGTCTGCAATGAAGATGACCCTCCTCTCCAGAAGCAGGGAGGCAAACACACAGACCAGGTGGCGGACGCTGAGGGAGGAGAAGAGAGACTCAAAGTCCACGTGCTCGAGCCGGGAGTCCAGCGGGCGGCACAGTTCGATCACCTGCCAGGGAACAGGAGCAGCCATGAAGGAGGGGCCCAGCTACGCAGCCAGGCCTCTCACGGGTGTCGCAGTCCCAGGGCTCTGAGGTCCTCATCAGGGGTGACCCACTGGTGGGGGAAAAGGGAAAGAAAAAAAGCAAAACAAAAGGATTGGGGGAAAAGAAAGATGCCAGAAGACGGGGGGCGGAGGAGGTAGCTTTGGTAGGGAAGCAAGCGTCTCACACTCAGCTATGAGACTGAGGACAGTGTGGACGAACGGGATGACAGAGGATGGCAAAATCAATGGTTTCCGGCCCCACATGGTTGCGGGGCTCTCTCTGGCAACAGCATATCTGTACTCCCCATGGAGAGTTTATAGGACTTTTGAAAACGGTTCTGTCCCTGAGAGTCCCAGTGGAGAGCATCTCTGTCTCTTGAGGAACTGTTACCTGCTAGGTGGAAATCCCAGACTAGCATGGAACGCCCAGCAGGCCTGAGCAGCACTTCGGAGACTCGCTGCCACCTCAAGAAGGTGTTTTTTAGGTAACCCTGACACCATCCCACTCCATTTCTGATGATATGTGCTTTCAGCTTTTGTGCTTTGTGTCTATATCTTCTTTTTTTGAGATGGAGTCTTACTCTGTTGCCCAGGCTGGAGTGCAGTGGTGCAGTCTTGGCTTATTGCAGCCTCCGCCTCCCAGGTTTGAGCGATTCTCCTGCCTCAGCTTCCCAAGTAGCTGAGATTACAGGTGCCCGCCACCATGCCTGGCTAATTTTTGTATTTTTAGTAGAGACAGGGTTCCACCATGTTGGCCAGGCTGGTCTCGAACTCCTGACTCCAAGTGATCCACCTGCCTCGGCCTCCCAAAGGGAGGGATTACAGGCATGCTGGGATTACAGGTGTGAGCCACCGTGTACCCAGCCTGTGTGTATATCTTCTTATTCTGCACTTGTTGAAATGTTCCTGAATTCCCTCAAGTTGGTACCCATGTGCATGTTTTTTTCTCTTTAAATAGCTGCCTCCCTCCCGGTGAGCAGAGAGTGGATTTCACTCTTAGTGTTGCACCGCCTGGTGCTGCCCCAACGGTGAGGCTTCCTCTCCAGTAACCTCCCTGCTACATCCCCATGGCCAAGCCACTGCATCTGGTATGGGATGGTTTCAGGTTCTCTAGCAACACAGAGATTGCTGTTCTCTCTGCTGGGAAACTAGGTTGTTCCAGAGTGTTCCAGGCCTATTCTCCTCCCTCCTTTGTTTCCAGAGGTGATCTGGTTTGCTGAGGGTCTCTGAAACTGAAGACTCAAGGCTAAATGGGGTCCTTCTTCTGATGTCCACCAAGCCATGCAAAGGGGGTGGGAGGGATGAAAACAAACTCCTTCATAAAATCCCAGCCCAGGCTGGGCGCGGTGGCTCACGCCTGTAATCCTAGCACTTTGGGAGGCTGAGGCGGGTGGATAATGAGGTCAGGAGTTTGAGACCATCCTGGCCAACATGGTGAAACTCCGTCTGTACTAAAAATACAAAAATTAGCCGGGTGTGGCAGCAGGCACCTGTAGTCTCAGCTACTTGGGAGGCTGAGGCAACAGAATAGCTTGAACCTGGGAGGCAGAGGTTGCAGTGAGCCGAGATCACACCACTGCACTCCAGCCTGGGCGACAGTGCAAGACTTTGTCTCAAAAACAAAAACAAAAAATAAAGTTATAGAGGTGATACAGACTTGAAATGTAAATAGGTTTCAATAAAATGTATGAAAGAAAACGGGCTATTAAAAGAAATTAAGGATGTTCAGTGCAGATCCCTAACCTGAGGCCAACATCATGCAAAGGAACACCCCAGCTGCCATAGCATAGTTCTTGGGCTTGCCGCATTGGGCAGAGTCCTAGGCTGGATGGATTGAGGGTGGAACTCATGATGAGTGATCTGGGCCAGCTCTAGGGGTGGGGAGAAGACACCAAGGAATTGGACTGCTCACTGAAAGGCAGCCCCTCTGAGCACGGAGACTCGGCTGTCTGGGCCACTGCCTCCCCAGGGAGAAGGAAGGAGTCTGACAACTCACCTCAGTTCCTGAACCTGGCAGGAAGTTCTTGACAAGGATGGTTTTGCCCAGGGCTGGGAAAGGGGCTTCCATGACACTTCTCATGAGTGGCTGAACCAGGGCAGGAGAGATGCCTCGTCTTTTTTCCACCTCATCCAAGATCTGCAAGGGTCAGAAAAGCAGCTTAGCTATTCCGAAGCCAAAGCACCAAGGTGGAGCTCAGTTCTAGGTGAAGTGGGCCTGCCATGGTGACTCAAGAATTATGGGGAAGCCCTGCTTTCCCCATGAGGCCAAAACAGGCCCTTTGACCCTACACATGATTGTCCCCAATTCTTCTCTCCTCTGTGTGTCCACACCCTTTGCCATGCAATGTTGCAGCTCCTACTCAGGAGTGAAGTCCACTTCCTTGCCCCTTTGACCTAGGGTTTGGCCATGTGACAGGTTGTACTAATACATGCATTCTCAATGAAGGTAATATAACCCCAAGGGGGTAAGAACTGGTTTTTGGGAGGAATGAAAAAACTTAGATATTACAGTGGTTTGTAGCCCTCTAAGAGGTCACAGTACATAAACAGATATACAGTTTATTTATGAAATGAAAATGTCATGGGAGGGGATAGCCATCATGAAAATACAAATCAAAAGCACCATGAGATACCACTTCACACCCGTTAGGATGACTCTAATAAAAAGATGGATAAGAACAAGTGTTGACAAGGACATGGAGAAATTAGAAATCTCATACACTGCTGGTAGGAATGTAAAATAGTGAAGCTACTCTGGAGAACAGTCTGGTAGTTCCTCAAAAGGTTAAACATAGAGTTACCATATGACCCAGCACATAGCACTCCTAGGTACCTACCCAAAAGAAGTGAAAACATATATGTTCACATAAAAATTTGTACATGATTGTCTGTAGCGGCATTATTCATAATAGCCACAACACAGAAGAAACTTAAATGTCCATTAACTGATGAAGTGATAAACAAAATGCACTATATCCATATAATGGAATATTATTTGGCCATCAAAGTGCTGATACATGCTATAACTTGGATGACTCTTGAAAACATTATGCTAAATGAAAGAAGCTAGTCATAAAAGGCCATCTAATGTATGATTCCACTTAGATGAAATGTCCAGAATAGAAAAATCCAGAGAGACAGAAAGTGGATTGGAGGTTGCTTAGAGTTAGGGAGTGGCGGCTAATAGGTATAGGGTGTTTTGTTGGGGTGATGAAAATGCTCTAAAATTGTGGTGATGGTTGTATAACTCTGTGAATATGCTGAAAGCCACTGAACTGTATATATTTTTTATTTTTTATTATTTTAGAGATGGGAGTCTTGCTAGGTCGCCCAGGCTTGCCTTCAACTTCTGGGCTCAAGTGTCCTCCTATGTCAGCCTCCTGAGTAGCTGAGACTACAGGCGCTTGCCACTGTGCTCAGCAAATTGTGTACTTTAAATGAATGAATTGCATGGTATGTGAATTATATCTTAATAAAGCTACTACTAAAAAACTAAAAAAAAAAAAAAAAATTCCAAACTCTCCACAATCTAATTGTAAATTGAAGAGTCTAAATTAAAATGCCGTTTATGAAGCTGGGTGAGATGGCACACACCTGTAATCCCAGCTACTTGGAAGGCTGAGGCAGGAGAATTGCTTGAGCCCAGGAATTTGAGGCTGCAATGAGCTATGATCATGCCACCACACTCCAGCCTGGGCAACATAGTGAGACCCAGTCTCTATTTTTAAAAACTGCCATTTATAAAAGTATCACATGTAGCTATTGAGCCCTTGAAATATGGCTAGTCTGAATTCAGAGGTTTTTTTACTTTATTTTTTATTTTTTTTTGAGACAGAGTTTCGCTCTTGTTGCCCAGGCTGGGGTGCAGTGGCATGATCTCGGCTCACTGCAACCTCTGCCTCCTGGGTTCAAGCAATTCTCCTGCCTCAGCCTCCCGAGTAGCTGGGATTACAGGCATGCACCACCACGCCTGGCTAATTTTGTAGTTTTAGTAGAGACGGGGTTTCTCCATGTTGGTTAGGCTGGTCTCGAACTCCCGACCTCAGGTGATCCACCCACCTCGGCTTCCCAGTGTTGGGATTACAGGCATGAGCCACTGTGCTGGCCCAGATGTATTGTTAAATGTAAAATACCAGCCGGGCATGGTGGCTCCCACCTGTAATCCCAACATTTTGGGAGGCCAAGGCTGGCGGATCACTTGAGGTCAGGAGTTTGAGACCAGCCTGCCAACACGGTGAAACCCCATCTCTACTAAAACTACAAAATTAGCCAGGCGTGGTGGCAGGCTATATTCCCAGATATATTCCCAGATACATGGGAGGCTGAAGCAGAAGAATTGCTTGAATCCAGTAGGCAGAGGTTGTGGTGGGCTGAGATCGCGCCATTGCACTCCAGCCTGGGTGACAAGAGCAAAACCATCTAAAAAAAAAAAGTGTAAAATACCAATGGAATTTCAAAATACACATTTTTTTTTTCCAGAATGAGTCTTGCTCTGTCGCCCAGGCTGGAGTGCAATGGCGCAATCTTGGCTCACTGCAACCTCTGCCTCCTAGCAAGCAATTCTCATGCCTCAGCCTCCCAAGTAGCTGGGATTACAGGCATGTGCCACCACACCCAGCTAATTCTTGTATTTTTAGTAGAGACGGAATTTTGCCATGTTGGCCAGGCTGGAACTCCTGACCTCAGGCGATCCAACCACCTCGGCCTCCCAAAGTGCTAGGATTACAGGTGTAAGCCGCCATGCCCGGCCCTCGAAATAGACAATTAATAACATAAAATATATCAATGATTTTTTTCATGTTAACTATATGCTGAAATAAAATAATATTTTGTACATATTGTGTTAAATAAAATTTATTATTAAAATTAAAAAGACAGTATGGCAGTTCCTCAAAAAACTAAATAGAATGACCATATGATCCAGCAACTCTATTTGTGGGTGTATACCCAAAAGAATTGAAGCAGGGACTTGAATAGATATTTATTTGGACACCTATGTTCCTAGCAGAATAATTCACAATGGCCACAACGTGGAAACAACCCAAATGTCCATCAATGGATAAATGGATAAATAATCAATCAATGGATAAATGGATAAATAAAATGTTGTACATACATACAGTGGAATATTATTCAGCCACAAAAGGAATGAAGTACAGATACATGCTACGACATGAGTGAACCCTGAAAATATTATGCTAAGTGAATCGAAGCCAGTCACAAAAGGACAACTGTTGATCGTTCTACCTCTGTAACATTCCTAGAATCCTGGAATTCATAAAAATAGAAAGTAGAATGGCGATGGTGAGGGGTTAGGGGAGGGGATAGGGGTGGGGTTAGGGGTGGGGTTAGGGGAGGGGGAATGGGAAGCTATTGTTTAATGGGTACAGAGTTTCTTTTTTCTTTTGAGACAGAGTTTCGCTCTTGTTGCCCAGGCTGGAGTGCAATGGCATGATTTTGGCTCACTGCAACGTCTGCCTCTCAGGTTCAAACGATTCTCCTGCCTCAGCCTCCCGAGTAGCTGGGATTACGGACGCCCACCACCACACTCACTTAATTTTTTTCTTTTTTTGAGCCTGAGTTTCGCTGTTGTTGCCCAGGCTGGAGTGCAGTGGTGCGATCTGGGCTCACTGCAACCTCTGCTTGCCAGGTTCAAGCGATTCTCCTGCCTCAGCCCCTGGCTAATTTTTGTATTTTTAGTAGAAATGGGGTTTCACCATGTTTGCCAGGCTGGTCTTGAACTCCTGACATCAGGTGATCTGCCCCTCTTAGTCTCCCAAAGTGCTGGGATTACAGGTGTGAGCCACTTCATCCAGCTTTAGCTAATTTTCGTAATTTTAGTAGAGATCGGGTTTCACCATGTTGGTCAGGCTGGTCTTGAACTAATGACCTTAGGTGATCCACACCTCGGCCTCCCAAAGTGCTGGGATTACAGGCGTGAGCCACCGCGCCTGGCCTCAATGGGTACAGAGTTTCTGTTGGGGGAGATGAAAAAGCTCTGGAGATAGATGGTGGTGATGGTTGCACAACAATGTGAGTGTAATGGCACCGAACTGTTAAAATGGTTAAGATGGTAAATTTTTTGTTATGTATATATTTTAGCACAAGAAAAAGACAATAATATGAACAAAAATAAAAAGAATTTTGGGGGAGACAGTTAGGGAAAACACACCTGAAAAGGCTGCTTAGGGGGACAGTAATGAAAAAAAAGCTTGTGGCCGGGCACAGTGGCTCATGCCTGTAATCCCAGCACTTTGGGATGCCGAGGCAAGCAGATCACCTGAGGTCAAGAGTTCGAGACCAGCCTGGCCAACATGGTGAAATCCCGTCTCTACTAAAAATACAAAAATTAGCTGGGTGTGGTGGCGGGCTCCTGTAATCTCAGCTACTCGGGAGGCTGGGAAGGAGAATCACTTGAACCTGGGAGGTGGAGGTTGCAGTGAGCCAAGATCACGCCACTGCCCTCCAGCCTGGGCGACAGAGCAAGACTCCATCTCAAAAAAAAAAAAAAAAAAAAAAAGAAAGGAAAAAGGAAAAGAAAAAAAGCCTTTGGGACACTGGGCAGAACGAGGCAGAAGCGTTGCCATGCGGGTTCTCTGGCCAGGCCTTAGGAGGCCTGCCTTCGTGTTTTGTGTGCCCTTTTGTGCCTCTGCCATTGCCACGAGAAGAGCACATGTGGGCCATCTCACTGTCTAGGAGCATGGGAGACATGTGGACCAGGCCTGCGCCCAGACTTGTAGCCTCTAGAGCAGCTAGACCAGCCTCAATCAGCCAACCCAGCCTCTTCACAATACTTGCCAAGCCCAAACCCCAGCTGACCTCACAGCTGGGAGAACAAATGATTGAATCTTGAAGCCTCTGTGGTTCACTAGACAGTATTACTATAGCAATTGTTAACTGATACCCTTTTCTTCAGAAATTCTGAGACCTGCTCTTCTTCTCCATGACTCCTTTCTGTTCTAAAGGACAATATGCATTTTGGCCATCCTTGCTCCACGCCTAGAAATAGCTCAAGTTCCTGGGATCAGTTAGCTAAAGCTCTGGTTCTGGTTCTGTCCTGAATAACTGCTGTGTGGTCTTCGGCAAGTCATTACACTGCACTCCTAAAATATCCCTGGTCAGAAAACAGACATGAAAACAAAGGACTGTGCATCACAGAAATATGTTAGCACATTTACTGGCTCCACGTCCCCTGCCCATGACAGCAGTGAAGCTTACGTGAACTTCAAAGCCTCCACTTGGAAGCTGGCCTAACTCACATGAGCTGTTTTACTTCTGGTGTTCATAAGCATTCTGACAACAACAAAGGCTATGACCTATAACCTTACTTCACATGTAAACAAATCACATGAAAGCCTGGCCTGAGCAGTAATGCCTAGTCTGCTAGACCTTGCCAATGGCCAACCCCAACATAAAGTGATGAGCACTTCTGGTGGAGGGGAGGGGAGACCTTGGCTCAGATTACACTGATAGCATTCATTTTCTTTCTTTCTTTTTCTCTCTTTTTCCCTTCTTTCATTTTCCCTTCCTTCCTTTCCCTCTCTCTCTCCCTTCCTCCCTCCCTCTCCCTCTCCTTTCCCTTCCTTCTTCTTTCTTTTTCTTTTCTTTCTTTACAGGGTCTCACTATATTGCCAAGGCTGGAGTGCACTGGTGTGAACATGACTCGCTGCAGCCTCAGCCTCCTAGGCTCAAGCAATCCTCCCACCGCTCAGCCTCCCAGGTAGCTGGAACTACAGGTGCACACTACCATGCCTGGCTAATTTTTTTGTATTTTTTGTAGAGACAGGGTTTCACCATGTTGCCTAGTCTGCTCTTGAACTCGTGGGCTCAAGCGATCCTCCCACCTTGGCCTCCCAAAGTACTAGGATTACAGCTGTGAGCCACTGCGCCTGGCCTTCTTTTGTGTTTTATTTTTTAATTAGAGACAGGGTCTTGCTAGTTTTCCCAGGCTGGAGTGCAGTGATACGATCACAGCTCACCACAGCCTCGAACTCTTGGGCTCAAGTGATCTACTGGCCTCAGCCTCCTGACCAGGCATTAATTCTTTCTAACAGATTTACAGAGAAGTACAAGTTCTACCATGGGAAGAGATTGTACTATGTTTGTATAATTCAGGTTTCCTCTGAGTTTAGGTGGAGGGTGGGCAGGAGGAAGGCTTTTTTATAGAAATGCTTTTAGGGGTGAAGGGGTGGGTTGCCCCTCCACACCTGTTGGTGTTTCTCGTTAGGTGGAATGAGAGACTTGGAAAAGAAAAAGACACAGAGACAAAGTATAGAGAAAGAAATAAGGGGACCCAGGGAACCAGCGTTCAGCATATGGAGGATCCCGCCAGCCTCTGAGTTCCCTTAGTATTTATTGATCATTCGTGGGCGTTTCTCCGAGAGGGGGATGTGTCAGGGTCACAAGACAATAGTGGGGAGAGGGTCAGCAGACAAACACGTGAACAAAGGTCTTTGCATCATAGACAAGGTAAAGAATAAAGTGCTGTGCTTTTAGATATGCATACACATAAACATCTCAATGCTTTACAAAGCAGTATTGCATGTTCCACCTCCAGCCCTAAGGCGGTTTTTCCCTATCTCAGTAGATCGAACGTACAATCGGGTTTTATACCGAGACATTCCATTGCGCAGGCACGGCAGGAGACAGATGCATTCCTCTTGTCTCAACTGCAAAGAGGCATTCCTTCCTCTTATACTAATGCTCCTCAGCACAGACCCTTTATGGGTGTCGGGCTGGGGGACGGTCAGGTCTTTCCATTCCCAGGAGGCCATATTTCAGACTATCCCATGAGGAGAAATCTTGGACAATACCTGGCTTTCCTAGGCAGAGGTCCCTGCGGCCTTCCGCAGTGTTTGTGTCCCTGGGTACTTGAGATTAGGGATTGGTGATGACTCTTAACGAGCATGCTGCCTTCAAGCATCTGTTTAACAAAGCACATCTTGCACCGCCCTTAATCCATTTAACCCTGAGTGGACACAGCACGTTTCAGAGAGCACGGCGTTGGGGGTAAGGTTATAGATTAACAGCATCTCAAGGCAGAAGAATTTTTCTTAGTACAGAACAAAATGGAGTCTCCTATGTCTACTTCTTTCTACACAGACACAGTAACAGTCTGATCTCTCTTTCTTTTCCCCACAAGGGGCCGGATGCAGTGGCTTGTGCCTGTAATCCCAGCACTTAGGGAGGCCGAGGTGGGCGGATTACGAGGTCAGGAGATCAAGACCATCCTGGCCAACATGGTGAAACCCCGTCTCTACTAAAAATACAAAAATTAGCCGGGTGTGGTGGCATGTGCCTGTAGTCCCAGCTACTCAGGAGGCTGAGGCAGGAGAATTGCTTGAACCCAGGAGGCAGAGGTTGCAGTGAGCCGAGGTCGCACCCTTGCACTCCAGCCTGGCGACAGAACGAGACTCCGTCTCAAAAAAAAAAAATGCTTTTAGGGAGTACTGCTTTAACATTCATGGACCGTAGGTGCAGGAACTTCAATTCCCCAAAAGAAAGCTCAGACAGAGCTATATACTCAAGAAGGATTGAAAATAAATTTATGAATTAGGCCAGACGCGGTGGCTCACGCCTATAATCCCAGCACTTTGGGAGGCCGAGGTGGGTGGATCACTTGAGGTCAGTTTGAGACCAGCCTGGGCAATATGGTGAAACCCCATCTCTACTAAAAATACAAAATTAGCCAGGCGTGGTGGCACGCGCCTGTAATGCCAGCTACTCAGGAGGCTGTGGCACAAGAATCGCTTGAACCCGGGAGGTGTAAGTTGCAGTGAGCCGAGATCGCACCACTACACTCCGGCCTGGGTGATAGAGTGAGACTCTGTCTCAAAAAAAGAAAAAAAATTATGAATTAGACACTCATGTCTGGTTAATACAGGAAATGATGTTGGATTATACCTAGCTTTTGAGATCAGCATCATATAGGATAGTAATTCTCTCCTATATACCAATCCAGAATACCGGGGTAGATGAGCTAATTCAATACGGCAATTCCTATGCGTTCATATGTTGGCTCATTTTCCAGAAAAGAAGACCAAATTATATGAATATTTTGATAAACTTAGAGCACTATTAAAATAATTAATCCCCCCTCCACAAAACTGTTATATATACATGACACATATGTACGTGGGTACACACCTATCCATCTATTACAGTAGCCTTTTTTCACGCCAAAGCTCATATGACAAAAGGCAATTCTCAGAAGAAGAAAAATAAAACACCTGGAATATTCTGGGAGGGTCTTCCACCCCTCCCTTTCTCAACTTCAATTATCTTGCCATCCCTGCACCACACACACTTTCTGAACCTGGCTCTTCATTAACTCTTTTTTTTTTTTTTTTGAGACGGAGTCTCACTCTGTCACCCAGGCTGGAGTGCAATGGCACGATCTCGGCTCACTGCAACCTCCGCCTCCCGGGTTCAAGTGATTCTCCTGCCTCAGCTTCCTGAGTAGCTGGGGTTACAGGCGCCCGCCACCACGCCTGGCTAATTTTTTTTTTGTATTTTTAGTAGGGATGGGCTTTCACCATGCTGGCCAGGCTTGTCTCGAACTCCTGACCTCAAGTGATCCGCCCGCCTCAGACTCCCAAACTGCTGGGATTACAGGCATGAGCCACCCCGCCACCACACCGGGCCTATCAACTCTCATTTCCTGAACCAATGGTGAGAGAATAGAGGGGTGATGAGGAGAGGAGTGAAGAAATGGGAAGGGAAGTAGGTAGAGAATAAGATGATAGAAGGCCCAGGACATGGGGGTATTCCCTGGAGCCCTCTAGAGCCCTCCCGTTCCTTCCCTTCCTCTTTCTCTGAGGTCCAAGTTCTCACCCTTGAAAAGAGGCTGAAGCATCCCAGGCGGCTCACAATGCAGTAAACTTCAGGAAGGCGCTTCCCTTTGCCTCCAGGCTTTTCGGAGAGAAACACAAGGGAATTATGAGTGTTGACAACCTCAGGGAAGAAAGGAACCCACATGTTTTTTGCGAGACTATCATGTGCCAGATGTTTCCACATATCATAGCTCTGGAAAACCCAATAAAGTAAGTTGTTATCCCATTGTGTTTATTATAATGTTTGTTATAATTGTTTTGTATCCCTATATGTTTATTATAATGATAATTTCAAGTGAGAAATCATTTCTGAAGATCTTTCTGAAAACTCAGTTTTAAGCTAATTTTCAAACAAAAAAAAATCAATCTCAATACTTTTTTTGTTTTGTTTTGTTTTGTTTTGAGATGGAGTCTCACTCTGTCACCAGGCTGGAGTGCAGTGGTGTGATGTTGGCTCACTGCAACCTCCAGCTCCCAGATTCAAGCGATTCTCCTGCCTCAGCCTCCCAAGTAGCTGGGATTACAGGCTCACACCACCACGCCCCACTAATTTTTGTACTTTTAGTAGAGAAGGGGTTTCGCCATATTGGCCAGGCTGGTCTCGAACTCCTGACCTCATGATCTGCCTGCCTCCTCCTCCCAAAGTGCTGGGATTACAGGTGAGAGCCACTGCACCCTGCCCAATCTCAATACTTTTAAAAATTTTTATTTATTTATTTTTGGAGACGGAGTCTTGCTCTGTTGTCCAGACTGGAGTGCAGCGACGCGATCTCAGCTCACTGCACCCTCCACTTCCCAGGTTCAGGAGATTCTTGTGACTCAGCCTCCCGAATAGCTGGGATTACAGGCGTGTGCCACCACGCCCAGCTATTTTTTTGTATTTTTAGTAGAGATAGGGTTTCACCATGTTGGCCAGGCTGGTCTTGAACTCCTGAGCTCAGGCAACCTGCCCACCTCAGCCTCCCAAAGTGCTAGGATTACTGGTGTGAGCCTGTGCCCGACCTCAGTCTCAATACTTTAACCCTAAAGTAATTTGATCAACAAAATTATTATCTCACTTACCTTTTTCAATTATCCATGCTTTTTATTTTACTGATTAATTCAAAAAATGTTTCTTGAACACCTACTATGTGCCACGCATTATACTTGACCCTAAAGTTTTTCAGCCTATTTCAGAGACTCAAGTATATTCTCAGTGGAAAAAGATTCACCATTACTGAAGATTTTCAAAAGAATGGGCCTGAAAATGACAATTCTAAAATGCTTTAGCAGGATCATTGCACTGAAATAAGTTTCTGACTTTGAAAGGTGACTATTCTGAAGGGGACATTCTTGAATTATTTGAGTCTTCTCTCCTTAGCAACCATTCTGAATGTTCTCTCTAAGTGATCAGGGTCTGTTTGGCATGTTTTATTAGAAAAAAAAAAATTCGCTTAAAGAGAGAAAGGTCTTTTATTTGGCAGGAAAAATAATGGAGAAAGTATTTTTGTCCAGTTGCGGTGGTTCATGCCTGTAATCTCAGCACACTGGGAGGCCGAGGTGGGAGGATTACTTGAGCCCAAGAGTTCGAGACCAGCCTGGGCAACACAGCAAGATCCTGTCTCTACAAATAATTAAAAAATTAGCCATGTGTGGTGGTACATGCCTGTGGTCCCAGCTACTCGGGAGGCTGAGGCAGGAGGATCACCTGAGCTGGGGAGGTCGAGGCTGCAGTGAAACATGATCCACTGCACTCCAGCCCAGGCAGCAGAGTGAGACCCTGTCTCAAAATGAAATAAAAGTATTTTCTTTCTGATGGAAACGGACATTCCCACCTACCAATAAGACTCAGGTGAGCCCCCTCAATTCCTGTTTTTTTAATGTTTTATTTTTTAGTATATATATATATATATATATATTTTTTTTTTTTTTTTTTTTTTTTTTGAGACGGAGTTTCGCTCTGTCGCCCAGGCTGGAGTGCAGTGGCGCGATCTCGACTCACTGCAAGCTCCGCCTCCCGGGTTCACGCCATTCTCCTGCCTCAGCCTCCCGTGTAGCTGGGACTACAGGCGCGTGCCACCATGCCCGGCTAATTTTTGTATTTTTAGTAGAGATGGGGTTTCACCATGTTAGCCAGGATGGTCTCGATCTCCTGACCTCGTGATCCGCCCGTCTCGGCCTCCCAAAGTGCTGGGATTACAGGCGTGAGCCACCGCGCCCGGCCGTATATATTTTTAAAATAGAGACAGGGCCTCATTTTGTTGCCCGGGCTGGTCTCGAACTCCTGGTCTCAAGTGATCTGTCCTTCTCATACTCCCAAAGTGCTGGGTTTATAGGCATGAGCCACCATGCCAGATTTTTTCTGTGATTTTAACTATGCTGATTCACCTGCCACTCCCCCTGCTCCTTCTCCTCCTGTGCCTCATCAGGGAATCTCAGTCTCACGGGACTGGGAAGCCAGACCTGGCTCTTGCACCAGGACTAGGAAGTCCACGAGGCTCTTGCAGGCTGAAAGCAGAATGTACTCACCAGCAGTCTTCGGCAGTAACCGAACCTTCTGCTCCCATCTTCTCCAGTTAAGACAAATGAGAATGTTTCACTGTGGTTGGGAAAACACAAATGTATCATAAAGCAAAACAAAACCAAAGACACCTCATCACTCTGCAGCAAGGGGTGGCAGTGAGCAGCCATGGGACACACTGCAGGAGGCTGTAGGAAAGGCCACTCCCTGTCCCACCTGTCCCTGTCCATGCTGAGACACTGGTCACCCATAGCTTCATAGTAAATGTCAGTGAGACTGGGCTGGGCACAGTGGCTCATGCCTGTAATCCCAGCCCTTTGGGAGGCTGAGGCAGGTGGATCACTTGAGGTCAGGAGTTCGAGACCCGCCTGGCCAATAGGGTGAAACCCTGTCTCTACTAAAAATACAAAAATTAGCCAGGCATGGTGGCACATGCCTGTAATCCCAGCTACTGGGGAGGCTGAGGCAGGAGAACTGCTTGAACCTAGGAGGCAGAGGTAGCAGTGAGCCAAGATCATGCCATTACACTCCAGCCTGGGGGAAGAAGCGAGACTCTATCTCAAAAAAAAAAAAAAAAAAAAAAGTCAGTGAGACTGAGACCTAAAGTGTCGCTGTGGCCTGAGACAAAATGTGGTGCTTTGTTTCCATCCTGGGCTATCCTGTCATTTTCTCTTTTTTTTTTTTTCAAGATGGAGTCTCACTCGGTTGCCCAGGCTGGGATGCAGTGGTGTGATCTCGGCTCACCACAACCTCTGCCGCCCGGGTTCAAGCGATTCTCCTGCCCCAGCGCCTGCCACCACCATGCCTAGCTAAGGGCTCTCCCATCATTCAATCACCTGAGCTGCCCCATTGTACAAAACACAACTGTCATTTACTCTGGAGGCTAAAGAGAGGGAAGAGCCTGGGGTGCTGTCCTCAGGGAACTGAGCATGTGTGAGTGCAGTGACATCTGCTCATCTAGGGATGTGACTCGGTGAGGGAGCAGCGGAAGATGGGGACAGTTCTGTGCCCCTCTTGGAATTGCCCTGGGGCAGCTCTCTCAGGGCATGGTCTGTACAGGGCAGCCCCGGGGCTTGGACGGTCCTTAAAGACTGCTGAGCCACCCTCAAGGAACGCGGTACCCCTTAAAGACAGGACCCGCAGCCTACTGAGTTTGGCCAAATGCGGAAACATCTGATAATAAAAACACTGGTGTCTAATTACTCGGGATGAAGCAGAAATGTAAACGGATCCCAATCCAAGAAACATCTGGATAGGAGACTGAAGAGATGTTTCAGGATGAGAACGGGGAAGGGCAATGTTGCCCTAACTTTTCCCAGGCTAAGAATTATCTTCCGGGAGGCTTCTGAAACAAGTATCCCCAGATTGAGTGGGAAGCCCGGGAGGTCTGCATGCTGGGCAGGTGACTTCACCTTCAGGGAAGCTTTAAAAACACCCCTTGGGGAAAGCTCTAGGCCAGGCCCATCAGGATTACTTAACGGTGGGAATGACTCATGTGGTCTGCCACCTGTAACCCCGTCTCTAAGTCTCGCCTTAGTCTTTGGGGCTGCGAAGGGGAGAAGCCAGCTCGTACCTGGTGAACTGCTGGACAGGAACCCAATCCTTGGCATCGGGAAAACAGAACTGGGGAATGGCCTTCAGTTGGTCCTCAGCTTCTCTCATGAACTTGAAAGACCTTTCCAACTGCAGGGAGAAAGGTGAGAGAAAATTCGAGAACAAATCTCAGCATGGGAAATTGAGGCGGATGATGGTAAGGATGGCCTCTCCCACCTTTCCACATTTGTGACTGCCGCCTTAGCCTCTTCCCTTGGGAAGAGCTTGCAGCTCAGTCGGCTGGGGCATTTTCCCCCCAGTGCACTTCCAACTATAGACCTCTGGGAGAAGTTGGGAGGAAAAAATAGGATGCTTTAGAGAATGATTCTCTATGCTTGACATTCTAGAATGTAACTATTTCAGTGAATTAAAAAAACTGCCAGCAATCCTTTCCAAATAGGAGGCTCAGGAATCTGGAAGGCAGAGCCTCTAATCAGGCCTCTCTGTCTCTGGGTCCAGGCAAAGCTGTCCCTTTCGAACTCCAGGCAAAGACTGTTACAACATTCTCAGTGAATAAATCCAGTAAAACCATATTATGCTGGGAAATTCAACTAATTTCAGACAGTCATTGAGTGTTGGAACTAGAAGGAAGCGTGACACCATCCAGCCTGACATTCTTATTTCAGCAAGAAGGAAATAAGCCCCGAGGTGTGAAGTGATGTGTCCTGGTCACATGAGTTAATGTTCAAACTAGGAAGAAAAATGATCTTAATCTTTTTTTCCTCTCTCTCTCTCTTTATGATATTCTAGCACATCATACAGTATCTGACATATCAAAGACTGGATGAATGTTATCTTGTTAAAGAACAGGAGGAGTACTTTGGGAGGCCAAGGTAGGAGGATCACTTGAGGCCAGGAATTCAAAACCAGCTGGGGCAACATAGCAAGGTCCCACCTCTATGGGAAAAAAAAAAAGAACAAGGGCCGGGAGTGGTGGCTCACACCTGTAATCCCAGCACTTTGGGAAGCTGAGGTGGGTGAATCACCTGGGGTCAGGAGTTTGAGACCAGCCTGGCCAACATGGGGAGACCCCGTCTGTACTAAAAATACAAAAAAATTAGCTGGGTGTGGTGGCCGGCACCTGTAGTCCCAGCTGCTCGGGAGGCTGAGGCATGAGAACTGCTTGAACCCAGGAGGTGGAGGTTGCAGTGAGCCGAGAGCATACCACTGCACTCCAGCCTGGGCGACAGAACAAGACGCTAAGAAAAAAAAAAGGACAGGATGAATTAATAAAGTCTGATTTAGAGATGATACTAAAGTCGTGAGTTTATTTTGCTTATGAACAGAAATTTGTGATTTTTTTTCTTTCTATGTATAAATATATATTTTTTAGAGCCAGAGTCTTGCTGTGTTGCCCAGGCTGGACTTGAATTCCTGGGCTCAAGCAACCTGCTTCAGCATCCTGAGTAGCTGGGACTGCGAGTGCATACCATCACACCTAGCCAGAAATCTGTGCTTTTAAGAAGCACCCCAGATACAAGTTTGGGAAACACAAAAGAATAATTTCTAATTATTTATCTCATTATTATTCATCTTTGCTTATAAACAGGTACTTTTTCATGTGAGGAGAATTGTAGGCTTTGTTGCTGTTGTTGTTAATAGGTTTATACTTGTTAAATTTCCTTTATAAAAAGTTAAAGAAAAATACATCATGCTAAGGTTATCTTCAGTGATTTGAAATATCTCATATCTGAATATCTGAGGTTAGGAATTTATAACGTCTAACCTAAATATAATGGCTAACCTATATTTTTTCTTTCTTTCTGTTGTCTTTTTTTTTTTTTTTTTTTTTGAGACAGTCTCACTATGTCGCCCAGGCTGGAGTGCAGTGGTGTGATCTTGGCTCACTGCATGGGTTCTCTGCGTCATGGGTTCAAGTGATTCTCCTGCCTCAGCCTCCCGAGTAGCTGGGATTACAGGCATGCACCACCACACCTAGCTATTTTTTTTTTTTTTTTTGTATTTTCAGTAGAGACAGGGTTTCACCATGTTGGCCAGGCTGATCTTGAACTCCTGGCCTCAAGTGATCTGCCTGCCTCAGCCTCGCAGAATGTTGGGATTACAGGCATGAGCCACGGTGTTTGGCCCTAACCTAAATTTTTCTGTAATAATTTGCATCAATTTCTTTGTTTCCAATAGCTTGCTAGTGAGATCCACTTTATTTATTTATTTATTCTTTTGAGATGGACTCTTGCTCTGTCACCGAGGCTGGAGTGAAATGCTGCAATCTCGGCTCACTGCAACCTCCACCTCCTGGGTTCAAGTGATTCTCCTACCTCAGCCTCCCAAGTAGCTGGTATTACAGGTGCCTGCCACCACGCCTGAATAATTTTTGTATTTTTAATAGAGGCGGGGCTTCACCATGTTGGCCAGGCTGGTCTCGAACTCCTGATCTCAAGTGATCCCTGACTTGGCCTCCCAAAGTGTTGGGATTACAGGCGTGAGCCACCGCGCCCGGCCCGAGCTCCACTTTAAAACACCCTTGCAGACAATTTCTGAAGTTGGCAAGCCAGCAGTCCTGTTCACTGCTCCTGATGGTCAACAAGCCTTCCCAAGGTCACCATGTGTCAGAGAGAGGAGGGCTCTGAAGAAGAGTATCCAAAGGCACAGAGCACCAGACTGATTGTTTCCAACTTTAAAAACCACTTCCTGGCTGGGGCGTGGTGGCTCACGCCTGTAATCCCAGCACTTTGGGAGGCTGAGGCGGGCGGATCACGAGGTCTGGAGATCGAGACCATCCTGGCTAACATGGTGAAACCCCGTCTCTACTAAAAATACAAAAAAATTAGCTGGGTGTGGTGGCGGGTGCCTGTAGTCCCAGCTACTCAGGAGGCTGAGGCAGAAGAATGGCGTGAATCCGGGAGGCAGAGCTTGCAGTGAGCGGAGATCATGCCGCAGCACTCCAGCCTGGGTGACAAAGGGAGGCTCCGTCTCAAAACAAACAAACAAAACAACAACAACAAAAAAACCCGCTTCCAGTATGATTCCCCTCAGGCTAGACCAAATTTAATTGAAGCCATGGGGTGCCACTAATACTAGTGGTTAAGACAGCAATCAATCGGTAAAACACAGTCACTATTTATAGACTTAGTTGTCCTTTAGTTGTTCTTCTTCAGAATAAATAGCCACTATTTCTTTTCTATATAACAGTTCTCTCTTCCATCCACGATGACACAGATGAACCCAACTGGCCCAGGAAGTCTTTGAGTTGGTAAATCACAAGCTCAGACTGTCCCCTAAACAGTAATTTTGACTGTCCTTGCATAGTCATGCAAAGAAGCAAATACCAGCTGGGTGTAATTATAGGAAGGGGTCATTAATCACCACAGAGTGAATGACTTAAATTATAAAGAAGACCAAAGAAAGGACCAGCCAAGAATACCAAAGGGAGGAAGAATACCAAATGAGTTTCTCCACAAAGGAAACAGCATTCAGGACTGAAGAGCAGACCTCGTGGGGAAACAAGTTCCAGCCCTTTTCAACAGCCCAGTCACTACTTGCATGCACCCACCCCAGATCACACATAGGACACACACAAATACAGGCACACTTGTGCCTACCCACACGTCATCAACCTACGAGTTATCAGCGCATACATACACAGGCTCATATATGCACAGGAGCACAGTTACAGGAAGCTGCACACGGAAATTTCCCACAAATACAACTAATCACAGATGGCTGGAAAACAGCCCAGTCTCCCTGAACTGTCAAAGATAAATATGGGATAGGAAACATTTTAATGGAACATTAGCATGCAAATAGGGGCTGTGCCTTGATTCAGGTGACTTGACAGAAGTGAGGGATAAAACCCACAAAAAAAGTTTAAAAAGAGAAGAGAGAGAAGGAGGAAAAGGGCCTTTCTACAGAGGGAGCAAGGGAGCAAAGACAAGGAGATAAAATGCCTGACATGTAAAAATGCCTGTACAAGGATGATCACCATTGCATTAAAAAAAAAAAAAAAAAAAAAAAAAAAAGCCAGGCACAGTGGATCCCAGCACTTTGGAAGGCCGAGGTAGGGAGATCGCTTGAGCTCAGGAATTCGAGGCCAGCCTGGGCAACAGAGGAAGACCTCGTCTCTACGAAAAATAAATAAATAAATAAGCTGGGCATGGTTGCATGCGCCTGTAGTCCCAGTTACTTGGGAAGATGAGGCGGGAAGGCTCACTTGAGCCCAGGAGGTTGAGGCTGCAGTGAGCTGTGATCGTGCCACTCCATGCCATCCTGGATGACAACAGCAAGACAGAGATCCTGTCTCAAAAATACACACACAGGCAGGGCATAGTGGCTCATGCCTGTAATCACAGGACTTTGGGAGGCTGAAGTGGGCGGATCATTTGAGGTCAAGAGTTTGAGACCAGTCTGACCATTATGGTGAAACCCCATCTCTACTAAAAATACAAAAATTAGTTGGGCATGGTGGTGCATGCCTGTAATCCCAGCTACTCGGGAGGCTGATGCAGGACAACTGCTTGTACCCGGGAGGTGGAGGCTTCAGTGAGCCAAGATTGCACCACTGCACTCTAGCTCAGGCAATAGAGTGAGACTGTGTCAAAAAAAAAAAAAAAAATACACACACACACACAGAAACACTGGTAGCCAGATACATTTCTAACAGAAGGGGACTGGTTACATAGAAAAATAGACTAGGGAATACTCACATATTGGAACATTGTATAACTTGAAAAATGATGTTTTAGAATTTTTATTAAATATGCTTATAAATAATGAGAGGTTTACAAAAGAGTACACGCAGCACGATACAAAAATTCTGCAGTGTATAATTCCAGTTTTGTAAGAACATTACACCATTAGAAAAGACTGGAAGAAAAAGAAAATGTTAACAGTGACGGTCTCTGTGTGGTGGGATTACTAGTGATTTCTTTCCTAATACATTTCTGGATCAGTTTCCTTTTAAACAGTGAATGTGCAACTTTACTCTAGAAAAAAAATTTAATGTGGGTGACTCCAGGCTGGAAACAATAATCATTTGATCATTATGGTGAGTCATTAATTAACTAACTCATGAATTAATGCTTCCTTGATTCCTACAACACTGATTAAGCATTGCCACGTGAACAGCATTGTGCTAGGCCCCAAGGCAATGAACAGGATAGCAGGACAGCCCTTCACGCCTCAGTGATCTCTGTTGTGAGTCAGTGTGAGCATACCCAGTGGCCTCTCTTACCCATGGGCAGCCCCCGGCAAAAAAAAATCTGGGCATACCTGTAGTAGTGGGGTGTCAGGAGCTCATTCCTTAGAGGTGTGATAGCTAGAGGAAGGTGAGTGTCACCTTTGGAAGGCCGGTGCCTATGGTTTACTTCAATCTACATAATTGCTATCCTAAACTCCAAAAATAGGACTTGATTGTGGTGTTAGAGCACAGTGGGCAGGATGGAAGGAAGGCTGGCCTACAAAAGGAGGGGAGGCCTGGGGACAGCAGGATCTGGGCCTTGGTAGATGCTGGGGTTATGCCTGGGTGGTGATGGCAAAGGGAGTCCCTGAGTGGGCAAGGACAGAAGCTCCCTCCCTTCTGCCCTCCCTGAGGCATGAGTCTGTCCAGAGACCATCAGATTCTACCTGGTGAATCTTTGCATGCTTTTCTGGGGGTGGGGGGAGATGGTTATTTTATGTCCTCCTGGGAGAGTTTAAATTCCTTGAGGACAGGAGACACATTTTGTTTATCACTGTAATCCCCTAGGGCCAAGCAGAAAATTGCTTGAATGCAATATATTCTTAGTAAATTCTGGTTGAACTGAATTAGAATATGGTGGAACCTCTTTAATACTGATGTCAAAGCCTAAGAATAATTTATAAATTATTGCCATGTTGCTTCAGGCTATATTAAGTGCCATTTTATTTATTTTATTTTAGGTGCCATGATTTAACATATGGTAAAGCTGAATTCATACGGCCATGGTCCATGACATAAAAGTGTCCCAGGTGTGTGAACCACAGCGAGTCCATCCTGAGTAGGGGCTGGGTAAAATGAGGCTGAAACCTACTGGGCTGCATTCCCAGATGGTTAAAGCAGAGACAGGAGGTCGGCACAAAATACACGTCATAAAGACCTTGCTGATAAAACAGGTTGCAGTAAAGAAGCCGGCCAAAACCCACCAAAACCAAGATGGTGATGAGAGTGACCTCTGGTAGTCCTCACTGCTACACTCCCACCAGCATCATGACAGTTTACAGACGCCATGGCAACATTAGGAAATTATCCCATATGATCTAAAAAGGGGAGGCATGAATAATCCACCCCTTGTTTAGCATATAATCAAGAAATAACCACAAAAATGGGCAACCAGCAGCCCTCAGGGCTGTTCTGTCTATGGAGTAGCCATTCTTTCATTCCTTTACTTTTTGCAATCTCTGCTCACTGCAAGCTCTGCCTCCTGAGTTCAAGCGATTCTACAGCCTCAGCCTCCTGAGTAGCTGGGATTATAGGCGCCTGCCACCACGCCCAGCTAATTTTTGTATTTTTAGTAGAGAGTGGGTTTTGCCATGTTGGCCAGGCTGGTCTCAAACTCCTGACCTCAAGTGATCCGCCCACTTCGGCCTCCCAAAGTACTGGGATTACAGGTGTGAGTCACCGCGCCTGGCCTCCTTTACATTCTTAATAAATTTGCTTTCATTTTACCCTGCTGACTCGCCCTGAATTCTTTCTTGTGTGAGATCCAAGAACCCTCTCTAGAGGTCTGGATTGAGATCCCCTGCCTGTAACAAAAGGAAGGGACATACACAAAGATGCACAGCACACAAGCAAAGCAGAAGTTCAGCATAGACACAAGTATGATGCTGCTTAGGGAGACTTGGGGCTTCAGGGGAAAGAGACTTCTAGGCTAGGTTAGGAAGAGATGTGGCTGGCTGGATAAGGAGATGGAAGGAAAGGGCAAAGAGGATGGCACGGTCAGCACAGGGACCACAGCAAGTGAGAAAGCATTTCTGGCCATACTATTTTTTTTTTTTTTTTTTTTGAGACGGAGTTTTGCTCTGTCGCCCAGGCCGGAGTGCAGTGGCGTGATCTTGGCTCACTGCAACCTCCATCTCCTGGGTTCAAGCGATTCTCCTGTCTCAGCCTGAGTAGCTGGGACTGCAGGTGTGCGCCACCATGCATGGCTAATTTTTGTATTTGTCTGGCCAAACTTTTTAAGTCCCTGAATCTCTCCTTTCTGGGACCTCCCAAATTCTCTAGCAGCAGCATTTTTTTTTCATCTGATATACCCTAATTAGGACCCATTTTCAAGATTCTAGATGCTAGGTGTTCCTCAGACTCCCACACCTCCCTCAATTCATGAGTCCCAACAAGGTGATGGTTAGAACCCTGGCAGGCCACAGGGACCTGGCCACCCTGTTACCTTCAGAGGGAACTGTTGGGTGAGTTCTGGCACGTAGGCAGCCCCGGCCTGCTTCTTGTGCAAAGACACAACCACAAAGTACTCGAAGAGCTGCCTCTCCTGGTACTCGATGAGTTCCCGGGCAAGTGATGGGTACCGAGGCGCCTGCTTCAGCCGGGACTTCACGTTGACCAGGCGCTGGCTGTGAGCTGGGTGAGGGAGGGAGAGAGAAAGAGAGAAAGAGAGAGAGAGAGAGAGAGAGAGAGAGAGAGAGAGAGAGACAGAGTGAGCAAAGAGCCTGAAATGACCATGAGTCCATGTGGAATTGTGCCGAGCTGCAATAGGTTATGTAATTATCAGCTCAAGTACTTTTTTCTAATCCCCAAAGTGTTTCTGTGTCTAACAAATTAGTAGGAAACTCTTTATTTGGGATCTCTGCCAAAGTTCTGGGAGAACCAACATTCAGTTGGCTACCAAACCAATCAGGGTGCAGGAGCCTGGCTCTGCTCTGCCATGGTTTTGCTGTCTGGACTCTGGGCAGAGGCTGAAGATGTCCTTGCCTTCATCTGTCTGATGAGATGGGGACAGTGACTCCTCCCCTCACCCATTTCCCTCGTCTTTTGGTTGGTGTGATGTGACAGAATCCAGACTATAGGGCTTTTGGAGCTGGGAGCTTTGTAAACATCCCTTGTGACTCAACTGGCAGAGATCCCACTAACTCAGGAACTCCTGTCCACCTCCCCTCCTGCCACTAACTCTGCAATGAAATGGCCTTGCTTCATTCTAGAGGTGAGTCCGGGAGCAGCTGGGTGTCAGAGGTGAATGCAGCAGGGTCACTGAGTGGACAGGTCCCTGTCACCTCGTTCAGCAATCTGGACTTGCTTTCTTTTTTTTGAGATAGAGTCTCACTCTGTTGCCCAGGCTGGAGTGCAATGGCGCAATCTCAGCTCACTGCAACCTCCGCCTCCCGGGTTCAAGTGATACTCCTCCCTCAGCCTCCTGAGTATCTGGGATTACAGGCGCCTGCCACCACACCTGGCTAATTTTTCATATTTTTAGTAGAGACGAGGTTTCACTATGTTGGCCAGGCTGGTCTTGAACTCCCGACCTTGTGATCCACCCGCCTCGGCCTCCTAAAGTGCTGGGATTACAGGCGTGAGCCACCAAGCCCGGCCCCTGGACTTGCTTTCTTTGGCTTCTCCCTGGGGTCTGAAAAATTGCAGAAAACTCACTAAAGCCTTGGCCTAGACTATTTAATTTTAGACCCATAGGGACCAATTATTTCAACAACTTCATCAGACAGATGAACTAGAGGCCCTGGATCTTAAGTGATTTCCTCCAGATCACACAGTAATTTGAGCAGAAGTGGGCAGAAGCTCCAGGTCTCTGGAGGCTTAGGGCTGCAGTGTCAAGCCTTGAAGTGTGGAAAACCCTCAGGACATAGGGAGAGGCATGGGAGCAGGGGTCGCTGCCGTTACTGCAGCCACCCTGGCTCTCAGCAACTGTAGTGCCATTTTGATCATGCCCATGACGGACCGGCTCTGGAGCACCCTGTGGCCCCACTGTCTCCCGAGATGTCCACGCCTTGCCAAGCAAGCTCCGGCAGGACGCTTCTGTCCCTCATACTAAGGAGGAGGGGCCACCTTTGCAGCTTCCAAGTCACCTGCCTGAGTCCTGCACAGTAGTGGCTCTCCTCACCTTTCAGCTTCTCCTCTGTGTCACTGTCAGACTCACTGTTCTCATCTGTCACTAGAAGAAAAGAACAAGGAAGAAAATTGCAAATGTGAGTTCTTCTCATGTAGGAAACTCTTTCTATGTGGTAGCACAGATCAAATGTTCTAATTCAGAGGGGATGTTGAGTTGCCTCTTTTTTTTTTTGAGATGGAGTCTTGCTCTGTCACCCAGGCTGGAGTGCAGTGGCGCAATCTCGGCTCACTGCAACCTCTGCCTTCCAGGTTCCAGTGATTCTCCTGCCTTAGCCTCCTGAGTAGCTGGGACTACAGGTGTATGCCACCATGCCTGGCTAATTTTTCTATTTTTTAGTAGAGACAAGGTTTTGCCATGTTGGCCAGGCTGGTATAAAACTTCTGACCTCAGGTAGATCCGCCTGTCTCAGCCTCCCAAAGTGCTGGGATTACAGGCGTGAGCCACCGCGCCCCGCCTCTTGTTGTCTCTTTCAATGTATTGCACAAACCACGTCTCGTCCAACTCGATGTACTGCCAAATTAATTTGGCTCTAGTTCAGATGGTACTAGATGGTACCTATATCAGATAATACAACAGAAGGTCCTGGCCCCTTTTGTGCAGGCTAAGCAAGGAAGGCTGCTCCCACAGTCAGGCCAGGGCCTGCAGTACTGGGCTGACTTGGTGGTGGACCAGGACAAGGATGGGGAGGCAGGGGACATGCTGCCCCGGCTGAGCTCCCAGCCCCACCACTGTCCCAAAGACAGTGCGGGACATTTACAAAGCATCAGCTTGTTCTCCTCCTTGGTGAGCCAACCAGAAAAAACAGGAAGCCACTTCTGGAAAGAATCTCTTTTCCGATTCTTGCGGGAGGAGGGCTGGTGGTGGGGGTTCTACCTTTTCCTGAGTTGCTCTCCATTGACTGGGACAGCCTCTTCACCCGTTTCTTTCCTCTCCGGACCTCATAAATGGCGTTGATTCGCAACACCAGCTGCCAGACACCAGGAGAAGAACAGCCAGTGTTAGCAGCCCACTCTCTGTGGCAGCTGGGCTTCCCTCACTGCCCCTCTCCTAGGACGATGGAGGGCCAGGGCCAGGGGGAGTGGGAGAAACTTCCCATGGGCTCATGGGTGTCTTTCAATCATTTTTTTTTTTTATTTTTTTGAGGCAGAGTTTCGCTCTTGTCGACCAGACTGGGGTGCAATGGCGCAATCTCAGCTCACTGCAGCCTCTAACTTCTGGGTTCAAGAGATTCTCCTGCTTCAGCCTCCTGAGTAGCTGGGATTACAGGTACCCACCATTATGCCCAGCTAATTTTTGTATTTTTAGTAGAGACGGGGTTTCACCACATTGGCCAGGCTGGTCTCGAACTCCTGACCTCAGGTGATCCACCCACCTTGGCCTCCCAAAATGCTGGGATTACAGGCGCGAGCCACCGCACCCAGCCCAGTCATTTTTTTCTACCACACAGGAACGTGACTGTCAAGGACACTAAAGGAGGCTGCCAGCTCCACTGCCCTATGGGCGTCTGTTGTCTGGATCTGCTCACGAGCAGCAGAGACCCATGGGGAGACAGCCCATTGCTCATGATGCGATGGCTGCTTTCCCTCTGAGGCCTCGATGTCACTGCGGCTTGGGAAGGAGCTTTTCCTCCCAAAACAAAACAAGAAAAGGAAGAGACAGAAAAAAAAAGTTCCCAGGCAGGGCTCCCTTCATGGGAACTATTCCAAAGAATGTCAGAGCAGCCCTGAGTGGGGTGAGAACCGGGATTAGAACTGCTCCCGAGCCCTAGCTTGGGACTACGGGGAGTGGTGCCATGCACCCGAGCGTGCAGCCCCATCTGCAGAGGGACACGCTCCCCAGATGTCATGTACCCTCCATGTGTTCACAGAACACACACATGCAGTGTGCAAGTGCACATGGATACCCTGGTGTGGGACACATCCCAAGCCTCCAAGCAGGCCACTCAGCCTATGTGGTCTCCCCCATCACCACTGCCAGACGCCCTGTGCCCTGCCCCTCCCCACCTCCCAGGCCAGCCTAGTTGTCTGATGCATTTGAAAGGAGACCTGCTTCCATGGAAAATGTTTTTCATATTTCAGACCAAAAAAGTTTGGTGTTTCCTATGTATTTGTTTTCCCTCTTCTTGCGTGAGAAGCTGGTGAGTGCGAATTTATGTATTTTGCTTTGCTGGGTCCCCCAGGGCTTGCTATCAAAGAGTACACGCTCATGGCATATGTGATTCAGAATCCCACACGTGGAGGAACTCTAAAATTAGTTGTTCTGTGTGCTTACAAAATTAATCTTATTATCTCACAGCTATATGTTAAATGTTATATAACACTTTTATCTGTATAGGTCAGTAAACAAAAATATAGGATGGTAATCAATTTCCATGTTCTATAAATATTTTATTTATCTATTTATTTTGAGACAGAGTCTTGCTCTGTCACCAGGCTGGAGTGCAGTGGCGTGATCTTGGCTCACCACAACCTCCGACTCCCGGTTTCAAGTGATTCTCATGCCTCAGCCTCCCAAGTAGCTGGGATTACAGGTGTGTGCCACCATGCCCAGCTAATTTTTTTGTATTTTTAGTAGAGACGGGGGTTTCAACATGTTGGCCAGGCTGGTCTCGAACTTCTGACCTGAAGTGATCTGCCCACCTCAGCCTCCCAAAGTGCTGGGATTACAGGCATGAGCCACCGTGTTGGCTTGAATATTTCAATTCTTATTTTCAATATTTAAACATTGTCTGGCCCTCTTTGCTTCTAGCTGGTTGGGTGTCTCTGGGCCATTTAGTTGGCTTCTATGGGGTCAAATGTCCTCATCGGGAAAATGAAGGGGTTGGAGTGTTTCAACAGTCACTTCTGTTGAAACACTCCAACTTTCTAACAGCCAAGTGTCCATGGACGGATAGATGGATTTACAAAATGTGGTATATACATACGATGGAATACCATTTAGTCTTAAAAAAGAAGAAAATGCTGACACATGCTTAAACCTTGAAGACACTAAGCAAAGTGAAATGTCATTCACAAAGGACGATTCTGTGTGATTCCACTTACCTGAGATATTTCCAACAGTCTAACTTTCTAGGTTCTAGGATGACAGTTCTTAGCTGTCCTCAGACTTGCCAAGTCCTTTCATAACCTCTCCTAGTGCTGCCAAGGTGAGTCACTCAGTAGGCACCACTACTTAAAGGTGCATTCCCTAAGTGGACTTCAGCAGAACCATCTCTCTCTCTCTCTCTCTCTCTGTCTCTCTTTTATTTTTAGAGGCAGCATCTCGCTCTGTCACTTAGGCTGGAGTGCAGTGGCATGATCATAGCTCACTGCAGCCTCTAACTCCTGGGCTCAAGTGATTCTCTCTCACCTCAGCCTCACATGTAGCTGGGACTACAAGTGCACACCACCATGCCTGGCTAATTTTAAATTTTTTTTGTAGAGATGGGGTTCCACCATGTTGCCCAGGCTGGTCTTGAACTCCTGGGCTAAAGTGATCCTCCTATCTTGGCCTCCCAAAGTGCTGGGATTACAGGTGTGAGCCACTGTGCCCAGCCTCCCTGGACTTTCTTTCAGGTCAATGGGTCACTCAGAGAAGTCCCTTGAAAGCTACAGACAGTGTCCCACACCGAAACTTATCTGCATAAAGTTTTACATTTTTATGGGTTTCATGACCCCCTAAAGCCCATCCATGAACTCTGAAATTAAGAATCCCTGCTCTCCAAGTTCCTGGCTGGGCACGGTGGCTCATGCCTGTAATCCCAGCACTTTGGGAGGCTGAGGCAGGCGGATCACGCGGTCAGCAGTTCGAGACCAGCCTGGTCAATATGGTGAAACCCCGTCTCTACTAATAATACAAAAATTAGCTGGGTGTGGTGACTGTAGTCCCAGCTACTCGGGAGGCTGAGGCAGGAGAATCGCTTGAACCCAGGAGGCGGAAGTTGCAGTAAGCCGAGATCACACCACTGTACTCCAGCTTGGGCAACAGAGTGAAACTCTGTCAAAAAAAAAAAAAAAAAAAAAAGAAGTTGATCTTGAAGGAGTTCAGGATGTAACTCCCCAAAATATGCCACTTTGGCATATTAGTTGTTTTTAACTAAAGACACTCTAAAAACAGCAGGTGCACAAAGGGCGCTCTGACCTTCCCTTTTCTTCTTAAAACAGGAGATGAAACTCCATGTAAAAGAGGCCCTCCTTATAACAGGAGGGAAGAAACATTATCAGCAGCGATGGGGAGTTGAGGCCAAGAGAAATCTAATCAAACAAACCTTGTTTAACCCCTATCTTCCTGGTTACTTTTCCACAATTGCCGCTCTTTCTTCAGCCTAGTATATAAGCACATAGGCCCAGTCACTTCTTTGGGTCTTACATTTTTCTTTTGAGGGCTCCCACGTACTTGTAAATAAAATGAGTATGCATTTCTCCTGTTAATCTGTTTTACGTCAGTTTAAATCTAAGGCTCAGCTGGAGACCCTAAGAGGGTAGAGGAGAAATTCTGCCTACCCTACAGTACCAAATTGGTCAATGAAGAGAGACCAGAACTGCAGCACTGAAATTGAGCAAAAGGAAATGTAACCAACAACGGATGCATATAGAATGTATATTTCCAAGCCCCTGGGAATATTTTACCTTTTTGGCTGCAAAGAGCCACAAGAGGTATTGTTGACAAGGCTGTCTCAGAGCACAGACTGGGACCTGCCTCTGCAGCGGGTGTCGACCGTCTCAGGTCAGAGCATGATGGATGGAGTTCTGTTTTTTGTGGCGGTGAAGGAAGGAGCTGTGGCTTTTTGAGGATAGGCATTAAAACCTTGTCTGGGATTAGACAAGCAGCTAAGATTGGGAGAAGAGTGGCTAAGAGGAAGACCACAGGACCACAAAAATGATCAGGACGAAGGTCCGGATATTCCAGCCTGCTGGCTTCACTGTGTCCCCCTGGCCTGCAGCAACACAGGTGGGAGAGGGGCCAGTGATGTATTCTCCACCCAGACCCCTCTGCAGTCTTCTTTCACAGAGAAGGGGTCATGCATACCTGAGCATGAAGCTTGTTGCCACCATTACCTTGGGTATCTTTCTCTTCTTCCTGCCGTTCTGTGGGTCTCCAAGGTTAAAGAAAATGTCATCAGGGCTGCTGGGAGTGGAGGGAGGGCTGATTTTGGAAGGGGACCCAGTTCCATCCCGACTCAGCTTCCTAGTGTCCAGCAGCTTGAAGTTCCTCCTCTCTGAATTTTGTCGGAAAAAAGCAGGTTTGGACAATGACTGCTGTGAAGGAAAAGGAGAAAAGAAGAGTAAATGAATTCAAAGGAGACTGACCGGGGGATAACTGGTGGTGCCAGGGACGAGACAATGAAATTGAGAAGAGGAACTGGTCTATGTTCCCAGGTTAGGTGGAGTTTGGTTATGCCAGTAAGTGTTCAATGAATACATATCATCCAATTACCAAAACTGTGTGTGATGAGCGATGTAAATCTAATTCAGTTTCTTTTTTTTGAGATGGAATCTTACTCTGTCACCCGGGCTGGAGTGGAATGGCGCGATCTCTGTTCACTGTGACCTCCGCCTCCTGGGTTCAAGCAAGTCTCCTCCCTGAGCCTCTCGAGTAGCTGGGACTGCAAGCACACACTGCCACGCCCAGCTAATTTTTCGTATTTTAGTAGAGACGAGGTTTCACCGTGTTGCCCAGGCTGGTCTCGAACTCTTAAGCTCAGGCAATCCGCCTGCCTCAGCCTCCCAAAGTGCTAGGATTACAGGCATGAGCCACCACACCTGGCCCGGTTTCTCTTTTTAGACAAGTGCGAGGTCACCTGCCTCAATCCCAAGACGTTACAGCTGAGGCTTTCTGACAACCCAAGACACATGGACTAGGGGTTACAAGGCCTAAGCCTCACTTTGGCCTTGCTGCAGGATTGCTGAGTGCCTTTTATACAAGGAATTGTGTTTCTTTGGCCCTCAATATCTTATTTCTAAAACAGGCCTCTTCAAAGTCAAAAGGCTGGCCAGGTGTGGTTGCTCATGCCATAATCCCAGCACTTTGGGAGGCTGAGGAGGATCACTTGAGGTCAGGAGTTTGAGACCAGCCTGGCCAACATGGTGAAACCCCGTCTCTACTAAAAATACAAAAAAATTAGCCAGGCGTGGTGGCGGGTGCCTGTAATCCCAGCTACTCGGGAGGCTGAGGCAGGAGAATCGCCTGAACCCTGGAGGCGGATGTTGCAGTGAGCTGAGATCACGCCACTGCACTCCAGCCTGGGTGATGGAGTGAGACTGTCTCAAAACAAAACAAAAAACAAAGTCAAAAGGCAAACAAAATACTTGCTAAAAAAATTTAGAACCCATAGACGATAACTCACAGAAATTAACTCATTTTCCCAAAATACGCTACAAATTAATGAGAAAAAGACTAATGACTCAAAAGAAAAGCAGGCAAAATAATGGAAAATTTAGAGAAAAAGAAATACAATGATTCTTAGATATATAAAAAGATTCTTAGCTTCATTCCCAAGAGAAAAGAAAATTAAAGCTCCATTAAAGAAACATTTTTTTGCTCAGAGATAAGAAAATTTGATAGCTCACTCTGTTGGTGAAAGTGAGGGAGAAAAGTCACTCCCACACTGTCATACAGGGTTGGTGGGAGCATCACTTGGCACAGCTCTACGGAGGGCAGTCTAGTGTGAGCTAACAAAATTATGATGCATATAGCTTCAGACCCCGCAATTCCACCTCTAGGAATTTACTCTGCTGATATACTCTTATTTGTGCAATGTTATTTTTTACAAGGAAACATATTGTGCAAAGGATATTGTACATTGCCACATGGTTTGTAATCACAAAATACTGGAAATAACCTAGATATCCATCAATAGAGGGGCTGGTCAAACAAATTATGATATACCCACACAGTGGAATACCATGCAATTATTTAAAAAATCTTAATGTACTTGCCGGGCACGGTGGCTCACGCCTATAATCCCAGCACTTTGGGAGGCTGAGGTGGGTGGATCACCTGAGGTCAGGAGTTCGAGACCAGCCTGACCAATATGGTGAAACCCCAGTCTCTATTAAAAATACAAAAATTAGCCTGACGTGGTGGCATGCACCTGTAGTCTCAGCTACTCGGGAGGCTGAGACAGGATAATTGCTTGAAGCCAGGAGGTAGAGGTTGCAGTGAGCTGAGATCACACAACTGCACCCCCGCCTAGGCAACAGAGCAAGACTCTATCTCAAAAAAAAATAAATAAATAAACAAAAAACTTAATGTACTGATATGGAAGGTTCTTTCAGATATATATATATATATAATTATTTTTACATCATTGACATTTTTTCATACTTCAATGCGCCAACTGTATTTTTCTTTAGTGTATTTTTTATGTTCTTTGTTTATCTTTTAGGATTCTAATGTTTTTACTATTTTCAATGAGCTCTACATAGAACAGATATTAACTATTTGTCAGGTTTGCTGTAAGTGTGCTTTTCCCATGTGATTTACTTGTATTTTTATTTTAGTTATAATAACTTTTTATATGAAAATGTGTTAATCTTTTCTTTTGTAATTCATTTAATCTCTTCTTTCTTTGCCTAAAAAAACTATCTCCTTTTAGATGTTCAATAAATATTCAATTCCATTTTCTTCCAGATTTTCTTGGTTTTGTACACATTTTATTTATTATTCCATCGGTAATTTATTTTGTGATATGTTCATCTAAACCATTTTCCCCCAAAATAACTTATCCTTGTTCTATTTAATGAAAGAGCTTTTCTTTATCAACTTATGAGGCCACATTTATCCTATCTTAAACTCTCACAGAATAGGCATATTTTGCTCCATTGATTTCTCCATTCGCTATTTGCTTAGTTCCAAATAGTAAGTAGCAATAACTTCAGAATCTTTTCTTTTTAAAAAGATTTCCAAAAATAAAGACTCCTAGTTTCCTAAGTGGCCAGCTCCAATGTTTTATCACAGGTCTCCAAGGAGCAATAAATTGCTTAGTGCCATAAACTTTCAGTAGAGGAAGAGCTGACCTGGATTGGGCACCATAAGAGCACAAAAAGAAGGAAGAGGGGCAAGCCTTCTTTGAGGCCAAATTCCATCTACAATAAAATCCAAGGAAATGCTCCTACCATTGCACTGGAATCTCCTGTCAAACTGTTGGGAAAACGTAGGTTCTGCTTTTGTTAGAGATGTAGATTGTGATGGTGTTCATTCAAAGGAGATATGACCTATGAAAAGGTCAGAGAAGAAAGAAACCAGAGAAGGAATGGAAACACAACACACAGCTTTCTGAAGAATGTGTGGGCTGCATCTCTGAGTGGTCACCCTGCTGGAGAAAGGGGATCCTGATGTGTTCCAGGGCACCCCAAATAAGCCACCAAATGTTCAGGGAGCTTTCATGATGCGGTGGGATTTCAGTAGATATTTATTTGATAGAATGGGAAGACTTAGCTGTGGGTGAGAGTATTAGCAATGACACAGTACTATCTGAGAATAGTGGTGAGGGAGAGTAAATTAGATCAAAAGAGTCTTCAAGCCTTAGAGTAAGCACAGTGAAACAGATGGAAGAGATGATACAGCAATGAAGACATCTAATTGTCTATTGAAGGCCTTTGAAAGTGAGGATATGAATCTTGGACTTAGGGATCAGAAAACTTTTTCTTTTTTTTTTTTTTTTGAGATGGAGTCTCGCTCTGTTGCCCAGGCTGGAGTGCAGTGGCACAATCTCGGCTAACTGCAACCTCCACCTCGCGGGTTCAAGTGATTCTCCTGCCTCAGCCTCCCGAGTAGCTGGGATTACAGGCGAGTGCCACCACGCCTGGCTAATTTTTGTATTTTTAGTAGAGACGGGGTTTTGCCATATTGGCCAGGCTGGTCTCAAACTCCTGACCTTAGGTGATCTGCCTACTGTGGCCTCCCAAAGTGCTGGGATTATAGGCGTGATCCACCGCGCCCAGCCAGCAAACCTTTTCTAAAAAGCCAGATTGTACTTAAGGCTTTGTGGGCCATATCCTCTCTGTTAAAACTACTAAACTGTGTCCTTGTAGTATAAAAGCAGCTGTAGATAATACGTAAATGAATGCACCTGGCTGTGTTTCCATAGAACTTTATTCATAACATCAGGGAACCAGCAGTTGCTTGTCACACCCAGAACTATGGCATAAAAGGGAAGTCACTCTAGGATCCTAAGAACGATGTGTCAGACTGTGGTCCAGAGAAGATTCTAGCTTTTGATCAGAGGACCTTACACCAACATGTATGGCACCTAAATCCCATTGTGTCCCTCTGGAGTAACCTCAGGGGCTTAGCTCTGCTGAGAGGCTCCCAGACACCCCTAATTGTATAGATCTCCGACTCATGATGGCACAGCAAAAGATCTGTAGTGTCCAAAAGGGAAAAGAGACAAGAACCCTGATGGTCTGAGGTCCAACCTCCCTGCTGAAGCCTCTTCAGTTGTTTCAGGAGAGTGGCCAGGGGACATCCTGGGCGGGGTGGGGGGTGCAGTGGCAAGGAAGCTGTGTGCCCCATCAGAGGGGGCCAAGCTGGATTCGAGCCCAGGTTCATTAACCCTTCTTGTCTGTGAACGGTGGCTGGTGGCTCAATTCCTTCCAGTCCTCTACTGCCCCTGACTTTACTGCCTCAGGAGACTCTGCCTGTGGGAGACTACAGGGATCCTTGATATAAACTATCCCCATCCCCCTCACCCATCTCAACATCATTCCTACTCTTAGGAGACCTCCTGTGCTGTCTGTCATTCACACAAACATACATATTTGCTCATATGTGCCTGTAGGTACACACATTCTTGCATGAAAAAAGAGACACTTCTCTAAATATATATACAGAGAAAGGCATACAAGGGCCAGGTGCAGTGGCTCACGCCTGTAATCCCAGCACTTTGGGAGGCTGAGGCGGGTGGATCACTTGAGGTTAGGAGTTCGAGACCAGCCTGGCCAACACGGCGAAACCCCGTCTCTACTAAAAATACAAAAATTAGCTGGGTGTGGTAGTGGGCACCTGCGCTACTCAGGAGGCTGAGACAGGAGAATCGCTTGAACCCAGGAGGCAGAGGTTGCAGTGAGCTGAGATCATGCCACTGCACTCTAGCCTGGGCGACAGCGTGAGACTTCGTCTCATAAAATAAAATAAAAATAGAAAGGCTTACAAGGGCATTCTAACAATGGGGACTAATGACATTCTATGAAGATAATGGGATACCGTGCAGGCAATAAAAACTGTTTCTAAAAATAAATTAGGCTAGATGCGGTGGCTCATGGCCTGGAGCGGTGGCTCATGCCTGTAATTCCAGCACTTTGGGAGGCCACGTTGGGCGGATCACAAGGTCAAGAGATCGAGACCATCTGGCCAACATGGTGAAACCCCATCTCTACTAAAAATACAAAAATTAGCTGGGCATGGTGGCGCACGCCTGTAGTCCCAGCTACTCGAGAGGCTGAGGCAGGAGAATTGCTTGAATCCCGGAGGCGGAGGTTGCAGTAAGTCACGATTGTGCCACTGCACTCCAGACTGGCGACAGAGCGAGACTCTGTCTCAAAATAATAATAATAATAATAATAAAAAGAAATTGATGACATGGGAAAATACGATCAATATAAAAAAGCATCAAAACTGCATATACAATATAATGACAAATCTTTTCTTTTTTTTTTTTGAGACGAAGTCTCTCTCTGTCACCCAGGCTGGAGTGCAATGGTGGGATCTCAGCTCACTGCAACCTCCGCCTCCCAGATTCAAGCAATTCTCCTGCCTCAGCCTCCCAAGTAGCTGGGATTACAGGCGCACACCACTGCACCCGGCTAATTTTTGTATTTTCAGTAGAGACGAGGTTTTGCCATGTTTGCCAGGCTGGTTACAAACTCCTGACCTCAGTTGATTCGCCTGCCTCGACCTCCCAAGATCACAAATCTTTTAAAAAAATGTATACACACATGCACACAAACACATGGACGCACACCACACGAGATGTGTGTGAGAAAATCCGGGAGGAAATAAACCAAAGTGTTAGCAGTGAGTGTTGGGGTTACATGCACGTTTTAAGAAGATCTTTAAAATACACACACATAAATACACATATACAAGATGTCAATCTGGGCCAGGCGAGGTGGCTCACGCCTGTAATCCAAGCACTTTGGGAGGCAAAGGTGGGTGGATCACCTGAGGTCAGGAGTTCAAGACCAGCCTGGCCAAAATGATGAAACCCCGTCTCTACTAAAAATACAAAAAAATTAGCTGGGCATGGTGGTGGACGCCCATAGTCCCAGCTACTTGGGAAACTGAGACAGAGGTTGCAGTGAGCTGAGATCATGCCACTGCACTCCAGCCTGGGCAACAAGAGGGAAACTCCATCTCAAAAAAAAATGTAAATCTATTACAGAAATATTAGAAAATAGAGGCATAAAGAAAAGTAAAATTCCCCAATTGTGGACGAGTTTTTTTCTTCATTAAACTTTGCAGTAATTGAAACACTTATTCTTTATCATGTAACCAGAAAAACTTTACAATTACAATGTTTTCAGAAAAAAAAGAAAGGCATGTATGTATGCATGTATGTATGCATGTATGCATGTATGTATGTATTTATTTATTTTTGGAGACAGGCTCTCACTCTGGAGAGCTGTGGCACAAAAATAGCTCACTGCAGCCTTGGACTCCTGGGTTCAAGTGAATCTCCCATGTCAGCATCCCGAGTAGTTAGGACTACAGGCATGCACCACCATGCCTATCTAATTTTTAAATTTTTTATAGAGATGGGGTCTTACTATGTTGACCAGGCTGGTCTTGAATGCCTGGCCTCAAGCAATCCTCCCACCTTGGCTTCCCAAAGTGCTAGGATTACAGGCATGGACCACTGCACCCAGCCTGTTATTTTACTATTATTATTATTTATTTATTTTTGAGATGGAGTCTCATTCTGTTGCCCAGGCTGGAGTGTAGTGGTGCAATCTCAGCTCACTGAAACCTCCGCCTCCCAGGTTCAAGAGATTCTCCTGCCTCAGCCTCCCAAGTAGCTGGGACTACAGGCGAGTGCCACTACACCTGGCTAATTTTTGCATTTTTAGTAGAGACGGGGTTTCACCATGTTGGCCAGGCTGATCTCGAACTCCTGACCTCAGGTGATCTGCCCACCTTGGCCTCCCAAAGTGCTGGGATTACAGGTGTGAGCCACTGTGCCCGGCCACCCAGCTTGTTATTTTTAAAAAGAACATATATTCAAAAGTATAGGCCAGGTGCGGTGGCTTATGCCTGTAATCCCAGCACTTTGGGAGGCTGAGGTGGGTGGATCACTTGAGGTCAGGAGTTCGAAACCAGCCTGGCCAACATGGTGAAACCCTGTCTTTACTAAAAATACCCAAAAAATTAGCCGGCACAGTGGCCTGTGCCTGTAATCTCAGCTAGTCAGAGGGTGGGGCATGAGAATCACTTGAACCCAGGAGGTGGAGGTTGCAGTGAGCCAAGATCGAGCCACTGCACTCCAGCCTGGCTGACAGAGCAAGATTCTGTCTCAAAAGAAAAGAAAAGAAACGGTGGGTGATGCGTAGCAAGAAAAGAAAACAGTCCCTTTCAGGAGCTTGCAGTTTGCGTTCAGCAGCAGCAGCATCTGCCCGCAGCTACACATTGGTCCTTTCTGAGGAGAGCCTATCCAACAGGCCCTTCCCTCTCGAATGGAAATTCTAGTGACCCGAATAACTAGCTGTGGCCTAATGAAATGAACATCCCAAAGATGGCTGAGGATCTCTCCGCAGCTGGTGGGGGAGGTCACATGGAGGGACTGCTCCTGCAAGCTTTAGGGTCCCAGATGCAGCCCAGATGCGGTAGATACTCCATGAATATTTGATGAGCTAATGGAGGAAGTGGTGAAGTCTCCAGCTGTCCCCTAGAACAGGGCACACAGCAGACACCCAGATGTGGATGAGCAGAATAATGAGCACGGACACCGTGTCCCGCTGAGGGCTTGCAAGGATCCGTGGCAATCAGACACGTGCTCTGGACAACTGGATTCTCTTTGTTCAGGACAGCTACAGATACAGATACAGCTGGACGTTAAGTTCTTGTTGACATTCTCACCTACTGGGCTTAGCTGCTTTGGTGGCAGAGGCTCTAGGTTTTCTCCAGCCCAGCAGTGACAAGAAGAAAAGGGTTGGTAAGCCTTTATTTCCTGGTATCAGGGAGGAGCGTTCTGCCCTGAATGCAGAGCTGCCTTGGGCAGATGTTTTTTTTTTTTTGAGACAGAGTTTCACTCTTTTACCCAGGCTGGAGTGAAGTGGCATGATCTTGGCTTACTGCAACCTCTGCCCCCCAGGTTCAAGTGATTCTCCTGCCTCTGCCTCCCGAGTAGCTGGGATTACAGGCACCCGCCACCACACCTGGCTAATTTTTGTATTTTTAGTAGAGATGGGGTTTCACCATGTTGGCCAGGCTGGTCTCAAACTCCTGACCTCAGGTGATCCACCCGCCTTGGCCTCCCAAAGTGCTAGGATTACAGGCAGGAGCCACCGCGCTTGGCCTGGGCAGATGTTTTTCATTGTTCCTCAGGGGTGAGGCAGTTCACTCCCCGCATGAAGTGGGGAGCCAGGTAGGACCCAGAGGGGACAGACCAGGTGTGACAGCTTGCTTTCTTCTTCTAAGTCAGGCTTCTCTGCCATGGGAAATGAAGGATTTCCTAAATGTTGAAGACATCCCTATTCCAATGAAAACACCAACAACACATTTCCAAGGCAAGCAGAGAGCATTTGCTAATTGTCAGTTGCCATGGATTATTCTTGATGACACCCTTTTCCATATGAGAAGAGAAATGACAGTTAACTGGTGCAGGCAAGTATTGTAGCAATTTATCTGGGTCTGTAAGATCCATCCTTTGGGATAGGTTGTTCCCTCACCTCTTCCAGAAGCCTGGTGGCAGGCAGCATCCCTTTATGGCCATCAAGCACAGGAGACAGGCTTCAGGTGGAGACAGCCCCACCTGCCAGCGATGCTGACCCTGTGGGGCTGGGACAGGAAGACCACTGCTTTTCCTAGGCTGGAAACAGAGCCTTGCCATGAGATTTAAGTTGACCTTTGCAGCTGGTACTTGGCCTTCCTTAATTTCTTCCACTAAATATTGTAGAACTGTTAGGCCTTCCAGGAAAACCAAAGAAATAGAATATATACATTTTTCTTTCTTTCTTTCTTTTAACTTAGGTTTAGAATATAAACCTTTTGACCTTGAGGAATTTATAATCTAGTTGGGGAGATGTTTTTAAGATATATTAAGGCTGGGCATGGTGGCTCACGCCTGTAATCTCAACACTTTGGGAGGCTGAGGCGGGTAGATCATGAGGTCAGGAGATCGAGACCATCCTGGCTAACACGGTGAAACCCCATCTCTACTAAAAAAAAAATACAAAAAATTAGCCGGCCATGGTGATGGCCCAGCTACTCGGGAGGCTGTAGTCCCAGCTACCTGGGAGGCTGAGGCAGGAGAATGGCGTGAACCCGGGAGGTGGAGCTTGCAGTGAGCCGAGATCGGGCCACTTCACTCCAGCCTGGGCGACAGTACGAGACTCTGTCTCAAACAAACAAACAAACAAGCAAACAAAAATAACAAAAAAAGAAATGGTTTAACTGAGTGTTACAGATAATCAGAGAGAAAGAAGTCCCAGGGATTGGGATGGCTGGAGACGCTTCTTAAAGGACGCATGATTGAACTGGGCCTCAGAGGATGGGGAGAGGTCCCGGTAAGAGCCAAGGGCAGAGTTAAAAATGACCTCGCTGGTTGGCACCTGTGGGCCACATCTGGCCCACCACCTGTTTTTGTACAAGCCATGACTTAAGAATTAACTTTTACATTTTTAAATGGTTGGAAAAATAAATATTTCATGACAAGTGACAATCATATAAAAGTCAAATTTCGCCGGGCGCGGTGGCTCACGCCTGCAACCCCAGCACTTTGGGAGGCCAAGGCGGGCAGATCACAAGGTCAGGAGATCGAGACCATCCTGTGAATGGTGAAACCCCGTCTCTACTAAAAATACAAAAAATTAGCCAGGCGTGGTGGCGGGCGCCTGTAGTCCCAGCTACTCGGGAGGCTGAGGCCGGAGAATGGCGTAAACCTGGGAGGTGGAGCTTGCAGTGAGCCAAGATCGTGCCACTGCACTCCAGCCTGGGCGACAGAGCAAGACTCCGTCTCGAAAAAAAAAAAAAAAGTCAAATTTCAGCATTCAGGTCAGGTGCGGTGGCTCACGCCTGTAATCCTAGCACTTTGGGAGGCCAAGGCGGGCGGATCACTTGAGGTCAGGAGTTTGAGACCAGCCTGGCCAACATGGTGAAACCCCATCTCTACTAAAAGTACAAAAATTAGCCAGGCGTGGAGGCGCATGCCTGTAATCCCAGCTACTTGGGAGGCTAAGGCAGGAGAATTGCTTGAACCCGGGAGGTGGAGCTTGCATTGAGCCGAGACTGTGCCACTGCACTCCAGCCTGGGAGACAGAGCAAGACTCCGTCTCAAAAAACAAAAACAAAAAACAACAACAACAAAGGTTGATTGAAATACAGCCACACTCATTTATTTACGCATTGTCTATGACTGCCTCACACTACAGTGGCCACTCTCAGTAGTTACAACAGAGACCATATGGCCCACACAGCCCCAAATATTTACTCTATGGCCCTTTAGAGAGAGTGCGCATGTCCCAGGCCTGCATCAGAGGGGTAGTTGGTAGGCTCTGGATGGAAGGGGCATTTGTATGTAGGATCTATGGGAGATTAGGGGTAATGGGTGCCAAGATATCTGTTACAAATGCTAGTCCTGCAGGCAATGGGTTGAAATTACCATCTATATCAATAAGGTTATATTATCTATGTGCATATGGTATGTAACTCCAGAAAGTTCAAAAGGATATTCTGTAAAAAGAAGGTCAGCCTTCCCCCTGCCCTCTGGGCATTCAGACAGGACAACTCCTCTGAGGTCCTCAGTTACTCATGCTTGGGTATCCGCACAGAGATTTTTTTTTCACCTCCAACATTGGGGATGGAGATATTCTTACACATACATGTGTAAGTTTACATATATGTATATTCTTTCATCTTTATATATATGCATGTTATTTCATTTAAAAAAACCCACATATAGACATGTGCGAGTTTACATGTATGTATATTCTTTCATTAAAAAACCCACAGGCTGGGTGCGGTGGCTCATGCCTGTAATCCCAGCACTTTGGGAGGCCAAGGCAGCTGGATCACTTGAGCCTAGGAGTTCAAGATTAGCATGGCCAACATGGTGAAACCCCGTCTCTACAAAAAATACAAAAATTAGCTGGGCTGGTGGCGTGTGCCTGTAATCCCAGGTACTTAGAAGGCTGAGGTGGGAGGATTGACTGAGTCCAGGAGTTCAAGGCTGCAGTGCGCCGTGATTGCACCACTGCACTCCTGCCTGGGTGACAGAGCGACAACACCCTGACTCAATTAAATCAACAACAACAACCCACAAATGGCAAAATACTTTAAAACTACTGTTCTACATCATGCCTTTCCGTCTTGTATCTTAGAGTATGCTCTATGTTAAGACATTCTTAACAGTTGTATGGGACGGATGTACCATCTTTTATTTACCCAGTTTGAGGAGGTTTCTGAGCCAGAATCTCAATCGTATTTTAGGAAGCTTTTTTGAGCAGAGGGGCTCCAAGAGAACTAGAGGGAGGAAGACCAGTCAGCCAGCGTTGTACAAATCCAGGAGCCCGGCAGGGCAGGTGGAGGTGGCCTGGAATTCCAGTGCTGGCCGGAACTCCAGAGTGCTCAAGGCCACCATGCTTTGGCCCCCTCTCCTGCCACCATTCCCAGGGGACTCATACCTTGGTGAGTGTGTCAGGGATGGAAGAGGTGGGAGAAGCAGGAAAATTCAAGACACACTTCTTTCCCAGGCAGCGACCATGTAACTCGATGTCCTCATAAGGGTTCTCCTTCATTGGCGGATCTGTGTTCAAAGGCAATGTGTCAGGAACCTGGGAACACTGAGGACATTTCCCTTTTCAAAACACTGAGGTCAGTATCTTGGCCTCTCCTGTGTCCATTCTTGTAGGCATATCTGCTGTTTTGCCATCCATGCGCCCCTCCTGTTGGCAGCAGTCTCTGATTTCACTGGGTTACCTCTCCATCTCCTCATTTGTGGCCATGGGAGATTAACTCCATTCTCAGTTTCAGCGCTTTAGCCAATCTAGGTATCCCAAATCCCTGCCTCAGTGATCAGTTCAGGGAAGGGCTCATATTCTAAGCCTAAGTGATATCACTGCATGGCATTCCCCGGCTCTAAAGGTGAACAAATGACCTTGGCTGGTCTAATGAGGGTGAACCTCAGGATTTCTGCTGGGACTTGCAGGATACCAGCTCTTCTCTCCACCAAGAAGATATGGATTCCAGGAAGCTGGTGGCAGCCATTGTGGGGACGCTGGGAAGCCTGCTGAGAATAAAGCTAACCTGAGAGGTAAGAAATGGAGGAAGGGGGCTGGGTGCGGTGGCTCACACCTGTAATCCCAGGACTTTGGGAGGCCGAAGGGGGTGGATCACTTGAGCCCAGGAGTTTGAGACTAGCCTGGGCAATGTGGGAAAACCCCGTCCCTCCTAAAAAAGAAAACACACACACACACACACACACACACACACACACACACACAAATTAACTGAGTGTGGTGGTGGGCGCCTATAATCCCAGCTACTTGGGAGGCTGAGGCAGGAGAATTGCATGAACCTGGGAGGCGGAGGCTGCAGTGAGTTGAGACTGTGCCGTTGAACTCCTGGGTAACAGAGTGAGACTCCTGTCTCAAAAAATAAAAAATAAAAAAGAAAGAAAGAAAAGAAATGGAGGAAGGAAAAGCTAGTTTAGTTGGGTTTTCTGTTCCTTGTAACTGAAAGCATCCTCTTGGGCAGTCACTGCTAAGAGAAGTCCAGATCTCGCTCCCATTTTAGATCTGGGAATCCCGCTGCTTTGGCAGGAGCCCATCTCCAGCAGCCTGGACACAGATGCAATTCCAATTGCTTAGCTAAGCATCTGCCTTCCTCAAATTTTCTATTTCCTCCTTCTGTAAGTTTTTTCTAGTATTGATGATTACATGCCAGCATGTCTGCATATATCCACCCTACCTGCCCCTCACCAGCACACACATATGGGTTTCTCCCTTTTATCAGCTTGTTTCTTCCCCCACCTTTCACCCGCACCGTAAGCAGTTGGAGCTCGCCCTTCACTAAAACCATCAACCTCCCTGAAGATGACTGAACTCACCAAACTCTGAATCTGAGACCCACTCTGAAATCTCAGAGGACGCTTTAGAGCCAAAGTTACTTTTTAAATCACATTTAGTCTGTGTTCTGATGCCCTGTTAGTGCCACACTCTGACAGTTTCTGAAGGAGGCTCTGTTGTGTAGTGTTTTCTTTCATTCAGTAATCCCTGCAGTTGACTGAGCATCTGTCATATGTGAGGTAGTTGACACAACATTCTCTCCAGTCCTTAACCTTGCAAGGGAGCTAGCTTCATCCTCATTATGCAGATGGGAGAACTCAGTTCAGAGACGTGAAGTCACTGGCTCAATGTCCTGCGGCCAACAGGCAGCAGAACCAAGATGTGGTTCTGGATCTTCAGACTCCAGGCCCCACGCTTCTCGCTATGCCACGCTGCCACACTGCCTCCTTGGCCACTCATTACCAGCTAGTCTTCCCCCTCCAGCCCTAGGGTCTGTCATATATCCCACAAGGCTCACTCTCCCACCCCACCTGCCTGCTTTTTCATCCGAGTGCACAGGTGTCTTCAAGTGTGTGTGTGTGTACATGTGTGTGCACGTGTGTTTCCAGCAGCCAGCCCCATTCTCCCTCCCCTTTCTCCCAGACAGACTCAGATCCGCACACAGACGCTGTGGCTTCTTACCTAGAATGTCTTCATAGACGTTCTCCTCCGATAAAGTGCGTGTCAGCCCCAGCTTAGTCTGCGCGTACCAGTCCACCCTGCTGCTCTCAGAGGAAGACTGCAGTAAATCTTCAAACTCATAGGACTTTCTGGAATGTGCCAGATGGGAGGAAAAAACAAAGAATTTGAATCAAATTAGGCTGTTTCAGAGAATATATTAATATATCCCCTCGGCCAAATTTTCTTTTTCTTAGAAAAATTGTTACCGAAATCAACTTTTATTTTATTTCATTTTTTGAGACAAAGTCTTGCTCCGTTGCCCAGGCTGGAGGGCAGCGGCGCCATCTTGGCTCACTGCAACCTGCGCTTCCTGGGTTCAAGCAATTCTTCTGCCTCAGCCTCCAGAGAAGCTGGGACTATAGGCATGCACCACCATGCCTGGCTAGTTTTTGTATTTTTAGTAGAGACAAAGTTTCACTGTGTTGGCCAGGCTGGTCTCGAACTCCTGACCTCAGGTGATCTGCCTGTCTTGGCCTCCAAAAGTGCTGGGATTATACACTGTGCCCGGCCTGAAATCAACTTCTGTTATTGTAAAAGGTGTGAAAATCCATGAATAAGAGATGTGGCTTTTATGTGCAAGAATGTTCATGCTATTATGCTAAGTGAAAATAATAAAGTATATGTAAAAAAATAAAATCCCAACTTTGTAAACAAACATAGACGTAGAAAATAGAAAAGGGGGCCGGGAGCAGTGGCTCACTAGTATAGACAGGGACTGTCTATACTATTTTACAAATCAGGACACGAAGTTTCAGCCCATTTATGTAGTTCATCCAAGTCTAAAAGGCTTGTGACTAAGGATATGGAACAGTCCTTATTATAGTACAGATAGTCCCTGACTGTCTTATTACAGTATAGACAGTCCCTGACTGTGTATACTATAGATACACAGCAACACGCCCTGCTAATTTTTGTACCTTTTTGTAGAACGGGGTTTTGTCATGCTGCCCAGGTTGGTTTCAAACTCCTGACCTCAAGTGATCCTCCTGCCTGGGCCTCCCAAAGTGCTGGGATTACAGGTGGGAGCCACCGTGCCCAACCCAAAATTACTATTCTTATCCACTTTTTTTGGCACTTTTTTTTTTTTTTTTTGAGACCTGGAGTGCAGTGGCATGATCTTGGATCACTGCAACCTCTGCCTCCTGGGTTCAAGCGATTCTCCTGCCTCAGCCTCCCGAGGAGCTGGGATTACATGCATGTATCACCATGTCTGGCTAATTTTTGTATTTTTAGTAGAGACAAGGTTTCACCATGTTGGCCAGGCTGGTCTCGAACTCCTGACCCCAGGTGATCTGCCTGCCTCAGCCTCCCAAAGTGCTAACATTACAGGCGTGAGCCACTGTGCCCGGCCTCTTATACACATTTTATTTATCAGAAGACAGAGGCATAGAGGGGTTAGATAAATTGCTCCAGGTATATTGGGAAAAGGTGGTGGAATTAGGGTCTGACCGCAGGAAGTCTGGTTGGAGACTGATGCTTTTAATGACACAGGGCATTATGGAGAGCATTTATTTAAGTGAGGCATGTCAGGAGGGAAGCTGCATTCACAGGCTCCAAACTAAAACAGGCTGAATTTCAACAGTTTGCTGTTGGGAACCTGAACTAATTTTCCATACAAAACTGCATTACACAGTGATAATTACATTGCTGCATTACACAGTACTGTGCGATACCCAGGCAGACCCTCTGTTTCCCTCAAGTAGTAAGTAATCTATGCTATGAGGAGATGCTATGAACCCTTACAGGGAAAAGGGGGACAGGAAGGGGTCATTTCACTGGAAGCCAGGCAGTTTCTCCCACTCTCAGGGCCAGGGTAGTAACCACCACCTACAGGTAAAGCCTTGACTGCCTAGAATTACAGCACGACCCTGGCTGAGTTTGGCCTTTTCTTTGAGAGAGAGAAAGGGGCTGTAGCTGTGCCTTGCTTTGCCATGGCGAGAGCTCTATTTATTTTTAGAAACAGGTTCTCCCTCTGTTGCCCAGGCTGGAGTGCAGTGGTGCCACCACAGCTCACCGCACCTCAAATTCCTGGGCTCAGGCAATCCTTGTCCTTCAGCCTCCGGAGTAGCTGAGACTGCAGTTGCATGCCACCATGGCTGGCTAAGTTTTAATTTTTTGTAGAAATGGAGGTCTTGCTTTGCTGCCCAGGCTGGTCTCAAACTTCTGGGCTCAAGCGATCCTCCTGTCTCAGCCTCCCTGTTGTCTGGGATTATAGTTCTGTTTTTATTTTTTAAAATCTCATTGGAAACAATATTTGTATAGGTCAAATTTCGAAATGATAAAGTACCTATGAAATAACATCTGAATCTTTAAAATGTTTTCATAATAACTGCCCTAACAACAGAAGATATTTGTATGGTTAAAGGCTCTCCAAATCTCAGCGGATGACTCGCTTATTTAAAGCACATGTAATGCAGGCCGGGCGCGGTGGCTCATGTCTGTAATTCCAGCACTTTGGGAGGCCGAGGCGGGCGGATCACTTGAGGTTGGGGGTTCGTGACCAGCCTGGCCAACATGGTGAAACCTTGTCTCTACTGAAAATACAAAAATTAGCTGGGCATGGTGGTGTGCACCTGTAATCTCAGCTACTCGGGAGGCTGAGGCAGGAGAATCGCTTGAACCGGGGAGGTGGAAGTTGCAGTGAGCTGAGATTGCGCCACTGCACTCTAGCCTGGGCGACAGAGACTCTGTCTCAAAAAATACATACATACATAAAAATAGAGCACATGTAATGCAAGCGGGAATCCAGATTATGTGTTGGGGTTTGTTGGGATAGGATTAGCTTTTATCCCAGTGGTTACTGTCAGACACCTGGGATTTCAAGACATAGTTTGAATGTTTTGTATAATCCTTCTATATTTCCAAGAACAAGATGCTAATATAAGAGCTCAGGCCAGACACAGTGGCTCATGCCTGTAATCCCAGCACTTTGGGAGGCTGAGGCAGGAGGATTGCTTGAGGCCAGGAGTTCAAGGCCAGCCTGGGCAACAAAGTAAGATCCCATCTCTACAAAAACTAACAATTACAAAAATTAGCTGGGCATGGTGGCATGTGCCTGAAGTTCCAACTACTTGGAAGGCTGAAGTGGGAGGATCCCTTGAGCCTAGGAGGCACAGGTTGCAGTGAGCTGAGATCATGCCACTTGCACTCCAGCCTGGGTGAGAGAGTGAGATCTTGTTTCTGGGGAATAATAATAATAATAAAAAAAAGGTCAGCCATGCTTTACATTTGATTTCTGACACATAAAAGGTCACTAGTCTAAACAGCATTAGAAAAGTCCAATTTGAAAACAATTAAAAACTCCCTTTAAAAAAATGAAGATGGGGGTGGGCGCAGTAGCTCACACCTATAATCCTAGCACTTTGGGAGGCCGAAGCAGGTGGACTGCTTGAGCTCAGGAGTTTCAGACCAGCTGGGCAACAGAGCAAGACCCTGTCTCTATAAAAGATACAAAAATTAACTGGGTGTGGTGGGGCACACCTATAGCCCCAGTTACTTGGGAGGCTGAGGTGGGAGGATCCCTTGAGCCAGGGAGTCGGAGGATGCAGTGAGCCAAGATCAAGCCACTGCATTCCAGCCACTGCACTCTCACTCATTTTGAGACAGAGTGAGACCCTGTTTCAAAATAAAAGATGGTTATTCACGTTGCAAAACTAATTTGCAAAACGATTCATCAAAAGGTTTCTCAAATAGCAGCTCTATTTCCTGTATTAAAGGGTTAGTTTTCAGGTGACTAATTCCTATGCAGGAAGTCTGAAAGGCAAACAAATTAACATGAGGTACAGTCCATACAAGATCAAGGAGAAGCCAGAAATCTTTACATGCCCAGTTTCTAGAACTAGTAGGAAAGTAGGATTCCAATTATAACATTTGATCTATCATTGTCATGTGTTGGTAACACATGCCAAAGCATTTAGAAAGTTAGCTCTTCCTAGCAGTTCTTTATTTTCCCTCCCTTCCTTCCTTTCTTTCTTTCTTTCTCTTTCTTTCTTTCTTTCTTTCCTTCCTTCCTTCCTTCTTTCTCTCTCTTTCCTTTCCTTTCTCTCTCTCTTTTCTTTCTCTTTCCCTCCCTCCTTTTCTTTCCTTCCTTTCTTTCTTTTCTTTTCTTTCTTTCTTTTTCCTTCTCTTTCTTTCCCTCCCTCCCTCCCCTTCCTTCTTTCCTTCCTTCCCTTCCCTTTCCTTCCTTCCTTCTTTCTTTCTTTCTTTTTCTTCCTCTCTCTTTCTCCTCCCTTCCCTTCCCTCCCCTCCCCTCCCCCCTCCCTACTCCCCTCCCCTCCCCCTCCCCTCTCCCTCCTCTCCCCTCCCCTTCCCCTCTCCCTCCTCTCCCCTCCCCTCCCCTTCTTTTCTTCTTCTTTTTTTTTTTTTTGATGGAGTTTCGCTCTTGACGCCCAGGCTCTTGTCACCCAGGTGCAATCTCGGCTCGCTGCAGCCTCTGCCCTCTGGGTTCAAGCAATTCTCCTGCCTCAGCCTCCCGAGTAGCTGAGATTACAGGCGCCTGCCACCACATCTGGCTAATTTTTATTTTTTTTTTTTGAGACGGAGTCTCGCTCTGTCGCCCAGACTGGAGTGCAGTGGTGCGATCTTGGCTCACTGAAAGCTCCACCTCCTCGGTTCACACCATTCTCCTGCCTCAGGCTCTCGAGTAGCTGGGACTACAGGCGCCTGCCACCATGCCCAGCTATTTTTTAAAATTTTATTTTTAGTAGAGACTGGGTTTCACCGTGTTAGCCAGGATGGTTTTGATCTCCTGACGTTGTGATCTGCCCACCTCAGCCTCCCAAAGTGCTGGGATTACAGGTGAGAGCCACCACGCCCAGCTAATTTTTCGTTTTTAGTAGAGACAGGGTTTTGCCATGTTGGGCAAGCTGGTCTTGAACTCCTGACCTCAGGTGATCCGTGCCCTGCCCTTTTTTTTTTTCTTTTTTTGAGACAGAGTCTGGCTCTGTCGCCCAGGCCGGAAGGCAGTGGGGCGATCTCAGCTCACTGCAACCTCCGCCTCCAGGGTTCAAGCAATTCTCCTGCCTCAGCCTCCTGTGTAGCTGGGATTACAGGCACCTGCCACCATGCCTGGCTAATTTTTGTATTTTTTGTAGAGATAGGGGGGTTTCACCATGTTGGCCAGGCTGGTCTTGAACTCCTGGGCTCAAGCGACCCACCCACCTCAGCCCCCCAAAGTGCTGGGATTACAGGTGTGAGCCACCATGCCCGGACCACCTAGCATTATTTCTACAGCCTACATAAATGTCAGGGACATCAGTCCTCCCCTTCTGAGGTTTAGGTAGGTGATTAGGCTCCCTGAAGAGGAGAAATGTGATCACACCAATCCTTCAACTGCTAACCTAATTCTGTTCTCTACAAATATTTTTTTTAACTTGAAAGTTTTAGTACCTTCATTTACACATTAACTTTGAGAGAAAGGAAACTGTGAAAGGTTAATGAACGATAACCACATCCAAACAGGCTTCTCTCTAATTTAAACATTTTCAACATTCATTCCACATCCCGCCTGCAAGTTTAATAAGTAAACATGCGAGTCACATTGTGCTCAAAGTGGGTGATACAAAGGCGAGAGGTCCCTGCCTTTGGGGAGCCCACAGCCTGGGGAAGAGGTGTAACCTCCACTCAGCCTCACTTTACTTCCCAGGTCCTCAAATGATCGTTTGATATTTGGTGCTTCTGAGTTTCAGAGATGCTAGAATGAGCTGGTTGTTCCAAAGAACTTTGCTGAAGGGCGTTATAACCTATGTAATAGCCAAATTTCAACAACCAATGCCAAACACTGTGATTCTGAGTCGTATTTTGAATGTTCTTCATGACTTCTCCATATTTTTGTAAATGAAATGCTAACTTAGAGCTCCTCCCATTTGGACAATGCGGAAGAATCTCAAAGCTGAACTCGTAATCCTATTGCCTCTCTGATGAGAACCAACTCCTTGCCCAGTGTTGCCATCCAAAGGTTTAGGTCTGAAACCTGGAAATCAGACTCCTAGCCTCCCTCCCACTTACTGCCTACGTCTAACTAGTTAACCCAAGTTTTACCTCCAAAGCATCTCTTGAACCCACCCACTTCTCTCAGTCCCCGAGGCAGCTACACCACAGGGTAACCACAAGACCTCACTGTTTCTCCCCATCGCCTCACCGCACCTGCCCATTGGTGCCCACCCAGTCTCCAGGCTGCTGACAGGATGGTCTCTTAAACAAGCAAATCTTTTTTTTTTTTTTCTTTTTTCTGAGATGGAGTTTCACTCTTGTTGCCCAGGCTGGGGTTAAATGCTGTGATCTAGGCTTACTGCAACCTCTGCCTCCTGGATTCAGGCGATTCTCCTGCCTCAGCCTCCCAAGTAGCTGGGATTACAGGCACCCACCATCCATGCCTGACTAATTTTTTGTATATTTACCCGAAACGAGGTTTCACCATGTAGGCCAGGCTGGTCTCGAACTCCTGGCCACAGGTGATCCACCCCCTTCAGACTCCCAAAATGTTGGGATTACAAGCGTGAGCCACCGTGCCCGGCCTTAAACATGCAAATCTGATTATCTCTCTCCCCTTCTTAAAAATGTTCCTTTTTTCCATTGCCCTTAGGTAATAGGCCCAAATCCACACCTTGTGTATAGGTCCAGAAGACCTTCAGGCCTCACCCCAGACCCTTCCTGGCCCTCAGGCCACACTCCTGCCTTGCAGTTCCTCTGACATGATGCAGTCTTTCCTGTCTCAGGGCTTTCACCTATTAGTTCACTCAAACTGAACGTCCACTCCCCACCCTCCCGCTGGCCCGAGCGTCACTTCCTCTTGATCCCATCTGTTTCCCTGATAGGCTACACATCCCTGCTGAATGTTCCCATGGCACCAGGATTCCTCACAGCACTGACAGGAGTTATGATCACGACACCAGCTGTGTCCTTCCAACTATTACTGGTCTGCAAATCCCGTGAGGACAGAGTCTCCGTCTATCTCGCTCATTATTACATTCCTATGTCTAACACTCGATAGGTGCGTGGTAAATATTTGTTGGTTGAATAAGTGAATGAGTATTTTATTTTATTATTTATTTATTTTCGCTCTGTCGCCAGGCTGGAGTGCAATGGCGCATCTCAGCTCACTGCAACCTCTGCCTTCCGGTTCAAGCGATTCTCCTGCCTCAGCCTCTCAAGTAGCTGGGACTACAAGTGCGTGCCACCATGCCCAGCTAAATTTTGTATTTTTAGTAGAGATGGGGTTGCACCATGTTGGCCAGGAAGGTCTCGATCTCTTGACCTTGTCATCCGCCTGCCTCAGCCTCCCAAAGTGCTGGGATTACAGGCGTGAGCCACCTTGCTGGACCATTTTGTTTTTTGAGATGGAGTCTTGCTCTGTGCCCAGGCTAGAATGCAGTGGCAGGATTTCGGCTCATTGCAACCTCCACTTCCTGGATTCATGTGATTCTCCTGCCTCAGCCTCCCGAGGAGCTGGAATTGCAGGTGTGTGCCACCATGCCTGGCTAATTTTTGTGTTTTTAGTAGAGACAGAGTTTCCCCATGTTAGCCAGGCTGGTCTCAAACTCCTGACCTCAAGTGATCTGCCCACCTCGGCCTCCCAAAGTCCTGGGATTACAGGCATGAGCCACCATGCCTGGCCCCGTGAATGAATATTTTAAAAGCTGGTTTTAAGTGCTACATTTACTGTTTATAATTTATCCCTACTTCAAGATTTAAAAAAAAAAAGCAGCTGTATTATTGAGTTAATTTTTAGTAAATTGTTTTGAATCCATTTCCCCCAGGATTATTTTCCTCTATGGATTAAAAAAGCTTGGCTACAGGCCAGGTGTGGTGGCTCACGCCTATAATCCTAGCACTTTGGTAGGCTGAGGCAGGCAGATGGCTTGAGTCCAGGAGTTCAAGACCAGCCTGGGCAACATAGCAAAACCCTGCCTCTACAAAAAATACAAAAATTAGCTGGGTGTGGTGGCATGTGCCTGTGGTCGCAACTACTCCGGAGGCGGAGGCAGGAGAATCACTTGGCCCAGGAGGCGGAGGTTGCAGTGAGTTGAGATTGCACCACTGCACTCCGGCCTGGGAGACAGAGCAAGACCCTGTTTAAAAAAAAAAAAAGCTTGGCTAGCCTGGCACCTAGCGACCATTTAAAACATCATCCAGCTGGGTTAGAAATCAAGGATGCCACGCGCTGACTTCCATCCTCCTCCTCCAGCTGCCAGAGTCTTTCTGCCTGTCTCTCCTGAGTGGCCACGGCAGCTCTTCCCCATGGCTCGCCATACTCAGGAAGGGCTTTCCTACCACCAGGTGCTCAGGGCAGGCGGCTAGGCAGGAGGAGACTTCCGTTAGCTCTCAGCTTGCATTCTGTTATCGGGTAACTCCTCCACCGTGTACTAGGATCACTCACAGGGTTTCTGCTTTTCTCTATCCTGGATCTAAACCCTAAATGTCAGAAGGAAAAACTATTTCTGTCCCTCATTGTGGCTAATATCCAACGATTTCCACCTTTCAATGAGAAATGACATGAAAATCACTCTTGTAATGGACAACAGCAACCTTGGAAGAGCAAGCACCGTCTCTCTGTTTTCCAATGCAGCTTCTATTGAAATAAATGGCTTTACTAAATCAAGTTTCTCAGAAGCTTCCAGAGTAGCTTTTGCTCTAAACATCAACTTAATCAAACAATGCGCTCCTTTGAAGACTTGAAACATTCAGTTTTTAGACGTGGTAATTCCGAGTTGTCTCAGGGATGCCTTGCTGACTGAGATGGACCACAGCTTGGCTGGTAAGTTAATTTTAACTGTTAAACCTGTGAGAGCCGAGGGTTGCTGCCCAGCCAGAGAGCTGTGGGGATCCGTATCAGTCCCATAGAAGATGGAAATTATGGAATCAATAACAGCACAGTGTGATCTGGCAGCCATATAATGACTGAGGTTTCACGTCCTCAAGAAGTTCTGAAAGTCTTACACTAAAGCTCCAAGGAAAGGCCAAATCTATATGATGCCAAAATAATCAGCTGAAAAGTTGAAATTTTGGTCATTGCAGTTATTTGGTTTCATAAAGATCTACAAGCTGTCACATGACCAGGTTAAACTAAAATTTAAAAATCTGAATTCCAGTTAAGACATTTTGAGTATGTAGATACATGTGAATTCAGGATGGTGCTCACACTTAAAGAGTAGTAACTTTTCTTGTTAAATGTCGGCCTTAAGGCATTCTTGCCAGAGCTATTAAGTGTATGCCATAAAACACATATAACCAAGTTAATGTTGTTGTAGGAACCTTATCTTTGGAATTTCCTGACATTTGAGGGTTTCTCATTTTCCATTTTAGGATTGAAGGCCTAAGTCCTTGCATTTAATTTCCTGGGGCTTTAAAGAAATGAAGAAAGAAAAGAGAAGACAGCAAATAGAGAGGGAGAGAGAAAAGGAGGGAAAAGGAAGGAAAGAGAAGAGGAGAAAAGAAAAAAGAAGAGAGAGAAACAGGAAGAGAAAAAGAAAAATACGCTTTCTTAAACCGAGGATCTGAATCCGCTGGTTTTGCTCTTAAGGAGGTGAAATAATTGGCCTATGAAAATAAGCTGAATACATTCTCTAAGGCACACACAGCCTGGCCATGAAATTTGAAACCCTCATAACCTCTAAATCCTTAATCATTTCTTTCTTCAACCTTGGTTTGGCTTTCCTCCCTCAAAGAGGGTGGTGCGTCTGCCAAATTCGTGGTACAGTCCTTTTTGTTTTTAAGAGATAGGACCACAATAAAGAGCATACTTTATTTTTTTAAGAGTAGAAAGTGAATATCTTGCCCTAATCACCTCCATTGTACTATTTTAAACAAAATGAAAAACCCAAAGTCAAAATTGTTAAAACACAGCTGATGAAACCATATTCAAACTGGCCAAGAAAAATTTCATCTTTGGACTGAAATAAGTAACTTTAGCTGTTTATAAAGAAAACACTGGAAGACTGAAAAGCGCAGATGATAGTTAAGAGAGAAAAGATAATGGGAATAACTGTTCCCCAGGTTGACTCGCCTGCCCAGTGATGACACAGATGAAGGATTCCAGTTTCCCAGAATCAACCTGTCCCTGGGGGTGTGGGACCTCCTTGGAGGAAGAGCCAGAAGGGGCGTGGAAGGGCTGCTGTGGGAAGCACTGGGCAGGGGCAGGGAAGTCATGGGAGTGCTCGGGGACCCGGGCTTTGGCACTGGCTGGAGAAAGGATTTATTATTGGAGATGGATTCAGATTTTCTCAGAACATAAAGAAGGAAGCATCTAAGTTCTTCTCCAGACCTCAAGTAACACTGAAACTCAAACCTAGTAAAGATAGTGCAATCATCCTGTATGTATTCTGCAAAAAAAAGATAGTGCAATAAAACCCAAGTCTAGACCAGTCTAATTTATTTACTGATACAAAAATCTTAAAATATTAGCAAATAAAATTCAGTAGTACATTAAAAGAATAATAAACCAGGCCCGAATGGGAATTCATCCCCCACATTTAAGGATGGGTTAATATTAAAATATAAATTCAATATGAATGGATCAGAGCAGAAGAATCATATGATCATCAGGAGTTTCTGAAAAGTACTTTAACAAAAATCTAATCTCTAGTCCTAATTTTTAAAACTCTAAGTGAAAAAATAAATATAAATGGACACTAACTTGATAACATAAAAACATATCTCAAATAAGAGTGCCTGTGAGTGAAACTCTAGATGCGTTACCATTAAAGTTAGGGGCGAAGTAAGACTGTACGCTGCTTTCAGCACTACGATTTAACACTGTTCGGAAGTCTCAGCCAGTGCAATTTGGTAAGAGAATTAGGTATAAATTAAAAAGAAAAGGTAAAATGATGATTCTTTGTAGACAATATGGTTATATTCATAGTTTCTATGAATCAACTAACAGACTATTAGAAATAATAAGAAATTTAAGATGTCTTAAAAAATACACATATATATACACACAAACACACACAAAATAAGAGTTTTCTTAAATACAAAGACCATATGAGAAAAAAGACATTAACCATTGCATTAAAAAGAGAAAAGACTTAGAAATAAATGTAGCAAATACATAGCATGTCAAATAATTATATATTAATTACAAAAACCCCCACATATTTTATGTATGTGAAATTTGATAGTAATATTTAGAACATTCAGAAAAATACAGGCAGAAACACTCAAGACATTTTTGGAAAAGGTGAATAATAAGTAAATAAACAAACAAGAGGTTTATAATTACTAAAAAGGAGAGAGACAAAGTGATTATTATTTTTTTTTGCATATGACATGATGTTATATATAGGAAGTCCAAGAGGATCAACTGACTAATTATTAGCAACATTAAGAACTTTCTATAAGCTCTACTAGATATTAAAATACATTATGGTCTGGGTGTGGGGCTCATGCCTGTAATCCCAGCAGTTTGGGAGGCCAAGGCAGGCAGATCACTTGAGGTCAGGGGTTCGAGACCAGCCTGGCCAACATGGTGAAACCCTGTCTCTACTAAAAATACAAAAAATTAGCCAGGCGTGGTGGCGTGCGCCTGTAATCTCAGCTATTTGGGATGCTGAGGCAGGAGAATTGCTGGAACCCAGGAGGTGGAGGATGCAGTGAGCTGATATTGTGCCACCACACTCCAGCCTGGGCGATACTCTGTCTCGAAAAAAAAATAATAATAATAATACATTATGAAGTTAAAATAATAGTTTGGTACTGAAAAAAAAATAGCCTGATTAATTAAACAGAATGGAGCCAGAGAAAAATAAAACACTTCACACATATTGAACAGGCTCTGTACTAAGTTTATGTTATACATGTTAACTCATTCAATCTTCACAACAACTCTGTGAAGTGGTTACTATAATATAATTATCACCATTTTACAGATAGGTAAAATGAGGCCAACACAATTTAGTTGCTTGTCCAATGTCCCACAGCTAGTAAGTAGCAAAACTAGTAATGCTATATGCTCCTTATCACAGCATTATTTGTAAACTGGGAATAACTTATATATATTTACATATATATATACAAATATATGTAAATAAATTCTAGAATATGCAAACTTTTTCCCCCTTGAAGAGAACACAAGAAATTATGCTATTATGCTATTTACAGAGAAAGTGGGGAAAAAAAAGAAATTATGCTATTTACAGCCAAAAGAATCATCCTACATGACAGACCATGCTGAGTGGGGGGTGACAGGATTTAATTTATAGTTTATATTTTTAGAAGACTCCTCTGGCTGCTGAGGGAGGAATGTTCTACGGATGGGAAGTGAATCCAAGATGATTAAGATGGTAGCAGTGGAGGAGATGTAGGCAGATTTGGGATAAAGTTTTGAAACTAGAACCAAAGGACCTGGTGATGAATTAGGAAGGGGTATATGAAAAAGAGAGGAATTGGAGATGACTTTTTAGGTTTGTGGCCTAAGCAACTAAACAAACGGTGATGCCATTTAGAAGGATGACAATTATTTTAGGAGGTGGTTACTGGTGGCCTGGATGGAGAACTTGGGTTTGGACACGTTAAGTATAAATGATAAGACAACCAAATGGAGATCCAAGCAGGAGATGACTACACAAACCTTAAGCTGGGGGAGGGAGTTGGGGCTGAATGCCTCAATTTGGGAATCATAAGCATGACATTGACATTTAAAGCCATGGGACTGGATGAGATCATTTAGGGAGTGAGTGTAGATGGAGAAGAAAAGTCTCAGGTCTGGCCCTGGGTTGAGGTGGGGATAGGTTCGGGGTGTGCTCTGACAGATAGAAGGAAAAAAGAATGGAACTCAAAGGAGCCAGAGAAGCAGGACTTCCAGGGACATGGGTGACCCAGAAGCCAAATGAAGGAAGTGTTTCAAGATGGAGCAAGTCAACAGGTGTTCCTCGAATACTGAGAGGGGCCAATTAAGAAAAAAACAAAGAACTGGCAATTGGATTTAGCAAGATGGAGGTTACTGGTGGCCTCGGGACAGGGTAGTTTCAGGAGGAGGTTCCCAAAGCTCAATGGGGTGGGTCAAGAGAAAATAGGAGGTGAAATGATGAAAGGGAGTACAACAACTGTTCTGAGGAGTTTTGCTCTAAAGCTGGTTTCTAGATTAGTGGGTATCAAACCAACTAGCATGTTACAGAAATGGACTAGAGATTAAGTTGCAAAATAGAAAAATTGTTTTCGAAGCACAGATTTTATTTTTAAGCATTAACATGCTTTATTATTTAATGTGTTATTTTAACGTTATAAAATATTCACAGTGCGTGCATCCATATGTATAAATGAGGAAACTGAGGCTTCGAGAGGTTAGATAACTTGTTTAAGGTCACATAGATAGACACTGATAGGGCCAGTGTATTTCTAAAGCCCACACCAAGAAAAATTCAAGCACTGGTAGTTAGCAGGGACTACCAAGTTGTAGACTGCCAGGGTTAACATAAGTCCTTCATTTAACTCTTGGTTACTGTCCCAATTCCAAGTCCTTATTACATCTAAAGGGTAATTTTTAAAAGCACATACTCTTCTTTTTTGAGGACTGAGAACAAACACAAAATACATGCATCAGTTACCAAGTTTCCAGGTTAATTAACAAAGTATCTTAAGCTATGAACCATCTGGACTACAAGATCCATCAGTTTAATAAAACAAATAATTCAGCTGAGAACAGACGGTTATGATGGGACACAAACCACTGAGAGAGTCAGGTGGCGACACTCTGCCTGGCCACACCGGCACCTACCTGTGGTCTGCACTGGATTTCTGTCTCCCGGTCCACAGTCTTCTGTTCACAGAGGAAGGTGGGGGAGAGGAGGGCAGAGGCGGGGGAGGTAGAGAGGGCAGAGGAGGCAGATTTCTTTTCTCTTTCCTGAAGCCGATGCCAGGCTTCCCATCTTTGTCCCCTTCTCCGGCATGTTTGAACGTTCTCCGGGGTTTTGGCAGAGGGTTGATGAAGGGCTTTGTGGGGGAACCCTCCGAGCCCCTATACACGTTCTCAAGGCTCCGGTCCCAGGGCCTTCTGCATGAACCTTTCCTGTCCTCCACAAGCTCAGGGGTGGGCTCCCTGCCTTCCAGGTCCGAGGGGTGGACCCTCTGGCTGACTTCTGAGCCACTCCCGCCTCCCAGGTTCTCAGGAAGGGTGGACCCTGCCTCTGCCTTGTCAGGAGGGCAGTGTGGGGAGTAACAAGTCCCTGGTAACTGGGGATCCAGCCCTGCCGACCCATCCTTCAAAGCCTGCTCGAGTTTCTTGACCTGCTTCAGCACGGAGAGGGGATCGTTCTGAAAGCGTAGCTTGCCAAGTCTTGGCTCTCGGCCTCGGCCCCAGCTAGGATCCACTTCCCGTTCTGGCTGGCTTAGGTCTTGCCCCGGCTCTGGGTCCTGTCCCCCGACGTTCACTGCTCCTTTATTCCTCTCCTTCTCTGTGCTCTCTGTTCCTGGCCTCATTCCATTCTTAGCCTCTGTGACCTGAGTTCTCACCCCATCACTACTCCTCCTCTCCACCGTAGAGGACGGCAGATAATCCTCCTGTCCGTCTGCTCTCCTGCTGGGTGCAGGAGTGGGCACCTCTTTCTTCCCTTCCCATTCTGATATCTTGTCCTTTATGTTGAGGGACTTGTGCCGGGGTCTGGCTCTGGCAGATGGGCAAGGGTTCTGAACACCTCTGAGCTGCTTCTTCCCAGCCCTGCTGGCTTCTGCAGCTGGGTCACTGATGATCATATCCAAGCTGAACATATCCATTCTTGACTCTAGCGTGAGGTTGTGGAGGCCTTCCAGGGGACTCCTTCTGAAGCCTGACTCCTGATCAGTCTCTAGGAATGGAATGGAGGACTAAAGTGGATGCCTTCGAGGGTCTTTCTCAGTCCTTGGACCTTCCACCTTGACCCTGCACAAGAAAGACAAACACCAGGTGAGTGATTCTTATTGTTCTTGGCTGGTCATAGAGATTTGCTAGAACTTAGATATAAATGTTATATGCAAGTCACAAACCACAAACATTGAAATTCCTATTAAAAAAAAAAATTCACTTTGTGGGCAGGGTGCAGTGGCTCATGCCTGTAATCCCAGCACTTTGGGAGGCTGAGGTGGGAGGATCACTTGAGGCCAGGAGTTCAAAACCAGCCTGGGCAACATAACAAGACCCCCATCTCTACAAAAATTTTTTTTAAAAACTCAATTTGTGTTTTCCTTGGGGAGACAGCATGGTGAAATGAAGGAGCAATCGGGTTTAGGAGTCAGATAGGCTTGGGTTTAAATCCTAATTCAGTCACGTGACCTTAGGCAAGTTGTTTAAGTCCTCTAAACCTCAGTTTCCACCTCTGTAAAATGAAGATCATAATAATATGGGCCAGGCATTGTGGCTCACACCTGTAATCCCAGCACTTTGGGAGGCCGAGGCGGGTGGATCACGAGGTCAGGAGTTTGAGACCAGCCTGGCTAACATGGTGAAACCCCGTCTGTACTAAAAATACAAAGATTAGCGGGGTGTGGTGGCAGGCCCTGTAATCCCAGCTACTCACTCAAGAGATTGAGGCAGGAGAATTGCTGGAACCCGGGAGGCAGAGATTGCAGTAAACTTAGATTGCACCACTGCACTCCAGCCTGGGCAACAGAGAGAGACTCTGTCTCAAAAATAAAAATAAAAATAAAATAGGAGTAATTTCACGAGGTAAAAGATTACATAGGCTGCTTTTCCTGCTTTTCTTATCCACAGGCAGTTCTTTGCAATGACTATTTAAAAACTAAAACAACATCACAAGTCATGAAGTTTGTGCTACCCCTGAACTTGACAAATTGTCTGATTCAAGTGGGCAAAGCCACAATGATTGGATGCATCTGAACAGAACCTCCTCTGGAATGGGGCCTCACTAGAGTGAGCTCTTCATGAGCCTTGCCACCAGGGCAGGGATTATTCTGTTATTTTGGCCTGTTGTAGCCAAGTCTGCACCCCTAGCACCCAAAACAATACCTGGGAGAGTTGGTGGTCAATAAATATCTGGTGCATGAATGAATGCGTGAATAAAGAGGCAGATTCAGATTTCACACTTGGCTTAGAAATGCACTATCTAATAGAGTAGCCACCAGCCACACGTGACTATTTAACCTTAAATCCAATGAAATTCAAGCTTCAGTTCCTCAGTTACACCTGCCACATGTCAAGGACTCAGAAGCGCCATGTGGCTGATGGCTACCGTACTGGATGGGGAAGAAGAATATTTCCATCACTGAATAAAGTTTTGGCCTAGAACATATATGTAATGATACATGCTTCCAAATGTAATTTTAGATTAGATAATGCCATGAAGATATTAGAAATTATTTTGAAGGAAAAACATTTTTAAATTAGTCTAACAAGAATGAGAGTATCTGTGTTGTCCAATGCAAACATTATTCCACCAGCAAAGGTTATGACTGAGTACAGTGACTTTGGATGTGCCGACATTAGCTAACACCTCACGGTGCCCATTTTCTGAATGTATAGATCTGACCGCATGGAAATTCTGAAACTCCAGTTAAGGTTCACCGTGAGGGATGAATAAGTAGCAATTTCATGCATCCTGTTACTATTTAGCTTTCTATTCCCAAGGTTGTTTGTGTAAAGACCTCTTCCTCAGTGGAGACATTAGCACATAAATTACGCCACTGTTCTTGGTTGCATGGCATAAAATAGAAACTTGCGAAAACGCAAACACATTTTTTTGGCAAACACATTTTCCTATTTTAAATATGGCTATCAAGGCAGAATTCCTTATTTAAATAAACAATTAGGATTCCTAACAGTGTGTTTACAAAGAGAAAATATTTTTAAATTGTTCCATCACCACTGGAGATATTAGCATGAATTAAGATTTTAGTCAGAATCAGTTTGTTATCTCACTGAGGGTTCAAAAGGCAGAAGTGATGGTCCTTGCTCTCACAGTGCTAGAGGCAAGATGAAGAGAGAGGACAGACACACACATTAAAAACACAACAATCCAGGTTAGTGTCTGCATGGTGATGACTGATGGTCTACAACGTGGTTATTAATGTCCTATATGCTGTGAGGCACTATGGCCTAGGAGCTAAATACATGGGCTTTGGAAATGAGGGACTTGAGACTTGAATCCTGAGTTTTTCATCTTCCTTCTGTAGACTGAAACTCTATGAGTCAGAGGCCACATTTATATTGTTTACTGTGCCTGGTGCATAGCAGCTAGTCAACAAATATTTATTCAATGAATGAATGAATTCATGAGTTAACATGTAATGTGCTCAAAGTACAGCATACTTTCTAAATCTTGGTATCAACAAATGGTAACTAGTGTTATTGTAAGTATCATAGTTATTGTCTAAGAGCCCAAACACATGGAGTGACTTCACAACTATGGAAGCTCTGTCGGAAAACTTGAGAGGAACAAAGGATGGCTTGCTGAAAACTCACACTGGATTTACAAAACTCACGCAACAGAGGCAAGGATGCCGCAACTGTCCTACGAGTCCCCAAGGACAGAGTTCCTGCTCCATGTGGTTGCCAGCCCAAGAGTTTCTAGAGTTCCTGTTTCCAGGATTCTCCCGCCCCATAAGGGGTTCCAGACTGGGGTGCAGAGCTAAGAACCCCTCAGTGGCTGCCAACTGCTTTGTGGAATGTGAGAGGATCAGAGAAAGGGCTCCATCTGGGGAGAAGGAAACAATCACGCTGGTATTAGATGGGAAAACTGACTGTGTACAGGTACAGCTGCAAAGACTTAGGGCTCAAACATAAGTAAAATACCTGAACATCCTAGTAGTTAGAAAAATAAACCCAGAATTGGAATGCGTCATGGGGATAGGGCTAAAGTTACCAAGGGATCATCCTCTCCTCACACTGGCCATTAGTCAGACTCTCTCGATCAGTTTGGCCTGAAGCCTTAAATGAATGCAGTGCATGGAGGCGGTCTGCAGGAGGCTCATTAGAATGACCTGGAAAAGAGCTCCTTAGCTCAAGGAAGTAGGATCAGTGAAGAAGGAGGTGGTAGGAGAGTAAGAAGCTGGGTCAGCGTCTACACTCTCGGGGGAGAAGTGTTCTTACTTGTCAGCCAATTTGTAGCTCAGGTTTTCAGTCTGGCTGTGGCTGCCCTTGGCCGGCCTGCACACTGTCATCATGTCAGTACCGAGGGGAGTTCCAGGTCACCTGGGGGGACAGGGATGCACACCCAGTGAGCCATGACAGCAGGGCCTCCCTCAGAGGGGAGCAAATCTAGGGCCCACACTCCAAACTATTTATTCCTGATAGATTCCACCCAGGAGCAGGGGGTGGAAAGAACACACAATTCAGAATCCCAGGCCTAGCAAGTAAAGTGGGGGTGCAATCCCGATGTCCGCCCGGATTCAGAACTCATGCCAACCTCTTTGTATATATCTTTTTTGTTCATTTGTTTTTTTTGAGACAGGGTCTGGTTCTGTTGCCCAGGCTGGAATGCAGTGGCATGCTCTTGGCTCACCGCAACCTGCGCCTCCTGGGCTCAAGTGATTCTCGTGCCTCAGCCTCCCCAGTAGCTGGGATTACAGGTGTGCACCACCACCCCGGCTAATGTTTGTATTTTTAGTAGAGACGGTTTTTCACCTTGTTGGCCAGGCTGGTCTTGAACTCCTGGCCTCAAGTGATCTGCCTGCCTTGGCCTTCCTAAGTGCTGGGATTACCGGAGTGAGCCACTGTGCCTGGCCCTCTTTGCATATATCTTTTAGCTAAGGTCACCAAAAATTTTAAGAAAACATACAAACTTAGAAAGCAAAACATAAATAACAACGAGACCCAGTGCTTTTTTAGGGTCTCTAAGAACCACTGTGATGAGCTAATAGTCCCCAAAGAAGAAAGTAGTTGCCCTTTTATTTGACACAAGACATAAACCACACACCAAAGTGGAACTGTCTTCACAGGGATACTCTACCCTTCTGCGAACCCTGACACTGGGAGTTTAAACCCACACTGCCCTTGTCTGCAGAGCACCCCATGGGGAGCCCCTCCCAGCTCCTCCAAACTGAGGAGGAAGAAACAGCCAGTCACGAGGTCATCTGTCTGGTCTAAGGAACACCAGGAGATGGTCTTGGCAAACCCAGGAATCCCACTGAGTTCCTTAAACCCCCCAAATAGCAAGGCCTGTGTGGATACCAAGGCAGCAGCCTCAGCTCAGAAGTAGCAGTTGAAGACTCTGGTGCCTGGCCCCCATATAAACTGAAGTAACTGATTAAACTTCATTGCTTCATAGCAAGTCCTTCCAGAACTCTTTGGGAAGAAGTGTCTCCCAACATGAGCATAAATGGACATGGCTCAGGTGAAGGTGCTGACAAGATGGGGCCCATCAGAGAAGGCCAACAGGATGGGCCACGCAGTTCTTCTGTAAGGCATGAACACCAGCTGGTCTTCCCTAGTGGAGAGGAGCCACCTCCTTGACTAGAGCTCAAGGCATATCAAGATACTGGGTATTTACGTTACGTTTCCAGGGAAGCCCTCTCCCAACTCCTTCTTCAGTTTCCAGGATTCCTACCCTATTTCCCAGGATGGTTTCCCTGCTAGGTGATGGGATGGCTGCCTGATGTCCTGGCCTGGGCATCCTCTCCCTCCCGAGTAATCAAAGGGCAGAACTTCAAGACATGCAGATAGCTCTTGGGAACAAGGAGAGGAAGGGAGGAAGTCCAGAGAGAAAGAGAAAAAGAAAAGGAGAGTGCACATGGGTAACAAATGAACAAGAGGGAGGCTGGGGAACCATGAGCTGGGGGAGCAAGGAAGGGAACAGACACATCTGCCAACTGTGTGTGTGTGGGTGGACAGGAGCATGGAGCTCTGGCCTGTCCATGGAGTTCAGCTGTTCCCCTATCCAGCAACTCAGCACCAGACATTGTGGGGCTTATCTATGTTGTAACTGAGCCTACTTCTTTAAAGAAGCCAGGCCCCAGGGCTTGCCCATCCCGTCATGCAGGGTAGCCCTGAAAGGCCTTTCAGGGACAGGAAGGAACTCATTTTCCCTCTCACAAAGCTCTGCAGAGCTGAAAGCTTCTGGAGTCCCTCCACTTGGCTGGGCCCACAGACACTACTCTTCTGTCCGGCATCTGGCAGAGGGCCCCAGTGGACGTCAGGGAGAACAGCCCCTCCCCACCACCGCCACCACCCTCCACACAGACCAAACCCACAAGAATCCAACCTTGTTCCATATGAGCCAGCAGCTCTCTTCCAAGCTGGCTTCCCCTTTCACTGGCACTAGGACAAGGTGCCAGGCTGTGTGCAGGATGCACCGAAGGACTCAAAGATGAGTAAGAGTCTCTGCCGTCATCGAGAGCACCAGGGCTGTGCCTGGGTCACAATCAATCCTGTAACTCCCCCCATGCCCTCAAGAAAACAGTTTCCCTATAGTTCTCAGGAAGTACAGCTTTTCCAAAAGGAAAAAAGGCCACTGTGTCGAATGCACAGAGATGGATGTATGAACTTGGAGGTCAAAGATCACAAAAAGCACTTAAATGACATGATACTTAAGTGAACTCACTTCCCATCAGGGAGTAATAACTTCCAGCATGAAAACCATGATCTCCAGAGAAATGGCTGATGCCATATACTGAGAAGCAAGTGCAGGGGGCTTCAGAGGCTGGCACTGAGGGGGCATAGAACCCCCCTGAACACTCAGCAATCAGTCCACCAGCATTTCTGAATTCACAAAGATATTAAAAATGCTGCTGTAAAAAACTGACCTTTCCCTTTTTGTCTCTGATGATTAGCAGTTGTTAACTGGCTGGGCATGGTAGCTCACACCTGTAATTCCAGCACTTTTGGAGGCCGGGGTGGGCTGATCACTTGAGCTCAGGGGATTGAAACCAGCCTGGGCAACATGGCAAAACATCGTCTCTACAAAAATACAAAAATTAACCGGGTGTGCTGGTGCATGCCTGCAGTCCCAGCTACTCGGGAGGCTGAGGTGTGAGGATTGCTTGAGCCCAGCAGATGGAGGTTGCAGTGAGCTGAGACTGAACCACTGCACTCCAGCCCAGGTGACACAGTGAGACTCTGTCTTAAAAAAAAAAAAAAAAATCATTAATTAAGTAACGAACCCAGCCGAATTTGCTAGTTGGGAGTGCTCTGTGACTTAAATTACCATGATAAACTTCATTATCACTTTATAGTCTGGGATTGTGAGATAGAACCATTTTCCAAAGTGTGGTCCATGGGGGATCAGTTCCAGTCAACCTGGGGACCCTGTCAGACATGCAGATTCCTGGGCACCTCTTCGATGTACCAAGACGTACCAAAGCCAACAGTCTGAGGGCTGCTCTGGAATCTGCATTTAAATATGGTAAATCAAAGGTCGCAGAGGCCAATGTCCTGGCATGGGCATCTCTTGCTCGCAAGAAATCAAAGGGCTGGGCTTCATGACAGCTTGAGTTTTTACACAACCCAAGGTTCCTTATTTCTTTTTAGACAATTTGGTCTTGTGATCCAAGTAGACTATATTCCAAGAGAGATAATGGTATGATTGATAGTAATAACACATTTTCCCACTCAACTGCTTTCCATAAAAATAGAACTTCCCATTAACCAGATGGGCTATTACTAATAATTTTAATTAACTGGCTGGGCATGGTGGCTCATGCCTATAATCCCAGCACTTTGGGAGGCCAAGGCGGGCGGATCTCTTGAGGTCAGGAGTTTGAGACCAGCCTGGCCAACATGGGGAAACCCTGTCTCTACTAAAAATACAAAAATTAGGTGGGCGTGGTGGTGGGCGCTTATAATCCCAGCTACTCGGGAGGCTGAGGCAGAAGAATCGCTTGAACCCAGGAGGCGGAAGTTGCAGTAAGCCGAGATCGCCCCACTGTACTCCAGCCTGGGCAACAGAGTGAGACTCTTTTTTGAGAGTCTGTCTCAAAACAAACAAAAAAAATTAATTAGACTAAAAAGTCCTACAAAATTTTGAAGGTAGCTGATGAGTACACAAGAGTTCATATATTTTTTGTAGGCTTGAACATTTCTGTAAGTTTCAGAAACTAAGTCCTATAAGTTGAAGAAAAATATTTTTAAAATTCTAACATCTATAGCTGATTATGTTTATCAACCCAGTCCATAATCTAACCCTGTTGTTCTTCTTGCTGAAGTGAATACTGTAAAATCTTTTCTTGGCTCAAGAATTTTCTTTGGGCATTGACATCATGTTGACTGGAGGGTTCAGAAGTTAAGAAGCTGGGTGGGACTGGTCTGAAGGCAGTGAGTCAACTGAATTGATTATTCACAGTCAGTTACGCATCCAACTCTTTATTCTACTCTTCCCCCCTTCTCACTACTGCATTTGACACTTGTGGGTTTTTTTCAATTACTCTTTTTTTTGGAGACAGGGTCTCGCCCTGTCACCCAGGCTGGAGTACAGTGGTGTGATGATGGCTCACTGCAGCTTCAACCTGCTGGGCTTAAGCGATCCTCCCGCCTCAGCCTCCTGAGTAGCTGGGACTACAGGCATGCACCACCACATGTGGCTAATTAAAAAAAATTTTTTTTAGTAGAGATGGGGTTTCACTATGTCACCTAGGCTGGTCTTGAACTCCTGAGCTCAAGCAATCCTCCCACCTTGGCCTCCCAAAGTATTAGGATTACAGACATGAGCCACTGTGCCCAGCCTCACTTAACTAGTCTTAAGGAAAAAAAAAAAAAAAAAAGCCAGATGGGAGAGTCTCCCTCAATTTTTAATCCTGTTGGGTACTGCGGTCTACTCTCTTGGCCAGCTGATGCTGAGAGATCCTCTTACTCCCAATTACGTCTGTGAATTACCCTTAATTTTGAGAGAGAGAGAGATCAAGAGATCTCATAGTGAGATGCTTCTGATCAGCCTCAAAAGCCCAGACAACTTAATTGCTCCAGACTGACATTGCTAGATTTTATATATATATATGTATATAATTTTACAGTTCCTTCCAGGCTTATCTCTGAACACACTGTTTTTTGTTTTTTAAAGGGGCTTAGAATTCTAAAATGTCAAGTCATTAATTACACAACAAATAGCTCTCAGAAAAAAGGTCAAGAATTTAAAACAGATATAAAGTGTTTTCCCACAAGTAGGAAGAGGAAATAAACAAGATCAGGTCCCAAGGGCAGTTCTCACAGGAGCGGCTGTGGACCTGTGGCATTTGGAGGAGGACCAAGAGAAGCGGGCTATGCCTGAGGGGAGAGGAGCGGAGCCCTCAGGAGGACCCGGCAGCTCCTTTAGAATCCTGCTGGGCCTGCCCCATTGCTGTCTTTCTTCTGCTGCCATTTTTGGAATCCAGCAAAGGCAATCTGGAAACACCAGCCTGGTGAAGCCAGCACAGCCTTAAGGGCTAGGAGCCCAGCAAGACATCAACTAGTGGCCTGAGGCCTGGCCTCTCGGACCGCTGCTTCTGATAACAGAGCACTGTTATTATTATTATTATTTTTTGAGACGAGTTTCACTCCTGTTGCCCAGGCTGGAGTGCAATGGCATGATCTCGGCTCACCGCCACTCCACCTCCCAGGTTCAAGCGATTCTGCCTCAGCCTCCCAAGTAGCTGGGATTACAGGCATGCGCCACCACAACTGGCCTCTCTTTAAATCTTAAAGCAAGAAGTGATTTAAATATAAAATGGGCTGGGTACAGTGGCCCACACCTGTAATCTCAGCACTTTGGGAGGCTGAGGCAGGAAGATGACTTGAGCCCAGGAGTTCAATACCAGCCTAGGCAACATTGCAAGAACCCATCTCTACAAAAAATAAAAAATAAAAAAATTGGCCAGGTGTGGTGGTGCACATCTGTAGCCCCAGCTACGCAGGAGGCTTAGGGGGAGGATCATTTGAGCCTGGGAGGTTGAGGCTGCAGCGAGCCTTGATTGCATCACTGCACTCCAGCCTACACAACAGAGCGAGACCCTGTCTCAAAATAAATAAATACATAAATATAAAATGAAATGTGGAAGCGTTGGTCAATTGATGGATTTTAAAAAGTGGTCTATCTGTACAATGGAATTCAGTCACATAAAGGAATGAAGCACTGTTACATGCTACAACATTGGTGAACTAAAGAAACCTACTACATGAAGGAAGCCAGACACAAAAGGCCACATATTGTATGATTCCATTTATATAAAATGTCCAGAGCGGGCAAATTCACAGAGACGGATGGTAGATTAGTGATTGCCAGGGGTAGAGAAGGGAGAAATTGTTCCTCGTTGCTATTAATAGGTGAGGGTTTCTTTGGAATGATAGAAATGTCCTAAAATTTCATAGCGGTGATAGTTGCACAATGCGGTGAATACACCACAAGCCACTGAACTGTACAGTTTAAGATGGTGAATGTTGGCTGAGTGCGGTGGCTCACGTCTGTAATTCCAGCACTTTGGGAGGCAGAGGCAGGTGGATCACCTGAGGTCTGGAGTTCGAGACCAGCCTGACCAAATGGTGAAACCCCGTCTCTACTAAAAATACAAAAAATTAGCTGGGTGTTGTGGCACATGCCTGTAATCCCAGCTACTTGGGAAGCTGAGGCAAGATAATCGCTTGAACCTGGGAGGCGGAGATTGCCATGAGCCAAGATTGCCCCATCGCACTCCAGCCTGGATGACAGAGCGAAACTCCGTCTCAAGAAAAAAAAGGAAAAAAAAAAAAGATGGTGAATGTTATGTGCATTCTATCTCAGTGGAAATAAATTATGTAAGTACAGTGTATATTCCGTGAAAAAAATAAGATATATGCGCAGGGGAAGAGGTGGAGTGAGGAATAAAATCCACACAATTATAATTTCCAGTGCCCTTTACTGATCTAAACTTGATTATGTTAGCTCTGAAGCATAAGTAAATATGTATTATATATAACTTGACACCAAAAGGATCATATTTGTTATACTAATTTTTTTTTTTTTTGAGACAGAGTCTTACTCTGTTGCCCGATCTGGAGTGCAATGGTGCAATCTCAGCTCACTGCAACCTCCACCTCGCGGGTTCCAGCGATTCTCCTGCCTCAGCCTCCCAAGTTGCTGGAATTATGGTCATGTACCACCACACCTGGCTAATTTTTGTATTTTTGGTAGAGATAGGACTTCTCCATATTGGCCAGGCTGGTCTCGAACTCCTGATCTCAAGTGATCCGCCCACCTTGGCCTCCCAAAGTACTGGGATTACAGGCATGAGCCACTGCGTCCAGCCCTGTTACACTAAATTTAAAAATAAGGTTGAGGGCCGGGCGCAGTGGCTCACACCTGTAATCCCAGCACTTTGGGAGACTGAGGCGGGTGGATCACCTGAGGTCAGGAGTTCAAGACCACCCTTACTAACATGGAGAAACGCTGTCTCTACTAAAAATACAAAATTAGCCAGGCATGGTGGTGCATGCCTGTAATCCCAGCTACTTGGGAGGCTGAGGCAGGAGAATGGCTTGAACCCGGGAGGCGGAGGTTGCAGTGAGCCAAGATCAAGCCATTGCACTCCAGCCTGGGCAACAAGAGCGAAACTCTGTCTCAAGAAAAAAAAAAAGGTTTAGCTGAGTACAGTGATGCAAGCGTGTAGTCCCTGCTACTGGAGGAGCTGAAGCAGGAGGACTGCTTGAGACCAGGAGTTTGAGGCTGCAGTGAGCTATAATCGCACCTGTGAATAGCCACTGCAGGCTGAGTGCAGTGGCTCACGCCTGTAATCCTAGCACTTTGGGAGGCCAAGGCAGGCAGATCACTTGAGGTCAGGAGTTCAAGACCAGCCTGGCTAACATGGTGAAACCCCATCTCTACTAAAAATAGAAAAATTAGCCGAGCGTGGTGGTGTGCACCTGTAGTCCCAGCTACTTGGGAGGCTGAGGCAGGAGAATCACTTGAACCCAGGAGGCAGAGGTTGCAGCGAGCCGAGATCACACCCTTGCACTCAAGCCTGGGTAACAGAGTGAGACTCTGTCTCAAAAAAAAAAAAAAAGCTACTGCACTCTAGCCTGGGCAACACAGCAAGATCCCACCTCCTAAAAAATAGTTTAGGCTACTCTGCCTATGGGGTAGCCCTGCTTTGCCTATGGAGCAGCCACCCTTAAAATTAAAAAAAAAAAACAAACAAAAAACTACAGCTTAGATTGTGAAACAAAAATAAAATCTCAGGACCTCCAACTCACTATGCCAAAAGGAAAATAACAGCTTAGGAACTGAGTCACACACAAAAAAACTGCCTTCCTTTTGTTCCACGACAGCTGTAATTTCACATGCTAACTTTATCTGGTGTCAAATGCAGACCAACTGAGAGCTGGATGAATGCACTACTGACTTTTCCCCATTCCCTTCTTTTCCCATGGAAAATGTGGATTCACTGAGCACCAATCAGAGCCTCATCAGAATGTGACCACTTGCCTCATCACCTACCCTTCTCCCCTTTTTTCTTTTCCTCCTTCCCCTCCTGCTCACTGTTTCCCTTTTAAACACTGAAGTCCTCAAAGCCTCTTTGGAAAAAGCACAGGAGACACAGATCTTTTTTATTTTTTTATTTTTTATTTTTTTGAGACAGAATCACTCTGTCACCCAGGCTGGAGTGCAGTGGCACAATCTTGGCTCACTGCAGCCTCTACCTCCTGGGCTCAAGTGATTCTTGTAACTCAGCCTCCTGAGCAGCTGGAATTAACAGGCGTGCACCAAGACATCCAGCTAATTTTTGTATTTTTAGTAGAGATGGGGTTTTGCCACCTTGCCTAGGCTGGTCTCGAACTCCTGGCCTCAAGTGATCCACCTGCCTTGGCCTTCCAAAATGCTGGAATTACAGGTGTGAGCCACCGCACCTGGCCAGGAGACAGATCTTACTGTGACTTGTGTTTCTTTTTCCCAGGGGTATCCTCAACCTGGGCAAAATAAACCTCTAAATTAATTGAGCTGCCTCAGTCATTTTTTGGTTTACAGGATTGTAAATGATTACATATTCATAAAATTACATTTTAAATAGTTTTTGTGTTGCAAATAAGGCCATGGGCTATTCAGCTTTAATGATTCCAATATCTCTTAGTTTTATCAGCTTATGAAGAGCAGGCAAAAAATAGAGAAGAAACCACAACAATTACAGTAGAACAAAAATAGCTGTTTTCTTGTCTGAGCATTCTTAGCAAACATATCTAGAAGTTATTTGTTTCCAAAAACAACTTGAGAAATAAAAGCACACAATCAATGTAATACAACTCTTGCTATGTCTAACTACATAGTGCAGCTCATTCTGGAGTCTTGATGCTTCATTTTCCTCATTTTCTTTAAACAAACAAAAATTTTTTTTTGAGATAGGGTCTGTTGCCCAGGATGGAGTGCAGTGGTGCAGTCACAGGTCCCTGCTGCCTCGACCTCCCTGGGCTCAGGTGATCTTCCTACCTCAGCTCCCTACCGCCCCAGGTAGCTGGGACTACAGGTGTGCACCACCACGCCTGGCTAATTTCCATATTTTTTGTCGGGACAGTGTTTCACCATGTTGCCCAGGCTGGTCTCGAACTCCTGGCCTCAAGCACTCCTCCTGCTTTGCCCTTCCAAAGTGCTGGGATTACAGGCGTGAGCCACTGCACCTAGCCAATGAAAAGGTTTTAAAAAAATTAAAATGGGTTGCTCTAGGCCTATACATAACTTTATTTATTTATCTGATTCGTTATATTTTCAAAAACAAACCAGTATTTTTGCATTTGGAAGAAGACAGAGGAATCTGAAACGGATGAGGAATAAGAGAAGCCAAAGGCTCTGTGCTGCCTCAGAACAACACCGGGGGACATATTTGGCAAAACTGCGGCCTGCACCCTTCTTGGACCAAATGCTTAAACTGTGCCTGCACAAAAGCACCGCACATCAAGTCCTTAGAGCACGACACCAGGTAGATGGAGGCAGTACCAAAGGCACAACTTCTCTGCTAACAACCAAAGTCTGCCCATTTCTAGGAGTTCTGCTTTTTTTTTTTTTTTTCTTTTTTGAGACGGAGCCTCGCTCTGTCGCCCAGGCCAGAGTGCAGTGGCACAATCTTGGCTGACTGCAGTCTCAACCTTCCTGGTTCAAGCAATCCTGCCTCAGCCCCTCAGCTAGCTGTGACTGAGGCAAGAGCGCACCACCCTGTCCGGCTATTTTTTTTTTTTGTATTTTTTTGTAGAGATGGGGTTTTGGGGTTTTGCCACGTTGGCCAGGCTGGTCTTGAACTCCTGAGCTCAAGTGATCCACACACCTTGGCCTCCCAAAGTGCTAAGATTACAGGTGTGAGTCACTGAACCCAGGCCTACATATCATTTTTCTTATGCTTAATGCGTCCACCAACAAATAACTGGATAAACAAAAGTGGTCTACACATATAATGGAACAGTATTCAGCCATAAAAAGGAATGAAGTTGAGATACATGTTACAACATGGATGAACCCTGAAAACATTATACTAAGTGAGAGAAGCCACTGACAAGAGATCACACATTGTGTAATTCAATTCTCAAGAAATTTCAGAATAGGCCAATCCTGGCCGGGCGTGGTGGCTCATGCCTGTAATCCCAGCACTTTGGGAGGATGATGTGGCCAGATCACCTGAGCTCAGGAGTTCAAGACCAGCCTGGCCAACATGGTGAAACCCCATCTCTACTAAAAATATAAAAATTAGCCAGGTGTGGTGGCGGGCGCCTGTAACCTAAGCTAGAGGCTGAGGCAGGAGAATCGCTTGAACCCAGGAGGTGGAGGTGGCAGTGAGCTGAGATCACACCACTGTACTCCAGCCTGGGCGACAGAGCGAGACTCCATCACATACACACAAAAAAAGAATAGGCCAATCCACAGAGACAGAAAGTAGATTAGTGGTTGCCAGAGGCTAAGTGAGGCGGGGAAGTAAGAAGTGACTGCTAATAGGTATGGATTTTGGGGGCAGGATGATGGAAATGTTCTAAAATTATAGAGTGGTGGTTGTTACACAACACAGTCAGTATACTAGAAACCACTAAATTATATGCTTTATGAGAGTCAATTTTATGGTAAGTGAATTATATCCCAATAAAGCCATTATTTAAAAAAAAGAATCGGCAGGGACAATTACTAAAAGTGAGGAGTCCTGGACCCACCCTAGACCAAACAAAGCTGACTACCAGAGTAGGATGTAGGAATTTATATTTGTAAGTTTCCCAAAGAGTTCACAGGCATAGTAATAAGAGTTGCTGGCCTAGAGTTGAATCATGGGGGCTATTTTCATGTCACTTGCATTGTCAGTCAGCATCAGAAATACTCTATTTTGCCCTCTCCTTTGTAAGGCAGTATTTATTTTTTTGAGACAAAGTCTTGCTCTGTCACCCAGGCTGGAGTGCAGTGGTACCATCTCAGCTCACTGCAACCTCTGCCACCCGGGTTCAAGCGATTCTTGTGCCTCAGACTCCTGAGTAGCTGGGACTCCTGGCGTGTGCCACCACGCCCAGCTGAATTTTGTAGTTTTAGTAGAGATGGGGTTTCACCATGTTGGCCAGGATGGTCTCGAACTCCCGACCTCAGGTGATCTGCCCGCCTTGGCCTCCCTAAATGCTGGGATTACAGGCGTGAACCACTGTGCACAGCCTGTAAGGCAGTATTTTACTCCAGTAAATGCTTCTGTTTCAGAGCATCTTGGGAATCTGACGCAGGTGCTACCAGCACAAAGTGCGTGCACCTTTTCCTGGAACCCAGATGCTGATGCTTGGAGATGCTGCTCTGCTGATTCTTCCCTCCATGGCCTTCAATATCAAGGCTCCCCCGTACTCTAAAGGAGGCCTCAGGACCAGGAGCATCAACGGAGTAATTTCAGGAATTTCTGTCCTTATAAATACTCAGTCATTGACAATAATACTTTCTTTTAACATCTTGAAGGCCAGTGCAGTGGCTCATGCCTGTAATCCCAGCACTTTGGGAGGCCGAGGCGGGTGGATCACTTGAGTTCGAGACCAGCCTGGCCAACATGGTGAAACCGTCTCTACAAAAATACAAACATTATCTGGGTGTCGTCGTGGGCACCTGTAATCCCAGCTACTCGGGAGGCTGAGGGAGGAGAATCGCTTGAACCTGGGAGGCAGAGGTTGTAGTGAGCCAAGATCGCACCACTGCACTCCAGCCTGGGTGACAGAGTGAGACCCTGTCTCAAAACAACAACAACAAAAACAACTTGATCAGTATTTTCCTGACCAACACCTGTCAGCTTGTCTGACAAATGAAGCCGCTGGGAATCTGTGGCTCGGGCAGCCTGACTGGACTGACCACACTGTGTGACGTGCCGGATGCCAGAGGCAGCTAAAGATGCATATCATTCTCACTTTCATAAACCCGGGAAGGATTTTTTCACATCTGCAGAACATTGTAACATATAGAGATGCATTTGGCTAGCTTAGTAGTTTAGAAACACACTTTGGACTTGACAATATTTGCAAATCATGCTTTTTACCATTCTCCAGAGGGTGAAAATAGAAGAAGTGCAATTTAGTGGCCATCTTGGATAGGAACACTAAATTACAGTGTGTAGAAAGACTCAGTGGCGTCAGTCCTCCAGAGTTAATGCTCAATAACTGCCAGGGTCACCTCTCTGATCAAGGCTAGTATGAGTTTGCCATAAATCATTAAAGCATGAGTTATAAAAGTTATGAAATATGCTAATACAGGTAAAATATGGTTTAATAGTCTGAATTCAGATAAATGTATTTTTTGAATAAAAAAGTACACTTCCTTTTGTTTCTTTTGTGTATTACAGATCGCCAAACAGGGAAGAGTCAGGTTCCAACTTATTTCAACTTTCAAATATGTAAACTTGGTCTTCCTTCTCTCTGTTCTCAGGTAGGCCGGAAACCCAGCTAAGAAACCCTTTTTGTTTCTCAGCTCTACAGAAATCAATGTTAGTGTTCCTATCATTTTTTTGTGATGAAGAAATTGAGCCTCAGGGAGTTAGGTCACATGTTTAAGCTCATACAATAACTCACAAGTAATGGGTCTATGTTTTGAATCCAAGTCTAGTGCTCCTTCGACAATATTCCCGTGGTCTCATATCTAATATAGACTAGAACTAGACTCTAGCTCATCATTACGAATGTCTGTCTTGCTCACCTCTTCAAGATCAGCAACTGTTTTATACTTCTACACCATACCACACTTCAGAAACATTTGTTAATTAAGTGTGATGGGAGAAAGTTTTTTGGTGTGTTTGGATCTGTTTTTTTACGGTTGTATGATTATATATTTCCTTTTTTTTTTTCTTTTTCTGAGACGGAGTCTTGCTCTGTCGCTTAGGCTGGAGTGCAGTGGCACAATCTCACTGCAAGCTCTGCCTCCCGGGTTCACGCCATTCTCCTGCCTCAGCCTCCAGAGTAGCTGGGACTATAGGCGCCCGCCTCCACGCCCAGCTAATTTTTTGTATTTTTTGTAAAGATGGGTTTTCACTGTGTTGGCCAGGATGGTCTCGATCTCCTGACCTCGTGATCTGCCCGCCTCGGCCTCCCAAAGTGCTGGGATTACAGGCATGAGCCACCGCGCCCGGCCTGATTATATATTTCTATACTTTGGGAATATATCCTAACAAAATCCTAAGGATGTAAAAAGTGTTTGCATAAATATTCATAGCTGTTACTTATAATATTGAAAAGTTAAAAGCTACTCAAAAGTTAAGCAATGTAATGGTAATGTAGACTATAATTTAGCTATTCAGTGGAATACAGCTATTCAATGGAATATTATAATGTAAATTAAATTATGTTTAAGAAGACTACGATTCTATAGAGACAGAAAGTAGGCTGGTGATTGCTGAGGTTAGGAGTGGGTGGGTGGGAGGAATAAGGAGTGACTGCTGACAGGTTTGCATTTCTTTCCAGGGTGATGAAAGTGTTCTAAAATTGATGGTGGTGATGGGTTGCACAACTCCACAAATACACTAAAAACTCTGCACTTTTTTTTTTTTTGAGATGGAGTCTCACTCACTCTGTTGCCCAGGCTGGAGTGCAGTGGTGCAATCTCAGCTCACTGCAACCTCCGCCTCCTGGGTTCGAGAGATTCTCCTGCCTCAGCCTCCCAACTAGCTGGGATTGCAAGCGTGCACCACCATGCCCAGCTAATTTTTGTATTTTTAGTAGAGATGGGGTTTCGCCATGTTGGCCAGGCTGCTCTTGAACTCCTGACCTCAAGTGATCTGCCTGCCTCGGCCTCCCAAAGTGCTGGGATTACAGGTGTGAGCCACTGCACCCAGCCAAAACTGTACATTTTAAATGTGTACACACTAAACTATACACTTTAAATGGGTGAATTGTATGGCATGTGAATTATATCTCAATCAAGCTATTATTTAAAAAGAAAATTTTAGGCTGGGTGCAGTGACTCACGCCTGTAACCCCAGCACTTTGGAAGGCCAAGGCTGGTGGATCACCTGAGGTCAGGAGTTCAAAACCAGCCTGGCCGACATAGTGAAACCCCGTCTCTACTAAAAATACCAAAAAAATTAGGCGGGCATGGTGGCGGGCGCCTGTAGTCCCAACTACTCAGGAGGCTGAGGCAGGAGAATCGCTTGAACCCAGGAGGCGGAGGTTGCATGGAGCCAAGATTGCGACACTGCACTCCAGCCTGAGCGACAGAGTAAGACTCTGTCTCAAAAAAATAAAAAAAGAAAATTTTAAACTGAAGCTAGAAAGAAAAAAGAAGACTATTATTAAATGGAAAAAACGTTCCTGTTGTAATGTTAGCCAAAAGAAACAGAATCCAAAACCTTGTGTCCAAAATGAATGAAACAATGTTTAAAAGGGGTGGGGGGGGGGAGGAGGAATTTATTACTATTCAAAACTGCACACAAAAGAAAATGACTGGAAGTAAATTTAATGAGGGAGTAACAGTAGTTGCCATTGGGTAAGAGACTTTGATTTTTTTTTTCCATTCTCTGACATCTATATTTCTAACAACAACCACCCCCCCACCAGATTTCCAAATTTTCTATTATAAGCATATATTATAATTGCTATTGCAAATACAGCAGGGGAGAGGGGGAATATAAACGCTGCTGTTGTCTGTGGGTGTCTGGGTCTGCCCTGCGGTGCCCAGCAAGTCCCACAGCTGCCTTGCAGCCACGACCACAGCTGCAGGGCATCCAGCTCAGGTGAGTTCATCACTCCGCACCGGTTTTGCTTTGCCATCATATCTCCTGAAGGGAAGGCTAAGTGATACTTTATTCTCATTAGCTCCTTTCCCTTAGAGATGACCAAGATTTAGATCCTGTTCTGCAGTAACCACATCCCAGTACAGATGTTTCAATGGGTCCAAAGAGCGATTATGTGGAAACCAATGGCTAAAGGGAAATACAGTCATCCCTTGGTATCCTCGGGGGATTGGTTCCAGGATGTCACTCAGATATCAACATTCATGGATGCTCAAGTCCCATAAAAATGGCATAGTATTTGGATATAACCTATGTACATCCTCCCATATACTTAATTTAAAAACTTTTTTCAAGAGACAAGGTCTCGCTCTGTCGCCAGGCTGGAGTACAGTGGTGGCATCATGGCTCACTGCAGCCTCAACCTCCTAGGCTCAAGTGATCCTCCCACCTCAGCCTCCTGAGTAGCTGGGACTACACGTGTGAGCCACTAGGCTCAGCTAATTAAAAAATTTTTTTTTTTTGTAGAGACAGAGTCTTGCTATGTTGCCCAGACTGGTCTTGAACTCCTGGCCTCAAGCAACCCTCCCACCTTGGCCTCCCAAAGTGCTAGGATTACAGATGTGAGCCACCACCAGGCCTGGCCCTTCCACATACTTTAAATCATTTCTAGATTACTTATAATACCCAATACAACCTAAATGCTACGTAAATAGTTGTTATACTGTGTTGTTTAAGAAATAATGACAAGAGAAAAATAGTCTGTACATGTTCAGTACAAATGCAAACACCCTAGGCATAACTACATTGTACACATCTGCAATGTAACACGTTCTGGAATGTTTTTTTTCTGAGTATTTTCAGTCTGTGGTTGATTGAATCCTCGGATGCGGAACTCACAGATACAAAGGGCCTGTTATAGTCACGTAATTCATTCTTGCAACTAATATTTGTGCCTGCTTCTCTCAGGGAACAGAGTAAAACCTGGGAGAAATGTAAAATAGATTAATTTGCCCTCTGACAGTTTCCATTCTCATACAGGAAATAAGATGCACATGAATGTCTCCAATACAAAACACAGTCTGATAAGCAAAACAGGTGAAAGTGAATGCCACTTGTGGAAGAGCAGCCCTGAGTTGGGCTTGAAGATTGGGCTGAATTTCGTTTGGGGTACGTGGCTGGAAGGCACAGATATTTGCATAATCTCAGAATGACTAATATTTAAGGAAGCACCAGCCACTGAATGAAAAGCAACACTGGCTCCATAAGGAGGAGACGCCCAAATGATTTTTAGGATTTCTTTGTAGGGGTCAAGCAACACACAAACCAAGGCAGAATCTGTGAACACAACTTGTGTAGACTTTCTGAAAGCTGTTGCCAAGATGATACCAGAAGCATAATGACCTTTAAATTTTTAAATTTTGTGCCGGGCGTGGTGGCTCATGCCTGTGATCCCAGGTCTTTGGGAGGCTGAGATGGACAGATCACTTGAAGCCAGGAGTTCAAGACCAGCCTGGCCAACATGGTGAAACCGTCTCTACTAAAAACACAAAAATTAGCCAGGCGTGGTGGCACATGCCTGTAATCTCAGCTACTCGGGAGGCTGAGGCAAGAGAATCGCTTGAACCTGGGAGGCGGAGGTTGCAGTGAGCGAAGATTGCACCACTGCACTCCAGCCTGGGCGACAGAGCAAGACTCCATCTCAAAAAAAAAAAAATTAATTTTGAAATAATTTCAAGTTTACAGAACCGTTGCAAGAATAGTACAGAAAATTTATATACTCTTTATCCAAATTCACCAAGTTTTCACAGCCCCTCCTCCTCAGACTTGTTAAAATGCTCTTTCGGAGGCTCAGCTTAAATGAGTGCTATCCAGCCATCAGGAGCCTTCAGTGCTCATGAGTATAAAAGAACACAGAATTTTACAACACCAGTGTACTGAAGTAAGCATGCCCAGGTCCAAGAGACAATTCAACCCCCGTCCCAGCCCCAACCGTCCACCAACCCTCTAGGGGGACACTGAATACTTTTTCCTTCTTCTTCTTCTTCTTCTTATTTTTATGTGGAGATGGGGTCTTGCTATGTTGCCCAGGCTGGTCTAGAACTTCTGGACTCAGGGGATCTGCCTGCCTTGGCCTTCCAAAGTGCTGGGATTACAGGCGTGAGCCATCATGCCAGGCCCCTATGATCGTTTTAAACACGAATCTGTATCCATATGGCTGGAGCTGAGTAAACTTTGGCTGCTAAGTAAACTAAAGCCCCCATTAGGTTTGCCTCTAGCCTGGCCCAGGAAGTTTGGTGTGAACTGATCATTCTCTGCATTATGGAGGTCACAAGAGCAGCCCTCAAGAAGTCCCTCTCCGGCTGGGTGTGGTGGCTCACGCCTGTAATCCCAGCACTTTGGGAGGCTGAGGCGGGCAGATTACCTGAACTCAGGAGTTCGAGACCAGTCTGGCCAAAATGGCAAAACCAAAATTAGCCAGGTGTGGTGGCGGGTGCCTACAATCCCAGCTACTTGGGAGACTGATGCAGAAGGATTGATTGAACCCGGGAGGCAGAGGTTGCAGTGAGCCAAGATCATGCCACCGCACTCCAGCCTGGGCGACACAGCGAGGCTCTATCTCCAAAAAAAAAAAAAAAAAAAAGTCCCTTTCCCTCCCAGAGGAGACTGTCATGACACTGAAGGTGCTAGGAACATCTTAGTAAGGCTGTAGTCAGGAGACCTAACCTTTCTGAGGACCTAAAGAGCGTATGGAGGGCTGGGTGCGGTGGTTCACGCCTGTAATCCCAGCACTTTGGGAGGCCGAGGCGGGCAGATTACGAGGTCAGGAGTTCGAGACCAGCCTGGCCAACATGGTGAAACCCCGTCTCTACTAAAAATACAAAAATTAGCCAGGCATGGTGGCGGGCGCCTGTAATCCCAGCTACTCGGGAGGCTGAGGCAGGAGAATCACTTGCACCCAGGAGGCACAGGTTGCAGTGAGCCGAGATCATGCCACAGCCTGGGTGACAGAGCAAGACTCCGTCTAGAAAAAAAAAAAAAAAAGAGCATATGGAAAGTGTCACAACAGGAAGATCTGCTGAACCCTTGAATTTAAATAGGCCACAGTATCAAAAGGTGTATAATTTTCCTCCTCGCTTGCTTCCTTCCTTCCAATAAAACCCTACTGAAAAAACTCTGGCCTTATATTGACATGGATGAAGGAGAAATTTCTGTGGGAAATTAAAAATAAATGGCAGGTATACCTTCTTCAGTTCTTGTTTGGATCTACAATCTAGCAGAAAGTCCATCTCACATCCCTATTTCCACACCTAACGCCCCGGCAGGGCCATATGTGAGTGAAAAACATTTACGAGAGGCTGCAGAGTCCGGATGAGCAGAAGGAGGAGCTGAGCTGACAGGAGGAATGGGATGATCGAATCCTTTTCCCATCCCCTGGTCTATTTATAGAGTCATCTGCCTTCAGGAAATGCTGAGCCCCTTCTCCCAGGACCCTGTTGGGAGTGACGCCTGTGCTGGCTGACCCAGCCTTCCACATCCTCCTCCTGGCCTCAGCAGCTCTCCCCTTGTGATCCAGTGGGTTACTGGGAACCCAGCCTGTAAATGACAGTGCTTCTCAGAGGTCCCAGTCTAGTGAGGAAATTCAAGGAGGAAAGGCAAAACAACAACAACAACACAACAACAACAACAACAAACTTAATGATACTGGAAAAGCGCCTGGCACAGAGAGGCCCCTCAACACCAACACAGGGAGGGAACAGGTGGGACGCCAGGGCTGCAGGTGACAACACTGTGGCCCAGGGGGGTTTTGGCTCACCTAGCCTGTCACCTGGCCACATGGTGGCAGAGGTAGAAGCAGAACCCAGGGCTCCTGTTACCCTGTCTGGGGCTCATTCACCTCCTCACCCTCCTTTCCATTGCCTCAGGGGACTCAGGTTTCCATGGAGAAGCTGTCACAGGAGAACCTGGATCTGCTAGTTACACGTTCCATGTTCTTGAAGGCATTTCTTTTCCTTTTTTTTTTCTTAGCTGAAGAGCCACTTCTTCAGAAACCCAGAGAGATTTGTGAAGTTCGTGTTTCTGGTGATTGTTTTTTTTTTAGAAGTGAGAAATGTTCTTTGTTATTATTAGGCTGTTGAGAGATTTTGTTTTTCTTTGTTTTTTTTGTTTTTTTTTGTTTTTTTTTTTTTGCTTTTTGAGACAGCATCTCTCTCTGTTGCCAAGGCTGGAGCGCAGTGATGTGAATACAGCTTCGACCTTATGTCCAGCAATCTTCCTGCTTCTGCCTCCCAAGTAGCTGGAATGACAGGCGTGCACCACCACGCCCAGCCTGGAGATTTTTTAAAAAACAACAAAAAACAAAACACATTTGCCTTATAGCTACCAGATAACATTAGCCATGAGGCCAGGCACGGTGGCTCATGCCTGTAATCCCAGTACTTTGGGAGGCCGAGGCAAGCGGATCATCTGAGGTCAGGAGTTGGAGACCAGCCTGGCTAACATGGTGAAACCCTGTCTCTACTAAAAACACAAAAATTAGCTGGGCGTGGTGGTGCATGCCTGTAATCCAAGCTACTCAGGAGGCTGAGGCAGGAGAGTCACTTGAGCCCGGGACACAGAGGCTGCAGTGAGCCGAGATCGCGCCACTGCATTCCAGCCTGGGCGACAGAACGATACTCCGTTTCAAGAAAGAAAAAAAAAGAACAGTCTGGGTGCTGTGGCTCATGCCTGTAATCCCGGCACTTTGGGAGGCTGAGACAGGCAGATCACTTGAGGTCAGGAGTTTGAGACTAGCCTGGCCAACATGGTGAAACCCTGTCTCTATTAAAAATACAAAAAAATTAGCTGGACCTGGTGGCGTGTGCCTGTAAACTCAGCTTCTGTGGATGCTGAGGCAGGAGAATTGCTTGAATGCAGGAGGCAGCGTTTGCAGTGAGCCGAGATCATGCCATTGCACTCCAGCCTGCCAGACAGAGCGAGACTCCGCCTCAAAAACAAAAACAAAAAACAAAAACAAACAAAAAAACGAAAACAAAAAACATTAGCCATGGGCTCCTGCTGAATGCTTTTTCTTCTTTTATAAGAAAAGAAGAAAAAGTTGATGTTCTAACAAAATGTATATAACCTTGTGTTACGTCTTGTATGGTTGGCTTCAAATGTTATTTATACATTTTTTATTGAAGGTTTCACATATTTATGTTTTGACACCTCAAATTAAGCTGCAATGATGAATGAACAGCTGATACAAATTGAGCACTTACTATTCCCTAAGCAAGATTTTACACAGGTCATTTAGTTTAATGTTCACAGTAAGCTTACTATTGCCTCCCCTTCTCAGATGTGGACATTAAGGCCTGGAGGGATTAACTTTTCCCAAGGCTGCGTGGGTGCTGAATGCGTCAGGGTGTCTGACTCCAGGGTCCAGGTGCCTAACGCCTACAGGTCCACCTTGACGGCACCGTACGGGCCTTCCACTCCTCAATCCAGATTAGGAACTTGGGAAATAGTTATGATTTTATTTTATTCAAGCACCCAGTCTCCTCCCTTCCCCTTCTCCGTCCCCTGCACACCATGCATGCTGTGACACCGAGGCCCTGCCTGGCCAGATCCTCCACTTCCAGAGGCAGCCCTCAGGCTGCCATTTTGTGGCTTCTTTTCCCTCTGAAGGCTTTCCTGCTGTTGGTTTTGATCTGACCTCACTGGATAGTAATCCTGAGAATGGGAGGAAGGACCACCCGGTGTGATCTGTCCTGGTCTCTGAGCACCTGGACAGCCTCGGGGCCTGTGCCTCCCAGGGCTGGAGGCTCACGCTGCACCACTGAACAGCCCACTTGAATGGAATGCACCCGTAGGTCACGTTCGTTTGCTTGCTTCCTGGCACATCTCCCTCTCCAGCTGTGCTACCCGCAGAATCCTCTTTCCCACCTCCTTTCTCCCTCTTGCCTTCCTGTCCTCCTCTTCCTTTCCTCCCCTCAGACTCTTCCCACCCTCTTTTGCTGGCTTCTGTTCTTTCCATGAGCAGAGAGTTTCCAGGCCTGGCTCCCAGCCAGCACATTTGGACAAAAGGCAGCAATCTTAGAGGGAGACGTCATCTTCCATCCCCTTGCTTGGGGCCAGCACAAGAGAATGGAGCTGAGGCTACTCCTGCAGCTGCTCCCGGGTTCTGAGAAAAAGCTTGAGAGAGGGTTTATCATAAGGATTAAAAGCAAAGGGTTTGGAATCAGACAGACCCAGGTTTAAATTCCAGTGAACTTGGAGAGCTGCGGGACCTCGATCAAGATACATTTCTAAGCCTTAGTTCTCGCCTCTGTAAAATGGTGATAATGGTAGCACTTACTTTAAGAGACTGGTAAGGATTAGATGAAATTGCACCTGTAAAACATTCAGCACAGTGCATAGCCCAGAAAAAGCGCTCAGCAAATGTCTTCCATTATTCTAAGGTGAACTTAACCCTGCCAAATAATACTAATAAGTAATAATGCTCTAACATATTATTGTAAATATTTATTTATTTATTTTTAGTTTAGTTTAGTTTTTTGAGATGGACTCTTGCTCTGTCACCCAGGTTGGAGTGCAGTGGCACAATCTTGGCTCACTGCAACCTCCACCTCCAGAGTTCAAGCAATTCTTGTGCCTCAGTCTCCCGAGTAGCTGGGACTACAGGCGCACACCACCATGCCTGGCTAATTTTTTTTGTATTTTTGGTAGAGACGGGGTTTCACCATGTTGGCCAGGCTGGTCTCGAACTCCTGCCTGCCTGCCTTGGCCTCCCTAAGTGCTGGGATTACAGGTATGAGTCACTGCACCCGGCCTATTTTTATTTTTAATTTTATTTATTTATTTTTTTTTGAGATGAGATCTTACTCTGTCACCCAGGATGATTGCAGTGGTGCAATCACAGTTCACTGCAGCCTCAAACTCCCAAGCTCAAGCAGTCCTCCTGCCTCAGCCTCCCAATTAGCTGGGACCAAAGGCGTGCACTGCAACAACTGGCTAATTTTTTTTTTTGTAGAGACATAGAAACAGGGTTTTGATTTGTTGTGCGGGCTGGTCTCTAACTCCTGGGCTCATGCAATCTTCCCACCTCAGCATCCCAAACTGCTGGGATTACAGCTGTAAGCCACCATGCCCAGCATACATTAATTCTTTTTTTTTTTTAAGACAGAGTTTCACTCTTGTCCTCCAGGCTGGAGTGGTTCAAGCAATTTTCCTGCCTTGGCCTCCTGAGTAGCTGGAACTACAGGCGTGTACCACCATGCCCAACTAATTTTTGTATTTTTAGTAGAGATGGGGTTTCACCATGTTGGCCAGGCTTGTCTCGAACTTGACCTCAAGTGATCTGACAGCTTCGGCCTCCCAAAGTGCTGGGATTACAGGTGTAAGCCACTGTGCCTGGCCAGCATACATTAATTCTTAATGAATTAGTAATAACAGTACCATGTCCTCAACTCACCTGCAGGGCTGCTTACACAGCCTCATTTGTTTGCAAGTGTGGGTAAGCTCTAAACTACTCTCCAACATACAAGTGCTGTTATAATCTGTAAAAGCTGGTTTTGGAATTAGAAGGTGACCTGATCCCCTTCCCTTTGCAGCAGAAGTCAGGGTGCACAGTGACCTGTTAGTCCTCAGTTGCACTGGCTATGGTGCCAACTGTGAAAGTAAGGCGGAGGTCGCCCTCAGACCAGCGCAGCTTGCTCTGCCTGACCTGAGACCCTACTTCTGTTTGTTTCCTATCTGTGCCTGGTGTTTTGTACTCAGAAGTTGTGCAATGCCTGGAAATGTGCTCATTTTTATTTAGCTAACTTTCAAGATACGGGAAATCCCCTTTGGCCTAAAATTTCTTTCTTTTTTTTTTTTTTTTTTTTTGAGGTGGAGTCTTGCTCTGTCACCCAGGCTGGAGTGCAGTGGCGCGATCTCAGCTCACGGTAACCTCTGCCTCCCAGGTTCAAGGCATTCTCCTGCCTCAGCCTCCCTAGTAGCTGGAACTACAGGCATGCGCCACCACGCCCGGCCAATTTTTTTGTATTTTTAGTAGAGACGGGGTTTCACCATGTTGGTCAGGCTGGTCTCGAACTCCTGACCTCAAATGATCCGCCTGCCTCGGCCTCCCAAAGTGCTGGGATTACAGGCATGAGCCACTGCACCTGGCCTATAATTTCATTTAGTTAATCTGAGCCAGCATTGATCAGTTTAAAACTAATCAATATGATTAATCAGCAAGCTGGAGACAGTTCTCTTTGAGGTGCTATTGGGAATACACAAGTATAAAAAATGGTCCCTGCCCTCAAGCTAGAGATAAAAGATATAAACCCTATCAACCAAATGGCAATAAAAGATTGCAATTGTTCAAAACGGAAAGACAAGGTTGGTTCAGGGAATGCCTGACACGCCCTTAAACTCACAGAAAACTCAAGAGGAATCCATGAAGATCTATTTTTTCAAAGACAATTAGGACAACCAAAACAGAATGGTGTCTAGGGTGAAAGGCAGTATTCAAAATTAACCGCAGAGGTGTGCAGGAGCGCCATTAGAGACTGGGTGGAGGAATACATTCGAACACGGTGGCAAATGTTATGAAACAAATATAAACTGGAGAAATTTGGAGGAGGACAACGAAAGGGGAGCCAGGGACTGCTTCAAAGAGGTAGCGCCTGGTGGCCAAGAAAGACTCCATTGGATTCCAAGAGTTGGGGAAGGGAAAGTGCTCCTGAGGAGGCCAGTGCATGGAGTAAAGAACAAGGCAAAGCCTGCCCAGCATGAAGACCGCCTGCTAGGACAGGAGCACCAGGACTCACGTGGGAGCCAGGGAGAAGACGGACCCGGCAGCAGGCTAGATGTTGGGATGTTCTGAAATGAGAAAGAGGAGTGAAGGTTTGCTAACCCAGGGAAATAAGGAGGCCACAGAATGTAATGATAATATGTTCTCTTTTGGACACATTAAGGTGAGAGTGGTACATTCAAGAGGCAGTGAGAGGTAATGAGCTAACGGTCTTTATAAAGAACAACTCAGAGGTCCAGTTTGGGAGGGAGCGATGAAACTGAGCATGATGAACTGAGGGAGACAGTGAAGAGGGAGAAGGTAGTGAACAAGTGAGGCACGGGTTGCTCTTATGGTGCTCTTGTTACTTCACTCTCTACATGGTGTCTTTTATGTTTCTTTCTCTCTCTTTTTTTTTTTTTTTTTGAGATGGAGTCTCATTCTGTCGCCCAGGCTGGAGTTCAGTGGCGCAATCTCAGCTCACCACAACCTCCACCTCCTGGGTTCAAGCAATTCTGCTGCCTCAGCCTCCCGAGTAGCTGGGATTACAACAGGTGCCTGCCACCATGCCCGGCTAATTTTTGTATTTTTAGTGGAGACGGGGTTTCACCATGTTGGCCAGGCTGGTCTCGAACTCCTGACCTCAAATGAGCCACTGCGCCAGGTCTTTTTTTTTTTTAAGACAGGGTCTCACTCTGTCACCCTGGCTGGAGTGCAGTGGCACCATCGCGGCTCACTGCAGCCTCGACCTCTTGTGCTCAAGTGATCCTCCCACCTCAGCCTCCTGAGTGGCTGGGACCACAGGCATGTACCACCATGGCTGGCTAATTTTTGTATTTTTCTCAAAGACAGGGTTTCACCATGTTGCCCAGGCTCTTTGTATGTTTCTTTACCTGGACCTTCCAACTAGACAGGGAGTTCTAGTGGCAGAACACGCGCACTGGCTTCTTTTTATTCCCTACAATGCCTAACCGAGACTTTGGTCTACTGTGAGGGTTGCATAAATACTTGTTGAATAAGAATAGGAGGAAGCAGTGAAGAACTCTTCTTTGAAAGACAATTAAAACAACCAAAACAGTATGGCGTCTACACTGAGGAGGCAGTATTCAAAATACATAACAGGCTGGGCTCACACCTGTAATCCTAGCACTTTGGGAAGCCAAGGCGGGCGGATCATTTGAGGTCAGGAGTTCGAGACCAAACTGACCAACACGGTGAAAGCCTGTTTCTACTAAAAATAAAATAAAATAAAATACAAAAAATTAGCCAGGCATGGTGGCACACACCTGTAATTTCAGCTACTCGGGAGGCTGAGGAAGGAGAAACACTTAAACCTGGGAGGCGGAGGTTGCAGTTAGCCAGGATCATGCCACTGCGCTCCAGCCTGGGCAACAGAGTGAGACTCCGTCTCAAAAAACAAAAACAAAAACACACAACAAAATTATAACAAAGGTGTGCAGGAGCCCAACAAGCAGAATGGCCTTATTGTTAACACTTTAATGGCCAGATCTTGGCAGGGGGAGAGTTAGTGGTCCTGGGAGTGTGGGACACCCTATTTACCAACCAGAATAGAAGTATTTCAGTATTTTGACAAGTGGCGCAGATTCATCACTGCACCCATTTTACATCCACCTTGACTTGTGTTTCAAGAAGGAAGGGTCAGGGGTGTGTCAAGTGCATTAGTGAGATCAAGAAGCATGAGAACAGGGAACTGGCCACAGACGAACCATTAGTAACCTAAGATATGGTTTCAGCAGATGGATAGGAATAGAAGCCAGATTTCGGGGGTGTGGGGAAGGAACATGTGGATCTGCCTCGTGGGACTCTTGCATTTGTTCTGCTTCTTTCTTGGTCCCAAAAGGAGCATTCTCTTTCTCGTTTTCTCTGACAAATTGGCAGCCTGAACCTCGGGGTTGTGTGTGTACCCAGAAGCAGCCTCTTAGCCCCTTTACCCATCTCTCTCAGTTCTGTACCAGACCAGGAATCTTGGCTGTCCTATATTCAAGGGAAAGAAGAGCCTGGAATAAGAGGCTCTCTTGGCTCTCTGTGGTGCTGGAATCTTCAAGTCTGATTGTTTTGAGAGGGATTAAGAAGCTCTCTCTTCTCTGACATTTTTCCACCCTATTAGATGCATCAGTCAGCTGGAGGGTAAACAGAGGGCACTGGTCCCCTTCTGATATCCTGGAAGGTTGTCTATGTTTGTTGATTGTCACAAATACAGATGATGAAATGAACCAGATGACAGTCACCACAAGATGCCAGGGAGTTATATTTGGGGTTGGATGACCACACACTTCATGACAAATCTGAACAAATCTCATCTGCAGCTC